>NC_000005.10:51359807-51984807 GCF_000001405.40 Homo sapiens
TTTAATACACATATACCATAATTGTAGCCAAAGATTACATCATTCATATCATTTAATTTTTAACCAAAGCATCCCAGATGTTTCAGTTTCAGGAGGATCATTACCCAAATAGAGTAAACTCTCTATCTGTCATGATCAGGAAAAGGAATGCGTTAGCTAATCATATTCTCCTTAATAGATATTCCATACTCACCACGTTTGAATTAACAACTTTCAAATAATTAGAACACATCAATATACATTTAATATCCAATGACTATGAAAACAATCTAATAGCTTTTTTATGATTCATAAGTAGTTTTGGGATCTTATTACATCAGAGGTTTATCAATACAGACATCGTAATTTAGACTTGCTAAGGAAGGCTTCTGATTGATCTGCTGTTATATCGCAGAATAATTATACTGTTATAATATTTTTGAACTACGTGTTTTAGATACAAAGACTGCTGAAGATGTTCAGGCTATACCTTAATTGTGTCCCACAATCAAAAAGGAATAGATCAAGTGTTTGCTTAGCTTCCAAGTAGTAAACTAGTTGGTCAGGCTGTGTACTTAAGAAATAACTGGGGGAAAAGAAATGAACAGTAGTAGTAAACAAATGTAAAAATGTAATAGGCCAGTGTTGAGTGTCTGTCATGTGTATCTGGCTCTTGGTTCCATAGAAACCACCTGCAATGTGAAGTTCCTTCATTAGCATCTTTGCTCACAAGAGAAGACAAGGTTGCTCTGATATATTTCTTCTGAACAACTACAACTCACTTTGCGAATACACCTGACATGTACTCTGTATCATTTCAGTGCTCACCCTACCTCATTGTCAAGGAAACAGACATCAGCACCACTTAGAAAGTGGTAAGAAACCTGTAAAAGAACAGAAGTATACTGTATATTGTGATGGGGTAGAGTCCCTTTCTCTGAGGGACAACTTCATGAGATTCCAATGTTAATGAATCAAACCCAAACTCACTGCAAAGGATGAAATCAGAGAATGATAGATAAGATGCTATAAACAATGCTCACTGATGGCAAAATAATAACAAGGGTGAGCTGGCCTTACATTTACAGATAGGTTTATTAACTAATATACCCATTATACACAACATATAGTATGCTATGTTCACATAGTGAAAATTGTAAAACTGGCTTAATTCAGTTAGTCATTGTTTTGAAAAACTTAATAACTAAAATCAAGTATATAAGCAATTGACTGCATGCAACTAATTTATTTCAATTTAGAAATTCATTTACTTGGGGGATATGTTTTTGTTCAAGTCAATATATTGAAGTGATTAAGGGCTCAGGTTCTAAAGTCAATTATCCTTGTAATCAAATTGCAACTAACTTCCAAAGGGAGAAAAAAAAGATGGCATGTTCAGAGTAGATAAACTGGAAATAATTTAAGGAAGGAATTGTTTGCAGAGGTGTTGGGAAGATTGAGAAAAACAAGAGATGGTGAAAAAACAAGGGGCTAGCAAAAATGGGAAGCCATTGGCCAGGTGCAGTGGCTCACGCCTGTAATCCCAGCACTTTGGGAGGTCGAGGCAGGCAGATCACCTGAGGTCAGGGCAGCCTGGCCAACATGGCAAAACCCTGTCTCTATCAAAAACACAGAAATTAGCCGGGCATGTGGCAGATGCCTGTAATCCCAGCTACTTGGGAGGCTGAGGCAAGAGAACTGCTTGAAGCCGGGAGGTGGAGGTTGCAGTAAGCTGATATCACGCCATTGCACTCTAGCCTGGGTGACAAGAGCAAAACTCCGTCTCAAAAAAAAAAAAGGGAAGCAGCCATTATGACCCGCCAAGAACTCAAGAAACAGTGTTACCAGAATGTGGTATGGAAGTGGAATGGGCACCAGTAAGAGCTATGGTTGTACAGGGGAAAAGACCCTCCCTAGCAAGGCAGGAAAGGAACAGGAAGTGGCAGTAGGATAGGGGAAAATCTTTCCTTTTCTTTCTTCTTTCACCATTAAGACCCTGTTAATATGTCCCATTGGCTAAAGCCAACCAGAAGCCAGGGGAAAAGAGAATGTGGTTGAGGCAGTGTGAATAGTTCAGCCTCTCACAGGAGGGCAGAGAAGGGCGGAAAGTTGATCTAGGGAAAACAAATAGAAAATGATAACATATCCACGCATTACACATTAGTTACACTACCTGAAGTATATTACTTAACTTATGCTTCTGCCTCATCATCTTTAAAATACTGCTGGCCAGGCATGGTGGCTCATTCCTGTAATCCCAGTGCTTTGGGAGGCCAAGACAGAAGGCTTGAGGCCAGGGGTTCGAAACCAGCCTGCACAACATAGTGAGACCCCCCTGCCATCTCTACAAAAAAATAAAAAATAATAATAATCAAGCACAGTGGTGTGAACTTGTAGTTCCAGGTACTCTGGAGGCTGAGGTGGCAAGATTACCTCAGCCCAGGAGTTTGAGGTTGCAGTGAGCTATGATTGCGTCACTACACTCCAGCATGGATGACAGAGCAAGACTTTGTCTCTAAATAATAATAATAATAGTAATAAATAAAATAAATTATTGCTAATAGTATTATGGATATTGTAGAAATGGCATGTGAAAGTGGCTAGAAAATCATAATAATTCAATAAAACCTAGCTGTTATTATTTTTCCAAGTCTGTTTATGAAAAATCTCAAAGTATTCTTGTCATGAGATGTGGAGAGGCTAACTTGGAAAGTGGCTACTTTAGAAAGCATTCAAACATAAAGGACTAAATATATACAACAGTTAAAATTCAATGGAACACTAGTTCAATAATTTTTGCATCCTTCAAAAAAGAAAATACTTTACAAATTATAAAAAGCAATTCCTTCTTCACTGTAAAATGTGTACACAGTCTTTAGTTTTACTCTCCCTATAGCAGAGACATCAACTTCTTTCATAGTTATAGCTAGTTGGGATCTGTGGTCTGTACACAGAAAACTCCCTTCCTAAAGATATTCACCTGCCAATCCTCAGAACCTGTGAATATATTACCATGCTTTGCAATGTATGGGATTAAGTTAAGAATCTTAAAATGAAGAGATTACCCAGGTGGGCCCAACGAATCACAAGGGTCCTTATGAGAGGAAGCAGGAAAGTCAGAGTGAAAGAGGATGTGACAATGGAAGCAGAGGTTGAAGTGATTGGAGGAAGGAGTCAAAAATGAAGCAAAATATGTAGCCTCTAGAATCTGGAAAAGACAAATAAATCAATTCTCCCCTAAGCTTCCATAAGGAAGGCATCCCTGCCAATCTCTTTTTTTCTTTTTCTTTTCTTTTTTTTTTTTAGATGGAGGCTCCTCTGTCACCCAGGCTGGAGTGCAGTGGTGTGATCTCCACTCACTGCAACCTCTGCCTCTGAGTTTAAGCGATTCTCCTGCCTCAGCCTCTTGAGTAGCTGGGATTACAGGTGTGAGCCACCACACCCAGCTAATTTTTGTATTTTTAATAGAGATGTGGTTTTACCATCTTGACCAGGCTGGTATCAAATTCCTTACCTCATGTGATCCGCCTGCCTTGGCCTCCCAAAGTGCTGGGATTACAGGCATGAACCACTGCGCCCAGCCTCCTGCCAACCTCTTGAATGCAGGACTTCTGATCTCCAGAACTGTATGATAATAAACTTGTGTTGATATTAGCCTCTAAACTTGTGATAATTTGTTACCACAAACATAAAAAACTGACACTAATTGTTTTCCTCTGATTTAGCAGATCCACTTCCATCCTACTCCGACTTGGTCTGTGCCACAGGAGGCTGACCTCTGGCTTCTACCTGAGATCAATGAATAGAAGGTACTGGCAGGCAATGGGAAGGCCGTAAGAAAGAGTCCACGGTATTTATCCTTTTGTGACCTTTAGATCACTGCAGTTTTGGTAGTGATATTTTTTCCCTACAGCCACCACTCATAACATCATCCTCTTTTCCCCAGCTTTCAGGATCCTAGGCCAGGACTCAGAACTCCCCACCGTTGCTAGTCTCATATGCTTCCCTAGCCCTGCTGGATCCCTTAACCTTGCCCACATTTCCAAACATAATCCCTTCATTAATAGTTGTCTAATTAAACCTTTGGAGTGTGTTGTGTCTTTGATGCCAGTCCACTGATTCAACATAAAATATATTTTTCATAACTATTCATTTAAAACTCAATGAGTTGAGTCTTAAAATTCCCCTAAGGTACTCTGAAAGAATACCAAGCTTAAGGAAGTTTAAGACAGCATAATGGTTCATCAGTAATTCAATTTTTAATTTTTTCATCTTTCAAAGTGAGTTATAACATAGCTGCCCTTTGGCTGGGTGAGGTGTCTCACGCCTGTAATCTCAGCACTTTGGGAGGCCAAGGTGGGCGGATCCCTTGAGTCCAGGAGTTTGAGACCAGCCTGGGGAACACGGAAAAACTCTGTCTCTACAAAAAATACAAAAATTAGCCCGGCATGGTGGCACATGCCTGTAGTCCCAGCTGCTTGGGAGGCTGAGGCAGGAGGATCATTTGAGCCCAGGATGTGGAGGTTGCAGTGAGCCAAGATTGTGCCATTGCACTCCAGCCTGGGTGACAGAACAAGACCCTGTCTCAAAAAATAAAAATAAAATAAAATAAAATAATAAACCATAGCTGCCCCCACTTCAGAAAAATTGAATCTTACCATTTAAAAAAATTATGATTGCTCATATTTACATATAAAAGTAACACTTATAAAAGAGTTACAAAAATGCTTTCAAAGAACAAAAAAATGTGTTTTAGGTACTTTTTTTATTAATTAGCAAAGGTATAAAGAAGAATAGAGACACTTATGAAGTTATACAATTTACTGCAATATGAAGGTCAGATAAATGGATCATTACAGGAAGGTAAATAGAATATGATTTTTTAAATGTATGTGCCTATCAGTTGCACATTTATTTTGTGTGCAGTCTATCAAAACTATTACTATAGTTGCTTTTAAAAACTATATCAATTCAATGCCAACTATCTGGATTGATCAAAAATATTTAGTCAGCCAGGTAAATAATATAATTTTTAAAATGTATGTGCCCATCAGTTGCACATTTATTTTGTGTGCAGTCTATCAAAACTATTACTATAGTTGCTTTTAAAAGCTATATCAATAAAATGCAACTATCTAGATTGATCAAAAATATTTAGTCAGCTGGGCATGGTTGCTCATTCCTATAATGCCATTATTTTGGGAGGCCAAGGTGAGAGGATTGCTTGAGGCTAGGAATGTTAGAGACCAGCCTGAGCAACATAGTGAGACCCTGTCTCTACAAAAAAAGTTTTTTAAAATTAGCTAGGCATGGTGGCGTTCACCTGTAATCCTAGCTACTCAGGAGGCTGAGGTGGGAGGATTGCTCAAGCTCAGGAGTTCAAAGCTGAAGTGAGTTATGATTGCACCACTGCACTCCAGCCTGGATGACAGAATGAGACCGTGTCTCTTAAAATGAAATGTCTATTTTCTAGAGATTTTTCTCTCATATGAAAATAAATACCAAAAATGACTGTCACTTTACATCCGGCTCTTTTGAAATTATATATAGACAGACCAACCAAATTATGCCCTGTAAGAACTGGGTCAAAGTTGCCAATAGAAGGAAATCTATTTTATGTATTTAAATGACAAACATTTACACTTCGTTCAATTAGGTAAGTTAGGTAAAGTAATAATAAATCATAATTCTTAAAACTCTTCACCAGTCCCTCAAATTGGTTGAATAACGGTATTTCATACAAATCATGGAGTTATCTCTCCATCTCCCCAGTACCAAACCCTAGAGGTTAACTTCTGCTCTAAGGCATATGGTGAAAGATTCTGGAAAATACAGCCAAAGTGGGCTGGGGAGATTTTACACATGAATTAAAATTGTCTTAGGTTACCATTTTGCTATAGCTTCTACCTCAACTCGGAACTCCGCTCGCCTCTTCCTACCTTATTCATGAACGAATATCACAAAAGATAACACGATTTGTAGATGACTGAATACACATTATTGTTCCTGGAAATGCTACAAAGAGTCTTACATATAGAGACACAATAGAGTCAGTTCTACATTCTCACTGAAATGAAGGTACAAGAACAGGCTTTACTCTAGATAAGGCATATTTTTAAAATGCCTCGAGTCAAAGTATTGTGACATACAAAGCCAATTAAATATGCACATTAAGATTATAATTTTAGAACTTGCATTTACCTATAAAATAGGTTCCTATCTCTACAGGCATATGAAGAGCAGAAAAGATTTATGCCCATATTGTCTACACTAATCATTTGTTTAAACTACCCTGAGCTGCTTTCCTTAAACGTACTGGTGGTACTCGTTAGTAAAATATCATATAACGTGCCTGAAGTGTACAAGTAAGCATGAGTGCTTGCCTTTCTAAGGTCAATTTAACATTTTTACACAATATTATAATAAATAATTTGTGCTTAGCAAAGAAACTAAAGATAGGTTTCTAATTAAAATATATGATAATTGATGTCTTTGATATGAGGTTTAACTCCATTTTAACTTGATGTGTATTTTATTATAATGTGTGTGGAGTCTACATTATAATTTTGTAATATAATATTATGCATTACACCATGGCTGATACTTATATACGTACATTAGTGAATATGTGCTTACATTAGTATTTATTTGCATATTATATAATATGATATAATATATTATTTTCCTAGGATCACTGAGAAAATAATAAATCTATATATTTCTGTGGAGCTAGAATAAATCATCAGCAAGTCATTAACAATTAAACCCCTAGTGTATTTCCCAGTCTTAAGTCTTCTGACATTTGAACAGGAATTGACTATCACTACCACCAGTAATAGTAACAAGAGTAAAATAATAGTAATAATGTTATCACTACTATTGTAACTATACTGCTTATAGAACTAATCTGTTTTATATTTACAAATTATTTTCACATCAATTATCTTATTTTTTCAGATCAACCATGTGTATTAAAATGTAATATTTAATGGTAGAAGAACTTATTGCAGTAGTAGAAAAAGAAAATTTGCTTTGTTTATGTCTCATCTGTATTGCAACTAAGACTTACACTTTAACCTTCTTTAGGAGTAGACTTTCCATTTCTGCTTTTATGAAATCTGCTTCTTTATTGCTTCTTTATGAAGCAATTACCTGCAAAATGCTTTTTCTGGTTTGGTGCTGGAAAACCAACCAAACTCTAAATGATATGGGGCTGCCTCAACCCACCAGAGACATTACCTGAGAGTAATAAATGCACTTCAACAGCCTGATAGGTATTGGGAACAAGCCTTAAATAGACAAATCAGGGCTGGGAGAACTTGTCCACTCCCCCACCCACCCATTTTTCGGGCCCTTGAGCTTTGTTGGAACCAGCATGGGCATCCAAATTCTCCCCATAGAGTTTAGAGACTGATAAGATGCCTCAGCAGGGTCCTCAGGCATCCTGGCCACAGTACCTGACTGAGCAATAGAGGACAGGTTAAGAAGTGGAGGATGCTAAAAATCAACTTGCTTCATCATTCCGCCTTCTCAAGAGTCATTCTTTTCCTTTCAATTTGCCATGTGAACTGGACATGAAGCAGTATTCCAGTTTACAGACTGTGGAAGGCAAGCGGATAGAACACCTGTCAAGAACAAAGACCAGAAGACGGAATGGTGAATTTGGTCCCCTATTGTCTGCTAAGCTGATCAACAGTAATTTCTTACTAATGTCAAGCAAGGACTAGATGTAAACTGCATGTTCTGTGGCATCTTTCCAGGAGTTACAGAGGCGAAAGAAGGTGCAGTAGCATGCCTACATTACACCTTTTTGAACCATATTACATGGAAAATTTTGTGAGAGATTTCATCCTTTGAATACTGGAATTCCATACAGAGATAACTTTCATTTTCTGCATTTTCTTCCCAAGAAATTACAAGTTATCTTAACTAATGTAGACAAGCAGCCCATATTCCCTTTCAGATAACTCCAATTACTTTGTAGATAAGATTTATAACACTTGCTTGAAAGACTAGAAATGTGAGATACATACATTTTCCAGTGGGAACTTCAGAATAAGCTTGGAAGGGGCCTCTTTCTCCAACAGATGAGAAAAAAAGGCTAGCTGCTGGAGTGGAGTGTCTCTTGCTCCAGCTTTAGAGAGAAAATCATTATAGACAATGTATTTTGGACCAAGAACGTTTAGAATACTAGATAAGAAGAGAATCTCTCTGTAAATGCTAGAGGAGAGCAGAACTGTTCTTCATTTTGTTTCTGTTGGAAGTATTTATTTGCCCACCCAAAAAAATTCCCAAAGCATAGCTTATTGAGATTATTTTTAAAAGATAAATATTTAGAAGAACACAACATACTCAACATATTTTTAGAAAATGTTGATATTAGCAGCAGCAGCTAGTTGTTTATTTTATACAATTTTGAAACAAAGACTAATCAAGATAAATCCTACAAACTCTAACTTGATACTGACTCAGAATGTGAGAGCTGATGCTTTCTCTTTAAAAAGTATATATATTATGTATGTTATATACATTTTCTAGACATAGTTATGCTTTCTCTTTAAAAGTATAGTTATATAAAATACATAGAAAACATGCATTTCATATATGTATGTGTATACATTTTCACATATATAAAACACATGTCCTATGTTGATAGGAGAATATATATAGCTCCCACCAACAAAGGCCATTTTTTGCACGACATTGAAATGTACCTAATAAAGTCTGGAATTATCAACCACAGCATGACCCTACATAATATGAATTATATGTGTAATGGACAATTTATAATTCTTCTATCCCCAATGCAATACAATATATTATCTAATTTGCATCTTTTTTTTCTCATCAGAGATGTTCTTTGGGATGAAAATAAAAGCAGCCCCTGACATATGGGAACTGGTCTGACACGTAACAGCTGGGTCTCAGCATTGTCAGAATTTGGCCTGGCTCTCATAGCCAGGGCTTGATGTTCTCCTCTTGGACCAAAACATTCTCAGGGAATATCAGCATGAGACGAGGTAACTCTGTGACTGTGAAGAAGTGATACAAAAAGTGAGACCATTCATAATTTTGTCTAAGCACAAGACAAAAACAAGGTCACTGTAGCAACCACAGAAATACCAAACATCTCGCTCTCCTGGCTAATTTAAGTGATTGCTTCTGCTTTACCAGTTACAGCTTTACTTTCCTTCTAGTCTTTCCTCCTTCTGGAAAAGATTTATTAAGGTGCTCAATAATAGAATTATCTCCATTTCCTGATAGCATCCAATCCAAAGTGAGCAAACCCCCATTTCCTTGAACTCTCCCCAGATCACCCAAACAAAGCGCAAATTCTCTAAATCCTAATACCCTCTTACTAAGACACTCCACAATACCCCATGATGTGTAGTCTCCCTTGTGGCAATGAACAAGGAACCCAGCTTGTTCAAGTGCAGGTGAATTCCTGGTGATATTTGGCTGGGGGTCATTAACAAAACTTTTCCAGAATATTATGTATTGTATGATTTGATTTATAGTACATAGAGATGTGTATAGGTTTATGAATATACAATTATGTATGTTATTATATATAATACATACCTATTTGTATTGTAAATCCACACTTTTTGTCCTTTTGGGGCTAGGATAATCAAAAAGTGGCTGCTAACAGTGCCTACCCTTAGGGAGTAAAGACATATTGGTATATTTGAAGGAGAGCCTTCACTTTTCACTCTACTTTTTGAAATTTTATTTTTCGAGACAGGGTCTCACTCTGTTACCCAGGCTGGAGTGCAGTGGTGCAACCATAGCTCACTGCAGACTCAACCTCCCAGTCTCAAGTGATCCTCCCACTTCAGCCTCTCAAGTAGCTGGGACTACAGGAATGTGCCACTACGCCCTGCTAACTTTTTAAAATTATTATTATTTTGTTAGATACAGAGAGTCTCACTATGTTGCCCTGGTTGGTCTCAAATTCCTGGGCTCAAGCAATCCTCCCACCTCATCCTCCCAAAGCGCTGGGATTACAGGTGTGAGCCACTACACCTGGCCTCAACTTCTTTTTTTTTTTTTAGACAGAGTCTCACTCTGTTGCCCAGGCTGGAGTGCAGTGGCGAGATCTCGGCTCACTGCAGCCTCCGCCTCCCCGGTTGAAGTGATTCTCCTGCCTCAGCTTCTCAAGTAGCTGGGACCACAGGCACCCACCATCATGCCCCGGCTAATTTTTTATTTTTAGTACAGATGGGTTTCACTATGTTGGCCAGGCTAGTCTCAAACTCCTGACCTCAAATGATCCGCCCGCCTCAGCCTGCCAAAGTGCTGGGATTACAGGCGTGAGCCACTGCACCCAGCCTGAAATCAATTTCTTTTTACTCAATTATTCCTTTGCATTCCCAGAATAAAAGACATAATTTGTAAAATTAAGGGAAATAATTAAGTATACTTTATTATTTTCCTGACATTTCCAGAGCTTGTAACAGGAATTGTTTCGTTGCAAGTATTAGAGATGTGCCTGTCTACTCTGGTGAAAGAAATGAAGGGCTTATCATCTTAATGTGCAGGAAGCCCACAGGTAAAGAGTTGTGATAGGCAGAATTCTAAGATGGCCTCCAGCAGTCTCACTTCCTGTTATACATATGTCATTTGAGTGTGGACAGGACCTGTGAATATGATAGGATGTCACTCTCATGATTAGGTTACATTATATGGCAAAAGTGAAAGGACTTTGCAGATGTAATTAAGGTCCCAAATCAGTTGATTTGGAGTAAACAAAAAGGGAGATTATCCTGGGTTAACGGACTTCATCAGGTGAAATCCCTTAAAAGAGGAGAGAAATTCCTGAAGAGAGAAAGATTCTACTGTTGGCCCTAAAGATGCTAATAGCCATGATATGAGCTATGGAGATCAAGGTCCTAAACTAGTTGCTGACAAGTAGTCTCTGACCAACAGCCAACAAGAAAACAAAATGGAGACCTCAGTCATACAACTGCAAAAAAAATGAATTCTTCCAACAATCCAAGTGATTTCAGAAGCTGATTCTTTGCCTAGTCAAGCCTCCAGATGAGAACGCTGCCTGGTTAACACCTTGATGATATCCTTGTTAGACCTTGGGCAAAGGCACTGGTCAAGCCATGCTCAGACTTCCGACCCAAAGAAACTGAAATAATAAATGGATGTTGTTTTAAGCTGCTAAAGTTGAGGTAACTTGTTATACAGCAATATATAACTCCACAGTCCAAAGACAATATGATGGTTCTTGAAAATAATCAGTGATCCAGGCAACACCCATTGCATCTGACTTCCATCCTCGGTGTCACCCCAAAGTGAAAAGAGGGTGATGGAATTCCAGCCACAATACCCAGGTTCTAGTCAAGAAGAAGGGAAAGAAAAAAATGTCAGAGAAGTTTGTGCCAGTTGTCTGTCTCCCTTGTAAGTAGTTTTCCCCGAAGACTCACATGGCAACCTCTACTTATCAGCCACTTCTAGCTATAAGAGAGGCTAGAAAACAGAGTATTTTAGCTGGGAATATAGCCAATAGGTAAACAAACACAAATATCAGGATTATATTAGAAAGGAAGAATGAAGTCAAGGGAACAAGGACTTTTTTTTAAACAAATAGCAATCTCCTCCTCAGAGAGGAAAAAAAATAGGAAAAATTTTCCTCACATCAATCTTTTAATGTGAGTTTTTGTTTTAAAAGTTTCTGATAAGAGAAAATTTTCAAAGCAGAATGCTTCTAGCAAACACAGAAATATATTACAAGACATGTCAGCTGTGTGCCTCTGATCAGAGTATAAAGAAAGAATTCTAGTCAATACTAATGCTCTTAATCTAGCTCCATCTCCTCTGACCCTAAATGCTTCATACCCATCCCTGTCCTTAATGAAGCTATTTGCTCCCTCACTGGGTACATGTCCTGCCCTGTGGAAAGACTCACAAATATGATCCACAAAGAAACTGACTGATCTTTTCCCTGATCAGTGATGTTTAAACCCCAAATCCAAAACATGAAAAGAAATAAATCTTGTATTTAAACACATCCCAGTTAAATCATTTCCCTTCTTCCTTCCCTCTGCCTCACAGAAAAGTCTGTCTGTGGCTGATTGATTTACCATAGAGCTGATATGACTACTTGAAAATCAGATATTGAAGTCAGCTCATAGCAAATTAAGTTTATGAGGAAAAAGGAGTGGGATATGGACATGCTGGAGCCTCATTCACAAGGGCCAGAAAGAGAAGGTGGCAAACCTGTCTGGAAAGACTTGGGGTGCAGCCAAGTCTCAGAGGGAGTGCCCAATGGGTATGAAGAACTCAGATATGGATCAGGCTGACTCCAGGGTCCCGTGGGCCAAGAGAACAGGGTACCCAGGAAATGGTGTCTTTGTTCAGGCAAGCATTTGGGTGAACCAGCAGTTGATGTCTGAGGAAGTTCAGCCAAAGGCAGCAGGAGCCCAGCTATCTGGCTGGGAGACCATTTGATAATTCACCGAAAATTTGTAGAGACAATAGTTCACAGTAATGGTCCAGATATGGACTCTCTCCTCAAAAACTTTTTTTTTTTTTTTGAGTCTTGGAAGATGGTGGCAAACCCTATATGTAAACAAATTATAAAGTGATGTGTTGAAAAAAATAATACAGAGTGCTAGGAATTACAGAATTAATTTGACTTTGGGGAAAGCAAAATATAGAGATGTTTTCTGGGAAGCCTATCTTGGGATCCTGAAGAGTAGTATTACAAGATGGGAAAGTGCTTGAAATTGTAGTATTAGGCAATAGAAAATTCAGATTGGTATTCCCCAGTACCCACTGACCAAACACCAATTAGGCT
This sequence comes from Homo sapiens, assembly GCF_000001405.40. Taxonomy (NCBI): domain Eukaryota; kingdom Metazoa; phylum Chordata; class Mammalia; order Primates; family Hominidae; genus Homo; species Homo sapiens. The sequence goes on from NC_000005.10 coordinate 51,372,595, forward strand.
GAGCTAAACTCCTTTTTTTCTCCCTTCAAGTACCTTATTTCATAAATACAGTGCTGCGTATTTGCCCTTTCCCCTTTATTGTAAAAATTATGTAATACTACTACTAATAACAATAACAAAGAACAGGACAACACAATGCAGTTTCTTTTCTATTTTTAATAGCTTTATTGAGGTATAAATGATACACAATGAACTGCCCATATTTAAAATATATAATTTGGTAAGCTTTGCCACAGCATACCCCCATTAAACTACCACAATAAAAATAAGGAATATAAATTAAGGAATATGTCTATCACTTCCAAAAATTTCCTCTAGTCCCTTTTTAATCTCTGCCTTTCCCATCTACCCTTCGCCTACTCCATCCCACAGTCACCACTCATCTGATTTCTTTCACTATCAGTTTGTCAAACACTAGTTTGTATATCCTAGAGTTTTACATAAGTAGAATTATAGAGTGTCCATTTTTGTTCTGGCTTCTTTTACTCAGCATATTGAGACTCACCCACCCATGTTAAAGTATGTATCAGTTGTTCTTTCAATTGCTGAATAGTATTCCATTGTGTATCATTTATTTTTAGGTTTATCATCTTTATTTCCTTTTCAACTCCTTCTTTCCTTCTTTTTTCTTATTATTGGCATGCTTATTATAGAAATCTTCATAATGGTACAAATGGGTAAAGAAGCAGGAAAAATCAATTACAGAAAGCTTTGGCATTAAATAACCAACCAACAAAACTAAACAAAACCTCCTGAAAACTAAAGAGTCTTTATGATTGTCAAAGTAGTAAATCTTTCTTAGAGTTATTTGAGATGCTTTGACAGATATAGAGGGGCTACCATTTCAGTCTGGGTGGCCTTGCCTAGAGCCCTCTAAACTGCACAATTTAGTGGCGCCTATTCAGTCTTCCAAAGACTGTCATGTAACATGTTTTGCTTATACAAATGATCTCAATGAAGGGAGATTATGAAATGAGGCAATATGTTAAATCTAGAAAGACAAGGGAAATACATTAAAAGTAAGGTCCTGGAAAGCCACAGGCTAACAGCTACCAATAATATTTTTTAAATGGTATTACCCCAAAGTGAATGTCATGAGAACTGAGGGGGAATGCAATTTTGATCACGTGTGTTATCAGGAGTATTTCTACTGTTGAAACACAAATTATTATTTTTTTAACAGTAAAAAATCCTTAGGTGTTCTCCATCTGCCGTGGGAAACACTCCGCAGCTGCTTCTTTAGCCTAGCAAAGATCAACCTGACCTTGGCCAACCAGCTTGTACTTTGAAGAGTGTATTTTGTGAAACCTGTGAGTAGAGAAGGATTCATGCTTGGCAGAATTTGTTGTCTCTTTTGCTCAGTATCTTACCATGATTAATCCCCAATCCATCTTTCTCTGCTGCTGCTGTTGCTGCTGTCAGACACATATTTCTTCTCCATAACAGACGCTGTTCCAACGTTGCTGGATTCTGGCTGGGTGTGACCTTTTATGGGGCACTGCTGCCTCCTATCAGGCTTTTATGGGCATGTTGGTTTATGCACATGTGCAGGCATTCTGACCTTGTGACCTCCAGAATAGATTCTAAGAGAACAACTGTATCTGATTTTTCTGACATTTTGGGCACCCAAACTCTTCCCAAGTGCATAGGTACAATGAATACTCCCTTGTGGTTTGGGTTTACATTCTTCTCACATCAGAAGAACTCCTCTAGGAGAATGTGAAGCCAGATCAGAACTGCTAACATAACAACAGTGTTGCTGGCAGCCTTTCAAGTTGTTTTGCATAAATTTGAGCATGAGGCAGTGTTTTCACAACATCTTTCCCTTTTTATTGTGGTTTAAGTAAGCAGTGCAAATACTTGAATTACACTTTCTGATATAACCACGTCTGCAGAAAGGGCAATGGCTAACAAAACTCTGGAAAACTTTGAAACCATTTTTTAAAATTCCTTCTCAGATCTGGTCTTTTTTCTTTTCTGAATCCTGAATCTTATTGTTAGATAAACCTAGTTACATTAAAAAGAGAAATCCGTATTGTGATATTTCTAGTACTTTTAGTTTGTATTTTCTGTACTGACAGTGTACTGACAGTTTACTGATAGTGAGGAGTTTACAAAGGTGAACAGTCTAGTATGATTAAAGATGCGACAGAAGTTTTTAAAATTATTGCCAAATAAGCTGCTTTTCTACCATTAAAAAAAACCCCTCAACTCAGATTTTAAAGTTTTAAATGCCAAGTTAAAATAATTATGAATCTACTGTTCCCTAGTTCCATCCACTACCTATTTCGGATCTGGGTTTTGCCCTTAAACGCCTATTCTATCAGAATGAACTGGGTCACCACGCCCTATTTCTTTATGTTCCTCTTGACATTTACTCCATGTTTTCTTTTTCTAAATAAGCTTTCTCTTTCTGTTTTCAAAATTGAATACTTTTCTCATCTTAGCCAAGCACCTATTTTCACTCTTTCTTCTGCTAGCTAATAAAGTCACCCACACTCAATTCTTTCTCCAATACTATATTCAAAAGTGTGATTTTTTTCCATCCACTTACATTTTCCTCTGCTTTAAGAGCTCTACTCATGTTTCTTCCTCATTGATGGCCTAGCCTAAAAGAAAATGCTTGCCCTCACATGGTATATCCAAAGTCACATCAGATCTGCTATGGCTCGGGTATAGGACAACGAAGAGACGTATCACGTGACATTAGGGACAACTATACGAACACTTCAGAATTGGAAGAAACACATCGTCAAGACCTAAAAGATATGGCTTATATTTGTTCATACATTATATGAGAATCCAAAGTCAGTAAAACTATATAGAGTGGTTCTCATTGTCACCAATGGTTTGTGCAGCTTGTAACACGGAGAGTATAGAATAAATCTAAAGACTGGGCCAAGAAGATAAAATAGCACATTGTGCTATGTTCTGAAGTGAGACATAAAATAATTTGGGTCCTGATATTTAAGTGAAAGTCAGGAGGATTCTACTTATGGGTAACGACATAGTTTCCGATTCAGCATTACTGTTCAAGATGCAGGGATCTTCCTGGGCTAGTACATGTATCTGGAAAGAGGAGGGAGAGTCTTAAAATATAGCATAGCATCAATTTAGCAACATTCAAGTAATGGCACACATCATATGATAGTTCAGTGTGTTTATAACTAGACTGAACTCTCCAATAATAGAGTGATAGCTACATATGTGTTACACATACATGAATCCTATTATTACTATATTTTGGTAATAGGTCCTTAAATAGACATTATAGAAAGTAAAGCAGCTTGTTATATTTGCTTTTCCATTTTTTATAAATTAGGAGGTGATGAAATTATCTACTTATATTAATTTCAATATATTAATATTTGCATTTAAAGATCAGCACAATATTGTTAAGCTACAAAAGTTAAACCATACTTATTCCTTACACATTGCCTAGGACTTATTCAGGTTTTATTTCCTGCTGAAATGATGTGACTGAAGGTTTCAGAATAATAAGTGGTAAAACACACATTGACATGCACAACTGTAAAATGTGCACTTTGTGCACAAAAAGTTACAAAAACAAGAGTATTTTAAGTTATCATTAACCCAAAGCAACCTAGTTATGGACCACCTTGCTTGATAGGATTTTAGTTCATGAAGCTTCAGATTTTGTTCTCTTGATAAAAGCACCCTTGAATATCATTTTTAAGCCTGACAATTATTTTCTTGTAAAGAGGGTGTTATATATATCAAAAATAGAACTTCAAGTTTTCTATAGAATTACCTTGTAACGTTAAATGATGGTATCATTAGCATATAATTATAACATATATAATTATACATAAATGATATGCTATATACTTTCGACATCTCTTATGTATATGACTGTCAGGTATAGACTATCTATTAACAAAGCCAGGTAAAATTAAAGTAGACCTATTATCATTATTACCTTTTTAACTTACGATTTATTCTTCAATTTTGGATAGAATTTTGTACAATGGAAGCATACTAGAAGTAAGTCAACAATAGACAGTTAAGAAGAGGCAACAAGATAATTGTTCCATCTTGCCTGGTGAACTCTTAAGTCAACAAAGGAGCCCGCCCCTCTGGCTAATCACCCAGTGTGGGTTCTGTGACTGACAGGAGAGCAGAGAAGTGCATCTCTGCTGCGGGAGTTCTCTCCTGTTTTCTAATTCAAACATTTGCAGCACAAAGTGAATAAACTTGAATAATGCCAACTAAGAAGTAAGGTATCTGTATTTTGGGGTGATATTTAGAATTAAGCTAGTCATGAAAATATTCTGTACCAATAACTGTGCAGTTATCGTTTCCGCACGCTGCCAACAAGGCAGACAGATGCAGAGGAAACGTCCTTACAATTTTCTGGAATGTAGACACGAAGCGCAAATTGAACCTCTGGCAGATGGCAGAAAAGGTGACTTGACAATGAGTTTGAAACAATTAAAGTGATATTCTCATTCATTCATTTCCACAATTTTATTCATTTCGAGGAAAGCCCAGAGGATTGGAACATGGATATAAAGGAGGACAACCTAAGACTGCAAGTTTCATCTTCCGAAAGGCTGCATTTATAAGCAGGCTGCCAGAGGCTGCGCTTTCTTTCTCACTCTTTGCATCCAGGAGCCTGGAGGATCTTGCTGCCTACCCCCCGCCCCACGCCAACCCCATGAGACAGGGACACCGCCGCCCCTTGTTTAGTAATCCTCGGGTTGTCTGATCACTATCCTCTAGGCCAGCGATTGGATTCACCTCTTCTTTCGCGTACTTACGGGCAACCGAGGCCATCCGAGGCCCTGGTCCCGAACGAACTTGAGTAGCGAGAGATTCACAATAAAGAACTAAGTGTGGCCTCCCAGGGGCTGCGCTCGCCATCCAGGGACTGAAAGAGACCTGCGGGATGATTTTCTGTTTTCCTCTAGCAGGAATCAGAACAAGGGGCGTAGATTCGGTTCAATTTTTCTGCTTCGGTCAATGGGAAGATGAAATAGAAAAATTCTCTTTCACTCGCAACACGGAGACTTAGGGGGCTGTCTAGCTAGAAGGTTGGCAAACTGCAAAACGGCGGGGCAGGGGGCCAAGGGGACGGTTGGGGTCTCTTTGTTTAGCTCTTCTCTCATCCCAGGACTCAGGCTAGGCTAAATTTCTAGCGCCGTGTGTGCTTGAAAGCAGACAGGTGGGATTCTTGGAAAGAACATACACAACACAGCTTCTGAGCCCCAGAAGGACCTTAAGACAGGAGTTCCTGAGCCCTGAACAAGAGGCTACCTAGGGTAAAGCGATTGATCTCCGCGCGGTGCGGCTGAGAAGAGAAGGCGTTGTTGACCTTTCGGGGAGCAAGTTAATAACTCAGCCGAGTTGATGAAGTGACGTTCTTTCTGAAAGGGGTCGTCTCCTGGGCCCCTTTTCTCAGTCGGCATTTAGCAGGTAGGGAGGCAGGGCAAATTCTTCTCTCCACGTGAAGTCACAAAGAATTGATGAGTTTCAACAGCATGGATCTGAAGTCGTAGATAATTCTAAACACACCCGCGCCAGAGTTCACACTCTTGTTCATCTCTGCGGAGTTGGAGCAGACAGCGACCTTCAAAATTGTCCCTAAAATCTCTCTCGAACTGACCGGGCATTTACTGGGATTTGAGGGGTTTTTCTTCAGCTTCCAAACTACTGTTACATGCAGAATATACTGGTAGATGCCACCAATGATTGCCCACCTCTCTTTAAAAGTTGCCCCGTCCACGCACCATTCAGCTTACACTAAACTGTCCCGACATGCCTTAGCCGTCAGTTTAATTCATAAAGTAGCTGTAACTCTTGACATCACCTCCGCAGCCCACCCGAGGACTCCTTCCCAGGACACCTTATGAGGCTGTTTTCCGAGGGCTGAATTCTGAGACTTAAAGGAAGGTTACTTGAGGCATCCTGGTATATTTCCGGGCTTCCAACTCCCTCCCCTGCTTGGCTGGTAATTTTCTGCTGCTCCTCCTCCTCCCCCACTTGACCTCCTCCGAGGTACCTTCGCCTCCCCTCCCCCGCTCGTCCCCAGTAAATCTCCAGCGGGTGGGGGAAATCAATCCTTTGGCGCTAAAGCTAAACTCAGAGCTGCCCGTTGGACAGGATTGCAGTGGGGTAAATGGTGTCCGTCCTTTCAGAAAGAATGATCAACTACATGGAGGTAACTTGCTCTGGGTTTCCTGAGATCTCGGGCGGACCCGTCCGTGTTTTGCCAGATTCAGTGCAAATGTAGATTTCAGCTGAACCGGTCAGGACTTGAGAGATAGCTGTTTCACTCTCCGGACTGCAACCACTTCCGCGAGAATCTGATACATTTAATGAAAGCTTTGCCAAATGTACGGGTCAGCGCGTCCTTGGGCCACCACCACTTGGGTCAGCACACTGCACTCACTAGCGCCAACCTGGGCTCCACGCAGCAGAACTCGGTTAAAAATCGTCTGTTCCTGGTCACTTAGGAGTTCTAGGGGGCAGGGGGAAGCAAGAAAAAGGTTTCACTTGACACTGCCAGCCGCTTTTGATAAGTCATAGTAAATACTTTCAGAAGCACAATTTTAAAGGGAGAATACAAATTTCCGTCCTCGCTTGGCCGAACGCCTCCCTGCAATCAACTGCGGACCTTCGCATGCTCAGGACTGAACTGAGGTTTGTGGTTTCGCAGCTGCCCCGATGCCGGGAGCATGAAATTCTATCTCGGCTGAGAACCGAGCAACAGACCGCACAAGAACGGTGCCTTCTGGCCTGTCGTCTGCCAAGAAATACCAGGAAAGCTGGTGTCAGAAACAACTACCTGAACTCAGAAAGTAAGGCTAGGAAGCTCTGCGTGCAGAGAAAATTCTTGCTAATTCACCCAGACTGTTTTATCTGGTTAATAAAGCAATTGACACTCAACAAAACCACAATCGCAGCAGGAGTCCTAGGCATCAGAATAAGAATCACAACTAAAGGTTTGTTGTTGTTAACAACTGCCTTTATTATCATTGCTTAGTATTTTTTTAAGTAAAAGGAAAGAAAAAGAGAATCATTTCATACCCACTGGTATCTCTTCCTTTTCTCTGAAATTAGAGCACAGATTCTCCTGATTGTTCCTCAATAAGCCACCACCACCAACGGGAAGAGACGCAAATTGGTTCTAAACACCCACACCCCGTTCGCGGTGGAATATAAATGGTTAATCGTAACTCCCTTTAAACGCACATAATTTTATCTGACCCTTGGACATGATTAAAGATACTGAGGATTTATATAGCCTTATTCTACATCATTAGAGACTACACAGAAAAGATAAAAACGGGAAAGGGGATACATACGCATCTACTCAATATCCATTTTTAGAGGTAAATAAAATCTTCCTGTTTCATTTTGGCCCCCAAATTATATGATGTGGACATCAGAAAATATAAATCCTTCAGTTATACATATTTTTTCATCTGAATACCTTACTCAGTAAAACTGGCAGTGTAACTTATTCTACTCTTTCAAACCTGATTCTGATGTGAGCTAAACATATAGCATCATCTCCCTGGGAATAAATTCTCAAATTTATACCTCCATTGGAAAGCTGATCAAAGCCCCTCTTCCCTTCCCAGTCTTGGTTAGATGAGAAGGAATAAGCTGTCTTACTGTTTGTGATTTCCCAAAGAAACAACTTAAAATTCATTTATATCTGCCAGAGGTTATTGGGAGATAAATAAATGCTAAATGTGTAATTTTACCTTTCAATTGCAATTAAAACCTATTTAGATTTTTGAAATGTAGCTTGAGAGCATGATGTTTGTGCAGGAATCTGTATCTGACATTAAGTTTGATGTGGAATGTTTAAATGGTAACTAAAGCAGAGAAAGCAACAGTACACAAAAACACAAGTCTAAGAGCCCATCAGGAGGTTGGGTGTAACAGCCACATTTTGGAAGGTGTATACAAGGGCACATGGGCAGATGCCACAGACTCCAGAGGAACTTAAATTTCAGTATCCCTTTTATATTGAAAGACACTGTCAGATATATTGAGGCAGCCTGGAGGTGATGGGGACTACACTTAATAACTACTCATACTCCTCATTTTCTCAGTAAAGGAATCAAACCAGAGATTCACACTATTGCCGTTTTCAAGGATATATTTTTGACCTAACAATATACAAAGGTCAAAACGAGTCCTTTTTTGAGAGGAGAGGGTCTAATCCCCGCTTTGAACACAAGAGGTCGCTCCTGTGATCAAGTATTACGGATAAATTGCTCATCAGTTTTATGTATACAAAATTTTACAGATATATTTGATGCACTAAATCCACATACAGCAATCAGCTGAGGAAATCATAATAATCCATGATCAATTTAGAACTTCAAGGTAAAGTAAAACTACAAAGCCTGCTATTCTAACTTGGATTTTAATGCAAAATGTGTCATGATACATGCACTGAACTTCAGAGCATGTCCATCATGGTGGGGTCCCTCAAACGTCTCCTTTTAATGCTGGTATCTTCACCATGCGTCTTGCTTCTATCAGTTTAGGAACTTATTAAGAAAATACTTGTTTACAACAATGGTGCAGAATGAAAAGAGGAAAATGTTGTCTTCACCATTAAGGTGAAATTGTCTATTACTAAAGGTTTCCCCCAAGCCGCATGCAAGCTTTTCTACTTGGAAGTGCTATCATCTGCAATAATTCTTTGTAATAGCTTATTGGTTTAGGGAGTTAAAATACCACACTGTGGGTGGGAGGTGGGGGCTGGTTTGAAGGAGGATGGATAGTGAGGGTGCTTTGTGGATCTCAAATGTAAGTCATCAGGCTTCTGGTGGCTTCTGGTGTTTAATTCCATCTTATAAAAGTGGCATGATGGAATATGACTAGGTAAAACTCTATTTTCTGGCATTGTGGTGGTATCTTTTTTTTTTTTTTTTTTTACTAGGGTCAACATGTTTATCTCTATGGGAAACACACACAAATACTAGGAAGATTTGCTTCGTATTGAGATTAACAGCATCAGCTTTGCAAAAGCAGCCTGACAAAAGGCTCCATACATCTAATACCAGAGACTAGAAACAGACCAAAAAAAAAAAAAAAAAAAAACACACACCACACAACTGGTAAACTTATCAACCTAGGTCTATCCAACTTTCGCTTTCATACACGCGCTCTAAAACAACTTATAATAAAAATGGAAGGGAAGACAGATCCAATTTGAAATCCTCCTTGAGAAAAAACAAATCAAAACTAGTTCCTGGGGAAGAAAGCCTCAGCTAGGTCAGGAGGAAACTTACGCATCTTTGATTCCCTTTCCGCTTTGGAGAGGCATTACCCGTTCAAGCCCAGCCAATGCGGCCGGCCAGGATTTACAGCTCTTATCAAGGGTTAGATTTTGCGAAAGATATAAAGAAAGGAGTTTCCTAACACACCGGGTCTTCTCACAGCAACAAGACACCGAAATTAAGCCTTCTATGGTTTGTGTCTGTAGGACTTTTTAGATAAAACTGGCAGCCCCATTAGATAAGAAATGGCTTTTTAGAAGCTTTGGGGGAAGCGCGGGGGTTCTTCGTGGCCTTCCTGTGACTGTCTTTGGGAGACCGTAACAGATGATGGGAACATGTAAGAATGATTGAAGAAGGTTACCGGCGAGTTGCACCTAACAGTCTTCTCTCTCCAAGTAGTTTCTCGAGAGAAAATTATATATTAACGCCTGGGGACGTGAAATAGGTCTTTCACTGTTCTGTAATAAATCCCTCCCTACTCGCGCCCTTAGACTAATGCATTTTTAAAAAATCTCCACAAAGTCATGGAGACTTGTCCTTATAATTACCAAAATACCACAGCTAGTTGCACAAGTTTGCTTAAAAACAAAGGGCAGGAGACCAGCAGTGAGAAGAATTGAACAGTATATAAAAATCTTACAAACTTTAGACTACTGAAAGATCATTTCGCTCTTTGGCTTCGGGTTAGTGAGCTTCAATTCTAGAGTTAAACTGAGAAGCAGACCTCGCGGGTCTGAAAGACAAAAAGTCAGTCCGCGGAGTCAACTTCGGTTTACCGGTGCGTTCCAACCTGATTGTCCCAACAGCAAGAAGCGCCCCTTTCCTCCCACCCAACGTTTTTAGATATCTGAGGTTGGGGGAGACGGAGTAATGGTGTAGCAGTCAGGAAACAGTTCCTCTGGGTTTAATCATCCCATTCCCGATTCTTCTTCCCCTAGCGCGCCGAGCGCAGCCAGTTCTGGAGGAACTAGCCCTCCGGAGCAGCCAAGGCAGGCCAGGCCCCGGGGATGTGCACCACGGCGTGGGGACCAAACCAAGCTGAACGGCCTGCTCCAAGTTCCCCCCTTTTCCTAGAGCCCGGGAGGGACCTCGTCAACAGGTAGACCTACCCACCAGCCACTCGCCACCGGCGGCAGAAAGTGAGCCCCGCGCGCAACGCGGCCAGCCGGACTGCGGGGACCCCAGGAGCGCAGGGCGGAGGAGCAGCGCCACAGGAGGCGAGGGCGCAGGCGGCGCGGCCGGGAAGGAACGCGGGAGGGGACAGAAGGAAGAGGAAGAGGAGGAGAGGGAGGCCAGAGCCAGAACAGCCCGGCAGCCCGAGCTTCGGGGGAGAACGGCCTGAGCCCCGAGCAAGTTGCCTCGGGAGCCCTAATCCTCTCCCGCTGGCTCGCCGAGCGGTCAGTGGCGCTCAGCGGCGGCGAGGCTGAAATATGATAATCAGAACAGCTGCGCCGCGCGCCCTGCAGCCAATGGGCGCGGCGCTCGCCTGACGTCCCCGCGCGCTGCGTCAGACCAATGGCGATGGAGCTGAGTTGGAGCAGAGAAGTTTGAGTAAGAGATAAGGAAGAGAGGTGCCCGAGCCGCGCCGAGTCTGCCGCCGCCGCAGCGCCTCCGCTCCGCCAACTCCGCCGGCTTAAATTGGACTCCTAGATCCGCGAGGGCGCGGCGCAGCCGAGCAGCGGCTCTTTCAGCATTGGCAACCCCAGGGGCCAATATTTCCCACTTAGCCACAGCTCCAGCATCCTCTCTGTGGGCTGTTCACCAACTGTACAACCACCATTTCACTGTGGACATTACTCCCTCTTACAGATATGGGAGACATGGGAGATCCACCAAAAAGTAAGAGGCTATTTTACCTTGTGGGGCTCGGTGTGCTGTTCTTGTGCGGGGTTCTCTCTCAGGCACAGGCTGAGGTGCCAAGGGCTCTTTGGAGTTGGAGTCATTGCCTGGAGAAAGAGAAAAGGTGGCTTTTTCTTGTTGCCGCCACGCCTGCATGCTTACTGTCGGTTCTTATCTTCGGGAAACTGATTGTACCTTGTGTGTGAATTCGCCTGTGTGCCCTCCAAAGCTCTAGCTTTCTGGTGCTAAGCGGTGATTTCCTCCTGGGGAATCCTGAGCTCTCCGAGAAGGTTATTATGTTGCAAAGGTCTGCCTGCACAGTCAATGCCCAGAGATGTGAATTAGCATTAGACTTGCAAAAGAGAACGAGTGACAACTGTATTTATGCCTGCTCTTGCTAACAATATCCAGTCCTGTGTGCTATTTAAGAGCGCGCTTCACGGAAAATATAGACATCCCTGCGTTCACTTAACGCTTCTAGTCAAAACCTTTTCTTTGACTTGACTTATCCATAATCTTTCCCAATGATTATAGCAAAGAGGAAGGGGGGGGGGAGAAATACAAAATGAGCGGGTTTGATTGCGTGCTAGGCGTACAAATGTAGACTATTCCAATCTGCATTTTACATATATTCCACCTCCTTTTAAAAATGAGTCAAGGTTTTGATGGCACATTTCAATTACCATCCCAAAGTGCAATGCTCTAAAAAAAAAAAAAAAGAAAGAAAGAAAGAAAGAAAAAAACCTCCCAGAGTACGCCCTATAAGAGAACGACACTAAAAGTGTGTTTATCTCTGTAGGAAGTAAACGGTTAGTCAATCATGTATTTATTTTCATTTCAGAAAAACGTCTGATTTCCCTATGTGTTGGTTGCGGCAATCAGATTCACGATCAGTATATTCTGAGGGTTTCTCCGGATTTGGAATGGCATGCGGCATGTTTGAAATGTGCGGAGTGTAATCAGTATTTGGACGAGAGCTGTACATGCTTTGTTAGGGATGGGAAAACCTACTGTAAAAGAGATTATATCAGGTATGGCATTTACACTTCTTTCTTAATTTTGTGGGATTTCCCTGAATCTCCCCACTCTTTATGTATTATTTGGTGTGGCTTTGTCTTTTTGTGAAGTTTGCCTCAGTGTAGTCATACAAGCCAAAGTTACCCTGTACATGTGTTAAAAAAATCAAGCTATGCTGTTCATTTCATTCTTTAGTTGAGAAAAACAAAAACCCTTAACAGTGGTATTCATAATTCCGGGGTATTGAGGCTTGTTTAATTACTCTTGGAGTTTATGATGCACAAATTATTTTCCTCTTTCACCCTCCCCCTTACAAAACAAAATTTTAAAAAGATGGAGAAGTTTGGATTTTTAGCTTTAAAATAGGGTTGATTTTTGTTGTATAGTGCAGTGTTCTGTTTGTTTTAGTCCTTTTTAAAATTAGTAGCTTACAAATTCTTTGGTGGCATCAATGCAATAGGTGAAATAAAAGTTTGACCGAAGCATGTTTAGAGATGTACTTTGAAAGAGCGAGTACAGGTATTGCTCCTTTTATTTTTGGGGTAAGACCTCCTTCTGAGAAAAATTTAAAACCAACCTAAATATTCCTTGGAAAAAACACCGGAAACTTAATCTTTTTAAATATTAACCCTTTGGTGACATCTAACTGTCTCTTCTTTCTTATCTTATCTGAGCTGATGAATTAGAGCAGATCAAATTGCCCATCATCTGTCTACGAACAATTGGTATATTTAGATAATTGAACAGCTTCCTTTCTCACATTAAAATCTGGTAACTGATAAAATGAGCGAATTGTCCAAATTGACAAGACTGAAACAACATAGGAACTTTCTGAGTTTGGTTTTGTTGTTTTGGAGAGTTTTTGTTTTTTTTTTCCTCCAATTTATTCTGCAACACGTTTTGCTAATCTCAAGTTTCCTCTGACTTGTGTGTATGTATCAGAAACTTTGTTTTCTGCCTTAGAAAGCCAGTAGTCTCTAAAGAAAATTGTATTCATTTTATTAACAAACAGAAGAGACATCAGCATCATTATTATGTTAAATAATAGCAAAATATCACTTTTTAAATGTCCGGTGGCTATTAACAAGTAATTAATTAGCTTTTGTTAGGCAAATGGTTTCTGGAGCTTGAGAACTTTTATTAAAGTTTAGTTAAGATTTAATATACAGTCACAGTTTGCTCCTGCTCACTTAGTATCCAGCATTTTTTTCTTCTTTTTTAAAAATCATGACACAGAGAGTATAATCTTGGTAGATAAAATTAACCTGGTTGGGGGAGGTTAATACTTCGGAGAGGGAGTGAAAGGAAGTAAGGGAAGTCGGGGTACAGGAAGGGGGAGGGATTTTCTAAATTGTTTGGTCACCGCCAAAGTCAAGTCTTCACCCTATGAAATGGAAGATCTCACATTGAGTAGGCGGAGGGAGGAAAAACTTTTGAGTCCACCTTCTAACCTCTGACAAATGAGCGTTTTCATTGTTTACTAGATTGGTGTGTAAACGCAAGATTCTAGAGAAGGAGAGCCCACTTCAGGAGTATCTTTACTGCTATGGAAATAGTATTTTGCTCAATTGCACACAGGCTTGCATGTGCCTAATTCTGGATACACACATGTGTAGAAGGAACTAATCATTTTTACCTTCTCTTCACTCTCTCTCAACTCTGTGTGTGTGTGTGTGTGTGTGTGTGTGTGTGTGTGTAATCTTGTAGTTGTAAAAGCAGAACAGACTGGACAGTTAGATTTCCACATCTCTCCTTGGAGAAGCAGGATGCCTCCTCCTGTTATGTGGATCTTTTCCTCTCTCTTCCATTCTTTCTGTTCGTAGGAATGCCCCAGCTTCTGTTATTCCTGAAAGATGGAGAAGGGGCCAGGGAAGTGCAGCCTAGATGGAACCTATAAAGATTGTCCCTTGGTAAGGAAAGGCCAGGAGTGAGAAAGACCTTAGAAGCGGGTCTTTGCATTTTTTTCATTCTGGTCATGGTTTTCAAGAAAATTGAAATGAGGTAGATGATTCAGCAACTTGAAAAAGATTGAGGGAACAGACGCAGATTTTTTTAAAAAAATAATAATACAAGGAAGAATGGAGAGGAAATTTTCTGTTAACATTGCTGCCTGAAGAAAATCTTTAGTTGGAGAAAGACTGGAAAGTACTTGTGCAAAAGGAGATGTGGAAACTCTCAGAGGTTTCATTTTGTTATTCTGCTTGTTTATTTGTGAGTGTTTGCAAACCGAGTGGGGTGACAATCCCCTTCTCCTACCTCCTTTTTTCTTGGAAGGAGGACTTTTTGTTGCAGTTTTAGACATTTCTAGCAGCAGAAATTGTGGGATAGGGAAGTGAAAGTGTTGGTGTCGGTGGCCACCAGAGTCTTTCTGGATTCCTTCCTGCCAAGATCTGCAAGATCAACACTGGGATTGATTGCTAGAGCAGCAGCCCGAGTTTGGAACCCATCAATACATTTTCTGTGGTACAAGCTAGGTGTTTTGAGCTAAGAGTTACCAACTAAGACAGAGGTTCATCGGAAAGGAAACGGGAGTAAAAGAAAGGGAGGAGGGAGGGAGGGGAAAAGAGAGATGGGGGAAGGAAGAGAGACAGGGAAGGAGAGAGCAGGGTTTCATTTCTGTCCTTCTGTTTCCAACTTCTGTTTGGAAATGCTGTTTACTTGGGGCGTCTTGCCCGGGATCTTGGGCCAGGGAAGTGCCGGCCTGAAGTGACCCCCTCTTCCTGTACTTCTCTCCCCGCTCTGGGCCGCCTCCGCTCCCCCCTCCCCCGCACAGGTTGTACGGGATCAAATGCGCCAAGTGCAGCATCGGCTTCAGCAAGAACGACTTCGTGATGCGTGCCCGCTCCAAGGTGTATCACATCGAGTGTTTCCGCTGTGTGGCCTGCAGCCGCCAGCTCATCCCTGGGGACGAATTTGCGCTTCGGGAGGACGGTCTCTTCTGCCGAGCAGACCACGATGTGGTGGAGAGGGCCAGTCTAGGCGCTGGCGACCCGCTCAGTCCCCTGCATCCAGCGCGGCCACTGCAAATGGCAGGTACTCCTCTGCCCGGCTCGGGTAGGCAGGCGCCAGGTTAAGCCAGCCTGTGTGCCAGCGGCCACAACAACTATGGTAGCTACAGGGGTGGTCGTAGTGTTTGCCTGCAGTTAAATGAAGTGTTCTGTATGCAATTTGCGCTGTGCTCTGCTCCTTTGCAGCAAGGTTCAATGCACTCACTGTCTCCCTTGATTCCCCGAGCACACCTACACCGTCTGTGTGTCTCTATATGGTTACACATAAATGTACACCACTTGTGTACACGTGTATACACACGCCCAAACATTACTTCCAGTTCGCTCTGGCCTCCAAACCTTGGCTTGCTGAAAACGGGCTTCAGCTCCCAGCCAGGTATTCTCCTGCTGCCTAATTAAAGGGGCGGAGCCCCGGGTCCCTGGAGCTTCATCCTTTAACCCAATGAAGGAAGCTTAGGTGGCCTGAAGTCATTTAGTCTCCCAAATCCTTTTTCCTTGTGAGTTGCTTCACACTCGAAATTTTTTTTTTAATTTTTTTATCTTTCTGTGAGAGAACAGGACTGAAAAGATACAGTTTTAAAAACTGCAGGCCATTGCACAGAGTTGTAATATAAAACTGTCAACAAGCTTATCTGCAGTAATTGCCTTTTAAAGGGAGCCTGCTTCTTTAAATCATTCATTCTATATGATTTGGTGAGAATTTCATCTTCAGGCCCATGGTTGTAGCTCTAAATTGACCCCATAGGTGTTGGCCTGACCCTAGGGGGTTGTAGAAGGTGCAGGATTTGTATCATGTAGATAAGAGGACTCATTCCCAAGGAAGAGGAGTGGAAACACAGCAAGGTTGGCCGGGACCAAAGCAGTGGGTTAGAAGGTGGACAGTGTTTCCAAACCTGACTTCCTGCCATGAATAGATCTACCCCTTTGCAGTTTTAAAGTATCAATTCCCACTAAACACTGAAGGTGAGGAAACTATAGCCCTCCCTTACCCTTCTGCCTTCTGGCAGCTCTAAGAATTCTGTTCAGGGGGATTTGTGACTAGTTTGCACCGGGGCACGGCTGGGGTGGTGCTCCTGTTCAGTGGAGCCTGCACTCTGCTTGTGGGGAAGCACAGAGGAAGCTAAAATACCGAGAGGGAGGCGGGGGACATCTCCCAGCCACCGTTTATCTAGAGCCTAGGCAGCTCAACAGAGTTTCCGTTTTCCACTGCTTGGGATCAGCCCATCTCAGGAACATCCATGTATTACCTTAGATTTAATACTAAGAGCAGGGATTGGAGATATGGCAGAAATAGCGAATCTCTTCAGCCCCTTCACATGACTGTCCTCTCGGACTGAAGTTCAAGGCGTTCTGGCAGAGTTCTCGACCTTCCCCTTGCAGAAGTCCCTGCTGGTGTAGTATTTATGGCTGTCACTGAAGTGCTCTGCGTTCCTTTCCCTGGTACCCTCTGTGGCCTTGGCCCAAGAGAAAATTCTGATCCTGGAGAGGGTGGTAATCAATGTAACTGGGGCCCAGTCTGGGCACAAGGAAAGGTGAGAATGGAGGAGAAACAGTGCTGAAAAATGCCACCCCTGCTGTGAACAGGGGGACAGACTTTGAGACCTGCTTCCCTTGGCTAACACTTTGTTGACACGAGGAGGGGCGAGTGCTGCGTTTCAGGCCGGGATTACTCAGCAAAGACCTCTGCAGATTAGAGAGGAAGATTTTATTCTCCCTTTCACCCTCTTCGCCCCCACCTCTGCCGCCCCCTGCTTTGTGTGCTGAGGCTGCAAACCCTAGCCATTGTCCTGAGTATCTCGGGCGGGCGAGCAAGTAAGCGGGCGGGCGGGCGGGCAAGCGAGCGAGCGAGCGAGCGCGCGACCGCGGGCGGGCCGGCAAGCGAGCCTCCAGCCCAGCGCTCACGGCGCTCCTTGCCCCGCAGCGGAGCCCATCTCCGCCAGGCAGCCAGCCCTGCGGCCCCACGTCCACAAGCAGCCGGAGAAGACCACCCGCGTGCGGACTGTGCTGAACGAGAAGCAGCTGCACACCTTGCGGACCTGCTACGCCGCAAACCCGCGGCCAGATGCGCTCATGAAGGAGCAACTGGTAGAGATGACGGGCCTCAGTCCCCGTGTGATCCGGGTCTGGTTTCAAAACAAGCGGTGCAAGGACAAGAAGCGAAGCATCATGATGAAGCAACTCCAGCAGCAGCAGCCCAATGACAAAACTGTGAGTGGCTCTGGGGCCGGGCAGGGAATGCGAGGGGGAAGGAGACGCAGCGTGCGAGGTGCGTTCCTGGTACGCAGGATCGCACGGTTTTCAATCCTGCTCCTGGGCAGGAGTTTGGCCGGGGCTGCCCCTCATCCTTACCCCCCTACCCATGCCCCGGGGGACAGGCTACCCGGCGCCGGCCGCCAGCTGAGGGCGGGGAAGCTGGGAGGCTCCGTGCGCCGGGGGAGCAGCATCCAGGTCCCAACCTCGTGGGTGGGCTCATGCCCTTCCACCTCGCCTGTACCTGTGAACCGGAGAAACGCCGTCCTCCCCTCTGAGGGCAGGCGGCAACGAGGTTTGGCCCGGGTTTTGCCAACATTCAGATCGTCAGTTCCTCACGTACACAAGAAGAGGGAGGGATAATACCTTGGATTCCTGCCTACATCCAGGGGTTCCGTGGGCAGGTCACCCTGTGAGCCCCCAGGGCGCACCGCACTTCTAAGTAAGGTCGGCCGCTGCGCCTTCAGGCTGGCGAGTTCCCCCAAGGTGACCCGCATGCCCAGATCACCCTCTGCTCCAGGTGAAGCCCAGGCCTCCACAGAGGCATCAGGCCCCTCGCACCAGTATCCACTGTTATCTTGGTCCCACGGAAGCACCCACTCTGCAGGCCTCCTGGTGAAGTTAAGCTAGAGTTTCTTTTCTTCCTTTTTTTCTTTTCTTTCTTTTTCTTTTTTTTTTTTTTTTTTTTTTTTTTTTTTTTTTTTTTACTGCTTTGGACCTATTTTTAAATGCCATAAAATCTGCTGTCATTAAACTTGGCAGGCTGGCCAAGATTGGGCCAGGGCACTTTCTGAGTTGGTTAGTGCATAATAGCACAATAGGAACCAGACCCAAATGCTTTGGGGGGATGGAGTGGGGGGCTGGCTCTTCCTTGAGGAGAACGGCTTGGAAAAAATCTGCAGCTAACTGAAACTGCTCAGAAAACCACCCTGTCTAGAGGCTGAAGGGAAGCCCTGCTTACCTCAGCTTTTTAGTTCTGGGAAGCTATGGTCTGAGAAGGCAGAGGGGAGGAATTGGGCTGAGCTGTGAAGGTAAGGGGGAAGAAGAAAATCAAAGTAGAATTTGGTTTAATAAGGTCCATGCAGACCTAATAGTCCAGCCCACAGAGGCAGAAAAACAAAACAATAAAACAAATTGAATTCTAACTAATATCCGTAGGTACGGCGGATTAACTGAGTCAATAAAGACCACTATATAGATAAGATAATACCAGGGTATATTTGCTTAGCCTGTGCAGACAACGGAGGGAGGGAATTTGCTCATTAACATGTTGGGATTGGTTGGGGGGCCTATTCACAGAATATCCAGGGGATGACAGGAACTCCCATGGTGGCTGCCAGTCCAGAGAGACACGACGGTGGCTTACAGGCTAACCCAGTGGAAGTACAAAGTTACCAGCCACCTTGGAAAGTACTGAGCGACTTCGCCTTGCAGAGTGACATAGATCAGCCTGCTTTTCAGCAACTGGTAAGTGTCAGCTCCCAGATGGAAGAGGCTGAATTCCCAACAGGAGACTCTGGTTTAACTGTCACACATTGAAAGATTCAGTGGGGAGGGTGCCTTCTTGGGCTCAGGGTTGGGGAGAAACCAAGGAGGTGGGTAATGAAGAGAAGGGAGACAAATGCAGGGAAAACGAACCTCTTGGCATCTTTTTTTTTTTAATGAGACTGCATAATTTGACCATATAGGTTGAATTTTCTATCAATCAGGCCTTCTTTGAAGGATTAATTTCAAGGTACCTAACTCTAGGTAGCATGTGCCAGAAGATGTACAGTGTTGGAGAATCATACATCTTAGAATTTTAGAGTTGTCAAGGACTTCAGGAAATCGTCTTGGCATTTCAATCAGCAATTAGTAAGTTTATCCTTCCTGAGCATCTAGAGAATGGGATATATAGGACCCAAATCAAGGCGATTGTAGTATATAATCAATGCTATAATACACAATCAGTGTTGTTATCAATAAACAGCAGGCATGTGTCTGGGTACAATTTTCAAATATATTAATAAAGATTATTCAAATAGATGAATACTTTTTGTTACAGTATCCCTTGCTGGGAATGTCTTAATCTAAAATGTAGGACCGTTTAAATGTTTTCAAGTGTATGAGTTCAAATGTCATAGAGACACACAGTGTGTACCATGTATAGCAAAAGGGACATGAGCTCTACCAATCAGAAGTAAAGTGTTTAATCTGTGAAAACCTTAACATGTTTTCCACATCCAGAGAGGAGAAAATTAATTCACTTTTTGCCTACAAAAGGCTTAAGGGGTCAAGATAAATAAGAACAATAAATATATGTCCTTTGTAATATGCTATATTTATATAGATGATTTTTTTTTCTTAAAGAGTAATCAGCCTTATAGAATCTTGTTTTATAAAATGTAAAGATCTATCCTGAAACCTTGTTCCCTTTTTTGGAAATGAAGCTTTAGTTGAGGTTAGCTTTTTACCCTCATATTTACCTGGAGGGCATTTGCTTTCTCAATGTCAACAGTTAGGTAATTGGCCAGAGGCAAGTGGTTAAAAGGGCTTGGCCCCAGGCTTGTGTTTGCAAATGCTAAGTGGGTGCAGAGGCTAGAAGTCCCTTAATCTCATATTGGAAAAATTTACTGTAGAAAGAAATGTAGGCTCTAGAACTAGGAAAAAAAAATTATTCTAAGCTCATTAATCTGTTGAGTTATTTGAGCGAATCCTGAATCACAGGAGGAAGGTAAGGGGAGGCTTCAGGGCAGCCAAATGTTTGCACTTTCTGAAACTTTAGTGTCAGATGAGAGCAGTGGAAGGGAAGCTGAGGCAGGAGTGGGCATAGTTAGAGAAGGTTTACAACAGCAGTACAATGCGTTTAGGGTTAAAAGAAGGAGTCAGATATTTAAGAAGGAGTCAGATATTAGGGTTAAAAGAAGGAGTCAGAATGGGATGATGTCATAATATATGGGTCTCATTTTGGAAGGAAGAGCCTGATTTAAAGAGAGAGAGAGAGAAAGGCCAAGAGGCAGCAGGACCAACAAGGAAGAATGCCCAAGCTGTGAGCCTGCTGAGGAGTTAATCTTTGTTCTGTGGAGCCTCCTCTCAATCTCCTGTCAAAGGATCTGAGCCTGTTACGGATTTTCCAACTGAAGAAGAGAGTCTTTGATGCCTAGAGACTGAGAGCTCACCTACTCCCAGGGCAACATGTAGCCAGCAGGATAATTTTATTTCGAGCATGCATAGTAGAGTTGTGATGCCATTTTACAGTGGGAAACACATTTGTTCTTAAATAATTTAATGCAACATAATGTTGGGAATTCAGTTTCAGTTAAAACAGAGATCTTTTGGAAGATGGGAAAGTGAGAGGATTTCTTCCCAAGTTTTTCTCCTCTAGGCTTTCTCTAAGCCTGTTAAAATTCAGTTATCTATGTGAATATCTTTACATATCTATCTACACAAACATTTCTACATATACAATATGATGAGTTTATAATCTTTTTATGAATACTATTCCAGTGTCCTTTATTTATTTCTCAACCTTCTATGCAGGTCAATTTTTCAGAAGGAGGACCGGGCTCTAATTCCACTGGCAGTGAAGTAGCATCAATGTCCTCTCAACTTCCAGATACACCTAACAGCATGGTAGCCAGTCCTATTGAGGCATGAGGAACATTCATTCTGTATTTTTTTTCCCTGTTGGAGAAAGTGGGAAATTATAATGTCGAACTCTGAAACAAAAGTATTTAACGACCCAGTCAATGAAAACTGAATCAAGAAATGAATGCTCCATGAAATGCACGAAGTCTGTTTTAATGACAAGGTGATATGGTAGCAACACTGTGAAGACAATCATGGGATTTTACTAGAATTAAACAACAAACAAAACGCAAAACCCAGTATATGCTATTCAATGATCTTAGAAGTACTGAAAAAAAAAGACGTTTTTAAAACGTAGAGGATTTATATTCAAGGATCTCAAAGAAAGCATTTTCATTTCACTGCACATCTAGAGAAAAACAAAAATAGAAAATTTTCTAGTCCATCCTAATCTGAATGGTGCTGTTTCTATATTGGTCATTGCCTTGCCAAACAGGAGCTCCAGCAAAAGCGCAGGAAGAGAGACTGGCCTCCTTGGCTGAAAGAGTCCTTTCAGGAAGGTGGAGCTGCATTGGTTTGATATGTTTAAAGTTGACTTTAACAAGGGGTTAATTGAAATCCTGGGTCTCTTGGCCTGTCCTGTAGCTGGTTTATTTTTTACTTTGCCCCCTCCCCACTTTTTTTGAGATCCATCCTTTATCAAGAAGTCTGAAGCGACTATAAAGGTTTTTGAATTCAGATTTAAAAACCAACTTATAAAGCATTGCAACAAGGTTACCTCTATTTTGCCACAAGCGTCTCGGGATTGTGTTTGACTTGTGTCTGTCCAAGAACTTTTCCCCCAAAGATGTGTATAGTTATTGGTTAAAATGACTGTTTTCTCTCTCTATGGAAATAAAAAGGAAAAAAAAAAAGGAAACTTTTTTTGTTTGCTCTTGCATTGCAAAAATTATAAAGTAATTTATTATTTATTGTCGGAAGACTTGCCACTTTTCATGTCATTTGACATTTTTTGTTTGCTGAAGTGAAAAAAAAAGATAAAGGTTGTACGGTGGTCTTTGAATTATATGTCTAATTCTATGTGTTTTGTCTTTTTCTTAAATATTATGTGAAATCAAAGCGCCATATGTAGAATTATATCTTCAGGACTATTTCACTAATAAACATTTGGCATAGATAAATAAATAAACACAGTGATCCAGGGTCCCTCTTTTATGTTTACAAACAAGCTATTCAAATGTCTGAAAGTAAGGATTGCATGTGAATTGGGGTAAACTGACACACAGTAGGGGTGATATTGTATTGCAAGTAGTTAAGGTCGAGTTTGCATGTTTGGGTTTCAGTAGTTGGATCAAAGTTGGTTGGAAGCCCCTTAGCTCTCAGCTATGATAATGCTACTGGTTTTGTGAAAATGAGATGCTGTTCTCTGTCCTGCCCCTCTCTTTCCTTCCCCCAGTCTCTTTCTTGCCATACCCCACCCATCCACCCACCCCAAATAGGAAGAGGGTCTTGCTTAAAATGGCTTTTGATTCAGAGTCACTATTTTATTTTCTTAGAATACGTGATTTATACCAAAGTCTCCTGCTTGGGATTGTTGAAATGACCCATATGTCAAATATATAAGCTCTTGGTAAGAGAGACTTTCTGCCTAGCCAGTGAGGTATGACCATTATTTACCAGTGGCGGCTGTCAGCCGATTGAGAAATGCTGCTCTATTTGTGCAGAAGGAACAGGCCTAGAGAAGAGAGTATGCTCTGCAATTCCCAGACTAGTCGGTGTATGCATTTTCTTGCCTCTTCTCCCCTCTCCCACCTCCGCTTCGTCCCTTGCCCAAGTCCAATTTCAAAAATCTTGGGAAGCATGACTGGCTATGGAGAGAAACATGGCATATATACTGTTGGGAAACCACCTTTTATGGGATGGGGTAGCAGGTCATGTGCTTTGCTGGACCCATCAGCTATCAGGGTTACGGGCATGCTCTCTGGGACAGACTATTCCTCCCCTGGCATTTAGCAATAGTTCAAGTGCAAGAGCCAGAACCCTGGAAAAGATAAATGGCACTGCCCGAAATCGGGCTTCTTGGTGCTTCTTCATTTGCTGGCATTGAATTAGGATTTGGGGCTCCACCCTGTTCCCCCTCCTCCCTTTACCCCACCCCAGGATGATGCTTTGACTCTGGAAACTGCATTGATTTGTATGCGCGAGTGTAATGCCATTTTCAGTACCTGACAATTCTTATTATGAAAGCTAAAGTACCCTAATTGTGTGTCATGTGGCGTACCCCTCCAGGCTCGATAGGGTGAGGTGGAGGCTGTGCCCCCCAGCTCTCAAGTCACTTTCACCCTCTGCAAACCTGCCTCAAGTCTGGAAGCCAGCCTCAATTAGGCTTTTGTTTGGCTTGGTTCTACATAACGGGTTAATTACAGGCTCTAACGTGGGGGCAGAGAGAAAACAAACTTTGCATTGAAAATGTTACAGTGCATTAGACATGCCCGTTGATTACTTTGATTGTTGTGTCTAATTCTTGACAGAGGGGTAATAATTTGGCTGGTGGCAATAATGGCTTGCAGTCTTCTGCTGAGAAAAACAGAAGTTATGTCTTATCTCACACGGATCTTCTCCGGGAAAGGTTTTTTTGTTGTTGTTTGTTTGTTTTGTTTTGTTTTGTTTTTCACTCGGATCTCCCTCCTCTAATCTCTTGCCAAGGGACTTTACTCTTTTAGCTTCCCATTCACTATTTCTATTGGTCTCTTTTTTCCTTTTTCCTCACCATCATAGCTGAAATGGCAACTAATATGCATGTGTAAGGATGGCAGGTTCAACATGAATATTGGTGTCATGCCTGCAAAGTTACTGAGAGTCCAAGCCTTCCTTACTTGGAAAACACTGGACCCACTTCCCCAGCCGTAGCCTCTGGTGGACTCAAAAATGTTAGGGACTAGAGATGGAAAACACTTTATTTAGGATTTGAATGCAATAGAGAGACTTAAGTGAGGCACCCATCTTTGAGAATCTTTTTCCTCCTCGAATTGATGAATTGATTTCTAAGATTAAGAATATGTTTGCATGTTTGGGTGGGGGGCGTTGATGTTTTACATACATAGATGTCAGTATTCTGAAGTCCATCGCTTGAATTTAAGCACAATAATTTAGGGAGGGGGTGATGAATGATTTGGTTTCACTTGCTAGATTCAAGATATTTGTTGCCTGATGGCTGAGAATGGATTGATGGGTCAATAGCATTCTAGTTCTTTTATTATTTATACGAAGGTGTGTCTTCCCCTTTTAGACTCCTCAGCCTGCACTCTAAAATGTGTAGCTGAAATGTCATTTTGTTTGCAAATCATCTCTTGCATACTTTTCTCTGCACACCTCTGGAGACTGAGTTTTGAGCTCTGCTCTTGTAATGAAATTCCTCTTGTTCGTTATTATCTTTAATCGTCCCTCCCTTATTACTCTGAATTCTTCCTTCTGGACATTATGACTCATTTCCTCCAGCTTCTGCAAGCTAAAATTTAATGCAGCTAAAAAACATCTAGTATGCTCCCCTTAAATCAGAAAATTCATATCAATATACATAGTCTTAAAGTCAGGATATTGTTTCCCCTGTAGTTTCAGCGCAATGCTATCTTCCATTTCAGCCTATTTTCCCTCTATCCCATTCATCAAATGAACTTGGGTTTTCTTACAAATCAAAAAAGTTCTTTTCTAAGTTAGAAGCATGTTTGAAGATTTTTTTCTCCTTTGAAACAAGGTTTCTGGTTATTTGTAATTCTGTGTGTACCCACTTGCCCATTGACGACTTGCTTGGAGTTCACGATTAAATAGATGACTTTGTGATGCTTGGCTGCTATTCACCCTGATCAACTTGTTAAACTCATAATGTTGACCTCTTTTCTGGTGTATCTTATCCTTTTGAGACTAGCTAAAAAGACAATGTGCTTTCAGGTTACGTTGGAAGTACCTTGTATTTCCCTAGCACCTTGAATTTTAAGCCATAAGATCTATCTCATGAAATGTAACTGTTGTAAAATCCCATGTGGCTTTACTTAGCGTTTTCTTTTTTCTAAAAAAAAAAAAAAAAAAAAGTTTAAAGAGTTAAGTTTGGATGGCACCCAGCCACTTTGGGTTTTTAATCTCATTCCTAATACGAGTGAACTGTCTAAGCAGAAAGTACTTCTTTTCTTATTTGTAAAGTTCAGTTTAGTCAACTTTTGTAAATGAGATTCATCATCCAAATGATGCCTGAGTTCTATTTCTTTAGGAATATTTACTTCCTTTTCACTAATCAACAATTAAAGATTTACGTCGCAACAGGGCAAATTGTTTTTCTTGGGGGTGGGGCACAAGAAGAAAAAAGGAGGGAGCAATTTTTGTGTATTTATTTTAAAAATGTTCTCTTAAAAAAACGGCCCCACATCTTGAATTCTCAATAACTATTTACAATAAAAAGTAACTTGTACAGTGTGAGTTGGTATTTTTAAACTAAAACGCAAGGAGTTAATTCAAGGCTCTGGCAGCCGATTTTGTTTACTGATCTTTTCTGATTGTTGTTTTCTTGATAATGGAGCAAGCCACTGAATGGCTGTTTGAGCCCAGGCGCCACAAACATAAACTTCACAGCTTACAATGTCCCAAGCCGTGATGGAGGATCTCTCCACACCTCCCAGAGACTTCTGAAGTGTAGACAGAGAAGTTGGTTCACAGGGAGCGAAGGAGGGGGAGGGGCGGCAGGGAAGGCTGCTGAGTGTTTGCTGTGAGCATTGTTACTATCACATCCTTTAATTTTTATGGTATTTAAGCTGTTGGCTCCAAGAAGCCAGTTTCTCTGTCTCGAGGAAGCCAGTCTCTTCCCGGAACTGCACTTAGGACTCCTTGATTCTAATTTCTAAAAATTTATTTTGCAAATCTTTCTGCTTAATTATCTGTCCGCAAGAGCGCTCAGCATTGAGAAGCAAAAGATTCTAAAAAGAAAATTATATATATGTATGTGTGGGCATACATGCATATATACATACATATATAATATACACATACCTATATGTAATTTTCTTTATATCATTTATATGTGTATGTATACACACACACAGCCCCCAAAAGAGACCACCTGGATTTGGAAGAAAGATGTATGGTAAGATTGCTTTTTGCCAGGTTGGGAGGAAAGACACATTGATTCTCCCTTTCCGAAGCCATGTAAGATTCTACTTAGCCTTAGAACTGCTTATTCCTTGCCTGGGATCCTCTTTCCATTACATTGATCAAAAGTTAGTGTTCATTTTGAAGTGATGTTATTTGTGGATTTGACCGAGTTAGCTACTTAATTTTGCGCGTTGTCCCATTGGTTCTACCCCCAGGTGCGTTGCCCACGTCCAGCGGGCAGGGCAGCGCAGCGCCTGTCTGCACTCAGGTTAGGGGTGGGAAGTGCTGGGAATGGGGGACCCGGACACTGGTCTAACCAGCCCCGCCACTCCCGCGGGCAAGTCAGCCCTTGATCCTTTAAAGCAGGGACAATCGACGTGGTCCGAGAGAGGAAAATAAGGGTATTTCTGGGCCCTTCTCTTTCAGGAGTTGATCAGGTTGGCAGATCTGGAGGGCTAATCCAAACAAGGCGCTTGACTTGTGAGGTCGCGAGTCTAGACAGAGCTGGTGGCTCGGCGGCTCCTTATCTTTCCCTGGAATCAGCCGAAGAGGCGCTCCCCGGCCCACTCCGCTCGGCTCGCCCGGGTCCGGAGCCACCGCTCGACGCAGACGGCACAACAAACAGCACCTGAGGCTTTATAGCTCGCTTTATTGTTTAATGGAGAATGCGGCATAACATTCATTTGTCTTCTTGGTTCCGCGACCTGGCCGCTTTGCAGCCACAGACGCTGGGTACGGGCGTGCGCCAGCGCCCGGCCGTTATGGTCCCCATGTTGAGCAGCGCCGGGCGTTCCGCTTCGGCATCGCGCGTGTAAGCGCGCACGGCTCTGTCCGTGCGCCCTCAGGCCCCTGGAGAGGTACCCAGCTGCAGCCCCTTTCTTGCTTCCAAAGCCCGGAGGCGGAAGGGTGGAGGGACAGTGAAAGAAAGCTTAGGCGAGGTGTCTTTGACTAATCCAGTATCTCCTCTTGCTGCTTGGAAATGACAGTTTTGCGCCAAAGCCATTTATGGTTCGCAGGGTCAGTGGGCTCTGACTCAAGGGCAATCAATAAAATATTTAGTTCAGTAATAAGCTGAGTTTTTTTCCCGAATGTACCGAGAAGGATGTGTCACCATCTTGGACAAGGTGTCACTGCGTAGCCGATCGCCCTTTCCCCACTAATGTAAACAAGTGGCGTGACTTTCCAGTGTTTTCGTGACCACTTCACGGGACACATCATGGAAGCCTTGGTCCTCCCTAACAGGCTGCCACCACAAAGAGAATGGCAGTGTTATCCACTTGGGACCAAGGGAACTATTGGGACAGATTTTGTAAAGCCCTTTTTGGAGGAGCCAATAGCTGGGCTTGGAGATTTATAGTCAAGGATTTTGTGGCTCGAATTCCAAATTAATTGAGATTAAGTTGTTTATAATTTTGGCCCTTCCCTATGGGATTTGTTTTTTCTTGTTTCAAGAAAAGGGGGTTTCTAGTTACATCTTAGAACTGACTATTCTAGTTTACAAGTGTGTGTGTGTGTGTGTGTGTGTGTGTGTGCGCGCGCGCGCGCGCGCCAGATAGAAAGAGAGAGATTGGAATAGAATAGGTACTACTGCCTCTGTCTGAAAACTACCTATAGATGTAGGTGAGAGTAATTTGGTTATGTGCCTAACGTGGTGTTAATGCAAACACCACATTTCCCAGGTTTGGTGACAGCGAAAATCCACATCTTCGTGTTTTCCCTGCCTGTTTTCTGTGTCACAGCTGTGTGTCACCAAGAAAAAAAACAACAAAACAAGGCAAAACACAAGTTTTGTGAAATTGAAGAATATCTGTAGGGAGATTTATTATCATTATTTCTTTCTCCAGAAAACAATCCTTAGCAATAACTCAGGCACAGACTTTTCTTTTTCTCATGGGTAAAGGTTACTGTTTATTTTGACCTGTCACAAATACAACGTGTTGTTTGAAACATGTTAAAGTTAGCAGGTATGTAGAGATAATACTAGACAGGCCACTGAATATGATAAAGTAAAATATGGTGGGAATTAACTTTTAAAGGCTATGAAAGATTTTACTTTTTTCTAATAGCTTTTTAATTAATATTCTTTCAAAAAGTATTAACTATTTTCTCAGAGTTCTGTAATAAAAAAACAGTAAACTTGTTCAATGCACAGTAAAGATATGATTTGCAAAATGTTACTTGTGCAGGTTCTATTCTGTGATTTTTTTGCTGATTTTAATTACTCATATTCTCGTTTAGTTTTAAATAAGTTTTCTTTCCCTCCATAAAAAAAAAAATTGCCCACACCTAGGTAAAGACATGTTTTGTCTTAAAATTTTCAATTCTTATTTATTAGAACAACTATTAATTTGGTTTATTAATTATAAACAGGAGGTTTACTCTACAAATAGGTTTAACAAAAAAAAAATTTATCCCTGATTTTTGGAAGGATTAGGAGGAAACAGAAAAAAAATGAATGAGATTTGTAAAAAGAATATATACTTTGAAACAGTGTATTTTAAGTATGGAAAAACTTTTGGGCCCAAGTAGTAAAAATCTCATATTAAACTCTAAAAGTATAACTGATGGTTATTTAAATTTTTATTTCAGTAGTCCAAGAATTTTTGTTATAGGAGATCAGTTCTCAAAAAGAAATAGTTGAAATAAAAATAGGCTGGCAACCTAAAAAGCAGTGTTTCATTTACCAAAAAAATGAGTTATTTTGTTTTTAAAATACAGCAGTTCACTTTCACTAACATGGAACGGCTGATATCTGAAAAGATTACATGTGAAAAATATGGATTAGCAGTTTCTGAAGAATAACACTTTTTAGTAAATTCTGAAATAATTCATTTACTTTCCTCCATAACATATGGAGATATTTTGGAGATCGCTACTTAGAATTCTGTTTTTGTATCAAAGCACATTTCATATTTTAAGACTATGATGTATTCTTAAAATCTTCGCAACTTCAAAGGCACTAGTCACGTTAACAGTTTATACATGGGCAAATATCTATCTATTTACTAGAAGTTGAACACTTGGGTGAAGGACGCTTTACTGCCGATAAAAACTTACCTTTTAGTTCTGTTATCCCATCAGGATGGACTCATAAGTCTCATTAATGTTAATGGAAAATGTCCTTGTCTGTCATGTGGAAAAAAGGGCTTGGAGATATTTCAACCAGCAATTTCTTTGTAGCAAGTATGCTAGGGCTAAAACCACCTAAGAAGTAATTTTGATCCCATCTAGGCCCTGGAAATATGTTGTCTAATAAATGAAAATAAGCATGTGAAATGGTAGGATTAGAATTGACTTTAAAGACAAATGCATTATAGAAGGGGAAAAAAAGGCCTGAAAATATTTTTCTCATACTTCCGAATTTTAGGAGTAATCCCTTAGTTAACTGACAGTTCAGAAATACTGCTGCTAGGTAGGTGATATAACTTCTCTGCTACCGAGATCTAGAACCAAAGTTGCTCTATACTGCTTACTTACCACATAGGAAGTTGTTTGTATTCAACTATTTACTGGAATTTGAGTGATGCTTTGTTTATGTTTTCATTTTGTAATAGTGATAAATTACATGAAATCAATCTCGTGGATAAATATATGCATTCCTAATGTGTATTGTGGCAGCCTTTGGCTGTGGTCTAGAGTTTTCTCTAGGGCAAAGCTAAGTCTCTGGTATTGGACTAGATTCTCTAACATTATAGAACTGAGAGTGATAGTCCAAGATTATAAATGATGAATGTTGTTCACATTCAATATTGTTTTGGTTATTCAAGCTAAAATATTCTAGAAGCACTACGTAGACTGTTTTAATTCTTCTTTATAGGGAACATTAAGAAAGGAGTCAGTTTCTTCTAGAGTGAGAGGTGCATAGTGGTTGTTTCTGCCATGGCGTAACACTTTTCTATCTGTAAAGCACTTCACAGTCATCAGTTATGCATGAGAGCCACCAGAGCCCGTTTTCCTAATGACCTCTGTACCTGTTTTTCAGAACAACTCTCAGTTCCCTTGTTTTTCCTTCATATGTGTAATAGCAGAACTTCAAAGAAGTCCTTGGTGACTCGAGTGAGGACTATTTTAGATCAGATAATGAAAATTATTTTACCAACATTTTCAGTGATTTCTAGTCTTCTTACTTCTAGGAAGTGAGGAAAGAAGATGACGGGGAAAGGGGTGGGTGCCAAAAACTGTAGCAAAACTATAATTTATCACCTTAAAGCAGTGGCTCCCAAACCTGCTTTACACTCTTAGAAATTATTGAGGACAAAAACGGAACATGGGAAGGGACAAATAAGGGAATAAAAGCTGGCCATCCCAGCCAGCAGTGGCAACCCGCTCGGGTCCCCTTCCATGCTGTGGAAGCTTTGTCCTTTTGCTCTTCACAATAAACCTTGCTACTGCTCAAAAAAAAAAAAAAAGGAAAAAGAAAGAAATTATTGAGGACCTCAAAGGTTTCATTTATGGGAGTTATATCTATGAGTAGGTACCATATAATATATTAAAAATAATTTACAAATATTAATTCATTAAAAATAACACTACATGTTAATGTAAACAACGTTTTAATAAAAATAACCATAGTTTAACAAAACAAAAAATTTAATGTGAAGAATGGAATTATATCAGTTTTTGTAAATCTTTGAAATATCCGGCTCAAATGAAGACAATTGAATTCTTGTATCTGCTTCCTCATTCAAACTATAGTGATATCATGTAGCCTCTGAAACTCCAGGTTCACTTGTGAAAGAATGAAAGTAAAAAGGCAAATGAGGTCTTAACTTTTTTTCTTTTTCTTTGAGACAGTGTCTCACTCTGTCACCCAGGCTGGAGTGCAGTGACATGATGTCGGCTACTGACCTCTCCCGGGTTCAAGCTATTCTCCTGCCTCAGCCTCCCACGTAGCTGGGATTACAGATGCCCACCACCATGCTTGACTAAGTTTTGTATTTTAGTAGAAACAGGGTTTTGCTATGTTAGCCAGGCTGATCTTGAACTCCTGGCCTCAAGTGATCCACCCACCTTGGCCTCCAAAGTGCTGGGATTGCAAGCATGAGCCACCAGGCCTGGCCCAACATTATCCTGAAAAGAGTTTTGACCTCACAGACTCCCTGAAAAGATTTTGGGAACATCTTCTTAGAGTTCCCCAGAGCACATATTGAGAACCATTGCCTTAAAAAATGGGCTTTTGCAAAATGATTACAGAGAAACTATTGCTTGAGGAAATTTATAATAACTGCTTGTATTAATGCTCTGGTGATATAGATTTGTTTTTTACATCAAATCTAGGTTGCAGTTTTATTTTGTGACTTTTCAATTACATTATCAAACACTGTTCCGAAAGCCCCTTATATACAGGGCCTTGAAGAAAAATGTACGGTGATGTCATATAACTGAAAATTTAAGTCTCCACTTTAAGAAACTCTAGGAGAGAAAGCCACATGAACATTGGCTAGTGTACGTAAAATGTGCTGGACTTTAAAAATTTTTAGAGCCTAACTTTGTGAAGTTGTGGAGGATATCAGCACTGAAGAGAATTTTGAAATCCATCCCAAATAATTTGAACTTGTCATAAGTAGGAATTGCTAGCCACAGGATTTTGAGACCAGGAATTAAAAGTCATAGTTATAATTTGGAAAAGTCATTTGGCTTTTGAAATGAGATAGGGTGGTAAGATGAAAGACTGAAGGCCAGGAAAATAACAAGTCAAGGATCCTAGTGGTTCAGGCAGGGAGTGGCATGAAGAGAAAGGAAGAAATTGATCTGTGACAAATTCCAAGGAACTTACTCATATGGGGAGTCTGGTAGTTGTGCATCAGAATTTATTTTTCCCTTCTTTGTAAGCATATGGATAGGCTGCGTATGCCAGGCTCCCTTACAGTTAGTTGGGTGGATCACATGACTACATATTGCTAATGGAATCTAAACAGATTTGTTTTTTGATGTAAAAAACAAACCTAAATCACTAGAGCATTAATACAACAGAAGTACTGTGGGTCATTCTAGGCTTAGACCTTGAGATAGTGAGTATGCTTCCTTTATGCTGTCTTTTTCCATCCAACTAGCTGGTACTCACAAAGGTATACATATAGAAAAGCAACATGACAGAAATAACCAATGTCCCAGATAACGTCAGGGAGTGGAGCTGCCTGCAACTTGAAACATTCAGCTCAAACTGTAAAGGAGAAATAAATGTTTTAGTTTCTTTAAGCCACTGAATTATTGTGTCTTATTTGTTGCATTTCCCTAGCCTAGACTAAGCCAGATATAGACTAGAGCATTAAGGCAGCATTAAGAAGTCAAGGATGACTGAGGTTCCGAATCTGAATTACAGCATCTGAAGGAAATGTGCATTTACTCACTTACTCACTGTTTCATTAATCCATTCAAATTTTTCTCTAGTGTTTACTATGTGTCATGCACTATTCTATGTGCTAGTTATGTAGAAGTGAACAAAACAGAGTTCTGCCTTCATGGAGCTTACATTTTTGTGGTGCATTCAAAGAACATACAAATAAGTGCATACTATAATGAAGGCACGGATAGACACTATAAAGAAAAATCACCCAGAGAAAGGGGATGGAGAAATTGATATCAAGCAATGCTTCTTTGAGGAGGTGACCTTTGAAAAGGTGGCGAATGCTCAAAAAAAGTGAAAATGAGATAAATGTATATGCATAAATTGTATTAATATATTGAAGCTGTGTGTTTGAGTTTTGATATACCCTTGTTGTATCTAACACTGTACATAAAGAAATAGATCAGTGTTAGGTATCTGGAAGTTATTCTCTTGTATAACTTAGTGAAAATAAAAGAATCTGTGAAGAGTTTTAAAAAGCAGGAAGACACAAATAATATAGTAATTCATCAAAGATACATTGGAAAAAAAGTGACTGGAAAGGTATAAGAAAAAAAAGAAAGACATAAATGTGAGAAATAAGTGAAGAGATCAGGGTGGTGATGAGGAAAAATAAAAGACAATAGAAATGTCTCCGGAACTGAAGCCAGAAGTCTTCAAAGGGGCAGGTATGAAAAGCTGTGCCCCATACATCAGAAAGATCAAGGAAGATAAGGACAGAGAAAATGCCTTTGAACTTGGCTGAATGGAGGTCATTGGATACCATAAAGAGGCAAAGATGGAAGCCAGATTTAGGAGGGGAATTAGGGAGAAAATATTTTAAATATAGTTCTTCTAACTCTTCACTGTTGTTATTGGACATTTATTGAGTGTGGTGATTCTATAGAGATCCACTCTAATAACCAAACATTCACTGAGTCTAGTTACCAGGCTTGTGAAGAATGACTGAAGAAGTACCAGAGGCCCGTACTTCTATTAACCCTTTTAGATGGGTTCCAGAGGATAGAACTAACTAAAATATTTTTAACTCCTTTGGCTGTCTGACTTTGCTGAGTTCAAGAAGACTCAAGATTCCACAGTCTAAGCAAACAAACCAATTAGATGTTAAACTCCCAGAGGCTAGAACTAAGCTGTCAAAAGAAAGTGAGTATGGAGAGGTAATTGTCCAATAATTACAAGAGTCTAGGCAAAAATCTAAGAGAAATGTCTATTGGCATGTTGTAAAACTGTTTAAGAAGTTAGCAATTTGCTTGGTTTCGTTGCCACTATGCTAAAATTTGTGGTGTTTCATCAGAAGGTAATATTCCTTGAACTATGTATTACCATACTGTTAAAAACTCAGCTGCAAAGATTTGAAAACAAGCAACAGACTTAAAAACCACGGTAAGTTCTTAATCTGTTGAGCCTTTGAAATTCAGGTGGAAAGAAGCAAGGTTTTTATATATTTTGTACTGCGACATATCAACCAGCTGATACTTTGCAAGCCTGATAACACTGAGCAATCAGAGGGTAATGTATCATTTTGCATTGCTGAGGTGTCCATGGTAATAGAAAATCAGTAATACTATCTGCCATAATTTGCCTCTCCTGGGATGGATACCTACCAAGAGTTTATAGTTTCTCTTAGTTCTGCTTTGCTTTTTGCAAAATGATAGGGCATATTCAACTATAGGTGTGCCCTAGAATGCAAGCTCATTGGGGGAAATAAAGACTAAACCTAGTAGCACTTATAATCACACTAGGTTAGCTATTATTTGTAATTCAAAATAACTTTAAAAGGTTAATGACTCACCACCCAATAGTTTGGAGTATATACAAGAGGATAAATCATAAAGTCGCTAGTAAATGTTGAAATGAATAGAGGAAGAAAAGATTTGAAGATTTTTGAGGGTCAGTGTGGAGCACATAGAAAGGAAAAACCCATCTGATGGGTAAGAAAATGCATAAGGAGTAGTATAGATAAGTGTGTCAAGATAAAGCAAAATAATTTGATGAGTCTAATTGAAAACACTCAGTTTTAAAAATGTTTAGTTATGGTGACTTCTTTAATGCCATTTCCTTCCGGAATGATAAGGATTCCATCTTTTTTCTTTTGAGCTCTAACTTTGATTATGCTAAAATTATACAAAGCAATAAAAATGAGAGTACTTCCATAATTATAAATATTTTAATTATTCCATTCCTTGAAGAATCCAAATGTGATACATAAAAGTCTTCTAATCTAAATCTTGATTTTTTTCTGAATGAACTATCATCATTCAGTGTTCACCCATGCGATTTCTAAAATGCACATCACGTACAAAGTATATTAACAATGGAAAAATAGTTTACCTCTTCTAACTGTATTAATTTGATATTGTGATATTAATTATCTGTTTTCAAAGACAAATCTTGATGGTCCATATGTGGGGGAAAAAAAAAACACACCGTAACTGTTCAAACTACATTTGTTTTCACCAAATTGGTGTTCTTCTAGAAAGGAAAAAAAAAATTTCTTCAAAATTAATGATACAAAAAATAATTATTAAACTTGAGAGTTAATGAGAATCATTTTCTTTCTCATCACCCACTATCTCAGGGTGGCAGTCCAAATTATTCACTATTGCTTAGCAAGAATACATATACAGCGTATCATGGAAAGTTGTAGAATTAAATAAAGGTCTAGGTTTTACAAGGCATAATACAATTAAATGTCTCAGAAAGATACATGCCTAGATAAATTCATAACAGTCAGGCTTTCTAAAGGACTCCCCAGACCTCTTGGCATTGAACTGATTAGCTCTATAGTAAGCCACTCATAAGCCAGATGGGTAGCTAGAAGACAGAGGCAGCGAACAAGAACTTTTGGGGCACCTTTTGCTAAGCCTAAGAGCATCCTAACTGTTCCTAGAGTCCTTATCTTGAATGTATCAAGACTTCTGACTTGAAGCTGTTGATCCATAGCACATATTCTTATTAAAACATAAATGGACATGAAGTAGGGGAAAGGCAGGAAGGCTTTGGAATCATTAGCAAAATTGAACTCTGCTGTTAGTAAAATATTCACGTATTTGAACAACCAATCAGGACTGACGACCAAGTATGAAGCAGATGAGAAAATGACTTTTTCTGCTTCTTGTCACTAAATTGAGATTTAAAGACATTTGGCTTTCTAAACTCTTCTACTATAGCTACCACTTAATGGTTATCATCTATGTGCCAGGCCCCTGGCTAGGTGATAATTTTACATTGTTTCTCATTCTCATCTGCAAACGTGTAAGATAGGTTGCTATAGTTTGAATGTGTCCCACAAAAGTTCATATGTTAGAAACTTAATTGCCATTGTAACAGTGTTGAGAGGCAGGACCTTTAGGGGGCGATTAGGTCATGAAGACTCCACCATCATGAATGGATGAATGGTGTTATTGCAAGAGAGGATTGGTAATAGCGAGAGTGAGCTCCTGATAAAAAGAATGAATGCTGCCCAATTTCCTCTCTCTGTCTCACCATGTGATATCTTCTGATACGGGATGACCATCACCAGATAACACCTCCGTACTCTTGGATTTACAAACCTCTAGAACTGTGAGCCAAATGAATTTCCTGTCTTTATAAATTACCCGTCTGTGGTGCTCTGTTCTAGCAGCAGAAAACATACTAAGACATAGGTGTATTCCATTTTGCAGAAGAGGAAAATAATCTCTAGTCAAGAGAACATGCCCAAGTCCTCACAGAATTTGTGGATACAAGCAGCAATTATTTAAGTTAATTGAATCAGTAATTTGCATAACAACACTTAATTTAGATGTGCTTATTCAAAAAGCAGTTTTTATTTATTTATTTTAATAAAAAATTATATATAGTTGGTTAGGCACAATGGCTCATGCCTGTAATCCCAGCACTTTGGGAGGCCAAAGCAGGCAGATTACTTAAGGCCAGGAGTTTGAGACCAGCCTGGTCAACATGGTGAAATCCCATCTCTACGAAAATACAAAAATTAGCCAGGCATAGTGACTCATGCCTGTAATGCCAGCTACATGAGTGGAGAATCGCTTGAACCCAGGAGGTGGAGGCTGCCGTGAGCCGAGATCTTGCCACTGCATTCCAGCCTGGGCGACAAAGTGAGACTCCATCTCAAAAAATAAATAAATAAATAAATAAACCTTACTTACTTAGGAGCATTCAGAATGTCAACAAAAGAACTGCAAGAACTGCAACTTTTTTTTTTTTTTTTTTTTTTTTGCAATTACAGGGTAGTATTCTGTTAACAGAACAACAATTATTTCCTAATATAAGCTGCATCAGAGACAACTGAAGATGACAACACTACTATCCCCATATAAAACTAATTTGTGCTGTGCACCAAGAAGAACATGCTTTAAATTTCCACACCAATTTACAACCCCCACACTGTACCAGGCAAAGTTAATGGCTATTAGACAGGTCTATCTAAAGACACATTCAACAGTGCGCTGACTATACACAAAATGAATAGTTTAAAAACAAATCTTAGTCTTAGATTTCAGTTTTTTTTCCTTAAAAGGAGGGAGTTGTATACAGGGGGGTTAAATGTTTTATAGACAAAGGAGAAAAACTGTTAGAACCATCTTATTCATCATCATCTTCTTTTTTATTTTCATTTTCCTCCTCTTCCTTCTTTTTCTGGCTTTTTTCAGCCTTAATAACTCCCGTTTTTGTTGCATCAGGCTTTCCTTTAGATTAGTATACAGCAATATCCTCTTTGTAATTTTCCTTCAGCTTTGCAGCCTTCTTTTCATAAAGCTTCTTGTCATCTGCAGCAGTGTTATTCCACCTCTGCCAGTTTCTTTGCAACATCACCTACACATAGGCCAGGATGTTCTTTGATTTGGGGGTGACAATCATAAGAGAACAATAAGGCCAAAGGAGGCCTATTGGGTGCACTGGGATCCTTGATTTCTTTTTTGTTTCCCCTGCAGGAGGGATATTTGTTTTCATTTCTCTTTCATAAACTGACCTTGTCTGCCTTTGCCCTATCTTCAGATTTCCCTTTCTGTTTTGAACCCATGGTCTTTCACCTCTCTAAGCATTTCTTAGAAAATTCTGAGAAGTTGACGGAAACATCTGAGTGCTGCTTCTTGTGCTGTTCTTGGCAAGATTTCATGAAGAATGCATATGATGACATTTTGCCTCTTGGCTTCTAAGGCTCTCCTTTGACCATGTTTAGTTATTTTTTCTCAGTGAAGAAGAGTTGTCCAGGGACTGTCCAGCTCTCACTTGTCCTGGCACTTAACTCTGTAGAGCTCAGTGTATAGCAATGGCTGTCTCACAAAGCAATTTTTACTGTTGACATGCAATAAGGCAAACCCTAAAAAGTGTTGAGTGTTGCTTTTGAGATCTTTAATCATTTTTTTCCTGGAAAAGGAAACCCTCCAGGTCTTTAAAAATGTGACTGTTCCAGTTACAACAGTTCTGATGCTTATTATCGCACTCTAAGTCTGGCTAGATGGATCACTTTCAAGTTTCTGGAATGTACCATGGTCGTTTTTTTGTTTTTTTTTTTGGTTTTGTTTGCTTTTTTGTCTTCTTTTTATTTTTTTTCCCTTTCACCCTCTACAGGGATTTTTTTCCTACCATGCAGCATTCATCTGCCTTTCCTATCTCTTCCTTTAATTTCTCAGTTCAGTTGCCAGTTTTTCAAGAAGCAGAGGTCTTGGGCTCTTGTAACAGACTGCATTTGGCAGTTTGCATATTTGTATTCCTGACATGTCTGTAGGTTCTCAAAGTGTTTTTTTTTTTTTTCAGCTTTGTATCTCACAATCTTTGTACCATTACAATGCATGGAAGATACTGAAATATTTATTTACTGGATATGAACTAAAGTATGAGTGAATATCAGACCTTCCAATGGCAGATGAAATCTGTACTGCTTTATTAAAGGCTATGGTCAAGGGAAGAAACAGAAAAGAGGGCTACTTCAAAATGATGACTGGGACTTAAAGATTCTGAACAGCAGAGAGACGAGGGAGAGAGACAGAGACAGACAAAAGAGAGAGAAAGGAGAGAGAGAGAGAGAAAGAGAGAGAGAGAGAAAGAGAGGCTGTAACAAAGGTTAAGAGCATGGAGTCAGGCAGTCTGGGATATGAATACTTGCTGTTTGACCTTGGGCATGTTACTTAGTTTCTCTGAACCATAGTTTCCACATGCAGGAGAAATGCTTGCAGGATAAATCTGATGTGTACCTACTAGGCAATAAACCCTATATGTGGGATTGTTATTATTGTTATTAAGAAGGGTATGAGAAAAGCTTTATTCTCTTGAATGAATTTACTTGGTGTTCTTTGCATCTTTCTTTTTTCTCTCTGTTCAGATGGATGCTAAATCTTTATGTTTTTCCCTAAAGATGAAGTGGGAAATACTTTGTGTTTTTACATTTGATTTCTTTCTTTTTTCACTGTTTCTGTTTCCTTCATGAGAATGCTTGTATACATATATTAATACTTTTGTGGTTTCCTTTAACTGAGGAGAATATGCAACATGAAAGGGATTTTAGCAAATAATTAAAGGATAGTTTACAAAAATCATAGCACCTTACCACAACCCATTTCTTTTATGTGTATTACTTGCCACGGGCACAGATTCCTACATAGTTATGATTATTATATGTATTTATAGTGTTTTGCTCTTTTTGCTTAATATCCCAGAATAAATATTGTCCATGTGCACCTCTACAATGAAAACCATCTTGGGAAAATGGCTTTGTTGCATCAGTTGTCCCTTAAGTGTTTCTCATTGGTTCCCACTGTACAGTCTAAACACAATATTTCATCTAACATTATGCATGTTTCATTATTTCATCACATTTCTTGTGGGATAGATCCCTAACCTTTTAATTATGGTGAAATATTCAAAAGGTTAGTCAAACAACCTTCAAAGGAGCTTCTGGTACAATGTAGTAGCAGAGGCTTATTGTCCCTGGCTTAAAACTGATTATGTGAAAGAATAGTGTGCACCTCTAGAAAGGCTAGCAATTCTGCCATCAGATAAATGATTGCAGCCTTCAGTGGGCTGGCTCTCCCTTTATTTTCGCCACTGGTTGTGGAGCTGGGAAACAGATGCCTGTATGGAGAATGAGGGCCCAGACTTTTTTTTTTTTTTTTTTTTTTAAGTGAAATGTCAAACTATGTGACTATGCCCGGCGGAAGACGACCCCCTGCGAGATGTGATAAGCCCCAGGCCTGCTCCACACACTACACTGAAAATGCCGTGGGAGGGCTTCCCAGGCTGATGGAACTAATGACAGTAATAGCTCCGGGTAATTTGTCTTTTTTCTTACTGTGCACATTCTCTACATGTGGTGCACTTTACACCTACCACCAGGCACACATCTGGAATGCTATGACCCTCTCAGGCCTGATTCAGATAGGTTGAATTCTCCTGTAAAGTAAATCTGACCTCTAATTTTCTTAATAATTCAGGATTATGCTAATGTTACTCAGCAACCATTATAGAATGGTGCAGGAATACCTAAGAAAGCTTAAGCCCTTGTACTGGAAGCATGACAAAGGTTTCTTTGCCTATTTGGCTATAATGTTTCCCCTCTGTCATTCTAGTAGAGAAAATATAAATTTTGAAAAGTGTATTATTTACATTATTTATTCATTGTTTCAAGTCGTAGGACATCCTCTACTTAAGAAGAAATTTTGTTTCCTTTCTTTGGTGTACAGATTTTCTACTAAGAATTTATAAGACTACTAATGAAAGGTTTGGGTTCTTAATTCTAACTGTAAAAAATACTTAGATAGTAAAAGAGACTGACAAAATAATTTCAAGGATGGATAAAACAGACTTCACAGCAGCTTAATCTCATCAATGCAGAGTGCTCTTAGGAAGATTTTAACAATAAAAATCCTATTTTAGTGCTGGCTCCATAGCAAGATTGTACATTTAATATTGTATTTATATCCTGTATTTTCTGTATTTATGTAAAAATAGCTATATTATTTAAAGTGTAAACATCTGAACATATCTTTTAGAAAAACATAAATGATCTTAAGTTTTAAGAAATGTTCACACTACATTAAAAAGATAGGCTCTTCAATCCTCCCTCTCTGTGAATAAAAAGAGAATAAAAGTTCTCCATAAATTAGTATGTGCAAGATTCCCCCAGAGAGCAAAATATTTTCAGCCATTGTGGAGGTATGAGAACCACATGTTTGCCTGGAAAAAAAAAGTATGCTCTTTACTATGGATTTCTGAATCATTCTGTCAAAATATTTGTAGTTATTTCTAAGTTATAAATAGACAATTAATTTTATTACTTTTTTCCTTTAATTCATATCACTAGGAAGGTACTAGTGAAGAATTTTTTCCCCCTGCAGACTAAATATTATACACAGAAATATAACAAATGAAAAATTGTTTATATGGGTCAATAATTTATGTTTCTCACAAACAATGTAGATATTGTAAACTTCTTTCTACAAGTAATATCTATGTAATTGACCAATAACAAGGTAATAGTTTATCAAGAATGCTAGTCTCTCTCTCCGCACCTCTGACCACCAACTCAGTTACTCAAACTCCACCCCAGTTTGAAGGCAGAAAAGTGTGCATATCTAAGTATTGGGTTCTCCTAGAATTTAATCATGGACTCAGACCACTCCAGAAAACTCCATGTGTACCTGCTGGATGGATGGTACAGATGGACTGTAGAAGAGATCTTTTTCCCCGCTAACTTAGATATCCTAAGAGGTATGTCCCTACCCAGACACACTTATGGAAAAATCAATCCAATTAGAGGGAGAAATGAGGGAGGAATGGCATGCCGAGTGTCCCACTGCCCTCTCAGTTCCATTCCTTCTTGTCAGGCATGAGCCTTTTGGAAGGATTGCTCTAGGAAAGTAAGTAATGACCACCATTATCCCTGGGTGAAGCAAAGCAGGCTGCAGAAGGACTGCTAGACAGGCTAATTGTGACAGGTATACTGTATTGACCCTTCCTGGGCCATGTTCCTTTGGGCATGATTTGTGCACAGAGTGGATCATTTGGCCTATATGACAGATTGTGTGAAGTACAGTTACTGACTGCTGCTTAGCTCATGGGTTTGGAATTAGATGAAAGTTTGAAACGTTTTGAATATAACACTCTCTTTTATACCTAATGCTTTACAATATTTGATACAAAATCTCCCCAAAGAACAACAACAAATTAGATGATAACTGTGTGACTTCAGCAGAATCTGCACAGGCTGAAAAATCAGTCAGTGCATTTCACTGAATTATATGATAATCCAGTAACAAGAAATCTGCAAGGACACATGGCTCATGATAACGCCAAAGTTGATGACACCGGCTGTTATTACCAATACCTCCAGTTTGTTAAGCTAGGGACCTCACATGCATCATCTTACACAGCTCCTTACAACAGCTCCAAGTAGCCCACATTGTTATAGAGAAGGGAGCTGAACATCAGAGAGGTGCATACAGGGACAAGAATAAGATATGAACCGAGATTTGTCTGACAGCCAAGCCCTCAGCTCATCCTGTCCCTCATCCTCTAGTCCACACTCCGTCCTTCTCCCTGCCCACTTCCCCAGCTCTTGGTGGTTTTATTCTCGATAGACAGCAGAGTGCCAAGAAAGCAAGAGTCTGTAGAAACAATCAGGTATACAGGGCCTTGATCCTGGTTCTGTCAGTTCAATGACTGTGCAGTTACCCAACCCCTCCAGATCTCCCTGTTGTCATCCATAAACCACAAACAAGCCCAACTCATAAGAATGTTGTTGAGAAGACTAAGTGAGAGAATGATGTAAACTGCTGAGCATAGCACCTGGTGTACAGTCAGCACTCAGTGAGGGCTATCCACTAATTTATAATGATAAACCTCTCTGTCAAAGTTTAAAGTTTTTTTTTTTTCCTTTAGGAATCTGAAGTAGAGGTGTTTATAAAAATATATCACTTTTCTTTAGAAGCCTTATAAAATTGAAATACGCTTATACATAAAGGTATATTTATTTACATTTTTATAAAACATAACCTCTTAGGATGCTCAACACTTTTTGAACACAGTTTTTATAAGTAAAATAGTACTTTGGAATATTTTTCTTTAAACCAATTTCTTTCATTTGGAAAAATGGTAAGTGTGACATTTTGATTTAGAAAGTATTTAAGGTTTTATAGCTGATTTAGCTGATTCTTGAGAAATGTTGATAGTCATTTATCTTGTGTGGTCTTCCTCTCACTACCGTCTTTCCCTGAGAGGGACTTCCTTGCATATTTAGGATAGTATGGGGTTGTTAACTAGCCCTTAAGAGAAGAGCACGTAATGGGCAAGCACTGTGTTCTGGATCCTATCCACTGCTATATTTTCATTGAGTCATAGATTCAGCATATGTCTTAACAATGCCTAAATTACAGAAATATGAAAAAAAGGCCTGTTGACCTAAAGCAGCTTCTTGCTGAGTAAAGGAGCTGAAGCATTATATATAAACAGATATAAACCTATGCACAGGGGAAAAAACTGAGTTCACAGGAGGAAGGAATCACTTCCCTGAAGGGAATAGGCTTCATGGATGGGTGATTTGTGAACTTGGTTATAGAGCAGGCATGATTTAGATAAAGATAAGGGGAAGACATTTCAGGTGGAGAAGGAAGGAATAAAATGAACAAAGGCACGGGAGTGATAGGGCCAGGGCTGTGTGCAGGAGACAATGGGAGTCCTGCTCCATTGAGCACAGGGGTGTTTTTCATCTTGAGTTTATAACAGAATCACCCACAGAGATTATTCAATGTATGCATTCCCAGGATTCACCCCAACCTTCCAAGAGTCTGTTTAGTCACTCTGGGGTGAGGCCCAGGAATCAGCGTGTTTAACATGGACCCCAGTTAATTTTGATAGAACCACTGAGAAGTACAAACATTGCTGAGTCACAGGAAGAAATGGAATGGCTGGAGGGTAGGCAAATGGTTCTAGGCCCAAACAGGGCAGTAGGGTCACACACAGAGCCTGCTTGCTCTTTTTCTCCTTCCCTCCCTTCTTTCCTCTCCCTTCCTTCTTTCCTTCCTTCCTTCCTTCCTTCCTTCCTTCCTTCCTTCCTTCCTTCCTTCCTTCCTTCCTTCTTTCTTTCTTCCTTCCTTCTTTCCATCCTTTCTTTCAGTACCTGAGTCCCAGACCAATTAAGTTAGAATCTCTGGAGGTGGGGCCTTTGTATCAATACACGTTTTTTAAACTTTTTGTTATGAAAAATTTTAAATATATACAAAAGTAGGCAGAACAGTATAGTGAATGCTCATGCACCCATCACCTAACTTCAATAATTGCACACTCACAGACAGTCTTGTTTCATTTGTACCGCTACAGCTCCCCCTACCTTCTATATTATTTTGAAGCCAATCTCTGAGATTATAATACTCCATCCATAACATTTCAATATGTATCTCTAAGTACAGACTTTAAAGTGCCACAATACCATTACTACACATTAAAAAACAATAATTTTTAAATATCGTCAACTGCCCAGTGTTCTAATTATTTTACTCTTTCATAAATATGGGTTTGTGTATGCTTGTATCAAAACTCTCATGTACACCATAAATATGAACACCCACAATGTACCCACAAATTTTTAAACATTAATTTAAAAATTTATACAATACTTTTGATTCATATTTATCACTATGGGGTTTTATTTTGGTATCTCCTTTTTTCCAGGTTTCCCCAGAATCCCAGCTCTCAGTGACTCTAGGAATATTAGAATGAGATTATATAATGAACCATTTGCTTTGTCCTACAATGCACAAATGGAAGTTTTAGATTAACAATATTAATAATATATTTTCTAATTATCTTACCACTGGAAAGTATTTGTAAAAAATTCTTTTTGTTCTAGTGCTTATGTCACTAGAGGAAGACAGCCAATTTGCTCTGTTTTAAAGTTACTTTGAATCATTTCTCTGTTTGATTACACCAACTGATTATATGTCAAGGCTCATCTATTTTATTTTATTTTCATTTTTAGAGATGAATTTATAAACTCAATTTTGTTTTATAATAATATATAGAATATTTACATATATAATAACATATAGAATATTTAAATTTTGCAAATTTAAATTTGCAAAACAAATTATTGTCAAAGTAATCAAGCCTGTTCCTCCCATCTGCTTCCTCTCTCTATAGATCATCATTTAAACAATGTATGGTTTATCATTTCATTGTTTGTTTTCAGTAAATAATTATAAAACTCTCCCTGCTTCTTGTAAGAATCTCTCCCTTCTTACAAGAAGTCAGATTGGAGATTCCTTACTGCAGAAAATGATGAGCTAGAATATTTGTCTTATGGAGCTGGA
This sequence comes from Homo sapiens, assembly GCF_000001405.40. Lineage (NCBI taxonomy): Eukaryota > Metazoa > Chordata > Mammalia > Primates > Hominidae > Homo > Homo sapiens. The sequence continues at coordinate 51,417,335 of NC_000005.10, forward strand.
CTTTTTACACCATTTATATTTTCTACATCTAGATTAGTGGCTGGTACCTTTCAGGTGATCAGTAAATATTGAATGAGTGGATGAATTCTTATTTAAAGTTTGCAATCAGAAGAGTGAGAGGACCAAAATTCTATTTTTTTTTGACAAGTTAATCTGATAGCAGTGGTTAAGGGGGTTAGAAATACTGAAAAGTGGATGATCAGTTTGGAGACTTATTTAGTTAACTGGATGGCAGTAATTTTGAATAAGGAAACAAAAAGCTGAAGTGTGTGTGTGTGTGTGTGTGTGTGTTTTGTGTGCTTTTGCTGTGAAACAAAACACTCCACAACTTAATGCTTAAAACAACAACCATTCACTTCACAGTTTTGTGGATTGGCACATTTCTTTGTCTAGGATGGCTCCATAGGTGTCTGTGGGGTTCACTCAGGTGTCCTTGGTCAGGTGGCAAGTGCTGGCCTCACATCACGGGCAGTTGGCAGGGTGGTGCCTGGGGGCTGTCTGATGGTTGTCTGTGTAATCTCAGTTCTCTCCCTTGAGGTCTTTTATCTTTCATCTTCCAGCGGATAGCTTTGATTTTTTTCCATTGGTGGTGGTCTCAGGACACCAGGTATAGCAAAAGGCCGGTAAGGTGCAGGTGTTTTTCAGACCTCTGATTGTGTTCTGTTTGCTGATTGGCCCAAGGACCACCACAGTGACAACATTGATGTAAAAGGTAGAGAGAAATCACCACAGTTAAAATGGCTTGTCTCCAAAAGACAGGCAGTAACAAATGTTGGCAAGGATATGGAGAAAGGGGAACTCTTGTTTACTGTTGGTGGGAATGTAATTAGTACAACCACTATACAGAACAGTTTGGTGGTTCATCAAAAGACTAAAAATTGAGATACCTTATGATCCATCAATCCCACCACTGGGTATATGCCCACAAGAAAGGAAATCAGTATATCAAAGATCTGCATTCCTGTGTTTGTTGCAGCACTGTTTACAATAGTTAAGATTTGGAAGCAACCTAAGTGTCTATCAACAGTTGAATGGATAAAGAAAATGTGGTACTTACATACAATGGAGTACTACTCACTCATAAATGAGAATGAGATCCAGTCATTTGCAACAACATGGATGGAACTGGAAATCATTATGCTAAGTGAAATAAGTCAGGCACAGAAAGAAAAACATTAGATGTTCTCACTTATTTGTGGGATCTAAAAATTAAAACAATTTAACTCATGAACATAGACAGAAGAAAGATGGTTACCAGAGGTTGGAAAAAGCAGTACGGGGCTGGAGGGTAGGTAGGGATGATTAATGGGTACAAAAAAAAAGTAGTTAGAAGAATGAATAAGACCCACTATTTGATAGCACAATAAGGTGACTGTAGTCAATAATAACTTAATTGTACATTTAAAAATAACTTAAAGAGTGTAATTGGATTCTTTGTAACTCAAAGGGTAAATGCTTGAGGGGATGGATACCTCATTCTCCATGATGTGCTGATTTCACATTGCATACTTGTATCAAAACATCTCATGTAAATACATACACCTACTATGTACTGACAAAAATTTAAAAAGAATGAAATGTAGAAAGAGAGAGACTAGCTCTTGATGGAGAGGGAAGAATTTGTAGCCACTTTCAATTTCCCATTTTGTGGGATGTGTGTAAAACAGATATGTGAATGAACTCAGTTACTCCTCATAGCTTTTGGTTGCAAGAACCTTATATTATTATTAATTTCTACTTCTGTGTCCTTTCTTGTGTCCTTTCCTGAAACGTTTCTCATCCACATAGTGCCTTTTGAGTTCCATACCCTCCACAAAACATTCTTTTACTAATTTTTCACTTGAACATTTCACTAAACATTTATTTAGTATTTCTGGTTTTTCATTTGGTAATTTTCTTTTTATTTGTGCTATTTTACATGTTCCCCTTGTTTTCTAATTTTTTTGTGTATGCGTTTCCTGAGTTCTCACCCAATTCATCTTATTTTGCTATTGTAACACACAATAAAGTTAGACTAGTACTAAAATCTAAGTACTCTATAATGATTGTTACTTGAATTGGGGATTGACTAAGATAATCCTTCTAGAATTGGATATTGCCAAAACTGTCTTTACTTTGGTTTTTCATGGGTATGTCTAATTCTGATTTTGCCATGCCTAAGTTAAAAACATCTGGTTGAATTCAGTAGAATCCCTGATTTTAAGCATTTTGACGACTGGATTGAATCTGTTAAAAAGAATATACTTGTGATTGGTTATGTATAATTGTGTTTTGGTCTGTAATAAAACCATTTAAAAGTAAGACATATACAATACCCTTGCTAAGCCATGTATGGCTGAGATGGGCTCTAGCAGTGGTCCGGAGTGGTTTTAAAAAAAGGCGTGCACACACACACACACAAGCAGCAGAGACTGTAATGACTAGAGTGTGTGTTATTGGGAGAACCTCCTTTAATTTCTTTTAAGGCTAGGCCATATTGCGGGGGTGGATCTCAAGAAGGGTTGGTCGTGTTTATGTGAGGTGGAGAATCAAGATGAAGGCTAAGAGAAAAAGAGAAAAGGAGGAAGAAAAGAGAAAAGTAGTGCAATGCTTAGGACATCATTATCAACTTATATGTGGCTCTGATTTAGTTTCCTGTGGTCTGGGAAAGAGTACTCAATAATTCTCAGAGGAGAAAGGACTAAAGAAGTCCTTTCCTTCTCATCCTTACTGAAAATTTTAGACAAGAGTGAAACAAGGGGAGATGTTGCTGAGAGAGGTGAGTCAGAAATCTTTATAGGTCCTAAGGAGAGGCAGAAGGGGAGGTGAAATACAATTTGTGTGAAACTCTTCCCATAAACCATTAGAGCTCTTTGCACCATGATTGAAGAGATCCGTACACAATTAGGGGTGAAGTAAACTCAAGTGAAACTTGCCTATGAGGTCTGGCTTTCGTAGGTTGTTTGTTAAATGCTCAACCATTTGGAGGGTAGGGTGGTGGGTGTATTGTAAATTGTGCAATTTTTCTGAATAATGAAAGATATACAGAAAGTTCATTTTGTGTGTCTGGAGGCTGTCAACCTAGACTAAAGTGAACCCCAAAAGTCTACATTGATCTCCCGTAGAGGAAAAGGACCATAAAGGAGTTATTTTATATATATATATATATATATATATATATATATATATATATCTATATATATATATATCTATATATACACACACACACACACACACACACACATATATATACACACACATATATATGTATATATATATGGAAAGAAATTAAATGCAACAAAATCCATAGCAATTCATCATTGAGAGCTGCATTAGAGTACAGAGTGTAACGGATGCTATCTTTGTCAATAATTGTTGTAGATTGCTTGTCAACAGATTGGATTGTTTATCATGGATGTTGACAAACTACAGTATAAGATCCTTGAACTTGTTATATATGTTTTAAATATTTATATAAATATACATGTGCACATGTGTATTTTGGAGACTAAAGTTTTTATGCAATATAAAATTTCAGAATTTGTGTAATAAGGCTTAAGATATTTTTACTAAATGATAGAACTTACCACAACATTTACATACTCTATCATCCAATCATCTTGGTTTTAATGAAAATATTTGTCTTAAATATTTTGAAAGTAAAGCATCTTCATTGAATCAAAACTGACATTTTAATTTGAACTTTCCACTCTGAATAGAATTTGCAGTCCAAACTTGTCAGGAAGAAAACTCAATGAAATGAAAAATAATTTTATGCTGGATAACTCTAAAAATATCCAGAATAGAATTCTAGTGACAGTATAGTTTAATATTAAGTTGGCTTCTTTTACTGCCATGCAGAGATTAAGTGGAAGCCAACTTTCAGTATAGCAGAAAAGGCCATGGACTTTAAGAAGAATTACATTTATGATAGAGCTGTCTCCCTTATTTATGAAATGACTTAGTTCAAGTCACTTGGTCTTAAGACAATATTGTATGGAAAATTACAAATAATATGGAAATATAAGATTATTGAAGATATACTTTACATGTTTTCTAATAAATGGTATTGTTTATAAGTAGGGTTATATACAAATCAATATACATTCATTTCCATTATGTTTTCTATTGTAAAAGGACTATATGGTAAAGGTAAAGAATGCAGAAAATTAAAACAAGCAAAAAGAAGAAATCAAGAATCACCCAAAATAATTCCAAATAATTATTATCACATGTCTATATAATTTTCATCTAAATTTTTATATGTGCATGTAGTTTTTTAAACTATGCTTTCTTCTTTATCTGCTGTTGTTGTGATGTACAATATTCAATATGTTTTGTTGCTTTTCCCTTAACGTTATATTATGATCATGTTTTTTGGACCATGTTTGTACATTATTGAATTGTATAAATTAATATATACTACTTAATGTGAATAAGCCATAATTTACAATTCATTTAACCATTTCCATATTAATTGAACACAAATGTAATGATATTTCCAATCTATAAGAGGTGAATATTCTTTTGTATTAACTCTTGAATATGTTCTTTAGTATTACTGGATGAAAGAATAAACATTTTGAAGCTTTTGATATAAATTGGGAACTTGCCTTACAGGCAGACTAGCAGTGTGTAAAGATGCCTATTTCCCCACATCCTAGTCAATGTATATGTGTATATATATATATATATATGTATATACCAGTTGTCATTCATTCTACTTTTGTTCCACAATGTTTTTGTATTAACTCTTTGGGTAGCTTTACATATTAAGGTTATGAATCCTTTGTCGTATATGTTTTTCTATGTTTTAATTTGCCCAGCTTTACTGAGGTAGAATTGACTATTAAAATTGTATATATTTAAGGAGTACCTCTTGATGATTATGTATATATGTATAATATATAGTGAAATAGTCACGAAAATCCAATATATGCCTTTAACTTGTGTTTATAATGCTTTTAAAAATGGTGTATGTGTTTCTAATTCATAGGTAGTAACGCTTTATTTGTCTAGCATTGTCTAAGAATGAAGAATTCTATCTGAATAAAGTCTCTGGATCATTGAGGCTTATAGTTTTTAATGCAAAACCTTAAACAGAGAAAAACATCTCTTTTTTTTTTTTTTTTTTTTTTTTTGAGACTGAGTCTTGCTCTGTCGCCCAGGCTGGAGTGCAGTGGCGCGATCTCCGCTCACTGCAAGCTCCGCCTCTCAGGTTCACGCCATTCTCCTGCCTCAGCCTCCCAAGTAGCTGGGACTACAGACGCCCGCCATCACGCCCGGCTAAGTTTTTTGTATTTTTAGTAGAGACGGGGTTTCACCGCGTTAGCCAGAATAATCTCGATCTCCTGTCCTCGTCATCCGCCCGCCTCGGCCTTCCGAAGTGCTGGGATTACAGGCGTCAGCCACCGCGCCCGGCCAAAAAGAGAAAACTTTTAAGTGAAAAATTAAGTTATTCTAAATTGTATTATCCATCTCTTTGCCACCTTACGCAACGTGTACTAAATACGCTTATGTGCCAGGCACTTCACACATATATTTGGTCTTCATAACAACCTTGTGAAGTAGTTATTGTTATCTCCCTTATCTGCTGGGGCCACTGAGGTTACAGAGTGAGTGAACAATTTTCTGAGGCTCACACAGCTTATGAGAGGAAGACCTTGATTGGAGACTAAGCCTAGATCCATTGCTTTTTATACACTCAACACACTCCCATTGTGTGTAAATATTCTGAGTCCCTCAATGTCTACATAAATGTTTAGGGCTATATTTGCATGATACTGGCTTTTGAGGTTCATTATTACTTCCTTAAAATTTGTTTTTTATATGTGCCTCCTCAATCACCTGGCTGAGGCAAGGTGACTCTAAATGGCCTGTTCTTAGCTGATAATGGCAATGCTAACAAATAAACATTTATAGAAGAGCCACTGTGTGCCAGCCAAAGTGATGGGTGCTCTGAGCTTTCCCCTACCAATGTTTCACTTTGCTAATCTTAGTCTGTTGTAGCGTGGAAAACAGATAACCAGATTTGTTAAGAGCTATGTACCAAAAAATGAATAAAACATTTTTTGAACAGAAGTCTGAGAGACTTTTCTATAGTAAAGCTCATGCGTTTGTTTTGTTTCAACCTGCTTCTCTCAGATATATCAGTATTTGTGTCACTATCTGCACTAAACACTTTAGTGACTTTATCTCATTTAGTCCTTAGTATAATACTACAGATTAGAATTATTATTCATTTTCATTTTACAACTAAGTGCACTTAAGTTTGAAGAAAATAAATAATTTACGCAAGATTCTGTTTCATAGAGTTTATGGTTTCTGTTTGGAACTCTTTGTCTGCTGATTTTCAGCTGGGTTGTCGGATAAGTAACTTTAAAATAACCTATGAGTTACTGTATCAAAGCATTCAATGGTAGGGCCTGCCTGGAGAATGTCAAAGATGGGAATATGGTCAAACTTTTTGTTTATGTGTGTCAAGCTATAAAGAAAACCTATGTGTTTTAAAATAAGGTTGAATTTAATGCAACAGCATGATAGCCAGGCTGAGAGTGTGTATTCTTTGCTGAAAGACAAGTGTCCACTTCTTTGCTAAAGATACTACGAGTGTAGCAAAAAATAAGTTTCCTAATATGATGAGAATGTTTATATAGAACAAAGTACACAGAACTTACAATAGTAGAATAGTGACAGTGATGCTTCAATTCAATATGAATTTGTTGAATGATTATTATTACACTCAGAACCATATCATATGATAGAGTTAGGGGAGATGTAAATATAATTGGACAAAAAGCACTAAAATTTTGGATAACTATACATTACAGAATAAAGTTGCTATGCATACCTGTAGTACCAGTGGCTGTCACTTCAAATTTATTCTTAGTAAAGGAAATTTCAAATCAAAATTCTTAAATACATAATCTAAGAAGTACTATTTACTCATTTTTAATGGGGTTTTGATAAAGAAAGGATAGTGGAATGAGAGATAACTTTTTCAGTTTAGGGGGGATTACTATTGTATTGGTTGGAGGTGTTTTGTAGCAACAAACAAATCTGACTCTTGATAACCAGAGTTAAACAGAGATACTGAGTAGAGGTCAGAACAGAAAGCAGAGCTTAAAAAGCTGTTCTTTGGAATAAAGGAACTAGGGGAGAACTGAGGGTCCAGGAAGTAGGAATTACCATCACCAGTGCAATAATTCAGCTCCAACTGTTTACTGTCTCTGTTTCATTCTGCCAAAGAATAGTTATCTGATGTGTTAAAATCATTGTGAGGTGGTTAGAGAACTTATTTGTGTCTTCCTCAGTCAGGAGCTCAATTCATAAATGATTTTAGTTATTTGTATCATAATCAGGACTTGTGATCAGAAAGTCAAATCAAAGGGCTTAAGATGAAAGATCTAAATTGTTAAGAATCATTGATTTATTCTACACATCATCTTGACTGCTCTTGCTGATTTTTCTGTTCTGACTGCCCTGGCTGTCCTAGACCATGTGCACCCACCTCTCTGTCACATTGGCTTTGACCACACACCAGTCTAGACCTGTGGTGGGGTCTGTGGTATGCCAAGCTGATTCCTAGCTACGGTTCCTCATGGTTGGTCCCCCTTATTTTTCCAACAATTTTCCAGACTTAGTCAAATATATTTGGCTTGGGGTTTAATCTGGTACTTCACTGAAGAGAGAATATTATTGGTAATACTAATTCCTCCTCTCCCTTCAAAGCAAAAAGGCACACATATTACTTACATATATGTACTGCTCTAATTTTTACACGTGCTCTGATCAGTAAAAACGGGAGGCAATATACCATTGTAGCTAAAAGCATGGAATCTGGAGCCAGTCTGCCAAATTCAAATCTTAGGTCCACCTCATACTGTTTGACCTTGGGCAAGTCACTTACCCCCTTCAAATCTTAATTTTATTATGTATAAAACGTAATAATAGTATAGCCTAACATTTAGGATTGCCATAAATATTAAAAGAATTCCTCCGTATGAAATTCTTATGTCTGTTCATGACACATATAGTTCCATATATACATTAACTGTCATTATTAGTGAAAAATTCAAACGAATCCTGGTCAGTATCAGAGAATCTTAGGCTCACTCAAAATAGATGGAATCTTATTTCTAATAAGAATTAATAATTTAAAAAACTATAAATGTCTTAATATTTAAAATTTCAAATCAAAATTCTTAAATACAAAATCTAAAAAGTACTATTTATTCATTTTTAATTTTATTCTAATTTGTCAAAGTTATTAATTGTCCTTTATGAAAGTATACTATTAATTTGAAGTGTTCAAAAATGTTCTGAACATTATGGGATTTCTACCTTAAATCATTAGATAGCCACAACCACTCATTGTAAAAAGCTAGTGAATATTACATATATATTTCTTCTATCATAGTATTGTAGAATCCATACATATTTTCAAAGAGTAATTTCATGAAACCAAGGCCAAGGCAGGAAAAATGAGCAACTAATATAGTTATAAGAGGCCTAAATGGGCAACTTATGTGGTGCAAAGAGGCCTAGCGTTCCCTTTTCACCAAGTCAGACCACCCAATCCATGTTAGAGTTAGGTGGCCCACCTCCATTTTGCTCGAATAAAGAGAAACATATTTTAAACTTTAGCAGTGTACTTATGTATAAAAGGTGCTGTGGGGGTCTACTTTACATGGCATAACTCTTTCCATCTTGACCTGTGGTATGATACGGTGCCACACTTGGACTTAAAACCCTTCAATGGGGCTGTGTCATCTAGAGGATAAAGATTCAACCCTTTAGCTCACATACCCAGCCTTCTTGGAGTTACAAAGTGCTTGGAATTCTTAAAAGGGGCCATGCATTTTTTTTTGTTGTAAATGCTGGCCCTTCCACCTAGAATGCCTTTATGCTTCTTGTTTGCCTGGAAAAATCTTACCCATTACTTCTTAACTCAAATGTCATACATTCAGGGAGACTTTGCAGATAACCTGTTAAAGCTAAATGCTTCTGATTTGGAAGCACCTCTTCATCGTCTTGAGACATTTATCTCATTGCTATAGGAATTGGTTTACAGGACCCCTATCAAACTTCAAACTCCATGAGATAATCATATAATCTATAGTATTTACTGAAATTCCTGGCAGTATTAACAATAGCAATAATACAAGCCATCATTTACTAGGTATTTATTACATAGTAGGCACTGTGCTGTTTTACCTAAATTATCTAGTTTAGATTATCTCCATTTTGAAAATGAGGAAATTAAGCCAAAGGGGTGGTAAGCCTGCTCATAAGGTTACATAACTAGTGGGGACTGAGACTTGGTTATTTAGCAGTTAACAAACACTCTCCCACTTCTCAGTGGTTTACAATCACTGGGGTTCATTCCTTACCCCTATTCCATGTTTATGGCACACTGGCTATCATTTTGCTTCATGATCTCTTCACTAGGGAACCCAAGCTCACAGAATTAATGTTTTATCTAAAATATTTTCAGGTATATGACAAAGATAAGAAGACATCCTGATAAACCATGGTGCACTGGCTCTTAAACATTCTACCCCGAAGTGAAAAATGTCACTTGCTCACACTTCATTAGCGAGATCAAGGCTAATCATGCTATCATAGGGTGGAGTAGTTGGATCTTTCCCCAGAGAGTAGCAGGGAGCACCCTGAACAATAATATAGTCTACTACAGATATTAATTCAGACTTTCCAGACTCTAGGGCCATATTTAACCCCTATGCTATATATTCTCCTACTACATATCTATTTGTGAATAAACACTACCAAATAGATTTCAGCTTTCCAATCTTCTAATAAGAGAATGAATGGCAAAAATAATAGAAGAACAGTACATGTAAATAATGAAATGAAAACTATCCAGATGAACGAAATAGTCTATATTACTATTTAAGTACTACTTAAATGTCATTTTTTCAAGCCCATTTCCTGGTACATTCATTGGCCAATAGAAATGCAATGAGTTACATCCAAGTTGGTTGGCAGAGATTATCACTATTTACTCTCAAAGTGAGACAAATTTATTTCATTCAGAATTTGATAACAAAGCTATCAATCACTCTGTCTGAGGCTGAAGGAGGAACATCCATTTGTTCTCCAGATATAAAACAAATATTTTTTTTTTGCTTTTAATTTACAAGGATTCCAATGAAGAATAAAGGTTGCTCTTTGGAAGGAAGAAAATATACAAATTCCTTAAATAAAATCAATAAAAAGCAAAAAGAATTGTATACTAGCCCGTACTGGTATAGCATTCTTCCAGCAGAAGACCTCAGTCATCTGTGCTATATACTTGGACCACACAGTAATTAGTCTATTGAGAATATTAATGATTGTTGGAGCCTGAATTTTTTGTGAATTCTTTTTGCCATGGAATTTAGAATATATTCCAATACTTGTTAGTGATATATCAAAGTTAAATAGACAGATTTTATTTATTTGAAATAACATGTATTTTACAGTATCTTCAGAAATGACCTTTGAGGCCATTAGGATTACAAATAGGTTTTTAAGTTTACTTGTTATTTTTGTCACTATTTATTAGACACAATCATTTATAGTTTATGAAAAATATTATTCTGATGTACACAAAAATTTTCTGATAATGTTGATTAAAAACAGCTATATCCACCTTCTTTGCGTCCACATCAATGTTTAATCTAGATTGGCTTAATCTTGAAGTGTAATTCAGTAACAATGAAGACCAGATACTTCCTGGTCATGAACCAGATAACAAAATATTCTTAAGCCTTCTGGATCCTTGGATTGCTTAACATCAATAAGGGAACCAATTTTAGATGTTATAAAAGAAACGTGTTCATGTCCAATGACGATTTCAAGCTCCTCCTGGTGAGGCGGAGGCCACAGAGCGTCATACTATTTGGTAATTTCACTGCCATTAATTATTCTCTTCAGTTCCTCCATCATATTTTTATATATGTAAGCCTCTTTTCTGATGATGACATTATCCTTGTAATTACTGTTGTTGGCACATCTCAGTTTCTTGTCTGGTTGGAATTCAATCTCCAGGAACTCATGGTCGAATTTGTCCTTGTGACTCACGTAGTAATGTAGATAAAAGTTACTCTCACGGCTTGCAAAAGGCACCCAAGATCAAAAAGCAAACTGTACCTCTGTGGTCTGTGCCCTACTCAAATAGGAGTTTTTTGTTGTTGTTTTTTCTTGTTGTTGTTTGTTTGTTGTTGTTGGTTTTTTTTTTTTTGACAGAGTTTCGCTCTGTTGCCCAGGCTGGAGTGCAGTGGCCCGATGTCGGCTCACTGCAACCTCTGCCTCCTGGGTTCAAGCAATTCTCCTGTCTCAGCCTCCCGAGTAGCTGGGATTACAGGCGTGTGCCACCACGCTCAGCTACTTTTTTTTATTTTTATTTTTAGCAGAGACGTTGTTTCACCATGGTGGCCAGACTGGTCTCAAACTCCTGACCTCAGGTGATCCGCCCACCTCCGCCTCCCAAAATGCTGGGATTATAGGCGTGAGCCACCGCACTCGACCTCAAATAGGTTTTTAGAAGATTTGTTATGATATATTGAAAACACAGATAAATAAAGGATTTTCTTCTTATCACAATAAGATTCTCCATTTTCCTAAAGTGTATTAAATTATACCTCCTTGACAGAGTGGTTACTAAGAAATATAAAATTCTAGTTTAGGAACCTCTGCCAAAAGGAAGATCAATCGGAAATTACAATGAGAAAAATGTACCCATATTGACAAAAATTGCATTAATTAGCATATCTCAGAACACATATTTATCAAATGAAGTTGGCTTTATCTGAACTGTCTAACAGAGAAGGACAGGTCAGGGGAAAGGAGTTAAGGGGAAACTCTGGTGACTGTAAGTCACCAAATAACCATATGCTCTTTCCAAGTGAGTTTTTCTCTTTTAAAAAAATTGAGTTCTCTGTAAATAAAGCTTTTTGGGGCTTGCAACATCTTCTGAGGCATCTATTTTGTCTGCCATCTCACTATCAAATCCATGTTCATATAAAACTGCAGAACCATCGTTCTTAATGTCCTCTTTAGCTCACACAAATCACTACTTTAATCTTTTGTTTAACTCTTCAAAGGTATTAAGTACATGAAAAATTAAATTATATATATATACATTTACATGCATATATGGATAACAGTGTCACTTCACAAAGTACCAAGAATTGGATAATAACTGCCTGAAAGGGAAACATTTTCATCAAAGGGATAGCAATTTATCTTGATTGACAATTTTTAAGTATTATAATACTGATTACGCTTCACCCTGCTCTGCTGTCTTAGGCTACTTTAGTTTACTTGCAATATTACTACTACTTCTGATAATGAATTTTCTAATAACACAACATGCTGCTGAAGTACATTCTTCTGGTGAATGAAGGCTTGATGGTTCTTTTCAATGGGGCCTGATACCAAGCTCTGTGCATCTCCATGTGTTGATCTCCAATGATGATAATGGGGGAAAAAAAAGTGGTCTTCTGAAAGTACAAAGCTCTTGCTCTGTTCATGCTCTAAATCCTTCAGATCAATCAGATCTTTGCACAACTCCTCCTAAGAAGTTGCCTTGGTATCCTTGCAGAGACAAACCTTGATGTAGGATTACTGAGCAAAGGCTTTCTGTTTAGAGTTACTGCTAGTTAAGGCAGCATTTACTGGGCTCATGGTGTGCCCAGAACTCTGTTCTGCCTTTTCAGGGTGACAGTGGCACCCAGTTGCAACAGCTTTAAATACTGTTTGCATTGTTTCCTCCCTACTTATGTGTATAGATTTTCATCATTTTTAATAATTACATAGTATTCCACACACTGATTAGCCATTGATTTACTCGACCTGTTTCTTATTGTTGGAACATCTTTATACATAAATTTCTGCAAAGTGCTGTTCCTACTTTCTTGGAATCTTTTCCAGATGTGTAGTTGCTGAATTAAAGTATATGTATAGTTGTAAAGCCTTTGATCTATATTGTCAAATTGCCTTCTAGAAATGTACTAATTTCTAGTTGTACTAGTCACGTATAATCAGCCAATGTCCTGCATCTTCTCCCAAAATAGGTGTTATTTTTAACATTCACTAACACTTTATAGAAGAAACTATAATGCATTTGTTAAGATAGTAAATTGTTTCTGAGTTCAATGATGTAATAACCTTTGAAATTCTATTGCCATATATTTTTCCAATGCATGCTTATTATTAAAAATCCTGATTTTAAGAATAATGATACCTTTTCTTCATCAAATGGTGAAAATGACTAAAGAAAAATGAAGAGTAAATTCTCTACTGTATAATGATTAATGGACTTCTATATTAGAAAAGCTTTCATATTGTTGGAACTTTAGCACACTGAAAGAAACTTTTGCTTCACTTGCTTTTAATGTCTGTGAAAGGCTAAGTAACAATTTAGTGAAGACTATATAACAAGATCTTAACTAATTTGAATTATTTATTCAAATGTGTTTAACCTATAATAAGAAAAAGCCCATATATTTACAGTAGCCTTATAAGAAAATGAATTAAAAAGTCTATGATTTTTTTTTTTTTAAATAGTGATGTGCTCTGATTTTTTCAGAATGGAGAAAGATAGTAGGTATAAAAAAGGAAGGCTGGCCGGGCACGGTGGCTCACGCCTGTAATCCCAGCACTTTGGAAGGCCAAGGTGGGTGGATCACGAGGTCAGGAGTTCGAGACTAGCCTGGCCAACATGGTGAAACCCTGTCTCTACTAAAAATACAAAAATTAGCCTGGTGCAGTGGTGGGTGCCTGTAATCCCAGCTACTCGGGAGTCTGAGGCAGGAGAATTGCTTGAACGTGGGAGGCGGAGGTTGCAGTGAGCTGAGATGGCGCCACTGCACTCCAGCCTGGGTAACAGAGCAAGACTCCATCTTGGGAAAAATAAAAATAAAAATAAAAATAAACATAAAAATAAAAAAGGAACACCGACTTGTGGAAATTCTCCTTTTTGAAAATTTCGTTTTATATTCTCTGAGATGATTGTCTCAACATTTGCACCATAGAATAATTGTATAATCGAGTTTAATAGCTGGTAAATGTGTGGCATATATCAATGAAATAGGAACAGCATTAAAATCAATGACATGATATGGTTTTTATTTAATAATTTTAAGTTAAAACAGATGTTCAGGTTTTTAATTAATTTTTATTAATTTTGTATAATTATTTCAAGAAGTACATTCCTTGAAAACATTATAATGTTTTTGTATTAATTTCTGCCAATTTTAGTGGCCTATCATTTTACTGAAGTAAATGCTATGCCTCCAAGTAATATGAATATGTAAATCATAGCCTTCAAGGATGACCCTCTGCTACATTAACGTCAAAGTTTCTTATTAGATGTATAATAGAAAAGAATACATTCTTGGGGGCTTCCTTCTCTTCTGCTGGATGCACAGTTACCATGAATATAATTGGAAATCTCATTTCTGACAAATAGGAAGTAAACATCTTGGGCCAAATTGCATGTAAGAGAGACAAAATGAAAGTTTGGACAGTTATGCAGGCAATGCAGATGCCATCTCTACTTTGGTGTGTGACTGCATTGCACAGACGATTCAGTAAGACGCGTGTGTTTTAATACTTTATTTTTACAACACCTTATATGGTTATGTCAACATCCTCTTACTATCATTATTTCATGTTGTTATAATTTTATGATGCTGGATGACAGGTGCTGTAAAATATACCCTCTTTTTCAATAGTAAGGAGCTAAAGAGAGGCAGCAGTAAGGCACAGGGATGAGATGTTTGAAACACACCTTGCCTATAGAGTCCCTGGTTGCTAAGAAGCAGCACAGCAAACAAACCACACTCAAACTGAAGAAAAATATTGTGTGTGTGTGTGTTTGTGTGTGTGTGTGTGTGTGTGTGTGAGAGAGAGAGAGAGAGAGAGAGCGGGAGAGAGAGATATTCTATGCAGACACAATTCATAGCAAAATCTACATCAGTCCTGAAAAAACCCACCACAATTATTGTGTTAGATTTGTTTCTGGCAGACACAAACAGTAGGATCAGTTCCCTCAACTAACATTTTTTGACAGAAGGTGCAATTTTATAAATCCAATACTTCTGCCTAATGCTAAAGGTTTAAAGTGAGTTTTATTTTCCAAATGTGAACAGATTTAAAGATCATTTTCCATAAGTAGGATATTATTTAAATATTTAATGTTTTATATATTTTAATATCTATGCCATGTAAAATCAAAACTGTTATGTTCTTTCCATATCATTGTACTTTCCATTTTCTATGAGAGGTGCAAAAAAAAAAAAATATCTCACCAATGTCACTGTACCTGGAACCAAAGCACAGTGCTTGCATGGTATATGAGAGCCACCAGAAGTATGTGAGGGAATCCTAGCATCAGGCGCTGAGCACCATCCTAATCTTTCTGACATAAGATTTCACTGGAAAATAAAAAGTCTTCAGGGAAAATTGAAAATCATGGAATTAGATGAGCTGGAAAGTCTATATTAGTTTGATCATGTTAAGTTCAACGTTTTCCTGGATTTAGGAACCTATTCCTTGGCTCAGTGTTCCTGGATTTTGGAGGTGGTTTCAGGAGATTACTGAGAGAAGTCCATTTTGAAAAGTGGGTTGGTTCAGTCCTTGATTGGTAACATAATTATACATGAGACATGTGCTTTTTATTTTGACATGACGTCTTATCTACACTACTAACATCAAAGATATTTGCATTATTGTGTCATCTGGGTGGATTCAACTAGATAATAATAAAAATATGTGTTTTCTTCAATTAATATATGAGACAGGGGTAACTATAATACGTGTTTGTGCCCTAACCTGCTCTAAGTGTCTGTTGCATAAGGAAGGAAAAGTATGTTGTGTTCTATTAGGCCCATAAATTTCTTTAGAAAAAATTCAGATGTTTTCAGAATATCAATTGTGACTCATACATTTACTTCCTGTAAAAATAATAGTTCCTTTGTTCTCAGAGTCAGTCTTCCAGGGAATGACCATAGTGGAGGATGAATGCTATATTTAAGGTGTGTTTTATCTGTTCCTTCAGGCAACTTTCCAAGTTAGGATGGGTTAAATATTAATGCTTTGAAACTTTTTGGAAGAATTGAACTTGATAATATAGAAAAAATAGACACCAATTTCTAATCTTTCTTTCTCCAGACCTAAAACTTACCTATGCTAATATCCAAGTTTTCCTCCCTTACTTCTGTCACAATGGAGGAAACCTTTCTCTTCCCACCAAAGGTCTGATCCCATTTGTGGCTTTCTTCTCAAGTTCCTTATTCGTTCGATGACAGTATTTTTCTTCCATTGTTTTCTATCACTTCCTTCTGGATTATTACCACTAGCATCATCAATCATGCTGTGCTGCTTTCCATCTTAAAAAAATCAAAATCTTCTTCCTGATCTGAGAAAACTCAAGAGAACTGTCTACACATATCCTCATCTTCTTTCTTCTCATTCATTTCTCACAGTTGTAGCTTCACTATGCCATGTACACTGCTCTTGTCAAGGTCGCCAATAACTTGCACATGTCATATCTAGCCAACTCTTTGTCCTCAATTTAATACTCTTTATTCTTCAGATACCCTGTGGGAGTAGGGAACATGCCTCTTCCCTAATTTTCCTTCTTCATAACTAACCCTTGCTATCGGTCTCCTTGGCTGGTTTCTTCTTTGCCATGCTTACAAATGTTGGCATTCTTCCAGGCTTACTACTGGGCCCACTTTTCTACACTACACATAAACTTCTTTTTCCAAAATTTCCAAAGAATGGAAATTTTGATTGTTTATCCCCACCGAGCACATTTGCTTCTCCTACTTGCCTCTGACTCAGTAAATAGTACCATCATCCACTTTGTTGTGGAAACCAGATCCTAGGAGCCAGCACTGATTTTTTTTTCTTCTATGCTCTACTCTATCTATTAGCAATCCTGCTTATACTCTCTACAAAATAGATATAACCCCATTCTCTCTTCTAGTTCCACCACTGTCACCTTAACCCAGGCCATCGTTACTTCTCTCCTGAATGACTGCAACAATCTTCTGATACTAGACTTCTAACCAACTTTTGCTCTCATCTAACCCAATTTACACACTGCAGGAAAAATGGCCTTATCAAAATGTTAACAGAACCACATCACTTCCCTTGTAAAGGCCCTTTAATGATTTCCCACTGCACTTTGAATGAACTTAAAAACCTCTTCCCAAGGCCTAAAAATCCCTATGTGACCTGACCCTTGCCTAACACCACTATCTTCCTCCTTTGCTGAGCTCCAGCCCTGCCAGCTCTTTTGCTTTTTCAAGAGGCCTGACCTCTTTCTCTCTAGAGCCTTTGCAGACCTCACCTCTGCCTGGAAAATTCATCTCAATGCATATCTAATTGAGTTTTTCTTTTGGGAGGTTCTCTGATTAAATGGTGTCATCTCTAGAAGGCCTTCTCTGAATACCCTTCATCATCCTTTTCCTCACACCCTTGCTTATTTTCCTTCCTATCACTTATTATAATTTATTTTTTTTGTGTTTGCTCCAACCATGTAAGCTTTATGAGGACAGAGAATATGTATATACAGTGTATTGTTTTGTCTTCAATGAGTAGCAATATTTCCCAGCACATAGTAGGTGCTTAATAAATATTGAATAAACAAATATTTTATTTTATTTTGGGGGTATGAAAAATGTTATATACAATTATGCCAACTTTTTTTTAGGAATAAAAAAGTACACTGATTCTGACAGAACTAAGCAAAATGCAAAGTAGAATAAATACTTGGCTGATTCAGAAAAAAATTCCATTTTTATTCTATTTATCTTTTGCTATGAAGGTAATGAACAATACCATGATTTTAGGCACTTTGAGGGTATAAACACTTCAACTGCAATTTATAACCATAAATATTTTATAATCCAGTTTTCTTCAATTATATAAATCAATTATATAAGAATAATAATTTTTACTTGAATTGATTAAGGAATTATTTCAATAGTCCAATGACAACATTCATAGATAACTTTCTTCCTTGACTTTAGTTTCTCTTTTGTGTTGATGGTTTCACACTCTGCCAAGCAGAGGGTAAAGGAAATTTTACTCAGTTAACCTAGAGTATTTTTCAGTCAAGCATTTTCATGTTCTATTTCAATTAAAAATGTCCTACCTACCCAAAATCAGTGGGATATGGATTTCAAGTTTTATTTAGGCAGGGTTAGGAATTAATTTTATTTTATGATTTCCATCTGCCCCTTGATATGTTTAGGGAAGATGTTCATTGGTGATAACTTCCCACCAAAGGCTGTTGAGGCTGCAATTTTCTCTCTGTGAAAATAAATGTGTTTTCAAACATAGCACTGACTTTGTTGCTAATATCCTCTCATGAACTTCTCTAAAGCCAGGCACCCACACAAGATCCTTCTTATCCTGTGTCTCATCCTGGCACAAAGCCTCTGCTGGTGTTCCTTTTTAAACACCTGAAATGGAAGTGTGAGTTCCTGCATTCATGGAAAAGACAGAATGACTTAAGTGTTTCTTTCATACGTTAGGATTTTAAATAGATATAATTGTGAAATTTTTTCACCTTTTTTACCTAAGGAATTTCTGTGACATTCCCTTCCTCACTTTCTCTAAATGTTAAGAGGTAAGTATTGATGGTTTCAACTGTTGCTTTGAATATAACATTGATTGTTAATCATATCACATATGATAAAACATTCTGCATGATCATATACTGCCCAGTTTAATGTATGAACAAATATAAATGAGTAATCTATTTTTATATCATTTATCTTCCACATTTTTGAACAACAAATCTCTTGAATTTTCCACATTTATGAAAAAGGAAACTTTGGAAAATATTATTTCATAAAATTCTGGTTCGCTTAAAAAATATTCAACCTCTTGAGATATAATTTACACACAATAAAATGTTATCAGTTTTTAAAATACAGTTCAATGAGTTTTGAAAAATGTATTTACCCTCACAACAACTACCACATCCAAGTGTAAAACATCATCATCCCAAAATGTTTCTCCAGCCCCTTTGCAGCAACCGCTGATTCGTTTTCTGTCACTGTATGTTGGTTTGCATTTTCTAAAATTCCACATAAATAGAATCATATTTTAAACAGTCTCTTGAGTCTGGTTTCTATTACTCAATCTATGTTTTTGTGTTCATTCATGGTGTTGTGTGTACCCATAGTTAATTTTGTTTTATTTCTGAGTGGTATTGCATTTTATAAATATACCACAATTTATGTATTCACTCACCTGTTGTTGGACTCTCATATTAGTTCTTAACTAACATGAATTAAATATTCTATGAATGATGTGTATATACGTTTGCATCTAGAGAGTAAAGGATCAAAAATAAAATTATGTTTGTAAAAGCCTCACACTCAAGAAATGGAACTAGGCTAATAAAAACTGACAATAAGACAAACTGGTAAATTCTATAACAGAGGTATCAATAAAGTGTTCAAGAACAGAGTAGGAAGATATTCAAGCAAAGACTTTGTGTGGACATGTGTTTTCATTTCTTTTGGGTGTATACCTATGATTGAAATTATTGTGTTGTGGCTGCTTGAAAAAGTGCTGCTCATACTTCTTGCTGTGGCGAGCATAGTGACAGACAGCTGTAGCTTTTGCCCCTATGTATCCACCACCAAGTCTGCACAAAGGCCACGCTAGCCACTGTCTTTCCATGCTTCCCAGCCAATGATTTAGCACAGCAAGGGAACGAGAGTGGGCCCATGCCTGCGAGATGTGGAATTGAATTCCTCCAATGGGTGATTTCTTTGTATAAATGTGTGGGGTACATGAGAAATTTTCTTACATGTATATAATGTGTACTGAATAAGTCAGACTATTTAGGGTGTCCATCATCCAAGTAAAATATGTTTTTGTTAAGTATAGTCACCCTACTCTGGATCAAACATTGGATTTATTCATTCTGTCCTATTGTATGTTTGTACCCTTTAATCTACTTCTCTTCATTCTCCCCTCCGCCCACCATTTGCCCTTTTCAGTCTTTGTTTAATTTTTCCACTCTCTACCTCCATGTGCTCAAACGTTTTAGTTCCCACCTAGAATTGAAAATATGTGGTATTTGTCTTTTTGTGCACGGTTTATTTCACTTAAGCTAATGACCTCCAGCTCCATCCATGTTGCTGCAAATGACATTATTTTAAGTTTTTATGGTGGAATAGTATTCCATTTGTGTATACATACCACATTTTGTTTATCCAGTGGATGAGTTTTGATTAAAGACTCCTGACTGAATCTTTCTTGGAATTTTATGACTCTTCCTACTAATTCTTTCTTCCTTTCCCATCTCTTTCACAAGTGTCAGACCTGCATCATGGTTTGAAGTCTCTCCTCACCTTTTCTGGGTCCCACTACTGTATTTCAAAGGTATTTCCACCTCCAGCCCCCCAAATCTTTTGTATCTTTAATACCAGTCATAGCATCTTCTTCTTAGACAACCTAAACTAATAACACACGGGTCATATTGAAAGTGTATGTTTAAATCCATTATAAACTGCCAAGCTCATTTCCAAAGTTGTATCATCTTACATTCTTACCAGACATGTATGAGAGTTCAAATTGTTCCACAGCTTCACCAGCACTGTGTACTGTCAGTGCTTTTTCTTTACTTTAGCAGGTGTGTGATGGTATCTTATTATGGTTTTGAATTTACATGTGCCTGTTGACTGAAGATGCCAAATGTTCTTTTCATCTCTTTGAATTTGATGTCATATGTAGTATCTACGTCTGTGGAATGCTTTACTGAGAGGCAACGGATGGAAATAATGGGAGGATGAATGAGAGGGAAGTCCAGGAGAGAGCAAGAGGTGGGCAGATGGTGAAAAAAAATAAAGAAAAAAAATAGTTATTAATGGAATTTGTGTCTTTTGTTTTCCTATTCTTGTATTAGGAAATCCAGTTATTGTTCTAGATGATAGTGTTTGGGTGTTTATGAATAAATGTATAAAGATGCATGGGGTGTGTGTGTGTAAATATGAGAATATATATAATGTATATTTCAATATAATGGAAGCAGTTAAATAGTGCATGTTATTTATTATAAGAATATAAATGGATATAAGAAAGAAAGAGAGAGAGAGAAAGAAAGAAAAAGAAAAAAGAAAGAAAGAAAAGAAAGAACAGACTTCTGGATCAAATTTTTCCCTACTTCTCTTTAAAATATAAATTTTCATAGAAAAGTTGCTAATAGATATACCGGCTCTGAGATCAGATATAGACAGAGTGACTCTGACTTCATTTGATCCAGATTACTGATCACACTGAGCTTATTCTGTTTGAATTTCTGTTAATTATGAATTAAATAGATACTAAATAATAATATCAACATTTTAAGGTAATCTAAAAGCTTAAAATTAAAGGAAAATAAGAGATCCATACTGAGTTATTGGCATAAGATTTCAACAATTTATTTGTAGCCAAATGTAGGCTCAAATGGGGATGGCAACATCAATGAATTTTAAAAATATCAGGTTTTCATTTTCTCCTCCTCAAAGAAGCAAATGGAGGGAGAATCAATGGATGCATTTTGGTTGCAGCATACCTCTTGGGAAGCTCTCATATGTACATCAATACAAAAGAATTTCCGTCTACATGCTAGCGTGACATGGTGTAGTTTTAGACACTGTGTTTTGCTGATTAGCACATAACCCAACTGCCACATAAATTATCTTTATAAATAAAACTTTGCATACATATGCAGCATCCAGAATGGTGCAATAAATTGGTCATGACTCCTTGTCTCCAATGGCGCCACTTCATTATTTCCTCTAGCAAGTTGGGACTGAGGGCACATTGGTGAATGAGTTTGACTAATCTCCTATCATGATGTACCTCATATTTCAATATCCAACTGGCACAGTTGGCATTTGGAGGAAAGAAAAGTTCAGTTTCCTGCACTGTCAGTCTTTTTACCTTCCTGCCTACAGCAAACTTAAAAAAATTACTTGGGAGAAATATTAAGCAACCCAACCTTTTATAAAACATGTCAAGATTAATTGCTAGTTTCACTCATGAGCTGTGTAGATTGTTTCCTAAGATTCTCAACTTATTAGGTACAATGATTCATATTCCCTTTCTTGGCAAAACATCTGCTTCTTTTCAGATATCCCCATCAATAATGTAGGCAGTGATGAGGTTCTGCCAACACTGAACTCACTCAAAAATGTAAAGAATAAAATCCTTTCAAGCTATCTCTTTGGTCTTTGGTACCTTAGACTTTAAATATTTGATGCTTTGGTACTTTAGAACTTTCATTCTAGTTAACTATATTACAGGAATGATCTGAATCCTAAACTTGTCTTTTATTTAACCCAAATTGGAAAGCTGTTAGTATGAGTTAGTGAGTATTTTTATCCATATTATTCTTTCCTGTGATCTTGCAGTGTTAACTCTAAAGCTTCTGTGTTTCCAAATAATTTCTTCACCTTATCTTTGTGTAGCATCACTATGGCAGACCCTGAGACTGACTGTTTCAACATCAATTTCCAACTCCTCTGGGAATTTTTATATGTGTTCCACTAAACTACTTGCTTTCCTGGCTTCTCTTATATCAAAGGAAGGTTGTGTGATACAGTTTTGGCTAATTAGAAATCAGTGAAATTCTGTTATGGGGTTTCTAAAACGTTTTTGCTTTCTTTATACAAAGGAGATACAGGGCTGGAATCACTCTGTCTCCTTTCTTCCCATCTTGAAAGTGGGTATGACGTTGTGAGCTGCAACAGCAAACTTGTGGCAATGAGGTGAAAAGCTTGAGAATTGGAGACTTACTGGCCTTAACAGAGCTGGTCCTCTGAACCACTGCCAACAGCCTTCTAACTCCAGACTTTTGTCCTGTGAGAAAAATAGACCCCTAGTTATTCAAGCCATTCTGTGACAGGCTTTCTTTTCTCACAAGCTGAAAATAAACTGATACAATTACCATTGCATACAGTGATAGAAGTCAGCTTTACATTTGGCCCCCAAGTGTCCCATTGAATTGACAGGAGATCTTTCATCTAAGCATAAGATCTAAAGAGCAGTGAAACAATAACATAGATTTTATTTGTAACTTCCTTCAGACTGATACTGGGTTAGCACTAAAACCAGGCTTCATATTTGCAGCTGTGATAAAAGTTTATTAAAATTCAAACTCTTAAGACAGACTCTCCTCCAATACAGGGGTGGTCGATTCATAGTTTCCGAAAAAAGAAAAAAGTAAGATGGATTCTAACCTCTGCTTCCTTCTCATGACGTCTTCAAAGTGACACACCCTTTTATTTGCTTTACTCACATTTCTTCCTTTCATTCAAAACCACCCAAGTTTTACCTTACCTATATAGTAGGACTCACCTGACCATGCAAACTCACAATGACCACTCCCTCCCCTGATGCAGTCCTTAATTATGTGACCATTCATTTAGCATTTTTCATATTGTGTCTCTTTATTCTATATTTTGGTCTTCAACTAAGATCACATGCTTCTTGGGAGCAGAGAATGTTTTATACTGCATATCCATGAATAGTGCCTTTCTTGTACTAACCACTCAAAAACCATTTGCTGAATTTATGTGCATTAGTATAGATACTTCTAGTTTTTATTTATTCAAGCTTTTTGTACAGCTACCACAATGCTACATATTTGCCTGCTTTTAAAATACCAACCTGTTAAAGAAAAATCAAGCACTCTTAGAATTCTCAATACAAAATCACTAAAGTCCAAGTAGAAAAGGGCAACAGAGCTTGATTAGATAATTCACAAATAAATTCAAATGACCAAAAATTCAAATAAAAAAATCAACCTTACTAATATTGAGAAAATACAACTTGAAACAACAAGATGCCATTTTTACCTATCAGGTTAAAAACAATTTTTACTTCTAAGGTAATATTGGCTGTGATGCTATAAGTGGGCCACTCTTATACACTGCTTTCAGAGTGTCGTTCTCACCTCTGGAAACCATTTTGGCAACATACTTAAGGGTTTTAAAAGAGTTTGTAGTGCAGGACCTGTTTTAAGGTATATTCCCATGGAAAATAATGAAAGAAGAGTAAAAATTCACGGCAACTTTTTTTTTTGGTAAACATGAATTATTGAGACAACCCTACCTCTTGAGCAATAGGTAAATTGTTAATCTGAGAAAAGGTCACCTTGAGAAGGCAGTCAAAATATTTTCTAGGAGCTCTAGAAAAGGGAGGGATGAGAGATGAATGTTTCTCGAAGTCTGATACTAAACGAAAGAGAAAGGGACAGAAGAGAATGTATTAACATCCAGGTGGAGAAGAAACTAAGGATAATGTTAACCTTTATCTGACTATCTCATAGCTATGTTTGTTAGAAATGAAAAATTTGGCCAGGCGCAGTGGCTCACGCCTGTAATGCGAGCACTTTGGGAGGCCGAGGCAGGCGGATCACGAGGTCAAGAGATGGAGCTCATTCTGGCCAACGTGGAGAAACCCCATCTCTACTAAAAGTACAAAAATTAGCTGGGTATGGTGGCGCTCATCTGTAGTCCCAGCTACTTGGGAGGCTGAGGCAGGAGAATTGCTTGAACCCGGGAGGCGGAGGTTACAGTGAGCCGAGATCGCCCCACTGCACTTCAGCCTGGCGACAGAGTGAGACTCCGTCTCAAAAAAAAAAAAAAAAAGAAAAATTTAACATAAGTTATATTGATAATAAAAACATTTGGATCAGAAGTGACTACTAATATATCTGTATTTTGGTAAAAATAATGATAAACATAATACCTAATGTTTATTGAGTGTGCAGATTCAGAGTCCTGTACTGAGCTCTCTCTCTCTCTCCATGTATACGTATTTCTCATTTAATTATCTCCATAGCCCTATGCAGTAGAGAAGCTCATTCCAATATTACCATTTTACAAATGAAAAAACCGAAGCTTCAGAAACCAAATAACTTTGCCAAAGTAACACAGTTATCGAGGAATGGTGCCAGAATTTGAATTTATGTCTATCTGACTCCAGATTCTTAAGTTTGCAATCATTGTTTTGTAATCTATTTTTCATATTTACCTATATATGTCTTAGAGTTATATCATAGGACTAGCTAATTACTTAATACCAAGGTACATATCTGTTTATATGGGGGGCTTCTTATGGAGCAGAGAATGTAGAATTTCTTTGAATCTCAGTTCCATCTCATGGTTTTAGGCAAGTTACTTAACCTCTCTAACCCCTGGATTTTCCTATTAAATATAGATCATAATTTCTACCTTGAAAGATTATTGTGAAAGTTTAAGTTGTGAAGTACCCATCACAGTGCCCGACATATGCAAATGGACATCTTTAATATTATCATCCCACCTACACTGTGCTTTGGTTCAAAACTACTGGGAAGATGCATCATTGGTTATAAAGTACACATAGATGGGAATAAACTTTTAAACATAAAGATTCAGTGTTCAAATTGCACTACCAATATATGTATGTAGGGTTTCTGGTCATGGCTTTCCAAAAATGAGATAATAAAATAAACACTTTTCTTTTGTCTATGTTAATCAATATCTTGTGGAAATATTTCCAGGTCAACTGAGGCAGTGTCAATGTGCTTTTTTAGGACTGCATACTATTCCATGGTAGTACTTTGAAACTGAACAATTAATTTTTAAATGACCCTTTCTGTATATATTTACATACTGGTACTTTAGCTCCTTTGTGATATATTCTTAAAAGTAGAGATGCTGGGTGGAAGGGGGTCTGTATTTTTCACTTTAGGAGTCTTTGGCTACTTTCCACAAAGTCTGTGAAAATGTGCATTTCACCAACAACATGTAAGAATATACTTTTCTGAAAAATTCCTCTATTGTTCATATTTGGTTTTGGCAATATGTCAAAAAAAACGCAAAGCAAGAGAGCAGAAAACTGGACACAGGAAATTAATATTTTGAAGTATATTGCAAATATGTTCCTTTTCCAAAAACACTAGGAAAGAAAATTAAATAACAATAAAGTATAACTTTGTATCTAATAGATTGACAAACTTTTCCCAGGAACTGATCTTTTTGAATCTCTCTTGTGGACTTTATTGTGCTGATCTTCACAAGGGGCTCAGAGGTCAGGAAGCACCACTTTGCCTCGGTGATCTCTGACTCCTCCTCCCGTGCCTTGCCTTTCTCCTCATTCCAGCAACTGCTTAGTTTGGCTGATGAGGGTAGAGTTAGATTTGGGAGAGGAGAGTGGCTGTGTTAACAAGTTTATCTCGGCCCAGAATTCCCCACCTGTCTTTTGGAGAAGTTCATTAAACTTAGAATTTTATGAAGACAACAAAATGTTCATTGAAATGACTGAATTCCTATTAGAGAGTAAAACTATATGCTTTTACTATATGGGGATATCTCACATATTTATGTAAACTTTCTGGCCTCTGAAAAACATTGTGTTTGGAACCCTTTGTCTAGCTGTAGCAGAGTTGTTTGATGCTCACCACCACCTATTTGCAATCCTTACAGCTGGGCTGTCTAACTAGTTTTGGCAATCAGATAGTGGACATTTGCACATGTGACACTTCCGTGATGACACAAGGACCACCCCCCCTCAACCTGACCCCTGGCACAATCTTCATAGTCTTCCTGCCTGGAAGCCATGTGTTGAGAATGTGGGGACATAGGATGGAAGTATGCTGAATCCTTGAGGATTAGCTCCTGTATGGAAGCTCCTGTGGAGAACTTCCAGATCCACAGAGGACTTTGAAGTAACTGAGAATTAAATTAAACTGAATTCTTATGTGCTAAGCCACAGAGATTTTGGTGTTTGTTATCACAGCTTAGCTTAGCCTTCCCTGACTAATATGCTATCATATTATACTGTTAGACCTCTGCTGGGAACAACTCCTGCATGTAATTAAGGTCTCAAGGATCGACAGTCATTTCAGGCATCAGTTACCAGCAGCATACATAAGTCTAGATATCATGAACGAGAATCCCTAGGTGACTGATAAACACAAAGAAATTTGAATGTTTCAGTCCTAATATAAGCTAACATATCTTAGAGGGCTGTTTCCTGATTATCAGGCTTAAGATGGCACAAGCCATCCAGAGTCAGACAAAGGGCTGGGAAATATGAAGTCCAGTCTAGGGTGACTGCAAATTTGTGCCAGCTTTTCAGTGCTCAATGAAGATATATTAAATATATAAAAATTTTGTAAGCAAGACAGGTTTATTACTTTTACAATTTTTACTTCTATTTTATTTTCTCCTAATATTCAGTGAGATGCTTGTGAAAATGTCGGCCAGTCTGTTAGTAGTAGTCAAAAGATGAGTTTTGTTAACACTTGGAAAAGAACTATAAGGGGAGATTGATACAACCCTGGTGTCAAGTGTCTGGTGATAGTGGTGAGGGCAGTGAGAGAATCCCAAGAGGGTGCCATTCACGGGAACAGAATTCTTCCGGTGTTGACCTTAGAGGTTCTAGGCATTAACCTGGTTGTTGAAACACAGATGGAATTTCCAAAGATTGAACTGGGTTTGGGAATTCTAGGTGAAGGATACAGAGTGAGCAGGGAGGCAAGAGCATGACTGCTGGGTAGTCGTGGGTGAGGTGCCCAGGGAAAATCCTTCTCCTCTCCTCTTCTTCTGTCAATACAAAAAGGAAGAACTACCCATCTATCTCTTTCTGATGTATGGGCCTCTAATTGAGTCCTATTTAGCAGGGAACCAGATCACCACTGGGAAACAGCCACTCACATGCCACACTCCTTTCGTGAAGCTGATGCAGAAAGCTGCTGCCCTGTCTGCTCCCTGAGCTGCCCTGTCCACTCTGGCATCCACCCTCTCTCTGCTTCCCCCAGTGAGCTAAGCCACACTCATCTCTTTAGCTCCCAGGAGCAAGCTGATGGGGAAGTTTTCGGCTCAATAAAAGGAGAGAGGAGGTTAGGCTCAGGGAGTCAGAGGGCTCTGCACTGAGCATAATAGGCATGATTTTGATTAGGAATGAAATGACTGTGTGTTCCATTTATATTATTTTATATTATTTTAATTATTTTATATTATTCAGGGAGCTCCAGAAGAGAGGAAGGGGAAGGAGCTGGGCATTCCTTTTTTCTGGTTAGCCACTGTCAAAAACTAACAAAACTCCATGAAAAAATCTTAAACAGTGATGTCAGTTTCTGAACCTAGTAAATAAGGATATTGATGATTTAACCACCTCTTATGAGAGTGGATAAATGATAAATGATTGAAAATATATGTCATCATTTTAATATATGTATACATTTTTTCTTCAATTTTGAATTAACATGGGTGAGGGTTTGAATCAGATAAGCCTTTCACAATTGTACAAAGTAGTGCATCTTATTTTTAGATTGTTTATTTTTTATGATGTGATGAAAATAACTTGAAGATATAATGAAATGTTCTGAGTTTTCTAATTCTTAAATATATCCAGATACTCAAAATAGGGCTCATAGATTCAGATCAGTAATCATATGTCATCCATTTAAATTCAGTAAAGACTTTTCAAGCAAAAATCCAACTTTCATAACTTCATTGTATTAGTGGTGTACTAGCTTCTGAGATTTTAGGAAAGAGATGAGCATGAAAATGTAAAAGTGCAACAAATTCCCCTTTTTACTCTAAGAGAGCACTAGGTATGGACAAGCCTCCCACTGCTCAGTACGTATCTGTGAACAGTAGGATAGAAATGAATACTTTAAAGATGCTCTTCCAGATGAATTCTTTAGAGTTCAGCAGTATTACTCTATGTACAAAGCAATCAAGGGGTAAAGAAAGTATCCTTTTCTTTTTCAAAAAAATACAATGGATTTTGTATTTTTGGAGACCTCCTTCTAAAGTTTTTTTTTTTTATTTTAAATGTCTTAAGATTTTCTTTAGACATTTGAGACCCTCAACTGACATTTTCCAGGTACTTAGAGCTTTATCTTCCTTTAGAGAATAGGGACGCATGATAGTTACATTATTCTTTTCTAATGTCTGCAGTTACTGACTAAATAATTCAATACTTATTAAAAAATACTTTCCCAGTAAATATGTTTCCAGCTAATACATATTCCAATTAATAATAAAAACTCAAGTCTATAAGTATAGGCTAGATTTAAAACAGTATTTAAATACTATTTAAAATATTAATTCTATTTACTTCTAAAAATGACTTAATTTTATCTACTTTGAAAAATGACTTGTGGCAGGTAATATAGCAGATAAAAACATGGTCTTTAAAGTCAGCAAGATTATGGGGAAGTTAAGCATTTTAATATCCCCAAAGTTAAGTTTTGCCATTTGTAAAATTAGAAATAATTCATATTTCAACAGTTTTTAAAATGAGGAATAATACTTTTTATCAAAGTCATTAGCGACCTAAAACTTATACGTGTATGGTCCTCACTTTTCTCAATACCTCAGCAGTGTTTGGTGGAACTGACAACTCCTTGCTTCTTCCCCTTTAGGTCCTGGGATAGCTTGTGCCTTATTTTGGCTTTCCTGCTGTCTCACTGGCCACTTACTCTAGCCAACTCCTGTTCTAGGAGAGTACCAGCAGTCCCATCAGCTCTTGTAGAACTTCACATGTTAGCTTAAGGTTGGCTGTATGTGGATAAGACTGATTTCTATCACCAGCCCAGACATTTCTTTTAAGTTCCAGAATCATATAACAAACTCCCTGCCTCATATCTGGATATCTAATAGACATCACTGCCTTAACATGACCAAGTCAGAACTATTATTAAACCCGCTAAGCCTTTTTCATTCCAGTAAATTATTCACCCAGTTGTTCAGACCAATAACTTAGGAGTCATTGATAATTTTTTCTTTTTCTCCCACCCCATACTTCTGTAAGTTCAGTTAGTTTGACCTCCAAAATATATCTTCGATCTGTCCCTTTCTCACTAATTTTACTGCTACAATCCTATTCCAAGGCATCCTTGTCATATTCCTGTAAAACTGCAACAGTCTTCTAACTTGTTCTTTTATCTTCACATTTGCTCAGTCGCAGTCTATTTTCTACCTAACGCCTAAGGTGAAAGCATCAGATATCACATTATACCCTGCGTAAAGCCTTGGAATGATTTACCATTACAAGTAGACTTATACACAAACTCATCACAAGGCTTCTCATGATCCAGCCCCTGCCTACCTGACAGACCTCCTCTCCCTGCTTTCTGTCCTTCTGCTTTAGCACTCTGGTATTTGTTCTGTCTTCCAAACATGCTGAGTTTGTTCCTTTTCAGGAGCTTTTACCACATGCTTCAAAGTTGGTTCCCAGATCTGATATGACTGCTTTCTCATTCATTCAGGTGTTAATTGCAAGGTTGACTTTCAAAGGCAGTCTTAAGTATCCTAATCAAAGCAATTCTCCAACTGACTCTCTACCATGTTATTTTATTTTATTTGTAAAGAGCACTTATCAATACCTGAAATTGTTTAGTTATGCCTTTCTTTATTGCCTGTGTCGCCTACCCCTACCCGCTATATTGTAAACATCTTACAGTTAAAGTTTAGTTTTCCTGAATATTGCTGTAAGCCCCAATGGCCAGCACTACCTTGGCACATTGTAAGGGCTGAATAAATGGCTACCGAAGTTGTATTGCTATTTCAGTTTAAGCTCAAACACTCACTAATGCATTCATTAGTGGATGTTGTCTATTAATAATTTTTACCTTTGTAAGTCTGTTTATTTTTAAAAAAATGAGTGTTACATCTAGATTAAAGTTGGTACTATGTGGAAATATTGGTTAACCTTGACTTCATTAGGAAAGGAAAAGATTTCTAACTATAGGATTGTGTGTTATTTACACACCTTCAGTTACCATCGGTATATATTATTGTAGAGCCACAGAAATGCAAAGATCTTGGAGATCAACCAGTTCAACCACTTTATATTAAAGGATATAATCTAAGTAGAACCTTACCCCTAAATGAATAATTTTATTAAATAATTGAAAATGGAATTAATTATATGACTAATTGTTTTTCCCTGCTGTAGGCATAAATCAGGTTTTGTTTTTTAGTTAATGCCTCTTCCTGGCCCCCTTCTTCCAAGGTTCATCTGTTCATTTTTATAAAATATTTGATTAATGTTAGTCACTTGAGGTTTTCGTTCTTGACAGTGTTATTGAAAATTACGTAGATATATTCCATTGATTATATAATCTTTTATACAGGCTCAGAATTCACTTTTACTAAGAGTATTGTAGTCCAACTGTGGATCTGACATTTCTCTATAATATCAAAATGCATTAAAATGAACTTGTAATAGGTTAAATATTTTGAGTAAAAGTTAACGGAATTGTAGTTTAGAATTTAGTTTCAATACAGTTTAAGCCACCTTGTTTGCCAAATTGAATTCAGATAGATTATGAACCTGGGTTTTTCTTTCATAATTTGATATGCAATAGTTCTTTCCAGGTATTTGATTGTCTGCACTAGGTACTCTGCATCTCTGGGGCCCCTGCAAATACTATAGTCAATTAAGAATCTGGCTATTCATGCCATACTGCTCTTATTCCATCTTATTTTTACATTTGTATCAAACTAAATTAGTAAGTGGACCCATATATTAATATAAATGCAGCTAATGAAACTAAAAATTCATATTATGTATATATTTCCATTTTAAACATCTATCGAATGTATCTTTTTAAAGAATTCTTTTTTTAGAAATTGGAATATTCACAAAGACAGAGGAAAAAAATTCAACTATAGAAAAAAAGTACAAGGGATGTCAAACCAGTGAGAGAAAAAAATAAAGTTGTTCTTGATTCCCAATTGGATTAACTGTATGAGCATGAAGAATAAACTGTAATGAACATCTGCTACTGGCTCCTAAGATGGTAGGAAAGGAAGAATAAAATAAGAATTGCTGGATCAACTGCTCAGGAATTTGAAACCACAGGATATTGTAGTCCTTTGGGATTCTAAATATTCAGGCATCTGTTAGGTAGCAGATTCAGCTAAACATGGATCATCAAAGGAATTCCAGAGTTATGTTGAGGACAAGTTTATAATCCATAAAGAAGAAAATCAGCCACTGGGGAAGTTATCCTGGAAGAATGTAACTATTTGAAGTAATTATGCTACTAAGTAGTTGTTCTTGGAAACAAGTCCCTATTTCCAAAAATTTAACCCCTTCACTTCTTCCCATCCTCGCCTTGACAAAAAAGAATGCTAGCTAGCACGGAGGAGGCTGGTTTGAGAAAACCAGTTGGGATATGTAGAAAGAAAATTACATCCATCATTAGGTGCTAATGGACCATCCCAAATAAACTGTAATCTAGGATCATTGCCTCAGTTATTTTCCAGCTACATTTTATAGTCACAAAGGGTAAGTGGTTTCCTTGTTCTTCATAAGTATTTTATTTTCTTAAATTATTCTTTAAGTCATAGATTTCTAGAAGCAGAAATTGAAATGAGAAGCCCAGCCTTTCAAGGATGGAGTAGAGATTGAACTCTCAAACTATGGAATAATAAAATGGTGTGGAACCTCTCACATGATTCTCACTTTATCATCTCAGTGATGTTAGTAATTCATTCTTTCATTCAACAAATTCTTGTCAAGCACCTACTGTGTTAGGTTTTAAGAATACATTACTGAAGAGAAACAAGCAAGAGTTTCTATTACTATGGAAATTTCCTTCCTTCTCATAGAAAAAAGTGATTGGAAGTTTGCAGAGGGAAGGGTCTTCCAGAGAAGCCTGATGATAAGGTTACATCACATCAAGCCATCTATACCCCTCTTCTCTCACCTTCAAGGGTAGGAGTTCTCTCAGGAAAACACCAGTTTGAGGTACTTTTAAATATGTTTCTCCTTCATTTTTATTAATTTTTTATTGTATTCAAGGCTGTATGTTTTGATGTACATCATGATCCATGTATGTTAAACCCTCAAATGTATGTTCATATACATTTGGAAGTATATTTTTAAAATTTTTCTTTATGCTCACCATTTTTTCTCAAATAAGGAACCAACAATAAAAATGTGAACCTTCACACATTCGATTAAATGGAAAATAATATACAGCTACTTTTTTATGTGCCTGCTTGTAGGCTTGTATAATCACTGATTCTTAGTCCCTTCACTGCTGGTAGGTCCATGAATCCAGAGAAGACCTTTGGGTTACATGATGAAGATGCTTTGGTGAAGGATCAGAGGGAAGGCAAAAAGTCAGTTACAAGTCAGCTTCTTTACAAAATACGTCATGGGTTAGGATTTTAACTTGCCCTTTCCAGGATTCTTCTCATTAATGTTCATAAGCCCTGTCTCTCCTTTGTTTCTTTCATATATCCCCTTTGTCTGCTTTGATGAATTTTATCTCCTAATCTGTAGTCATTTGAGAAATTTGCTACCATATTAGAGAAATGTTTTGTATGTTGGAAACCAAAATGTGGCTCTGATGCATAGTTGATTTACCTGTAGATGATGCAATCTTCAGTCTTTTAAAGCATTATAGCCTTAGTGTTATTGTCATTTAAGAAACATTCTCTTGGCTATACACATTTTTCACCACCAATTGCTAAGGTACAAAGTTGAGCAATATTTAGGATCTTTGGTTTTCCTCTCCCCAGTTGGCATTGTTACATCCTGGTCATTTTATTGCCCACTGACAGTTCTATTAGCTATTCCTCAAATTAATCAATTTTGATAGTTGGCTGGTTAAGTTTGGTGTGGGAAGGAAGTTTAAAACATTTGCTGACATAAGTTTGGTGGCCTATCTATAATTTTGATACCGGGAACTTGCAGCAAATTTAGCACAGGTAAAATACATTAAAGCTCTAACCCTTCTGAAAATTCCCAGGGCTTATTTTAATGGGTTAGGCATAGTCTGACTGTATAGCTCAGATGGAGCCTTCATATTTACTTTTACAGCGCACCTCTTTAAGAGAGAACATTCACAATGGAAAACAGCGGCAAGGGTTAGAAGACTTTTAAAAGGAGGCTGTTAGTGCAGCAGTAAAATTTGGCCAGGTAATTTTTTTTCTCTCTCTCATTAGGTTTCAATCTTCTTTAGTATTATGACTTATCCAAAACAGACTAGCATTGAATCAGAGCTTTCAGTTTTTCAAAAATTATGACATGTTTGTCTAAGCTCTATTTTAACTTGCCTAACTGTACTCTGGGCTTGAACCTCAATAATTCTTTTATTAACATTTTCAGAATAAGAACTTCAGAAGTAAATGCTTGAGCTATGTCACTAGTTAGGTCTTCTAAAGATTTATTGAACTTAAAATTATTTGAATCTCTTTAATAGCTCCATCAGTATAGAAACATGAGCTCGTATGTTTATGTATTTTTCTTTAGAAAAACCTTTTTGTTATGAAACTTTCCAAATATAACCCAAAGTAGAAAATACAATAAAACCCCATGTATCCATTCCCTGGCTTAAACAACCATCAACATTTTGCCATTTATGTTTATGTTTTAATAACAATGATTACTGGATATTAAGAGGAAGGATCGTGTGCTATTTTTAAAAGTGCTAGTAATAATCCTTAGTTTGTAAAGAACGATGATTTTTGGTAAATTTTATTTTAACAAGTAGAATTTATGAATTACAGTATGCTGACTAGATATGCTATATTTAAAAAATTAGTTCCTATTTCTGTTTTTTGTAAATATCACTGAAAATATTGGTGGAGTTGGAAGTTTTGTTTTCCAAATGTCAGCTGTTCTTTTCTCTATTCCTGGTTCAAAGCCAACATTATCAGAAGGGAGACAAGTTGGCAACTAGCCTAAATACCAGTGGGGATACATCTTTTCTTCTGGACTTATATTCTTAAATAACACCTTAAAAATCTGTAGATAATTAGTGTAGCAATCTTGAAAATATTAATTAAGAAAAGAGCTAATAATTACTATGCTTGAAACTGAAAGTGATATAATTAGACTTAAACTGTGAGGTTTTTATTTGAAATTCATTAAGACCTTCAATGACTTAGTTGGCAAAGAGAAATTCTCCATTTCTATTATTAAGTCTTTACTAGTTAATAGAAATATAAAACAGGTTCAAATGTCTGTTTACTTACAGATCGTCTTGACTAATTTCATCTCATTTTAATTATCTGTAGATAAAATGTTTTATTTACAATAATGGAATTTAGCAGAGCTGGTGACATTTTGACAAAAAGTGAAGAAATTTGATCATGCCAAACAGTAGTATACTTTAGGCATACAGATTTTTTAACTAAAATTTTGAAATATTTTCTACAGGTACACATTAAGTTTTTCCCAAATCATTGTTTATGTACATTAAACAATGCTTTGAATTTCTTCCCTCCCCACTCCCACTCAAAACAAAGAAACCTGTAATGGTACAGTAGAAAAAAGGCAGAAAAACTTTCTCTCTCGAGCTAAATGATGCCAGTTTGAATAGCTTGGTGCTGACAGGCTGGGTGAGAGTTGAGGAGCTTTGATTGCTTACACTACCATTGCTCTTATGGATGATGATATCCCTGTGAAATACATTGCCCCGGTCTGCCTGCAGAGAACTTAACCGCATCAGTCAGCTTCTCTTGCCTGAACCTATGAGGTCATCATTATTACTTCATTTTTTTATTCCTACATAATCCAGGCTGAACTTTAGAAGGCTTTCTGCTTTTCCCATCAGAAGTTATTACTCTGAAATATAGAAATAACCTGAGACATCTTTTATGAAATGTATCCTCTTCTGTTTGTCCTAAGTATGCAGTTGAAGCAATGAACTAATTTTCTGGGCAACAGATTCACCAAATCTAAATTATTCTCAGGTGAATCAAATAGCTTCTTTCAATGCAGATAATCCTTTGGCTAAAAAAGAGACATAATGTTAACAGAACAAGAGTGGTAGCACAGTGAAAAAGGAAGATGGAGTTTGGTAAGAATGAGAAAAGATTTTTTTTTGAAAGAAAACAATTGCTAAACTAATGAAAGAATGCTAGAGATTGTTAACATCACCAACTCAAGCAAATTATTTGAGAAATAGTAAATTTTATAAAATAAAATTCTAAAAAAAATGGTTAAGATGGCAAAAGAAAAACTTACCAGATTGTATATTTTAAATATATGCAGTTTATTGTTGGTCAAATATACCTCAATAAAGCTGTTTAAAAAAAGAAATAGTGAATTCTATCATCTTAGGAAAAGGGTAAAGAATATGGGCTTTAAAATTTGATGGGGATATGAACACCAATGCTACCACTTGTAATTACAATATCTTAGATCTTGCTTCCATCTATGACAGGAGTTGACTTTTTTTTTTTTTTTTCTGTGAAATGCCATATAGTAAATATAGTAAATATGTTAGGCTTTTTGGGCCGTGCTGTCTCTTTTGCAACTCTCAACTCTGCCATTGTGTGTGAAAGCAGCCATAGGCAATAAATGAATAAGCATGCTGTATTTCAACAAAATCTTATTCATGGATACTAAATTTTGACTTTCACATAATATTTATGTGTTACAACTTATTGTGTGAAATGCTTTCCCTTATTTAAAAGTAAAATCCAATCTTAGCTTGCCAACAAGAAAAAGCCAGTGGAATGGATTTGCCTTTGGGCCATGGTTTACTGAAACCTGATTTAAGATAGTGGCTTTCATAGTGGTGCCAGCAACATCAGCATTGCCTGTGAAAGCCTTCAAAATGCAGATTATTAGGCCTTATCCTAGACTTACTGAAAAATCAGAAACTGTAGGGTGGGGTGCAACAAGGGTTTTAACAAGCTCTCCAGTTGATTCTGATGTACGTTAAAGTTTAAGAACCATAGCTCTGTAGATAATGCTACATAGCTGCTTTGAGTTCCTGTAAGAATTAATGAGATAATGAGTTGCTGGTGCCTAGCCTGATGTTGAACCACCTCAACTGTGCTAAACACCTTTTAGCTGTTTATAATAGCTAAAGTAAATTGGTTAAATTTTGATCAAATTTTCCCTTATTCTTAAACCAGTGACTGTGTAAAATAGGTTTTTTGCAAGAATTCCAAAAGGAATTTGCAAAAGAAATGAAAAGTAGATCATTTTAACCTTCTTTTAGCTAGATTGATAAAACATGAGAATTAAGAAAAATCAAGTCTCAACAATGTGACAGGAAATTAGTTTCCTGGAAAACAATCTCCTTAATGCTAACGCTTCCTTTGGCCTGTTAATAATTAGAAAATAATAGAAATAGAGGTTTTGATGTAATAAATATTATAGCAGAATATATTCTTGCTAAAAGAGCAAAATAGGAATTTAAATTTATAGAACAAAGGCACCTGCTCCTCAATGTTTCTTGTCTTTCCTTTCTCTATGAATGTTTGGGCACATGGAATATATTAGGCCATGCTCAGCCAGCTTAACAGTCAGTGGCTAATGACCGCTGCTTCAGATAGGACTTCAAGTCTGCTTCAGATAGGACTGATGTGCATGACAATGGCTGACACGGTATTACCTTGTAAAATAATTTATTTGTGCTTTCGTAGAACTGATGTCATGGAAGCCCGCTTTCTTCTGGAAACCTTCATCATTATTGATTTAGGCATATTGATTTACATTTCTTTGACTTTGAGTTTAATACTGAGTGTAAACGTTCCCAAATAGTCACAAGTGAACAGAAAACACAATGAATGTAAGAGATGACATGTTTCATGAATATGAACTTCATAGCAAGCCATACCTGTCCCTATGGAGGGAAGAAAGAGAGATTCTACTTTTCTCGCAATTATCTAGATAAACCCAAATTTAAAGCTTTTGCTATGATTTATCTGGATAATTTTGACAACATAGGTTTATTAAAATGATTCATACAAAGCATTCTGAATTTCATTTTGCTTTTATATTTGTGTATTTATTGCAGATGCTCACAAAATGTCTCGGATAACAGCTGGACTCATAATGTCCTCATCATGACCGGTGAGTCTGCAAAAGCAGATGAAATTTTTCTGTGAATTCAAGTGAGCTAGAAATTTAAAAAAAAGAGCTTGTACAAGTCCTCATATTAGAAGAGTTTTGTTAAAAGTTTTCCGTGTTTTGGTATTTTAATAAAAACCACATGATATGAGGCTTATTTCTCAGTTATATTCACTCCGATTGCCATTTCTGTGACAATCTTAGTAAACAAAGTTCAGACTTTTTTTTTCAGATTTTTTTTCATCATTTTAGCCAGGAATCACAAGAAATGCAGCAGGAATGACATCACAGCATGCCTTTTTGTAGCACATTAACGCATTTTTGACAGCTGAATATTTCTGATGAAGAGAATATTTAGATTTCATTTTTGTATCTTATACAACATCTGGAACTTTAGAATATTTCTTTATTCAGTAAGCTATTTGTTGTGTCTGCAAAAATAGCCCTGATAGAAAATTATGAAAACTATTGTCAAGACTTTGCTTGGATCAGAGTGAACATTAAATAGTAATAACCATCAGGCAGTACAACGTTGGCTTTAACCTCAAATATAAACAATACAATCAAGATGTTTCCTACTTTCATATCTGCAAATTTACTATGGTCATCCATAACTTTAATAACTAAATTAAATGCCTTGAACTCTACTGTGGGAAGCTGCTAAACCTCTCCATTATCTGTGGATTTTCTGGCGTGCAGGAGCTTCAGTGCAAGTGCACCTATGTACTGACGCTCACTCCAAGCTACCACCATTTGTTCTGTGGGTGCTCCCTGCCTGGGCTGGCCCAGTGCACAGTGCTACCCCTCTCATTTCACTCAAGCAAAGAACCACAAACTGAGGTTCATATGAGTGGCAACTTTTTATTCTAGATTCGTGAGTTGCAGAAAGTAGTTAGGGATCAGAAAACACTTCAGCTTTAATGTCAGGTACAGATATGTTCCAAGTAATTTGTCAGCCATCCCCTTCCATAAGGAGTTTTTCCTCTCTGGGTGTCCTTGTGGGCTCTAGCCTCCAGCTACATGCATGCCAGAAGCCCTCCTGCATTTTTTCCTAGCTCTTCCTTGCAACTCCCCTTTCTTCTCAATACTGGGCCCCTCTCTTAGGTTGCCTGTAGCAAAGTCAAATTCTTCTCCCTTTAATAATAAAACAGAGTAACAGTTCAGCACTGTTTTTTTTTAATCTCATGCTACCCATCCAGCCCTGCCCAGGGACCTGATCTTTCTCAACCAAAGGAAACAGCATACACCATTAAGGTATTTTTTTCTAAAAAAAAAAAGAGCCATCTTTTTAGGGATGAATTATATCCCTTCTCTGGAAGGCAGAATCAACTGTAGTTTTTCCTTCCAGTTGCCATTGCTCTTTTTGTGATGTATAGGGGCATTTCTCTCCAAGGAAGCCTCTGTGCTGTCTTGTAGGCACATTATTTTTTACCCTCTTCAGTACATTCTCCGCACTGCTGCCAAATCATCTTTTAAAGGGATAATTTCATCATGCTGTTCTTTTGGTTAAGCTATGAGTAACATCTCACTGGTCTCAGGACAAAGTTTCAAATCCCTAACAGATCCGACAGAGCTCTATGAACCCCTGGCCCCCGCCCCACCACCTGCCTTGCACTAGGCTTAACTTGCAGGACTCTCTTTTCTCTACTTTCTCTCAAGGTGCAGAGACTTTTGGCTTCTGGAACAGAGCATGTTCCTTGCTACCACTGGTTCTCTGTGACTGTTATATCTCTGCCTCAAAGATCCTCCCTGCTCATGTAGTGATGTCTTAGTTATGTTCCAGATCTCAGCTTAAGGGTTTCTTAAGTTTGGGGCTTCTATGTGTCTCTGTTGGCATTCTGTACGTCTCCTTCGAACATTCATCAAAATCTTAATTTATTCATTTTGAAAGCAGGGTATCAGGTTGCTGTGGCAACTCCAGGCAGGGTTGCCAAGGATTGTCTGTGTACCTCTACTTAAGGCTTCTATGACAAAGTTTCCCTTTTCTGTTTTGTTTACTGCCTCCCTCCCTCCACTGCCCCTCCAAATTTAGGGTAGCAATGCTTCCCCTCTGTTGACCTATCCACGTTGCTCAAAACTGTCAAGCACTCTTCATCTCCTCTCTATACCTTCATGCTATTCTCTACCTGTTGAGATTCAGATAACATACTCCTAAACTTTTACTATTTTTTTTCTAAGGTCTTAATCATTTGGGTTTTTCTTTTGTCACCGTCTTCTTATCCTCATAATCTCTGCTCCAGCCATTCTCGATTTTTTTTCTTACATCTTCCTATGGGCCATGGTCTATTTCACTCCTAGGGCCTCACACATGCTGTTCCTACAGTCAGAAAGGAGCAACCCACTCTTACACTGCTAAGTCCTCCCTTTATCTACCTAAACTCTGCTTACCCTTCAAGCTTTATTTTACATTTCAATTCCTCTGAGAAGCCTCTCCTCACTTTTTGTCTTTCTTACCCCCAGTCTAGGTAGGTACTTAGGTAGAATAATGGCCCTCAAAGACGTCTACATTCTAATTCCTGGAACCTGTGAATATGTTAGGTTACATGGCCAGGAAGAATTAAGGTTGTATATGGAATTGACATTGTGAATCAGGTGACCCTGAGATGGAGGACGATTCTGGACTATCTAGGTGGGCCCAATGTAATCATAAGGGTCCTTATGGGTGAAATAGGGAGGCAGGACGGTCAGTGTCAGGGAAAATTCCACTGGCCATTGCTGGCTTCGAAGACAGGAAGGGACCACAAGCTAAGGAATGCAAGTGGCCTCTAGAAGCTGAAAAAGACAAGGAAATGGACAGATTCT
Organism: Homo sapiens; assembly: GCF_000001405.40. Classification (NCBI taxonomy): domain Eukaryota; kingdom Metazoa; phylum Chordata; class Mammalia; order Primates; family Hominidae; genus Homo; species Homo sapiens. The sequence goes on from NC_000005.10 coordinate 51,457,970, forward strand.
CCCCTAGAGACTCCAGCAGGAACACAGTCCTACTGAAATGTGATTTTATCCCAGTGGGACTTATGACTTTTGACCTTCAGAACTCTAATATAATAAATTTGTGTTTTTTCTGTTTTTTTTTTTTTCTCAGATTGAGATGCAAAAATTTTTATTGTTCTACATGGCAATTAGTTACAGAAGCAGAAACTATTACTGTATTTTTTTCAGGAGTTTCCATAGTCTACACTTCCCTGTCATGGTTTTTAATCATCCTGTATTATAATTGCCTATTGGTTTATCTGGCCTTTTTATAGACTCTAAAACCCACAGGACAGAACAATCACTGTTTCATTCACTGTCCTTTAGCCAGTGCTAACTACAATGCCTGGAAGGTAGTAGGCTTTCAGTAAGTATTTGCTGAGTAAATTAATGGCAGATCCAGAATTCAAACATGGTATCTTTGATACAGTGCAGTAGCAGTAGCTCTTTGGCTCTGAAGCAGATACTACTTGAGATTTTTTTTTCTCTTGGAAATCTGCCTAAGATCATCTGAAATCAGATATAGCTTAGCCAACTTTAGTTATCTGAGAAAATTTTTCCAAATAACATTGATCCACTGTGTTATGACATCTTGGTTTTCATCTGGACAGAAACACATTATAAATGAATTTATTGGGTCCCCTTAACTTCTTCACGCAGGAGAATGGCGCATTTCTCATTTACCATTAAGATCAGTTACATGTGTTTCCATGGCACATTGTTCAGAAATGGCCAGAGCAGCTGGGTAGTGCAAGGAATGGCTGCCTATGGGTGGAACATTGTGTTTCAGATCCCCAGTTGTTCACTCTTTCTGGGGCAAACAGTCTCATTTGAAGGTTATTTTCTCAGGTGAAATAGACACAGTTTCATCTGTTTTAGCCACTTACACAGAAAGACAGGAATGTCCTAGGATTCCTAGAGCAAATGACATGGCAAAGTGTGTTCAGGGCCTCAGCTAGCCTCACCGCATGTGGAACATTTCTGGTTACTATCTACATAACAAAACGGAATAAATCATAAGGTTTTAATATGATTAAAATCTAGACTTTTTATTCTTTCCTTTTTAGTATTTCTCTCTGATGAACAATTTGATGGTGAATATCAAAAGCTATTGGAATTTAGTACATTATCACTCTTGATGCCTTATATTTTTAAGATCCAGTGAAAGAAAGGAAGAAAAAATACCTCCTAATTGATTCTTTTTTATCTTTGCCAAATACAGTAACTCTTATCAACTAAAATCACTAAGAAATTAAAGCTGATTAGGGAACATTAGGAACGCTGTCAATGGATTTTTAAAAATCAGGGAAAAAGTTTCAGCATTCATTAAGCCCTCAGGGGAGGAAAGATGTATTCTAGCAAATCATAACAATTGAAATGTATTTCTATTATTTTTTTTCTGAAGAAGCTTCAAGCACTTACACTGAATTCCAGAATGCTTCAACTTCCAACTGATAGAGTGTTAAACACTATGAAGAATGTTAGTGTGGGAGACAGAGAAAGAACAGCATTTTTTATTTTTGTACAGTCAACTAGTTGTTTTGCAGAAAATAATTTTGATAATTTTATATGACCTTGAACATTTACACATATTTCATGGGGAGCTTAGAAATAAACATTTTGATATAATATTGGAGTTAAGGTTTAATAAAAGGGGAATTTATTTCCTTCAAAAAGAGCCTAATTACAGAAAATTAGGAGATTCAAAAAGTAGTCAATGGAACAACTTTTGGATCATGGGAAGCTTCACCAGATAGTTCTCTACTTCAGTTTCTGCAAAGATGGTTTTGTCAGAGGAAGCAAAGAGGCTGGACTGCTTACTGAAGTGTGAAAAACAAAGCATTAAACAGGCTACTTTAACGCATCTCAGGCCATCCTGAATTCATTTGGAGTGTGGGTAGGAACCTAAAATCTGGCTCCAGAGCAAAACCCACATGGAAACATTATCAGAAAGAAAATTTCTTTCCATATATCAGAAACTTAAGATCAGTAAGGTGAAAGATTTTGCAGAATAGTATGGGAAGCAAAGCAGAGGAAAATAAGAATAAAAGTGAGCCATCTCAAAATTGGTTTTTATGTAAGAAGTGAAAAGGCAAATAAATCCCCTTGAAAAATATATCTTGTATCTACCATAATCTACCCTTCCTTGAATCAAGCTGTCTAGGGATTGATAAACGTATACCAAAATAAATCCAGCCTTCCCAATGTCCTCATTTCACATTTATACAACTAACCAGTACTTCTTTATCTCTTAGCTGTTCTATGGCTGAAAATAGAATTTAGGGTTGATAATGCCCAGATTTCTAGGCTATGAAGCAGTAGCATATTTGCAGTGTTGGGTCTTCCATTTGTGCATGGAATCCCTTCACACTGTCTTCTCTTTCTATAGTGTCAGAACTGCCTGCCTTCCACAGTGTGTTTTGCCATGTTTTGCTGGGTGCAACTAACTGTCTGTGTCATATCACTCTCCGAAGCATTTCCATGTAGAAATACAATGTCGTAATAATGCAAAAATAATTTAACTTTTAGTGCTTTTAAAAGCAGATAACTTATATTTGCTTTGATCATGCTAGTATGGTAAAAAGGAACAAAATTTGTGTAAGAAGACATATACTGTCTGTAGAAAAGACAAGAAATGCACAGCTTATATTTTAAGCTCACCAGAATTTACATTTGTTATTAAATATGATGCACTATTTTGGAAGCTGATTTTCTTGGAAAATAAAGGCTTGTTTTTGAGAACAGGTAAAAAGTATAAAATAAACCCAAATTAGAAATATGTAACAAGAAAGTCTACTACAGCAAGAAAAATCTTACACTAAATTAAATATTATATCTACAAGTAGGCATCTTATAAAAGAAACTCCTTACCATACACAGTGGTTATGTTACTAAATATTGCCTGAGTTTGGTGTTACTTTATTTATCTGGCGTTTTTGTTGGCCAAGAGAATATTTTTCAGATTAAGATATTTCCCAGTTAATCAAAGATCGTGTTAATGAAGAATGTAAAATTGTTTCCCTTTCTGTCTAACACCACAGACTGTCACATATTGAGTTCTTGCCTTTTCTCTTTCATGCTCTGATATCAGAATGATTGTTTTTGATGATAGCCTTTATAGTGGCACAGGTATTACTTGCTTTTTTGGATTTGCTGTGGGCTGTTTGAATTTTAATTTATGCTGTTAATAGTGTGCCTTAACATTAGTACTGCATTTTTTTAACTTGCAATTTTGTTATTTTCCTTGGAATGCGTATTTTTGGTTTACAGATGGTGTTGGTCACAAAAAAGAAATCTAAATTGGTAGAAACTCAGACTTTTTTTCTTTCATGACAGGAGGGGACAAAGAAGCTGAATTCCTAGACCAGTCTATCTATTCGAACACTTCATCAATTGTATCTGCAAAAATATTAATCAAGACACAAAGTTCAAACCAGTAGAGCTGCTGGCTTATTCTGGGCCTACAGTCCCATCCTTGAAATTTTACTTTCTTTTTGTTGAGCTCCTTGAATTTGAGGAAGGCCAAATGTGAGAGAGGATGATGAAGAAAGGGTAAAAGTTGCTTGTAGCTGGGCATGGGAAGCTCCAATGCCACCACAGAGAAAAGTCTCTACCAGCTCAGGAGCTTGGAAAGGGCCCTGGTGGAGGAGAATTTGCATAAGGAAATCACCAGCTCTAGTACACTTGTAGCATGTGACAGGAAAAATTTGTCATTGGCTATTTATGAATTAAATCTTAATAAAATCCCTAGGTCTTCCCTAACCAAGCACAAATGTCTTAAGAGGTTACCTATAATTTTGAACATCCTTTCAGGACATTTTCTGCATAGTTAATGTGGGCAGTTGTGTCTAGGCACAGGACAGATTTACTTCTATGTCAATATTTAAGGCACTGTATATGGCACAGAGACCCCATTATTCAGTGAAAATATGGCCTATTCAAGGAGATGAAAGTTTAGTGAGAATCTTAACTAGGAAGACAACAAAGTTACTCTATCAAAGAAATAATTTAAATGACTTTGAAGAGAAAATAAGATTTTTTTTTAAATGGAAAGTTTATTTTCCAACCTACAAGACAGTTAAATAGTTAGCATATCTCTTAAACCCTAAATTTTAATTTAGCACTCAGAGTGATGTCACTGATAGTCTCTAGCTCTTAATAAATGCAGTTCATCTTCTCGTGTGTCAGTTTTCTCATTTTAAAAATTAATTATAATGATATAACAGTCTTTAAATGATTTTTTTTTTTTTTCCTGAGATGGAGTCTCCCTCTGCTCCCTCTGTCACCCAGGCTGGAATGCAATGGTGTGATCTCGGCTCACTGCAACCTCTGCCTTCCAGGTTCAAATGATTCTCCTGCCTCAGCCTCCCCAGTAGCTGGGATTACAGGCGCCTGCCACTACTCCTGGCTAATTTTTATATTTTTTTGTAGAGACAGGGTTTCACCATGTTGGCCAGGCTGGTCTCAAACTCCTGACTTCAAGCGATCCACCCGCCTTGGCCTCCCAAAGTGCTGGGATTACAGGTGTGAGCCACCATGCCCAGCTCTAAATGATTCATAGCATAATAGTAACACATTTGATGATACATGAACAACTATAGGTAGAGCTAGAGGTAGGAAAAAAATGAAATGAAATTATTTCCCTGGCTTTTCCTGGGTTGTAACAAATTCCCAGAACATTTGAACCCTCCACTGAATCTAGGTTTATGATATAAAATTGAAGAGTAGAAAAGGACATCTTAGGAACAAAAGTACAAAGAAGAAAGGGATACATCAAATTGGTGAGTGAGCAGAAATAACGACATCCAGAAGGAATTTTCTACCCTGACTCTTATTTTTTAGGAACACTTTCTACTCCGCCTCCCTGACTTCTGCCTTCCATCTTAAGCCCTAGCTTATCACCAACACTAAGTGTAAAATCAGTTTGGAGACCAGGGGAAGTGAAATATAATTTATTCAGCAAAAATTATAGAGATGGTTTAAGGAAGGTAAAAGTAATTTCATAATTTGGAATTTGGCTAGCAAATAAAAACTAATATCCAACTCCTTTTCCCATTTCTATAAAAACATTTACAGTGAGGAAGTCTTTAGCATGACTAGGAGTGAGAATCATGATTTCATATCTCCTGTGAATTGCAACAATTGCAACAATATTGTTGAATATTGAAGCAATTTTCCAGTCCTGCAGGGATATGTAAGAGTTTTTAAAAGCAGAAAAAAAAAGACACCTAGAAGCAAGGTCAGACAGGAAAATAACATTTTAAGGGGCCACTAAATAATTTTTGAAACCCCATTTGAAATTTATAAACTGATCATTTAATGGTTTTGGCTTTTATAAATATGATGTGTATTCTTGTTTCTTGATTTCTATAATCAAATGATAAAAGATAATATAATATAAATAGCAGCAGATAATTTTGGACGTGATCATCAAATGAAGTTTTCTAGCTGAAAAATTGAAGTGGATGCAAATATACAAAGGAAGTTTATGCACGATTTTAGACTAAAGAACAATCCATTTGACCAAAAGACATCTTATTATTTGTAATAGATGACTTCAATTGCAATCAAATGACAAATGTAAGTATTATATGTACATTTGATTGTCATTTGATATTATATACATATATATACACTATCCAAATATATTTGATTTAAAGAAAACTATCATAAAAACCATAGTTAGAATTCACTTTAGCAATTAAGTACAATGATTACACAGCAGCTGTAAGTCAAATGATTCTATGATGAACTACACAATTAGATATAAAAATAAACTGTGATAGCTAAAGACCTTGAAGTACAACTTTAAAATACATTAAGTAGTATATACACTTGATTTTAATCTATCAAAAATTATGTTAATTGTAATTTCAGTTATATATTACTTAGAGCAGTCTATCAAATCACAAAATGTGCCTCTGCAAATTTTAAAAATCACTTGAATTTTAGTTTTTGTGCCTGCATTCTCTCCTTACACTATTTTGAAAATTGCCAAATTAGTTGTCTATTTAGTAGTAAGTATAATGTGGAGAAAAAGCATATTGCTAAAATGTATTTAATCAGAATTTGTATTTGCATCCCTCCATAACACATACCTTGAGGTATTTTCTTGATCATGGTATTAAAATTAAGTATTAGGTTCAGCATACACAAAAGCTAAAAAATATGAGAATCATAAACAATAAAGCTCTCATAAGATTGTTATTGATCAAAATATTAAATCATTTTGGCTTTTAATCTGCTGAAAGTACACACTGAGAAATATATTTTGAGCTTCAGAAAATTTGTTAAATCCAGTTTAATATATAATAATTTCATCGTAAGTGATAAAAATCTGTACCAGTTATTTTTGGTAGAAACTTTATTTTCCAGTGTATATAAGTAACTTTTGTCCATAAGTAACTTTTGTTAATTCACCATACTTCTAGACTGAATATGTTTAAACAAGTTACATTTCATCTTAATTTTCAAATTATAATCATGGAATGTCTAATAAATCTTAATGCCAGTTATTGCTGTCTGAATTAAATTGCAATCTTTATTGACACATGGAAAGGGAGGGGGGTTTCTTTCCTTGCTGAGAATTATATTGTTCTGGTTGTTAGAATTATAGTGTCACTGCTTTGTTCAAAGCTGGTCAGGGCAAGTTTCTGAACTTGGATTTATTACCACTTACTTGTCTTAGGTCTACCACAACCTCAAAAGTTGTGACAGAGACTCTTCAACTTATACCTTAGCAAATTAAAAGGACAGGAACATCAACAGGGACTCTCGGTACAAACAAAATTTAGGAATATTTATTTGTGCAAGAGAAAATATGCTCTGTGGCTCTGTGCCACTTAAAAAAAAAAAAGTAGTCTTGCTTTAGGTTTCAATTTTCTCAAATGGAAGAAATAGACAGAATATGTCCCCTGGATTTTATGTTTGTACTATGCCAAAGAAAATGAGCCAATGCATCTGAGTGGTTAAGCATTAAAGTATTTTTGAGCAAATTCCCCATTTTTTTCCTGCAATTGATTTTTTCCTCTAACCTTTAAGTTGGTACTTTTTTTTTTTAAAACTACATTGATGCTTTTCTATTGCGACTTTACCTGTCTCTTCCACCCCCACCTTTCTCTTTCAAAGCATTTTTTTCAATCAGCACATGAGGTTCTGAAATAATACTTAGTCTTGGCTTTTCCCTCAACTTTATTCAGCAAAGCTACTGACTTGAACAAAAGCAGTACTGTACCTGCTCCTGGCCGCCAGAAACAATGACGAGCGCCTTGATAAGATTAGATGTAATTTTAAATGCAGCAGGGACAAAGACTCCCTCCCATTCGCCCCACTCCTAACCCCCTACTGTAATTCCACCACAGAGAGCAGTTGAAAAATCCCGGGACAGAGCCAGACTGCTTGGTAAGCGCCACCTAACAGACATAGAAACATGATCTGCATCATTTTCAGGCTTGGCAGACATTTTGTGCATAAAAAAGAGAAGAAAAGAAAAGAAAAAAAAAAGGCCATCTTTGAAACCAGACACAAGCAAACTTTGTACATTCCCAGTTTTATAGTTTCAAGAAGGACTTTAGAATTGAAATAATCAAAGAAAAAAAGAAATTATGTTGAAAATGTATAACATCAATTTAATTTAGTTTTGTTTTTGAGCAGAAATATTCTGACTATATCTAAGTTAAATTTTGCTATGGATTGTTTAGCGTTTTCATCTTTTGGAGTAGGCATAAATGTTTGTGGTTTCTTTATTAATCTAAGAAGTTAGGTGCCCAACATGCATTTTTTTTTAAACTGGTGAAAATTTATTTTTTAATTTTGTGAGAGTATCAATGAAGTGTCCGTGTGCTTTCCTTTTTCTTCTGTTTTTTGGATAAGAAGCTTAGCTTAATAGATGTCTTTACATATATGTATTTATTTGTTCTCACCAAAAAACTTTATTGACTCCTTCATACCTCAATATTGAAATAATAATTTAATCTTGGTCATATTCCACTCTCTCTCTCTTTCTCTATCTACCTATCTATTGCAAAAGCAAAACACTGATATTTAGATTTTAAGAGAAGAAATTATATGAACAAGGAAAATATATTTGTTTATTTAATTATACAGATATAACTCACTTTGCACACACAAAGGCTTTCATAGCATTATACTGTTTGAATTTCTGTGAAACAAATCATCTAAACTGTGCTATATAAACTGTTTTTAATCTAAGGTAACTCTTTTATTAGGTGGATAAGATCTCCTTAATCTGTCAGTCCTAAGATGCTTTTTTGGTATCAAATGTTCTTTATAGGAGGTATGGCAGCATGCTGAAGAAAAGTCAGATGTTGAAACTGGATAAAGAGTCTTAACCGACCACATTTGAGAGGCTTACTAATCTCTGAACTTCTGATCCCATAGTAGTAGGTATTTTTGAGTTAATACAAGAAGACAAATCTCTACACTTACCTAGTTATGGAAATTAGTGGTGTTCAGAGCTTACCCATTAACCTGACAAATACGCTGCATACATGTGCTGTTATTACCCTTATTTCTTGTCATAAAGTTTCAGAAAGCTGAGAAAATAACTTTAGGATATTAATCCCTATACCAACTCACCCTACATTTATATTGTTTTTTCCTCTGAGAAATGAGAGAGGCCTAAACAATAAGAAATTTCACAAGATTTCAGTTAACTAGATGCCACTACGCATTACCAAAATGTATTATCCTTGAAAGTAGTGAACTATATTGATTTTTAAGTTGTTTTGGTGGGAAATAAAGTTTTTTTTCTTTCATTCTTCCTCCCTTTCCCCTTGTTTTTGTTTATTCTTCAACCTGCCATTAGTGTTACCAAACATCTTCAGTGCTCTTCTTTCTCTCTTTTGTTTCTTCTATCTGTTCTTGGTAAGATGTGGATAGGTCCTCCTGACCACCTGTTCCCAGGTGCTCAGCAGCCTCTGGAAGTTTATAGATCCCTAGCAATTTTCATGAGCAGTTCTTCTCTCTCCCGCTCCCTCCCTCCCTCCCTTCCTTCCTTGCGTCCTTGCTTCCTTGCTTCCTTGCTTCCTTGCTTCCGTCTTCCTACAATGTACCAGACACTGTCTTATGGGCTGGGGATTAAAGAAGAGGTGGGTACAATGTAGTTCCTCCTCTCAAGGAGCTCATAGCCTTGTGTCAAGGGAGTCATGAAAAGAAGCAATCTCTGCTTCCAACCTTTCTCTTACACTGTGCCTCCGATCAAACTGAAGCTTCCCATTTTTCCATTCCTTCTATCTACCAGGAACTTGAGAAATGAATGCAAGCTAAAATAACTGATAACTTTTAAAGTATTGCTCATCTTTGCATTTAAATTTTAACTCTTGGCCTTCAAAAGTGGAATACGTAGTAAGGGCTTTTGTCAGTAAAGAACACAGATGAAGAGGAGAGATATTTTATATCAGAGAAACTTTCTCAGAATCTCTCAATCATGATAAAAATGTATTATACTTAAGATTGGCCCTATCCTCTTGGTCCAGAATTTATATAAATCTCTCTGAATTCAAACTCAGAGAAATTCATTACAATTTTCTAAATTTACTATTTGTTTTTTACATTTATCATTTTCAGTATATACTTTGTATGAAAAAAAACTAGGTCAAATAACTACTTATATGCCAATAAATACTTACCATTAAACAATGAAACTTAGATATTGAAATAATTGTTTTCTGTGTTACTAACATATCCTTGTAAAAATCAAAGATGATATCCACCAGATTCAGAAAATCTGTGCCTGGAAACTCTGTCACCTGTTTTCAGTATATTCCTGCTAGCATTATTTTAATTATTTGTCATGCTAATATTATAAGATCCACAAAAACAAAAAGAATAAAAATTAGAAAAAAGAACAAAATTTTATTATATGCCTAGCATTCAGAGAGAGAAATTCTTAACATCTTCTTTCAACTTTTTTCTATCCAAATATTTTAATATTTTCATACAAGGGAGATAATAGTGTACATAGCCATTTTTAGCCATTTTAACATACCAATATATATTGCAAGTATTTAAAATACACTAGAAGGATGATACTTAACGTTTGTAAATATGTTTCTACTTTTTAAATACTGCATTGTGTGAATGTAGAATGTATTAAGATCATCCCTTTTGTTTCTTGTCTTCCTCTTTCTCTATTTTCTATTAGACTAATGTCTTCTATTTTGGCTCTTTACCCTCAGTCCTCCATGCCTTTTTTGGTTCAGCCCTGTCTAAATGGAATGCCCTTTCCCCCTTTATCTGCCTGTCTGGAAATTGTGTTCACTCTACAAGACCCAGGTGATAGGCCCCTTTCTCAACAGAACCTCGAATTCAGCTTCATCTTCTGCATTCCTATCATGCCTTTGGGGTGCTTTCTTTATGGAATTTATCACACTCTGCGTATGAAATGACATCAGCTGGAGCAGAATCAGATTGTGCAAGTGTCCTAGGGGTCTGTCTTGCATGCTCTGGGCAGAGCAGCCTCTAGATGGCATAGAATGTTTTAGGAACTTCTTACTTGTCATGAAAAGCAGAGGACACTGGAGCAGCTGCCTGGCTAAGTTGTGTAATTTGTGTCAGCCCAAGGAGCCCTGTGTGAGAAGATATGAATCCTCATAATAACTGAGGTCCTGGATAAAACAAACCTGATTGCAGTACTGTGAGTCCCTCCAAAGAGATTCAACTGGAGGAGATCACAGCTCCCAAAAAGAACATCACTGGTGAGTTGAGAGAAACTGACTAATATGGGTGAAATGATAGAGAAGCCAGTGGCTACTGTTGTATCAAGAGACTGTGCCTGACTTGGCCATGCCTGGCCATCCCTGCTACGTTCTGGGAAGGAGACTACCATCTGTAAACAGAAAGACTTGCACCACAAGGGACATACAGAGTTTGCCGTGGAAGTCACCCTGAAAGAGTAAGTCAGGCTCAAGACAGAAGTGCACATCTGGAATGCAGTCTTCATTCTGTTGAGGTCCCTGTGCAATTTACTCTGGTCACTAGAAGCATGGAGATCAGCTTGGGCAGGAAAATGCTGGTGGCAGAGTGCTGAGGTCCAGGGTGCCGAAGGACTGAGTAAGTGCAAAAGCCCGAGCAGAGGGATCCTCTTGGAGAAACTCCCTCCTCAGTGACCCCATTTGGCCTTCTTAAGATTCCTGGAGGGGTCCAAAGCAAAGATCACACTTCCTCCAGGCAGAGTGGTAAGATTTAGGGTATGGCTGTCAGTGTGATACACAGATACACACAGAAATGACATCTTTTTTTACCCTTGCACATCCTGTGGCAACTTAGTATGATGTCATACATATACCCAACAGATCTACTTATTTATTACACTCACAGATATTGCTAAGGCCTAAAATATATCTGGCATTATTCTAGGTAATGGGACAAAAATGGTTAGCAAAAACCAGACATAAGTTTTGCCCTCATGGAGCTAAATGTTAATTGGGCTATAATTCATGCAAATAGATTTACATTTCATTATTCTCTTATCTCTCCATGCAGGCTATTTTGAAATATAGCAACACATGTTTCATTTAACTTTTATAATATGCTCTTAAAAATGTGGAGAAGCAAGCAATGCTAAAACATAAATAAGCTAACAGGTTACAATGTTGTTAGATAAGTTAACCCTTTGGAAGCTATATTAATTTTTCCAAGTCCCTAGGCCAATTACTTGCTTTGGAACCCTAAATTGTCATGGGCAAGTGGGGAAATGCACATTTTGTATATATGCAATGCAATTTATTTGGAACTGTAATCCTAAATCTCTTTTCTTTGATCTGACCATGAAACATAAAATGAACATTGATAAATTACTTTGGATTAAATTATTTAATAAATATTATTAATTTCTTAATGTATTCAAGATCCTATGCTTAATTCTGGGAGAGAACAGGAGGTGAATAAAATAGAGTTCCTACTGTCAATATAGTATAAAAACTAGTAGATTTGGCCAAAGATGCAGTCTTTCAAAATTAATGAGCTGCAAAGTGCTACTTTCCCCCACTGTTGGCAGATCAGAGCCTTAATCCACAGTGCTCAGTCTGAATGGGAGAGAGGACGAGAAGGATGTGCTGGACACAGCAGGAGACAGTGTTGTCCAGATAAGCACAAAGTAGTCTCAGGATGCCCGGACATTCGTTTGTGCATAATAAATGTATCCAAGGTGTTTCTATTTCTCACTTGAGTTCTGGTATTTTAAAAATCATAAATAGTTGAATTTTCTATAAAAATAATGAGAAAATGGACAGTAATTAGAAAAAGAACAAAAGCCATCTCTTTCCCAAAACTCTATTTACTCCTGCAGATAGCTTAATCGCAAAAGTAACTAGCATGTATATATTTAGCATGTATAGCATTTCATGTTTCATAAAGAGCAATCACACATTTAATCTTTGTAGCAATTCTGTGAGCCTGGTATTATATCTTCATTTTATAGATGACAAAACTGGGCTATAGATATTAAGCAATTTGCCAAATTTGACTAAGACATGATAAGATTTTGGTCAGTAAGCAGAAAGCGAACATATAAACAGTAACCACTTATTTTTCTCCCACTTTGGGCAAAACACAATATTTCTAGGTGTTTGTGGGAGATGCTCATGTTATGGATGTCATGACCTCTGTCCACAAAGACTGGTCACTAGCAGCGTGGATGGGCGTAAATGAAACCACATATGTAAAAGACATAGATCATCATATTAAAAAGTGTAAAATAATATAGTGCAAGTTAAGGTCATAAATTCTGAGGTCATATGGAGTAATACTATAGCTCAGTGAGGTTAATGCTATTAATACTGGAGATATTGCTTTCTGAATGTGTAGGAGAGGTGTTGGGTGACTACCTTTGAGTCACTAGAATTTTATCACAAAATAATAGCAGAGAAACCACGAAAAGTGGATGTCTCTGAGCAGTGGAAGGGCTTCATGGAGAGGCATTGCCTTTTATAACTTCAAATTTCATTACTAGTGAAATGAAAAAGACAGGAATTAGAATGCCATTACATTTTTTTTAACCAAGTAGATGATATTTTCCATATGAAAAAGTCCGTATAAATATTTATAAATAAGTATGAAAGATTATTTAAACTCATCAGATTTTAAAGCAGAACATTCCTTAGTCTGAATTTTCTGAGCCAGGGTAGAAAAATGGATCCTTCCACCACTTCTTCTCTCTTCTCTCTGGGTGCTTGAAGTAAATTGTACAGGGATGCATATTCCCTTCTAGAAAAGCCTTAAAGAAAAGGAGAATGCAATACTTCACCTCCATGTAATGCAAGGTGATACTTTTTAAAGTAGGGGTTTTATTTTACAACAGACCTACAGCATATATTCTCACAGGTGTCAAACTGATCTACGCCAAGAGGTTCTGAGATATATGCTAATCAGGTCATGAAGTTTTTAAAGAGAAAAAGATTTGAAAAGGGGAAAAAAATTTTCCTACATCTCCTAAGCCCCAGGACAGCTACTATTTACATGGACAGTAATGAGTTATGCAGGTCAAGGCATCTCAGCTTGCTGTTCGTGGAGAAATAATAAAAGCAGGCTTTGCTGAAATAATTTTTCCATTAGATTCCCATCCTTCAGTTTTGACTGAAAACAAAATATTTATGAAGGTGTTAAACAAGGAAGTATGCTTAAATGTAGACAGTTGAGTGTGATTTTTTTCTTTCATTTATTTTTGTAGCCAACAGTTTTATAGACTGATATTCCTTAAAATTTCTATTCCTTGATTCATTCTTCAGATATTTTGCCTAGATGCTAGCTGATAAGGTCCAGGGTAATAATCTAACATTTGAAACAATATTGGCTTAAATCCCACCAGCATACTCCCGAATTATAAGCACAGAAATCAAATATTTTGGATGATGTCATTGGCTGAGTATTTTTTGTTTCATAATTTTTTGTTTTATGTATTCATTTATTTTTTAGAAACAGGGTCTTAATCTGTTACCCAGGTCTGGTGTGCTCACTGTAATCTTCAACTCCTGGGCTCAAGCCATCCTCCTGCCTGGGCTTCCCAATGTGCTGGGATTACAAGCATGAGCCATGGCACTTGGCTCCAAGTTTTGTTGAATTTTAATGTTCTCAATGAACATTGCTTTTGTGAATAATGTTAAGATCTCATGATATGTCACACTATTTAGACCTATTATTTTGTCTTTAAAAACTGTTAGATACCATGTTAAGTGGAAGCCAACAGGGAGTCTCAGTCTGACCTTCTCATTAATTTAGTCTACGTGTGACTTTACCCAGGTCACCTAGTTTGTGTCTTGGTTTTCTTCATGTGTCCAACAATGCAAATAAAAGCCCTTCCCTAAGTTATAAGATTTGGAAAACATGCAATATTATTTGTAAATGGAATCTGAAAAAAGTGAAGCATTCACATACAAGTGATATAGCATAAAGTATTCATTTTAGCTCTTTGTATTAACCAGAGTATAATACACGATGTTATTGATACTATCCCTGATACCTTAAAATTTATTTAAAAGTAAAAATATACTTTGGCCCTGTGGAGATCCTAAGACGTAATGTGGTATAGTATAAAATGCATAGCTTTTGATGTCAGGGAGAATATAGCTGAAATCCTATCTTTGCAACTTAATAGTGAAGTGATCTTGGCAAGCTATTTATCTTAATTTAGCCCCAATTTCCCTATCTGCAAAACAGAGATAGTGATGTCTCTGTAACTGGGTTTTGGCACAGATTATATGAGGTTCAGTGTTGGCCATAAAAAGTATTGACTACTTACAGGATAGGCACTTTGAGAAAGTTGATTAATCTGTGACAACAGGACATATTAATCATTAATTAGACATTAACTAATTACTGATAAACTTCTTTCATTGTTTTAAAATATGTGATCAGCATGGTAGTCTGAACAAATCCATGTTCTTCAAAATGCCTGTAGTAGTAGTATTTAGTTTTTAATTCCCTAAGAAACAACGATTTTAGAATTGGCATATGTAGATGTTAGCTATGTTGCAAAGAGTTTTTTTAAATCAGATACTTATCTGTGTGCAATAATGGCAATATTTAGCTAGAGATACACAAAACAAGTTCTTCTATTCCATGCTGATTTCTACACAGGATACATTTTTAGTCTCTAAGCTTTTAAGAATAAGAATCTTTATGTATTTACCTTATACAAATGAATAAAATTATAAGCTAATCTTAAATTATTAGGTGTCATTATTTTATAAGTAGTTGATTTTACTCATCACTTAGTAACTTAAAAATTGTAAAAATTTTAAGAGTTTGATGTGTTTCCTTATTATTAGGTTTCTGAGGAAAAAAGATAAAAGTTTCCTTATAATAATAATAATTTGGTATGGTATGTACCATTGTCATAATGATGATAGAATTCTGAAATATTTGTATTACTTTGGACCTTTTCTGGTTCTATTTCTCTCCTTCCAATCATAAACAAAGGGTCATATTAGTAACTGTAGTTAAATTTTAAAAAATGGAATGAAAGTCGTGCATCTTTGTGGACATTAGAATAAGACATTTGGGGTATCATAGTTGCTCTTGACTATTTGTAATTTCTTTAATCTTTGAAGAAGCTAATAGAAGGTCTACGCTAGTTTTAAACAAGATATAAAACAAACATTCAATACAGTTAAAAATTATTTTTTGGAAACAGTAATTCAGCTATGAAAGCAAATTTGAGTGTATAATCATACAGTAATTTTGGTTATTATGCGTGAAGTTTTAAAAAAGAATGTGGAAAATAAATACTTTGAGAAATCATTTTATACATCTGTTCAATACGACTACATATCAAAATGAGTCAAGAGATAATGGTAAATATAAGCTCATTAGGGTATTCATTAGAGACAGAAAAGTTACAACACTTATTTAAGAATTATAATAACAGAGTTAGGGTTAAAAATGAAAAGAGTTTCTTTCAGTTGGATATAATATGGTGCCAGATCTACTCTGCCAGTGGCAGAGGGGCATGGTGTTGGTGAATTGTTTTCTTCACTCCTGGGCAAGCCAAGAGAAGGTTTACTTCCAACTCAGAAGGATATATTATTAGAAAAAGTAATGAAAAGATGCCTGGGAATCTAAAAAGGCTGCTTAACTTTTCCTCCAATTTTTTTCTTGGTCCTGTTAATATTTTGGGCAGAATCTCTGAAAAACAGAACTTTTCAGGTGTAGACACTTGAAAATATCTCTTGCATGAATATTGAATGAGAGTAGATAATTTAGAAGAATGTCAGGACTCTACATTATTTCTCCTCTGATAAAGGGTTAATTTTCAGAATCCCCACCCATCCTTTCTATAGTGAATTACTGATGTACTCATAAATTTGACCAGGAAATGTTAACACTTCCTGCTAAAGCTAACTTCAAATAGCAAAGAGGGTATCTGTGTTAAACTATGGTTCAAGGTGAAGCCATTAAGAATAGAGTCAAATTACTGTTTTTAAAAATATGAATATCATTTTAATAATGAATATGCCTATTTTAGAAAAGTGACTGATACAGAAAAAGTGAATAATGCTTATGTGCTTTCTTAGTAATTCTAATTGAGTTTTAAAATATTTTAATTCATTGGTGAAAGTAGACAAGGTGAAATACTGACATGTTTTATCTCTCTACTTATTCATATAGTATTTTTTCAATAAAATGACTATAGCACACTTTAGTTTTTTTTGAAAAAGTGTATTCTTATAAAATAAACTTAGTCCTCATATATTGAATGTATGAAGTTAGTTTTTATTAAAAATTCAAGCAATTTTTGTTTTAAAATCATAAGAGATGAACAGGTTGGGTAAAGGCCTATAATTTATGATGGAAGATTTGAGGATAAAAACCTTGAAATGTAAATCAAGCATTAAAATATTTTGATACATGATATAGTTCATTTTGTCACTTAAATTTTCAGATATTAAAGAAATAACACCAAGCAGTAAACACATTTTGAGTATATAAAGAAAAATAGAGAAACATGTTAACAACTGGATGGATAAAAATCTACACACACACACACACCCCTTTGATCAATTATCTAGATATATTAGGCATTAATCATTCATTTTTTACCTGTTCATAAGCATTAACTTTGTACGTTATTTCAAACTTCCACTAAGGCTGCTAGTTGTGTCACAGTTACTAAATTACTAAATTGAACAGTTACTAAATTAAAATCACCTGCTTGTTTTAGAACTATCACTAAATATCTTGTAAGTGATTATAAACTCCAAATACAAACTGGGCATCTCAAATGAAAACGGTAGGGCCAAGAGGACCAAAGATTAATACTTAATTTAAGGCAACGAAGCTAGTATGTCCTTTTAATAAATACTTTTACCTCAACATTGCTGAAGCCTAAACAATATATTACATATTTTCTATATAGGCAATGTGCTTATTCTATGAATATGTCATCTTGTACCTTACTGATAAAATGGTCTTGTGCATAAGTGATACTCACACACTCACACTGCAGCAGTTTTAAGAGTTAAAGTGGCCAGAGAAATTAACAGTGCTGATAGTACTAAGTTACACATTTAAAAATGACACCTTTGTCCTTTGATATCATTTCCCAACAAGGTTATCACTGAAACTTCTTCCATTCCAAAGAATTGTATTTCTCAGTCAGCTAAAGTAGCTGACAACACAGTGTGACTTGACGTGCAGCTCTAGTTCCTTTCCTCTTTTTTTTTTTTTTTTCCTTTTTGGAGTTCTCGTAAAAGATTTCAGTTATCTGTCATCAGGCCCAAGTTTAGATTCTCCCAAGCCAAAGCAGCTTGGAATGTGTCGGTGAAGAGGACACTCCAGACAGGACAATATGCTTGTCTACGGGGTGAGCGTGAAGAAGAATGCTAAGAGCTTGTAGCAATGTTGCTTTGGCTGGTGTAAGCCACAGAGAGGAGAATGGATCTGCTGGAAATGAATCCTGGTGCTGAAAGGGTACACTTCAACCTTTCAGTTTGTACACAAACCTCAGAGCAACAGCATTATCTGGCAATTGGCCTTCTTATGCCTAATTTTCAACCCACAAGTAGGAGTGAGGATGTTGAGGATATCCTCACCCTTAGAGTTATTCACTTTGCATAATGACTCTACTTAGCACCTTAGGAGGGAGTGCTGATGTCTAAGTGCTCCATAGTCATGACTGTGTACCCTTCAATTAAGCAGTCCAGATATGAGTTCTTTTAAGATAAACTGAAAGTGATTATGGTGGTGGTTACAGGGGCATGTACATTTGTCAAAACTCATCTAACACTTGAAATAGGTGAATTTTATTGTAAGTAAATTATAGCTCAATAGAGCTGATAAGAAGCAAGTTTAGGAATCTTGAAGCATGAAGAACTGTTAGATAAAATAAGAAAGCTGCTGTCATCAGGAGCATACTAATTTTAGTTATTATTATAAGAATAAACTTTTTTGAGTAGAGAATACATTAATCATTTTAAGATTTTTTTGAAAATATATTTATTTTCTAATGGACATATTGTAATTGTACTTATCCATGGGGTACAATTTGATGTTTCCATACATATTTGTGTTATATAATGATCCAATCATAGTATTTAGTGTGTCCATCACCTCATGTGTTTATCATTTTTTTGTGATGAGAACATTCATAAGCCTCTTTTCTAGCTATTTTGTAATATACAATATTTTGCTGTTAACCATAGTCACCCTATTGTGCAATACATCAGAATGTATTCCTCTTATCTAATGATAATAACTTTATACCTGTTGATCAACCTGTCATCATGCTCCCTCTCTCCTCCCTATTAATTATTTGTAATAAACAATAAACCATTCCATAACTGACTCATTTTACAATGATTATATGAATTAAAAAAGCATGCCTTCCTTTTTAACCATTGTATTTCCAGGTATTTGTCTGATTTATGGCAAATAGTAGGTACTCAATAAATATTAATGGTATAGTTGATGCCTAAAATTGTAATCACTAGCATATAAAATGTTATTATGCATTCTTTTTTTTTTTTTTTTTAGAGATGGGGGCCTCACTGTGTCACCCAGGTTGGTCTCAAACTATTGGGCTTAAGTGATCCTCGTGCTGTGGCCTCCCAAACTGCTGAGATTACAGGCATGAGCTACTGCGTCTGTCTTCATTATGCATTACTGACTTAAAATATATTATATATATAATATGTAATATATAAAGCAAATGGAAATAGCTGAAAGTTAATTAGAACTGCTTTGCTAAATATCCTTTAACACTGTCCTAGTTTACTCATTATATGATAAGTTTCCCATGTTGGATTTTACTGCACTAACCTGATGATCAACATCACAAGTAGCAACCCAAGCTCTTTATATTGTGCTTGATTCTGATGTGTCCTCATGGGAGAATCAAGAGATTTCCTGTCTATTTCATTTTGAGGATATGAGGCTTTCTATAACCTGATGCACAACGATGTGCTTATTTTGGGAGGTGGGTGAGAAAAATAACAATATTTGAAACTTTCAGCTTCTGTTTCTTCAAGAAGGTGGTGGTGGGAATGAGTGAGAGTGAGAAGCTTTGCCCTTTAAAGATAGTTGCAATGCTCTGTGCTGTGCCATAGAGTCATCGGTATTTTCAATGATTTGGGGAGCATGCTGACGGAAGAATTATGCCTTCATTTCTGAAGAATTCTTTGCCAGTTTGATTGCTTTTGGAAAACATTTAAGTCATTTTGGAATCTAAAGAGACCAAAAAAAAAAAAAAAGATAGTGAAAGAAATAGGCAAGTCTTCTTTTTGATTGAGGGGTGATGGCAGATAGTGATCACAATGTTTGGAGAAAATGAATTATTTTAGGGTGAAATGTACAACTGGGGACTTGTCTTACTTACTTTACAACTCACAGCAATAGTTTAGGTTGGCACTGAGTTGAGTATCCCACATTTCAGAACACAACCCTGAAGAATATGGGAATGGAGAAGAGACACTCCCTTCTACTGTGTTTAACTCTTACCTAAAGACAGTATAGGGGAAGGGACTACAAATGTCATTTTGAAGTGGTATATATGAGACCCTGCATCAATAGTACTAAATATTTAAGACAAATAAATAAATATTTATGACAAATATTTAAGACAAAAACTAAAGAGTTTCTCAAAATATTTATGAATTAAGACTTCTTCCTAGAATGTTTCCAACCGGATTTGGTTACAAATACAAATATCTTGTAATAAGCTCTTATTTGGGTAAGTAAAATCACTTTACTTAATTTTTATGTGAATATTTGTAGACAGGAGATAAATGAATACATATAGTGTTGCAGGCATCAAGAATCCTCTGTGGACTAAAGTTTGGACCTAATATTCTCTTACCAATTATGACTACCGTCATCATAGACTCATTACATTTTCATATTTTTTCCATTACACTATAAGCAGTTTCATGGCTGGGACAAGTTTGCATCACAGGCAGTATCTACCGTGTATATGATGCTCATTGATTATTTGTGGAATTGTCGAGTGAATAAATTAACAAACAAATGAATACATGTGTGTAAACACCTGTGGTAAAACCTATCAATTGTTCCTTGGTTTTTCTTTTTCCATCCTTTTTTTTATTACTAGAATCATCCAAGTATAAGTGGAGCACATGATTGCTCAGATAGTTTCCATTTTCAATTTTTCTTGCAGCTAATTTTGATCATATCACTAAGTTTGGACCATTCTGATATCATCAGAAGAGATGTCTGCAAATTTTGTGATTTCCAACTGAAGACAATCTGCCAGCCCTGGGTTTCCACTCTTTTCCCTCATCATGAACTGGAACACTAACTTGATTGTGAGTTAGGTCCAAATATGCAAAGGGAGAAAACACCCTATGAGATAACAGAGCATGAACATGGGAGGAATTTGGACCTCTGAGTGATGACTTGTAGCACAATCACTGCTCCAGCCTGGACTACTCAAACTGGAATAAAAGGGAAAATTATCTATTTAATTTAAACTATTTTATTGGAGAATCTTTGTTATAGCAGCTTAACATATCTTCTACCAATATATGCAGACAAGTATATGGTACACTATGCAATCACCTATGTATGAGTTGAGTTACAAGGGAGAGGAAGAGAGTGATCTCATTAAATTTTTTTTAAAACTCCTTTGCTATTTTTTCACTTTATATGTGAACACACAATGCTTATGTAGTAATTCACCAATTTTTAGACTTACAAAATTACTATTATAGAATAAAGAGTTGGAAGTCTATGCCTTAACTTTGAACTTGAGACTTAATCTTAGTGGGCCCCATTTTCAAAATAGAAGATTTAAGCAATAAAATTTTATTTATCTTGAAATTTTAGGAATCATTCTTAAAGTTGTAGTCATATAAATTTTAAAAAATTCCAGTGAGGTAATTTCCCATTGATTTTGCATATAGCTAAAGTATTTCCAAACTTAACCACAGGGCTCATTAGAAAAAAATCTACATGCTTTCTAAGATGTTTCCTCCACAGTCAATTATAGACGCGTAGCCTTATATTCTAAGTAATAATAGAATATAAGGTTCTATCCATATTTTAAATAATTTATTTATATTCTAAGTAATAGAATATAAGCTTCTATTTACATTCGAAATAATAAAATTTATTTATACTCTAGGTAATAGAATTTATTAAGGTCCTTTGGATTCTGTTCTTTGGATTCTCGTCTATCTGTAAGGACAATCTAACAGGCTTTACACTAGTGTAGATCTAAGAATGGTAGGAAGTAAACTTTTCTTTGTTTTCTTCTAAATTTTGCTGTATGAACAATTTTCACATCTGAATTGAGAATATGTATTTCACTTATGGGAGTATCAAAAATTTATCTTCTTAGTTTTCAGTTCTCCCAATATTTGTCACTCTAAAATTGTTGTAAACATCTATAAATGTTATAATAATGTAATACAAGTCAACTGTGGTTGTTCAATGAGGAATACAAAGAGGTTTCAAATATGCTTTCTGTTTTAAGGGTGCCTGAAGACTCATGAGAAAATAGAATACACACCTACACACACAAATACAAATGAAAGTAGTGTTACAGATCTTTGCACAGCACTTGGGCAGCTCAGATGTGAGAGAGATATGAGTAAAATGGGGAACTGAAATTTCAATAGTCTACTAGTCAATGGGAAATTGAAATGGAATTTGAGGTTATGAATAGGCACTAACCAAGAGCCTGGAAATATATTTCAGTCAGATGGGGACAAGGTGGGAATGTACATCATATTTGCAAAGCTACGAGTAGCCTGGTTTAACTGAAGCAGTAGGCTTGGGTGGTGTATATGGGGAATACAGGCTTTGGGGCTAATTTTGGGCCAAATCACGTCAGCTCTTGAAGACAAACATGAGGAGCATGAATTTTATTCATTTTTCTAAGGATAAAAGGGGACACAAAAATTGGCCTTTTAGAAAGATAAATTTGAGAGAATTATGTGACAGGGATTACAGAAAACAAACTGAAGGGAGATAATTAAACTGGGGGAAAGTTACAGTTACCCAGGCAGGCAGGGATGTTGAGTTGAACAAGACAAAGTGGCAGGCTGTGTGAATTGTAGAACATTATTGTATTGACAAAGAATTTAATGGAATGTGTTTATGTGGTTCCTGGTGGTTTTTATTATATTCTCTTCACTGCCTTGCCTTAATTGAGATCTGTCTTCTCATTGTTAATTCTGAAACTCTTATGACTCTGCCACATTAAGAATTTTTATTTTATTAGTTGTACAAGTACTAGTAGTAATAGTAGTAGTAGCTATCCTTTCATGATAACTTTTGTTGATGACTTCCTATGTGCCATGCTCTATCTTAAACAATGTGCATGTATTATTAGGTTGAACTACATAAAATTGCTATTCTTACAGGTCAAAAATGATTGAAGAGCAGCAATTTCATGTGGTTCACTTAATCTTCACAACCACCATATGAGTTAGTTACTATTATTATCCCAATTTTCATGCAAGAAAACTGAAGCATAGAGAGGTTAATATTTGCCTAAGGTTGTAAAACCAGTAAGTGGCACAGCTGGGATTCAAACACAAGCAGTGCTTCTCCAGAGTCCAACTGAACCACCTGCTCTCAGCTTACACTGTACTAAACTCTTTTATCTCATGTAATCTTCCCAGCAAACTTAGGAAGCAGGCACATTCCTGTTTTACAGATAAGAAAAGTGAGGCACAGAAAACTAGTTTGCCTATGGTTACCTACATAAGGAGAAACAGTCATGATTTGAACCTAGCTGTGTCTGATTCCAGAATGGTAACATTCACCCTTTATTCTGTAGCCTGAGAGAGCAGGCAGGATGAGGATTCTCTTGGCTGCCTTTCAATGTTTTCAAGAGATTGTTCTACAAATTCCTTTTCATTATTCCACTTTCCTTTTTAATTTATGGACTTTATCAGCATCCCAAAGTATTCGATATCTGTAATATTTTGAAATTTTCTTGACACTACAGCTTGCTACCATTCTCTGTCTCTCATGTTTACTAAACATTGCTTTTGACCTCACACTTAACATCAGTTTCTTAATCCAATTTGATTTTATAAGTCCGTTTCTTGTTTCACTTCATATGCAAACTATAATGGATGCCATGCTCAGTTATTTCACCTCTATCTTCCTTATCATTTTCCATTTCCTAACCCGAGCAAACTGACACATTTATTTCAGTTTGTCAGTTAATTCCCCAAACCTAGCTCAACCAAATGATCAATTTTCTCTAATTCCGCTCACAAGCAATTTGGATAGAGTTGGAGAAAATTACAGAAGTGGATTAAGTTCAATGTAAATGTGTGATCTAAGTTGGACCCTTGATACTGTAGAGTAATCTTAATTTAAAAAACTAATTTATCTCATTTATTTTTTATTCAAGTTTCCATATACCTGCAGAAGTCATTTTAAACTGTATCTTCTTTTCTCAAATCGTCAATTCTTTTTCTATCTTTTTCATTATCAATTCCTAATTTAACAGAAAAATCTTGCATTCCCTGTCTTACAACCATGCTTGTTCACTTCTTTTCCCAAGTTAATAGTATCTCATCCTACTCAGAACAAAATATTGCTCCCCTTTGTCCCCTCCTTCACAAAGTTAATTCTCCCAGAATTTCACCCCTTTCTGGGAGTTTGAACATTAGGTTATCTTTTATCTTTGGAATCATCATCTCCCACTCATTTGTGATTGAATCTCTTGTTGCTGCTTAAAAAATATACCCAAAGCGGTGTTTGGTTTTCTGTTCCTGTGCTACTTTGATGAGGATGATGGTTTCCAGCTTCATTCATGCCCCTGCAAAGTGGGAGTTGAACAATGAGAACACATGGACACAGGGAGAGCAACATCACACACCGGGGCCTGTCCGGGCATGGGGGGCAAGGGGAGGGACAGCATTAGGACAAAGACCTAATACATGCAGGGCTTACAACCTACATGACAGGTTGATGGGTGCAGCAAACCACCATGGCACATGTATACCTATGTAACAAAACTGCATGTTCGGCACATGTATCCCAGAACTTAAAGTAAAATAAAAAAAAATTATAAAACAAAATGGGAAACAAACAAACAAAAATACCCAAAGCTTCAGCCACTCCTTCCTAAGAAGAAAACAGATCTTTCCTTGATGTGGATTCCCGAAGACTTCTATAGTTACTTAAAGTTACCACCTCTGACTCAGTGCTGGAAAATGGCAGCCTTTTCCTAAACCGCTTGTCTGTCTTATTTCTCCTCACAAAATGCTTCCTAAACTTCTCCACATCTTTCCCAGTTCTCATCACATGCTCTATTTGCCATTTATAGCCTCATCTTGCTCTTTATCTCATGAGCTCAGCATTGTCTCCACTTAAATCTGCTGCCTTTTGCTAAATGCAGACTCAACCCAGTTTAGAGTAGACTTTCTGCTGGAGGATTCTCTAGCCATATGATTGGAATGCAAGTAATTTTTCCTTTCCTGTCTGCCACTCTGACTCCTTTCTTACATACTCTGAAATCTATCTCCAGAGTGGTCTCCCCGTACGACCTACTATAAAATTGTGTTTGATGTTTCAACCTCTTGAAATCTGGCTTTATTCTCAACACTCTACTAACTATTCTTACTATCATCATCAATAACCTTCAAGTTGAGTTTTCAAATCAAATGTTCTGATTTCATTTTCCCTCCTTTCTTCCATGTTGTCAAGGCATCTTTCTCCAATATTTTTTCTTTTCTGAATTCTTTCATAACACTGTCATTTATTAATTAAGCCTGTAAAATTTTTGGGCATGTTTTATATTACAGGCAATTCGCTAGGCTCTAAGGAGAGAGAGAAGAACCAAACACAGTTTTTGTCCTCAAAAAACTGATGGTCTATGAAAGGAGAGAGACAAGAAAATCAACATGTAAAATAAAATATGTTAATGGCTTAACAGAGCATTAAAAAACCTGAAGAGGGCTGGGCGCGGTGGCTCAGGTCTATAATCCCAGCACTTTGGGAAGCTGAGGTCACTTGAGGTCAGAAGTTTGAAACTAGCTTGGCCAACATGCGAAACCCCGTCTCTACTGAAAACACAAAAATTATCCAGGCATGGTGGTGCATGCCTATAATCCCAGGTATTCAGGAAGCTGAGGCAGGAGAATTGCTTGAATCCGGGAGGCAGAGGTTGCGGTGAGCCGAGATCTCCAGCTTAAGTGACAGAGACAGACTCCATCTCAAAACAAACAAACAAACAAAAAAAAAAACCTGAAGAGGACATGGTAGAAAGAGAATAAAAGGATATTTTCTCAGCTTGGAAAAGTTTTTAACATCCCTTCTTTCATATCCATTCACTAATTTCTCTCCTCTTCCTGCTTCTTAAATATCAGCACTCTACATTCTTCTTTTCTAACACTATTATATTTTCTCTTTCAAACTATCTTCCACACCCATATTTTACCTTACCTTACTAGAAGAGTATCAGTAGCCTAGTTCCATCTGCCAAGTTCAAGATATGTTGGTGTTATCTTCATTGTGTTAAAAAAAAAAGTTCAATTGTTCTTCTCTAAAATCTATAGAAAAAAAAAAGACAAAAGAAAGCTGTCTTTCTTTGTTGATAGTCTCATCTATTCAGTCCCCAAGTTAGTGATCTCACATTATCTGAATTACCACCATGTTATTTATGTATTTAGAGCCCCAGTTAGGTAATTAATTAAAGAGAGACCCATTGCTTCTTCAATTTGTGGTTGAACTTTGCCTAACCAATGGAAGGCATAAAGGTGTTTATAAATGGATGCATGAAGGTGAGGAAACAGATTAAGAATTATTAACAACTTACTCAGAATAATGCAGTGTGGTGATTTGCAGGCTTGAACCTTGGTAATTGGGAGAAAGGCCACATCATTAATACTAAGTGAGGAAAGGAGGAAGCATAAACTCTTGGTTTGCTTTTACATTTTTAAGATTGATGTATTGATAGGCATTCAGACAGAGGGCTGCAGGTTGCATTTGGAAATATTGCCCTGGACTTGAAGAAGGCTGAGAACACTTGCTGACAATGGGAGTGTTACAGTCAGTACTTGGATGCAGGAAAAAGAATAAATGACTCAAAGCTTAAGAATGGTTGATAGCATCATCTCAGTGCTATTACAGACATAGAGAAATGTAGGGGAATTTTAATTTTAGATATACTGTGTGTGGGGTCAAAATTTAATACCCAAGTGGAAAAGTCCCTGCAGATTTGTTTAGACAACTATGGAGAAGCTACAGAGCCAACTGTTGAATTGGACCAGTGTCCTGTCACAAACATCAAAGCTGATAGAATATAAGGGTCTGTTTGGTTTGACTAACCTGGAGAATAGCAGTGGTGTCCTCTTGTCACTCTTCTACTGAACAACCAAGAAAATGAAATTTTATAAGGAAGTGATGAATCCCAGTGAAAGGAATTAAAGCTCAACCTGAATGAGGTGAGAAAAAACAAAACAAAACATCACCAATTGATTGTCCCATTTGATTTAGTAACCATGTAGTACAAAATTACACTAGAATGGTAGGGGGAGGAGTTAGGCAATGAGTGATTAAGAAGAAACAGATGAGGCAGTAAACATAAAGCACATTTCAAGAAATTTGGCAGAAAATGAAAGAAGTGTATGAAATAGTAACTCTAGCAGTAGCTAAGTCAAATTAATTTAATTTTAACTTACTTTGTTTCTTCCTTTTCCTTTCTTTTATTTGAAGGTGGGGTAGGGTGGGGAAGGGAGTACCTATTATGTTCATGGGTAGAGAGTAGGTAGCATAGAAGAGAAGGGGGAAATTGGCAATTGAGTATGAACCAAATGGAATGGATAGCTAGCTTGGAAGATGCTTTTCAGTTGAACATAACCCACCCAATTGATATTCAGTAAGTCTCTTCATAACACCAAGCTGCAAATTGATTTTTCTCGAGGGCATAATGCTACTTTGGTGGCCTGAGTCCAGGATTCTAAGGCATTTTATTTTTTCTTTCTTAAGTTGGGAATGTTCAAGCATGTAGAGATCTAATCCTCCTTCTGACCTTTACATACCTTACTTTGTGGTTTTAAGGAAAATGGGCCAAAGCAATGAATGGAGACATGGGATTCACAGTTCAGAGGCTGGTTATGCATATAGCAGATACAATTTACAATCATGATTTTAACATTGTCTTTGCTAACAATTTTTTTGGGGAACAGGAAGTTAGTATTTGCTTCAGTGTATCCCATAGGGATATTATCAAGTGTAATAAAATAATTAAAATATTTTGTAGAAATTAAAGAAATTACATTTATATTTTACTGTAAGTTGCCTTTGTGAATACCAACTTATTGATGTAAATGTTATCTAATTTTCTGTGGAAAATCTCCTTACAAAACAGATAATTGACTGGTGTTACTGTGTTTCATCAAGCTGGCAGTACTCCTGTATCAATGTGGTATTCTTTGTTTAGGAGAAAATATTTTAAAACCTGCCACATATATTAATGTGTATTTTTAAAAATAATTCAATAAATTCATTCCAGACTTTACATTTATTTGTTAGGCTGGTGCAAAAGTAATTGCAGTTTTGGACAATAATACCATTTTTTAAAATTACAATTTTGTTTTATGACTTACCTGATTACCACAGGTAAAACATATTGGAATTCCAGGATTCAAATGCATAAAATGTCTATGACTGATTTAAGCTGTTTCCCAGAAAAAGTTAACATGATATCACATAATGAAACACTCTTATGCTTAAGATGTAATACTTTCATATTGTTAAATTAGATTGGAAGTAAATCACAAACTTTTATTAGTTAGAAATTTATATATATTTCTGATCCAGAAAAATGCCTATAACTTCATAAAAATATTCAATTCTTTCTTTCTTGGTGCTGTCATCATTTGTAAAGAGATTAATGGAAGTTGACAGCATGTGCCATTTATGTGTCAGGCTGGTTAGTAAAATCTTTTGATATGCAGAATTATTTGTCAGGTAACACATTTCTAGTTCTCTCTTCACCTTTAAGTCCATCTATCTACTTTGGGTCACTCTTATCTGTATCCAATAGCTTTAGCACAAATCGGCCCCATGAATTTTGTGTTCCTCACTTATTCTCCTTTCTTATAAACACTCAACAAATCATATTTTTCAATTACCTATTATACTTTTCTCAGCAGTAGCACAAAACAAATGCAGTAAAAGCACAGATGATAGGTTCTAGTGACTAACTTGAACATTTGGGGAGTTAATCTCAATTATTTGAATAATTATTTTAGTTTGCTATCGAGTTCATATTTCAATTTAGATATATAATATAGTATCTAAAATTTCAAAACTGACTCAAAGTGATGTTACCAAGGGTTTTCTATTCTTTTTTCTTTTTTTGAGTTGGAGTCTCGCTCTATCGCCCAGGCTGGAGTGCAGTGGTGCGATCTTGGCTCACTGCAAACTCCGCCTCCCAGATTCACGCCGTTCTCCTGCCTCAGCCTCCCGAGTAGCTGGGACTACAGGCACCCGCCACCACGCCTGGCTAATTTTTTGTATTTTTAGTAGAGACGGGGTTTCACCGTGTTAGCCAGGATGGTCTCGATCTTCTGACCTGGTGATGCGCCCACCTCAGCCTCCCAAAGTGCTGGGATTACAGGCGTGAGCCACCACGCCCAGCCAAGAGTTTTCTATTCTTTACAAGTATCTGACCTTAAGATAGTTTAGAACTACAGCATTTGACAATCTAAACAAACGATTGAACAAAAAACAAAACAACCCTATTTTTTCACTAATTCCAATGTTCACTTGCTATATTTTCATTGTCTTGAACGCTTTTATGATTGTGCAGTTTTGATAGTAGAAAATGAATCCATGAACTCAAAGTAAAAGTAATTTCTTTAGTTATCATTTCTTTTTGGGGTATTATCAGTAAATTCAATCCTAACTATATTTTCCTGGATTGGTAATATTTGACACAATTCCTTTTTATTATCAAAGTCACTATACTTGATTTTGATGACATGTAAAGTTAATAAATCAATGGCTTTAGAAGTCTACACTGAGTGGTAAAAGAAGTCAGGAGCAGGAAGAAAACATATTTTTGGGCCATATTTCATTGGCATCCTATTTATTTAGAAAACCGTGTCTCTATTCTAGTTGGGTATGTAAATCATTAGGTTTTATTTTGGTAAAATGTACAGTTAATTATATATTTGGGAATTACTGCTTCTTAATATTTTTATAACAATGGGTCATGCAATGGTTTTTTTCTTGACTAAGTAAAAATTAAGTTGTATTCATATGCTTTCAAACTCAAATGTAACAGTTCCTAAAACAGAATGCAAACTTTTACATGTAAAGAAAAGTACATTTCCAGTGTGTTATTGTAATATTTAGAGTAGTCTAGATATTTCAGAAAAAAAGTTCTGTGTATCTTTTATAGTGATTAAATGTATTTTCCAACTTCTCAAATTCAACTTTCAATTATTTTTATAACATCAACTAATTTTGCATTAAATTTGATTTTGATATATTGTATAAGATATAGCTCATCTTTTAAAGACGTTTTATATTTCTAACATATGGAACATGCTTTTATGTCACATTTTCTAAAGGTTACAATTTCATGAACTGGCAATTAAAGGGTTATTTAATTGAAGAAGTTCAGAGTTGAATCAGCATTTCCCAGTGGCACGTATCTTTAGCAGTAAGTATAGAAGCAAACTCGGAAGAAACACGTTTGAAGTGGCAGAACTAATCATGCAGAAGCAATTTGTGATTTTTTTTCTCTCAGCCTAGATAAAGCAGAGCATTAGGACATCGGCTGTGCTGAACAAGGTCAATTTACTGTGAAAAGCCAGCTATAGACTACAACTTCAAATAGACTTTTATCCTGCATAGCTAAAAACAGGATTTAGCCTATTGCTTACACTGCAGAATGGGCAAAATGAAGTGGACAATTCAATTAGGATGCACCCGTATTTGTCACTAACTTTTTTTTTTTAACTGTTTCAGATAATCAGCTTGTAACTGGATCCAAAGATTTCTCCCACCCCTGAGAACAAAGTCTAAATTCTTGGTTGTTCATGTTCTCTGCAAGAAAGTATATTTTTTAGTGTTATAAATGTAATCAATAAGAATCCACCAATTATGTGTAAACAAATTTTAGCATCCATTTTCTTTTCTTGCATTTAATTTACTTTAGACTTTAAAATGCAACCTTTCCCTCAGAAATATATACGAAACTGTCTTTACAAATTATATATTAAAAACATAAAATAACTTTTTGAATTTAGCATTTATGTGATGTGCTATACGACTATTTACCTATTATCCCTTAAATAGAAGACACTTCATAAAGATGATTCTGCCTCTTCTGTTGGACTAGATGTAACATTCTCATTAATTTTTCAAAATGATTATATTTATGGGAGTAATCATATAAATTGTTTGGCTAATCACAGTGAATAAACAGTCTTCTCTCTTAGCAATGGGGAAAAAAACTCTCCTACCTTGTTTTCTGGCTGATGTCCAGAATAGATTATTCTTATGAAAAATGAAATAAGAGTGTACCTTAATTATCTGTTCAAGGATTCAGCCATCTGGGATATTCATGTTTTAGTGCATTTAACTTTATTAGGTGCATCTGATTGACTTCCTTTGGCCACAATTTGTTTTGATAATGGTATCAATAATCAATTATATTCAAAATACATGAAAGCTGATGGCATTTATTCCTGGAAGCTGAGCTAGAAAGTTAATGAAGATATGATTAAATGTCATTGTTAATATAGTTTGTAATAAAAATATACATCCATGCCTAAAGCATAATAGCTCTAAAATTTAATGTACCAGTCAACAGTTTGTGGGCCATAATCTGCTGCTGCTGTTAAACGTTTGGCAGGTGATGGAACGCCATGGTGTTCACACTGACTCCTGGAAGATTGTAGAAGTCAGTCTTTTAATGTTTTCATTGGCTCACAGAGATGCTGAGGTCATGTATCTCAGTAAGACAAGCATCACTGGAGTCTGCTTTTGCTGATCCAATGATCGCCAGTAACACACTGTTCTTTTAGAGTTTATGACTCTGCATAAAGGACAGAGTAAAATATGTGACTCAGGTCAAAAATGAGGATGAAAGAAATCAGGGATGAGGTAGTCATTTTAAAAAGAAATGTACAATCACTGCTTGTTACTATTACATATTAAAACTCAAACTCCAGATAATTGAAAACAGATATATTTTTCCCACAGATGTTAATGTTTGTATTTAGTAACAATCAAAAATATATTAAAAAATTAAAACACGTGTAAATTAATTTTGTCTTTATTTTTTCAAATTTAGGCATTTCACATCATTTGTATGTGTAGCTGCTTCTTTTTGTTTTGTAAGACATTACCACTTAAATAATCCTCCAAAATTCGGTATCTATTGTGAACTTTTAATAGTTAGGAATAGTGGGTTATAAACTTTGTATTTCTGTTGTGCTGTAGCATCACTATACTATGTAATGTTATGTATTCACACAAGTAATATTTTAGATTTAAAAAATAGAGAATTGTTAGATATAGAGTATATTTTGAATACAATATTAATATATGTGTAATATTCTGTAACTGTGATAGTTTTACACTAAAACAGATGATATGAATACTGTTACATCACCAGATCACATCACAGTTCTCAGCCTTGATTGGAATCACCTGGATACCTTCAAAATATAATGTGGTTGATTCCAATCCATGAAATTGTGATTTAATTGATCTGGTATATTGCCTGACACTATTTAGAAACCAAAACATGCCAACCAATTTTTTTTTTTGGTCTGGATAGTGACAATTCAACTGGCTAGTTCATTACAAATTTTGAGGGTAAATATCATAGGTTCAAATTATTTTTTCAATTTTTTTACCCGGATAATTTCTTCAATTGTCCACTTTACTGAAGTAGA
This sequence comes from Homo sapiens, assembly GCF_000001405.40. NCBI lineage: Eukaryota > Metazoa > Chordata > Mammalia > Primates > Hominidae > Homo > Homo sapiens. The sequence goes on from NC_000005.10 coordinate 51,490,345, forward strand.
GCCTGAATTATAATACTTTTTTGTGTGTCTATGTGTGAAGTAGACTAATTTCTGAGAAATCAGTTTTAATACAAGCATTCCAGCGTTGCATATACTAAAGAACTTTAAATGTACTAATTGTAATGCACCTATACAGATTGTTTCTTTAAATTATTTGCAGTTTAACAATCACTACAATGGCAATTTTATGTTGAATAAAATTACATATAAAATGATATAATAGATGTGAAAGTACTTTTAAAACTTAAAAAAGCTAAACAAATTGAAGTATTAGTATTACGGTACCATTGTGTATCAACAAATTCACTTAATTGAGAAGTCTTTATATTCATATTCAACTGTAATCCAATCATTCTCTTGGTAAAGAATTTTTAAGTACATACTTACACAATCTCTTTGACATTTTACATTTTGTCTAACATTAGTGAAACTTCATAAGGCTTTAAATTTCAGAATTTTTGTATTCTTATGTTTGTGTGTTTATCTTCAAAGCAATCTCTACTATGGCACATATTGTGCATTTAGATAATCCAATCATGGTAAGTTAATACTCCTGATTTAGTGACCAAATAAGATACATCTTCAGGCTTACTAATTATCAAACAAGTTATGAAATTATTTCACTTTCTAACCTGCCATGGCCAAGATAGTTGACTTGCATAATGTAGTTTAATTACTCTTAAAATTTCACACACACCTTCAAAAAGAAATGAGAGAAGCCAGTGATCTGTGACAAAACCAACTTTCAGCCTCTCATTGACTAACCACCCAACAAACATCCATTTTGTTTACATTTTGAATTACATGATCTCCAGTGTCTTACAATCTAATACAATGCAGCAAATGAACAAAAATGAACAAAGCATCATCACCTCTACTCCTACTCTCATCACAGGAAATAATCTTGTCACTCTGGAAAATGTAAAAACAACTGGGTCGTTTACATTGGCCAGGGTCAATATACTTCTCTTGAACACAGGCATGCAATAATTTTTGAAATTAAACCATAAAATATCCTCATTAAATGTTTCATGGAAAGTTTTTAACATTAGGTATAAAATTAACAATCCTGAATAATCAAAAGAAAACAAGAGAATAGCTATTTTGAGTGACATTATGTTTGTCTAAACCCCAAATATTCAAGAACAGAAATTTCCAGTATGAAATAATGAGAAAATGAGGGGTAAGCTCTGTATAGAAATATAGAAAAGGAAGGTGACAGAGACATGTGAATCTATAGTTTTATAGCAAATTATTAAAAAAAAAAGAGCACAGGAGCTGGTGTTGACACTATGCCACAACCTATGTCTATGTGTTGAAACTTTGCAGACATGTTTCCCCTTGTGATATTCAGCTAAGTGTGTATTTGTTCTTATGTGTGTGAGAGAAGAATAGCAGGTGGAGAGAGAGAGAGAGAGACAGAGAGAGAGAGAGAGAGACAGAGAGAAAGTGCTGGGAGAGGGCAAAATAGCAAGTGTTGTGTTTTATTTTTTTAAAGTAAGAGTTATAACCAGAATAAAAAGTAAGATAAATATAAGAATAGTTAATTATACCTGTAGAAAAGTTAGAGTAGAAAATAATATTTGAATATTCCAAGATTTTTGGAATAGTGTAGCAGGCTTATGAAACTACAATGTTTTCCCTCATTTATGAATTACAACTTTAAGTAGGTGTAAATGGAAGTTGCTTATTGGTGAATGGCAATTTTAAATATTCAGTTGTCTTGGAATTGAGATGATCCAAAATGATAAACAATCCAGAAAATGAATAAACAAGCAAGCAGACAGTCATCCTTTAGTTCCTCTTCAGCGATCTGCATCTCTTTTTGGTCTATTCACAGATACGTCCTAGAGTTATCCCTCTTCATGGGAGTTTGTAAATCATGACAGTCCCATGACCAGATGGGAACCCTGTCTGCTTTAAGTATATTGAAAAGTGGGAGAGCCAGTATATTTTAGTTCGTTATTAAATGGCAGTAGATTCTACTGATGCTTTCTTTTCAAACTCCTTTCTACTGCTATTTTGCTGCTGTTATTCTAGAAACCTAGCATGTAACTTCTGAGAACTGCCTATGTTTAACTCTTTACCTAAAAGTATTTCAAGGCTTTCTCTTCATTATTTTCTTCCCTATAAAGGATACTGTGAGCACAAGGACAATGGTGACAAGAGACTGCAGGCACCAGTAAACTGGCTACGAAGGGAACAACAATTCATTAATTTCAAGAGTCTTGAGTTACTATGAGATAGAAATGGTACTGGCCTTGATGGACTGAAAAACGCTAAGTATTCTGACTTTCCTACTATAAAATGACACAGCCTTAAGTGTTAAGAATCTATGTTGGGATAATTGGTGTTTATTTTGAAAAACATTAACTCTGAGACTATAAAGGAATGAGAAAGTTAGAAAACAGCATAGCCTAGCGAGAAAGTACGTGATAGAGTGTCAGAACATCTGGATTCTGGCTTGAACTCTGTAATATTACAAAACCCAGTGGATATCACCAAGTCTGCTGTTCCTCTTTGCAAAATGAGATTTTGTTCTTTTACCTGCCACAAAGAAGTGCTATGAATATACGTGATCTTAAGGACTGAAGATGTTTTGCTCCTACTGAGGGAACGTTAGACAGCTCTGCATACTCCTTGACCTATCAACCAGAGTTTCTCCTTCTCCCCCTCCTTTCCTCTCTTCCTTCATCATTGGAGATCCTGTTTCTACAGAGTGCCAACCAGGACTGCTGTGGGTTCTTGTTTGTGATATGTGTAGTTCAAGGAGCACCATTTTTGCTGGATATTTATTTAAACAAACTTCAGGCAGATGGCAGTAAAGTGTTTTGTTCCAAAAAATATCCATCTATTACAACAATATTCTGACATGTGGAAATAAAGTGTTTTGACAAAGGGATACATTTTTTTTTCTAATTATCACAAAATCATTTGGTGGTATTCTAATTGGATATAGATCTGTCTTCCTCATTAGAGACTGGCAATAAGAGACATACAAGAACTTAATAAAACATTGTAGAGGAGACTTCTGCATCTAGATAGAAGAGGACTGAGTGAAGTAGGAAGTGATGATCAACTTAAAGGTTCTGGGTCTTGTGTGAAAGTTTTTACATAAATTTATTTTAACAGCTCTGAAGTCTCCAATAGCTCTTAGACTGTTATAATTAAATGTTATTAATTGTATTTTGTAGACTTCGGTGGAAAGAACCTGGAAAGGTTTATTTTTTTTCTTTTAATATCTCTAACTCCTCTACTTCCACAAATATATTAAAGGAATTCTTTCTTAAAATTTGTTTAGCAAGTTCATTCATACTTGGAGTTGATCATATATGCAGTATGTGGAGAGGGTGTAACAGAGGTGCCTTCTGAAAATTAGAAAATAAATTTGCTCTCTGAGAGTTAAACCACAAATCAAGATATGAGGAATCAAAGCAGATATTTTCAAATACAGATATTTAAAAGGAGCCCAGTAAGATCTGACTTTACTCTGATAAAAGACATTAATAGATCTAAAGAAGGAATGGGCCAGTCAGAGGGGTCCTGGTCACCTGTGTAAGGTTAGAAAAAAGAGGATTTCCACCAACAAACTTTTGCCCCTCTCAGAAGAGTCCATGCCGCATCGCTCCCTTTAAATTTGTCTTTTAGAACCCAATGTCGTGTCCCCTAAAATCCAGAGCGGTCATTTAAAATAAAATAAAATTAGGTTGTGCCCATGTTAAAACTCACACAGCTTTCTCTTGTGCTGAGAATTCCTCACCCTGGCCTCCAAAGCCTCCTAGGATATTTTCCCTGTCTATCTCTCCATCCACGTCTCTGAGTTCTCTATCCCCTGCCAGACATTCCAGCCTTCTTGTGTTTCTCAAGCTTGCCACCAATTTTCACTACTAGGGGCCTTTGTACTCGCTTTCTTCCCTGCCTGGAAGGATCCTCCAGGGTAAGCTCATTCTTTTTTTTTTTTTTTTGAGACGGAGTCTCGCCCTGTCGCCCAAGCTGGAGTGCATCGGCGCGATCTCTGCTCACTACAAGTTCCGCCTCCCGGGTTCACGCCATTCTCCTGCCTCAGCCTCCTGAGTAGCTGGGACTACAGGTGCCTGCCACCACGCCCGGCTGATTTTTTGTATTTTTTTTAGTAGAGACGGGGTTTCACTGTGTTAGCCAGGATGGTCTCGTTCTCCTGACCTCGTGATCCGCCCGCCTCGGCCCCGCAAAGTGCTGGGATTACAGGCGTGAGCCACCGCGCCCGGCCGGCAAGCCCATTCTTAATCTGTCAGATTAAAAGTCATTTCCTCAAAGATGTTTTCCCCACACCATCTGAATAGAAACCCAGCCACTCTCTGTAACATTAATGTACTGTAATTGTCTCCATAATTAGCAGAAACCTATCCCTATCTGATTGTTTATTTGTTGGCAACAAATACTCCCAAGCTAGTTGCCATATTTGTTTACTTTTCTTTCTGGGGACACAGTTAGGTGAACGCAGTGCCTACCGCCTGGTTGTAGAGACAGACATACGGAGACCTGCCTGAAAATCAGAACCATGGGCAAAAGCTGGGGTGGGGGGATCCAAGCAACACGTGGGATTCACGGAGAGGCCACCGAGGGTATGGCCTGGTGGAGTTCCAGGCATTTGGTTTCCATGGCAGGGTTAGGTAAGCTGTCTCAGGTGGAGCCAAGCCACACCGTTGGGCCTGCACTAGGCAGGCAGCTAGGCGCTGGGAAAGCCACAGAACTCGGAAGAGGAGGTCGAAGCACTGAACTTGGCAGGTGGCCTGAGCAGAGGACATAGGGTCCCAACTTCAAAGTACTTTTCCTCTGAGGTATATTTCAGCTCGCAAACATTTCCCAAGAAGACAAGAGTAAATCCCAGAACGCAAGCTGACTTTGGCTAGTATCTCAACAGTGATATTGGCCCGATTACACGCTCTCGCTCTATCATGTTTGCATTTGGCCATATAATGAACCTAATTATGCACCCTTTACTCTGGGTCTCCAGGTACTTAGGCAGAGTTTCAAATATATTTGAACCTAATCTAAATTACTTCACTTTGACTCCATCCTCCTCCAACAAGTCTTCCCATGCCTCCACTAAGTTGCTGTCTATTCATTGCAACATTGTAGTTGTTGTGGAAAAGCAAAGAACAATGTTAGACTTTCTGTATGTCTGCATATTTATTTACCCTCACAATCTCCAAAATCCTTGTGTTTAACAAGTCTACATGTTTTTCAAATATAGTTCAAAACCTGCCTTGTTTTGTTTTCAATTTTGACTACTGTGAATTCCGTCTTAACTAAGATTAAAGATAGGCTAGCAATAGGAAAAAGTTAAAATAAGTCAGTCAACTTAATAATCAGGAACCTACACAGAAGAAAGTTTGTAATTGCTGCCTGATAATCCCCATGGCATGTATAACTGGAGCACGCCAGAATGCTGCAGGGAAATTGTCAGAATGAGAATCAAGGACTTCAGCTTCAGGCTAAAAAAGTCAGGATTAGCTTGTGACTTACATTGCCACCCATGACTCAAAGAACAACTATTCTTTCAAATGACAGGTTTTCTAGTTTAAACCATACGAATGAAAAGGAACATGCCTTTCACTGATGCATCATTGTTACTGTGGTTTAACTTCTTAACCCCTCTTCCTGTTGAAGATTCCTTCAATCTGAAGAGTGTCTACAGCTTCAGTCACTAATTATGTTCCTACCTACTAGAATAAAAAAAAATTAGGAAAGCATTCTTTCTTAAGGTGTGCATTGAGATTATTTTAAACAAATTATTATTTTAATTTATTCTGCAAAGGAGAAAAAGCTCTTTCTGACAATCTATGTAATTATTGAATAATGGGTTTTGGTGAGCTTTATTTTAGTTTATTAAAACTAAGACATTTTAAAAACACAACTACTATGTTTGTATTTATGGATCCATAAACTTCCTTATTTGAATAATTTTATATTATATGCCAGAAAAGTATTAAATTGTTCAGAAAAAGGTTGTGTTAGTATTTACAAATTAATTTCATGTATCATATTTGAATCAGTAAGGTGTTATTGCTGCCTTCAAGAGAAATTTTATTCTGTCTGATTTTAGATATTTTCACACAGATGAGAATGTCCTTAATATCCTGACCCCATTTACTCAACATTACTTAATATATCCCATACCTTATTGTCTATACCCTTCTCTTAGCTGCCCCTGGTATTCATCTTATGCTATGGAACATTTATCAAAACTAAGACATTATCATTGGGAAAATACTATAAACTAAACTACAGATCTTGTTTGGATGTCATCAGTTTTTCCACTATGCTCCTTTTCAGTTTCAGTATTCAGTCCACAGTGAATTTAGTTGTCTTGTCTCCTTGATCTCCAATCTGTGCAAGTTACTCAGTCCATCCTTGTCTTTTAAGACTTTGACTCCTTTGAAGAGCCAGGTACTTTGCAGAATATTCCTCATTTTAGATTTGTCTGGTGATTTCTGATGAGGTTTTGTATTTTCTATAAGAAACCATAGAGGTAGCATGCTTTATTTCATTGCATATTGGGGGTACAATATGTCAGTATGTCTTATTACTAGTGATACTAATCTTGATCATTTATTGAGGAAGGTGTCTGCCAGATTTCTCCGCCACATTATTACATTTCCCTTTCTATACTCTACTCTTCTAATAAGTTTCCCCACATTCAATAGGAGGTGATTAAGCTCCTTTTCCTCAAGGTAGGTATATCAAAGAATGAAGCTTCACTTTCTTAAGTGTCATACATTAAAAACCATCACAGTAATTAGTAAATATTTTAGGAGAGAGTGAAATTTTGTAATTCTCTCATGCCTTCTATATGAGTTATATTTTATCTATATAATCAATCAGATATATATATATATATATATATATCAGTATGGACTTATAAATATTTGTTTTATTCTTTGGAGCAGAAGTGATAATCCAATAGGATTATTACTTATTTTGTTGTTCAAACTGTCCCAGTTTTTGCTACTGACAGCCCTTTCTTTCAGGTTAGGCACTACTTATTTTTGAAAAGCCACCTTCCTGCCCATCCCTCTCCACACTTTTTCTGAGCACTTTTTAACTTTCTGGTATCCCAAGATACTCCAAACTCATTCAGCATGTACTTTTTGTGCCCTAGCCCTAGAACCAGTCATTTCTCCAGGAAGTCCTGGCTCCTTTAATTGGAGTATAACATTAGAAACCAAGATCTGGGTGTCAGTGAGATTTGCTGCTCCTGGGGTGTCAACACACACAGCTGTATTTATCTATCTGAATACACACACACACACACACACACACACACACACACACAAACACACACACCCCACTAATATTTCCAACTTCAATCCATCACTGTGTGGTTCATTCTAGCCATTCCTCCTTTGCTTATTTGTAATGTCTTTTCTTACACTGAGCATTCTGGCATTTCTTCCCTACAATACACTTTGTTATAAGTTCACCTGTAGTATAAATCTCAAGCAGTTTCAGAATTGCTAACAGTATCCCACCCTTACAAGACACAAATTGACCAACTAGAGTACAGTGTTTGTATGCAGATCTTTTTGTTTCTAGCCTTACAACAAAACACTGTTTAACAGTTACTTAGATCAGCTCTTTCCTTTACTTTTCCCCTTATTGTGGTGATATCATACATGTATAATACACTTAGATTCACTTGTCATAGTCTATAATCAAATTTGGCTTTCTCATTTTATTGATTTTATGTTTAATTTTTTTTACAATAATGTTTGTTTTTTGTGGTGTACAGTTCTATGGGTTTTGACAAATGAATAAAGTCATGTGTCATCAGAATGATCACAGAATCATACAGAACAATTCCATCTCCCCAAATATTTCCTCATGCTGCATCCCCACTCCAAATACCCAGTAATCACTCAAGTCTTTTGTCTACAGTTTCATCATTTCCAGAAGGTCATATAAATGGGATCATATAATATGTAACATAGGTTTATAATGCATTTATATTGCATAAATTAATAATTTATTCCTTTTTATGGCTGAGTAGTATTCCATTGTATGGTTGCACCACAGTTTTTGTATTCAATCACTGGTTAAAGGAAATGTGGCTTGTATCCAGTTTTTGTTAAACATGAATAAAACTGCTATAAACATGAATGTTTAGATTTGTATGTAAACATAAGTTTTCAATGTGCTTGCATAAATATCTAAAAATGAGAACACTAGGTCATATGATAAATGTATATTTCATTTTAAAATAAATTGCAAAGCTGTTTTCTAAAGTTGCTATTCTATTTCAAATTCTACCAGGCATGTTCAGATTCTTCTTGACTTACGGTGGGGTTACATCCCCAAAAATCTCTCATAAGTCAAAAATATTGTAAGTCAAAAATGTATTTAATACCATGAAAACACACTGTAAAGTTGAAAAATGGTAACTCAAACCATCATAACTTGGGGACCAACTGTATAAGAATTATAGTTGCTCTTAATCCTTGTTAGCGCTTTGCATGTCAGTTTTTTTGTTTGAATTTTAGCCATTCTAATACATATGTATTACAATAGATATAGAGTAGTATATCATTGTGCTTTTAATTCATTCATTTCCCTCAGGACTAATTCATTCATTTCTCTCTTACTTGAACTTATTTCTCATTTATATATCTTCTTTGGTGAAGTGTATTTTCAGATCTTTTGCCTATTTAAAAAATCAGATTGATTGTTTTTGTTATTTATTTTTAAAGTGTTTATATATTCAGAGTACAAGTTACTTTACCAGATAGTTGATATTTTTTTCAGAATTTTGTCTTGTCTTCTTATTCTGTCTTTTGCAGAGAAAAATAATTGAAATAATTTCAAAAGAGTCTGATTTACCAATTTCTTCTTTTATGAATTGTGTTTTTGGTGTTATAGCTACAATTTTACAAAAACCAAGGTCATGCCAAACATCTATGATTTCTTTTCAAATTTTTATAGCTTTACATTTTACATTTAGGTTTATAATTTATTTTGAGTTATTTTAAAAACAAGGTAGTAGGTATCGTTTTTTTCATATGCATGTCCAATTGTCCTAGAACTTTTTGATTGTCCTTTCCCCATACGTTGCCTTTTTACTTTTGTCAAAAATTACTTAACTATATTTATATGTGTCCATTTTCAAGTTCCCAATAATATCCCATTGATATATGAGTCTATCCTTTCACCAGTTCCACACTCTCTTGATTACCAAAGTTTCATACTACATCTTGAAATTGTGTAATGTGAGTTCTCCAATTTTACTTATCTTTTTCAGAATTATTTTCTTTGTTTTAGATCCTTCCCATTGCTCCATAAAATTTTAAACCAGCTATTCTGTATCTGCAAAAATACCTGCTGGTATTTCATTTGAGACATATATTTTGTTAGATTTGTACCTTAGTATTTTTTTTTGGAGGGGGTGATATTATAATTTTTTAAAATTTAAAACATTATTCATTGCTGGCATTGTAAGAATAAAATTGACATTTATATACTTATTTATTTTGCATTCTGTAACCTTGCTAAAGACACTTACAGTTTAAAAGATTCTTAGTAAAATAAAAAAAAAATTTTAGTAAAATCTAAAACAAAATCTAATTTTCTTATGAATTTTCTAAATGAACAGTTATGCTGTCTGTAAAAAGAGACAGTTTTATGGCTTCCTTTTTTATATATATGACTTTTTTCTTTTCTTGCCTTACTGAACTACCTAGAACTTTAAGTATGTTGAATTGTAGTGTTGAGAGAGTTCAACTTTACCTTGCTCCTGCTCCTGACCTTTATTCAGTTTCTCACCGTTCTGTATGATGTTCATCATAGGTTTATGTATATGCTCTTCATTAGGTTAAGAAACTTTCTTCCAGTTCTAAATTTGCTGAGTATTTATCATAAATGTGTACTAAATTTTTTAAACAAATTTTCTGCAACTATGGAGAAAATCATATGGCTTTTCTTTTGTTTGTAAATATTGTGAATTACATTGTTTTTTTAACATTAATTGACTGTATATTCCTGAGAAAACCTCCAATCAATTGTTCATGGCACACTTTTCTTTCTTTTCTTTTTCTTGGTTTTTTTTTTTTTTTTTTTTTGACAGAGTCTCTGTCACCTGGGCTGGAGTGCAGTGGCATAATCACAGTTCACTGCAGCCTTAAGTTCTTGGGCTGTAGAGATGTTCTTGCCTCATCCTCCTGAGTAGCTGGGACTACAGGTGCATGCCACTATGCTCAGCTAATATGTTTAGAAATGGGGTCTTCCTATCTTGCCCAAGCTGGTCTCAAACTCCTGGCCTTAAGCAATCCTCCAGCCTTGGCCTCCTAAAGTGTTGGGATTACAGGTGTAAGCCTGTAAGCCACCACATCCAGCCTCTCTCTCTCTCTCTCTCTCTCTCTCTCTCTCTCTCTCTCTATATATATATATATATGTATGTATGTATATATATAACTATAATATATGTAATATATATGATATATAAGCCCATAATATACTAATATATGTATATATTAGTATATTGCAGAATTTGGTTGAATAATAGTTTGTTGTGAATTTTTGTATTATGTTCATGAAGTATATTGTCTGGTAGTTTTCTTATAATGGCTTTGCATGATTTTAGTATAAGGGTAATACTGGCTTCATAAAAGCCATTGAGAAGTGTTCCCTCATCTTCTATTTATTTGGAAGAGATTGCTTAGAAATGGTATTATTTAGTCCTTGTGTATCTATTTGCTTTTTACTTTAAATATCTATTTTAAAATTTTTCTTTAATTCTATCGGGTATTGTCTCATATATTTTGAAGTTTTATTTTAGGTAAATTTACAGTTAGCAGTTTTATATCTTCTTGGAAAATTAACCTCCTTATCAATAGATAATGTCTCATTTTATCACCTAAGTACTCTTTCTTCTGAAATCTGCATTGTTTGGTATTAATATAGCGAATCCAGCTTTCTTTTGCTTAGTGTTTGTATGATATATCTCTTGCCATTCTTTTACTTTACCTTCATATTAAATTAGATTTCTTGAAGACAGCATATGATTGGGTCTTACTTTTATATACAATTTAAAAATCTCTCTTTTTAACTGGTGTGTTTGGACCATTCACATTTAAAATTATCACTGATATAAATACAACAAATTCTACCATCTTTCTGGCAGTTTTTTTATTTGTTCTATTTTATTTTTCTGCCTTCTTTTGATCTGAGTATATGTTATAAACTAGTTTTATCTCCTCTATTGACTTCATTTATACTTCAATTATACTTCATTTTAAAAGAATTATTGATTTTCAGGGTTTGCAATATAAAGTTTTATTTAATCTGAGTTTACATTTTAACTTAATTGTACTGAATCAAGTATAATGTACAGACCTTACAATAGTATATTTCCAATTTTTTGCTCCCATGGTCTATGCTATTGTCATAATTCTCTTTTTACTCGTGCTATAAACACATAGAACATTGGTCCTAATTTTGTTTTAGGCAGTCAGAGGTTAAAACAAATTAAACAGAAGGAAAGATACAGATTTTACACTACCAGGATTTATTCCATTCCTGACACACTTTATGTTTGTGTAGATCCAAGTTTCTGATTGATACCATGCATCTTTGCCTGAAGAACTTCCTGAAGACTTACCAATGTAAGTGTGTTCTCAAAGCAGTCCCTCCACTTTTCATTGTGTGAAAAAATTTCATTAATTTAAAAATGTTATTTTTGCCAGATACAGAATCGAAGATTGCCAGGTTTTTTTTTTTCTTTTAACACTTTAAGAATATCACTCAATTGTCTTCTATTATGCCTAGGTTTCTTACAAGGAATTCTGCTATCATCCTGACATTTGTTCCTCTGCAGGTAATGTGTTTTTCTCCTCTGGCTATCTTCAAGATATTCTCTTTCTCCTTGGTTTTTAGCAGTTTGAATATTATGCCTAGGTGTTCATTTTTTTTTTCTATATTTATCCTACATGCTTTTTTCTAAGCTCTTGTATCTGCAGTTTGGTGTCTGTCACTAATTATGAGAAATTCTTGGAAATGATTTCTTCAAATATTTCTCTGTCCAGCCAGGCATGGTGCCTCACACCAGTAATCCTAGTACTCTGGGAGGCCAAGGCAGGTGGATCACTTGAGGCCAGGAGTTTGAGACCAGCCTGGTCAACATGGTGAAACCCCATCTCTACTAAAAATACAAAAATTAGTTGGGTGTGGTGGTGCATGCCTATAATCCCAGCTACTCAGGAGGCTAAAGGCAGAAGAATAGCTTGAATACCAGAGGTGGAGTTTGCAAACAGCTGAGATGGCACCACTGTACTCCAGCCTGGACAACACAGCAACTCCGTCTCAAAAAAACCTATATATTATACATATATATATATATATATATATATATATATATATATATATATATGTATGTATGTATATATTTCTCTGCCCATTTTTTTCTTTCTTCTGCTAGAATTCCAAAGATCCATGTTAGTCTTTTCCAGAGCTCTTAGGTACTCTGTTCTTTTTACTGCTCAATTTTTTTTTCTCTTTGCATTTTATTTTGAGAGATTTCTATCAACTTTCTTTGTGTTCACTTAGTCTTTCCTTGACTGCATTGCGTCTACTTACTAATGAATCTATCAAAAGGATTCTTCATTTCTATTACTATATTTTTAGTTTATAGCATTGCTATTTGATTATTTCTTACAGAGTCAGTATTTTTTATATTACCTGTCTGATAGTTTATGTTTTTTATCTTTCCCATCAGAGACTTTAACACATGTATAATAAGTATTTTAAGTTCCTTGTCACCCATACTGTATCTGAGTCTGATTCTGATGGTTGCATTTTCTCTTCAGAGTTTTTTTTCCGTTGACTTTTTCAATACCTTGTGCTTTTATTGTTGAAATCTGGGCTTCTTGCTCAAAACAGTAGATACTGAGGTAAATATGTTTTTGATGCTTAAAGATGAGCACACGTCTTTTTTTCCCTGCCATGGATGAGTGTGGGAGTTTTATTAATCTAGACAGGAGTTGGGCTGACTTTAATATTTGCTGTTGCTATGGTTTCTCTTAGCACACCACAGTCTACATTCTTCTAGTGGTAATGTGTGTTTAAGGTGTCGACTGGTTTATTAGCTGCTATTTTCTTGTTGTCATCTCCTCCTTCTCTTTGGATGTTCTTTTACTGTTGCTCTAGAGAGAGAATCTGTCTTTTGTAGCCCTCCCAGCTACTTCCCATTAGTATTTTCACTTGATGCTGATTAGCCTGATGATACAAGGCAGGAAAGGAAGGAGAACATCTCAGATGTTCTGGTGAAGCCTCAGTCTTTCGTAGGTGCTGTACCCTGTTTCAGAGTATGGCCGTTACAAGTATTCTTGCCACTCCTCCACCTATAGTGCTGGGCCTATGATATATTCCTGCCTCTACTCCATACATAATGCATTTTCTCTTTGCTTCCTTCCCTAGCTGCTTTTTCTAGTACCTTAAAGCAACAATTTTGTTGCTCTTCCTCCCTCACATCAAGGCTTTCCTTCCCTAGGGGAGATAAAGGACAGGGTTCTAGTTCTAGTTTCTGCAGTGGTTACTGGTCCTCTCCCCTAGTCAGTACCAAGAGAATATATTTTTCAGGATTCTCCATGATCCTCCCTGTGAGTGCCTGGTAAGGTTTATGGAGAAAAGCTTACAAAGGGTGCAAATTACCCTATATCTGTGGTCCCCAGGTGCAGTATATCTATCAATAGCCTACAATTGGTATTTAGCATTAGAAAATTTAACTGTATGTTCTTACCATATAAAGCATAAGTTAGCATCTTCCTCAGATATGGAAGTAGTCAGATCCTGTCTTCACCTATACAGACCTATCTCTCCCCAGATTTGGGGCTACATTTTTGCTGGGCAGCCTCAATTTTCTGGTGGTTTCAAGAAATTATTAATGTGCAGTTTGCGTAGCACTTTCTTTGTTGGAAAGGTAGGAGCAATGCTCTTGCCAGCTCTAAATCACTGTGCTAGAACCAGAACAATTAATTGTTAATGATTTTGAAAATGAGAGGTTCAAAGTCCACAGTATAAATATGATTAAAGATTGCCTCCTAACTTTCCTAAATCTATTTCCAATAGCCATGAATTTCACTTTGTACTTTGAGTATGGGCTGATATTTGAATTGACAAAGAGTTTACTTTGCCGACCAACAACCATTTAGGGTTCAAGCAGCAGAAATTCGATGGTATCAGTATCTTGTTTTCCCACAACAGCATTAATGTGCTATATAAATCAATTCTCTCAGTGGAGAATCCTTGCTGCTCCTTAAACACTGTCCTCTGTGGCTATACAGGTGTTTCTGTGTCTTTATGTAGTATAATCCTATTAGCAGTGCCTGTGTAACACTTCACACATTTACCAGTTCTTTTTAGATATAGAACTCATTGATAATAACAGATCTGAAAATTTAGGCATTACTGTTATTATTATTGTCTCTCTTTTACTGATCAAGGAACTAAAGATTATATGAGGGGACCTACCTATGGTCATAAGCAAGTATCAAGTAGAACTGAACCCCAGACTTGCAGCTTCCATTTTGTTTCTCTAAGTTGCATAGTAAAGTTCTCATATAATTCATTCACTTGTTCATTAATTCAACACACATTTATTAGAGAACTTCTCTGTTTATGGCATATACTTAGACTGGGAACTAAAATTAGAATCCAGTCTTAAGATTCCTGGAATTTATAACATGGTGAAAAAAAAAAACATGACAAGTAAAATATTGTAATGGTATCTGTATTAGTTCATTTTCACACGGCTATAAACAACTTCCCAAGACTGGGTAATTTATAAAGAAAGGAGATTTAATTGACTCACAGTTTTGTATGGCTGGAGAGAAACTTACAATCATGGTGGAAGGGAAGCAGCCACCTTCTTGACAAGGTGGCAGGAGAGAGGGGAGGTGAGTGAAGAGTAACTTGCCAAACACTTGTAAAATCATCAGATCTCGTGAGAACTCACTATTATGAGACCAGCCTGGGGGAAACACCCCCACAATCCAATCACCTCCCACCAGGTTCCTGGGGGTTACACTTCAATATGAGATTTGGGTGGGGACACAAATCCTAACCATATCAGTATCTGATGTTGAGAAGAAGAGCATAGATTTTGGGGCCACACGAAGAGTTGTTCAAATTCCTATTTTGTTATTTTCTAGCTAGGTGAGCTTAGAAAATTAGTTTACATTTTAAAGTTTTTATTCAAATGAGACAGTAAGTACTTTTGCAAGATCTTTACTAGCACTGGGAATATATCCTTCCTTGCCCATATCAGAGGAGAGAGAGGGATGGACTCTTCCCTCAATCGTCTAAGAAAAGAACTAAGGTTTGTTTTGATTGGACCGTCTCTGAAACAATCACTGTGGTAGAGGAAAAAGGTCAGTCTGTCATAAAAATGCATGGTTGTTGTCCCATTGGGAAGGAGTAGAATCAATGCTGTGGAGACACCCATTGTTGTTCTTCCTAATTTTTTCATCATGAGCAGTAGGGCTTCTTCATTTGCTTTCAGCTATTTCTTTTCCTTCATTTAACATTACTGATGTTTCAGTTTTTCATTTCTAAGAATTAGGTAGCCTATATATGTGGGGTGTGTGTGTGTGTGTGTGTGTGTGTGTGCATATTTTGGTAGAACATGTGGTAGAGAAGAACTGATTCTCCCTTAAGAAAAAATACTCATCAAGCCTCACTGAATACACCCATATTGGTCTGTTCTCATGCTGCTAATAGAGACATACCTGAGACTGGGTAATTTAGGGAAAGAAGTTTAATGGACTCACAGTTCCACATGGCTGGGGAGGCTTCACAATCATGGTGGAAGGTAAAGCAGAAGCAAAGGCACATCTTACATGACAGCAGGCAAGAGAGCTCATGCAGAGGAACTCCCATTTATAAATCCATCAGATCTTGACATGTGGGAATTATTACAATTCAAGGCGAGATTTGGGTGGGGACACAGCCAAACCATATCAACACCTAAATTCCATAATAATATTAATGATGATAATATGTAATAATGTGACTACTTTTAGTTTTATTTGCTTTCCAAGTGTGGTTAAATACATGATTCTATACTGATCTTTATACATTATGAAAGTAGATTTTTTTTTTTGCCACCTATTTTGTTCACCCTTAGGTGAGATAAGAAGGCCAGCAGGGGCTGGAGTTGAGTATTTCTTGTCCCTTAGGTTGGTGAAGCACTGGCAAAAACTGTCAGTTAGGCTCTGATAAAATAGTTTTCCTTGAGAACAGGACACATTAAAAACAGAATGCTCTCAGCTTATTTCACAATGGTTACTTTTCCCCTTCCCCTGCCAGAAATATGAGGATATTTTTCTCTCATCTTCCCCTGAGAACCTGGTAGGATTCCTGAGAAGTCCAAGATCAAGGCAGTGGCCGGTTTAGTTGTCTAGTGAGGGCTGCATCTTCTGGAAGAGAGGAACACTGTGTGTTGACATGCCAGAAAGCAGAAGGGCAAAAGGGACTATAACTCCGTGAGGCAAATTTGAGGGCACTTAATCCCATTCTTGAGGACAGAACCCTCATGATTCAACCACCTCTCAAAGGCCAAATCTCCCAATATTTATTGTACTGGAGATAAAGTTTCAGCATGAATTTTAGAAGACACAAAGACATTCAAATGACAGCAGCTTCGATAAAGTTTCAGCATGAATTTTGGAAGAGACAAAAACATTCAAACTGTAGCAGCTTCTAACATTAACCCTCCAACCCCCTTCCCCACAAGAATTTCAAACTCTCAAACTTGCCTATACTGAACTCCCAGTAATTTACAAATTATATAGTTTAAGTCCCCACTGCCCCCGCCCAGCCCCCTGTACCAGCTCTAGCAGAAGTTTTTCTCCAGACTTCTGCTCCAGTAAATCATGATTCTTTGTATCCACCTGTCTCATGAATTTTGAGGGCAGTGGTTTGCCCTGTGACCTCAATTATCTGATGGACCTAAGAAAAGTTGTTGATTTTCAGTTTGTTCAAGTTTTTTCTTGTTGTAAGGATGAGAGTTATAACTTCTATGCGCCTTATAAGCTGGACAGGAAACTGGAAATCTAAGTAATTTTGCAAAAGATAAATAACTAGCAAGTGATTCTGATGTTGATCTCTTTTATAATCAAAAGGAAACATTTTCTTTAGTTTTGGTAAACACGTCTTTCCTTATTATTAACTTGACATAAAGCTGTCTTATACCTTCACTTGAAGTACATGCTACCACAGTCTTTACTGTACTTTATGACTTTAGTGAATTCAGTATTCCAACTAGCAAACTTCACCAGTATACATGGTGTGTATGCAGATGTTGCAAAAATGAGTTTGCTTCAAATTTGTCGGCACTAATTTTGTTTTGGTTGCAGATCTGCAACATATGTGCAGTTAGGTAGAAATTCAGAATCAAAAGTACAGTGGTTTGGGCCCCATACTTTTTAAAGTGCTAAGATTTGCAATAAAATTGACTCGTGCTTTAATTTCACTGTATATCCTGTTGTTGGTGACTTAACTTCTCTCAGCTTCACTTTCTCACCAGGGAAATGGGGATAATAATATCTAACTCAGAGAGTTATTTTGAAGATTAAATAAGATGATATGTAAAGGGCTAAGTACAATGTCCAGCACACAGAGTGCCCCAAATTATCATTGTTTTTCCGCGTGGATCTGAAATGGATCTCAGAACAGGGTAAGAAAGATTATTTCACGTTGACAATCTGTAGTGTGGCATGGGCATATTTAAGGACAAACCACCTCTCAGCTCCTGGAAGTATTTAAGGAAGAATATTCTCCTCTGAGGATGTAGGAAAGGAGATTTTGCTTTGGGTAAGAGTTAACTAGATGACCTGTAAGAGCCCATACAACTCTGAGTGTCTGATTTAATTAGAAAATGCCATCATTAGAGTTCTGTTTATATTTGAGATGTCAGATTTAATTACTGGCTTCAAGAATTGTTTTCTTACCTCATTAAAGTTATTAGTACCTATTATGCCTTTCGGGGATTATTAATTGATTTGAAATTTTCAAGTAGCATTCAGAGACTCGTAAGATCATTGACTAGGCTATGAATTTCCTTAAAATATAAAGTTCTTCTGATTCAGAGGTCTCAGAAATGTTTTGTGTTGCCAGCACAGATTTTTCTTCTAATTAAAATTAGTTTCAGCATGTAAGGACTGTACACATAGTGGTCTGGAAGTGATATTGCCAAAATTAGTTGTTTCAGGACTCTGGATAGAACATATGCTCTCCAGTAAGCCACAGTCCCTACCACTCCCTAATGTTCTACACAGAGCCTGCTTTATTCATTTTTATTGCTTGCTCGTTCTCTCTGGGAATTTGAGTTTGCAACTTCCACTCTAATTTTTTTTTTATTGTTCCTATTCATTCTTTCCCGTTACTTAAATTGAACCCTTAATTTTTAAACATAGTATGGAAATTCAGGACAAGGACAAATTGGGTTACATAAAAAGTTGTTGAACTTTTAGTGGTGTATTTTGATCTAATTTTCTAAAGACTGGTGAGATTTTTTTTTTAAAAAGAAGAGATCCTATGTTCTCAAAGGGGGAAGGGCAGCAGCTACATTGTCAAGAGGAGCTATATATATACATATATACATATATATAACTGTTACATCATGAATCAATAAAAGCTCAGAGAAAGTTTGAAAAGAAAAAAAGAACTAGGCTGAAAAGTTAGATCTATCCCTAGTTACATAGATCAAACTGGCAGAATTTGGCTTACAACGATTCAATAGAAGAGAAATATACTTAGGTGTGCTATCAAATAACTTCATGCATGTGAATGTGAAAAATGAGCTAAAAATTATAGATTGAATACAAAAACATCTGGCTTTGGGATTGGGTTGCCAATTAAGCATACTGATTTGCACATTTAAAAAAATGTCCTAAAAAATGTATTTAGATGAAGGCCTTAAAACCAAAACAGTATCATTGTGAATAAAAGTTTTTTTGGAAAAAAAAAAACACAATATGGTAACGTGTATCTACCTTGCTATGTTTTAAATGGAAACATTCTATAATATCATGTACTATTCTTTGTTCATTCACTTGACATCTGGATTAATTGTGAACATAATATCAATTTTATACTCTTGGCTCAAAACATGTTACGTCACTATAGTTCTAAATAGATATTTTATTTGTGGTATTCATATATCTTCTAAGAAAAATAGATTTTTCAGTAACAGATAAAGTACACACTAAATATAGATATTTGAAAATATTGATGAAAATCTGGAATAATATTTTAACTGTAATGTAATTCTTAAGTTATGTAAAAAAGAACTGACTCGTGGCTTTTGTAAGTAAATTTTACACAACGTATATATAGGCTACCAAATGATACAGATATGGTTGTGCTGCAATAAGAATTGTACTTTTTATATTATTCTATCAATAGTTACATTAAATCCTATTTAAGAAGCTAGTTCTGGTGTATACACCTATTTGGTTTTTTTTGTTTTTATTTTTTGAGACAGAGTTTCACTCTTGTAGCCCAGGCTGGAGTGCAATGGTGTGATATCAGCTCACTGCAACCTCCCGGGTTCAAGCAATTCTCTTGCCCCAGCCTCCCAAGTATCTGGGATTACAGGTGGCTGCCACCATGCCCAGCTAGTTTTTGTATTTTTAGTAGAGACGGGGTTTCACCACGTTGGCCAGGCTGGTCTCGAACTCCTGATCTCAGGTGATCCACCCATCTTGGCCTCCCAAAGTGTTGGGATTACAGGCATGAGCCACTGCGCCTGGCTGTATACACCTATTTTAAATGTAACTTCTTACAATTTTATAGGCAAAATCCTTCAATGAGCAATGAAAAGATGATTTTTAAAAAAAAGGTTGAATAGAAAAACAGCCAGCAACGGTAATCCATTCTGGATACAATTTTGCTTTTTATGAATAAGTCTGTAAAATATCAACATAAAGAATGTAGCTTTTGTATGAACACGGCCACAATACTGAAAGCCAGTTCAAATACTGAACATTTTACAATTCTTATGACATGGGATTACACCCTTGTGGCTCACCTAGCATATGTTTCATTGGTTTGATTTTACAACTCAAAGAGGAGGAAAATACAAAGTAAATCATTTGTGTTTTTTTTTTTTAAATCTGTCATTGCATTTTTCTGTGCTATTTAGGAAATGCAATACAAAAGTGCTCTCTGGATATTTATGAGTATTTCAAATTTCATGTGTATTAAAATACCAGTATCATTAATAAATGCTCACTTTATGTGAGGTAGTATCCAGAACCACCAGAACAACAAGAACTTTGTGATTAAAGCAGGAACACTATAAGGGATATTTACTAGCCCATATAAACATTTTACCAGCTCATTCTGTCCCATGGAACTATAGTGAAAAGAATTGGCATTTGTAACTGCTGTCCAGTATCAATGGTTGCAGACTAGTGAAGCAGGCAATAACTTTCATTTCTCCTAGCTTGAGGAAATGGTAAATAAATTAAACACATCAGAATTCTGCCCTCTTTGTAACTTCCACAGGCCAAAGACACATAAAGTGGGACAGAGTCCCTCTTTGTACTAGCTGATCAAATAAACATGAAATCTTAAAAATATTCTTTTTTCAAAATACATTCTGCAGTTTCTTCTATGAAGAAATTCTGAACAATCACTCTTCCCAGAAGGGAGTAAAAAGAAATAGAATCAGAATGATCTACCCAGAGAAAATGAGTTCTGAAGTATAGGTGTATTGATACATATAAAGTAAGATTTTACCAAATGAAAATCATACCAATAAGTTTGTTAAAGCTGACCCTAAAGAGTTGTTACTGAAAAACTATATAATTGGAATTATTACCAAATTCGTATTAAGTTCTTGATCTAGACCAAGCTTGTCCAACTCCTGGCCTATGGACTGCACGCAGCCCAGTATGGCTTTGAATGGAGCCAAACACAAATTTGTGAACTTTCTTAAAACATTATGAGATTTATATTATGTGTGCACCTTATTATTATTATTATTATTATATTTTTAGCTCATCAGTTTTCATTAGTGCTAGTGTATTTTATGTGTGGCCCAAGACAATTCTTCTACCACTGTTTCCCAGGGAAGCCAAAAGACTGGACACCCCTGATCTAGGCTATAGCAACAAGAGAGAAAATACACTAAATGTTTATTAAAATAATTATCTTAGGGAAGATGGTAAAGGGGAGATTCTTTGCTGAGAAAGCTAAAATTCTGCTTATGTTTTTCAGTATATTTAAATTTGGTTAATAACATTTCAACATTTACTTAACTTATAATAGGCAATATTTCCTTGTGGAATTCCTGTTTCCCTAAATGTGTTTAAATTAAGGCCAGGCATAACAAGCTTCAGCCAGTATAAATAAAGATAGTCAGAGGATTCACTTAAAATATTGGCAGCCTGGGGTTCAACTTACCTTTTATTTATAGTTTTCCAAAAACAGTAATATGAATTAACTGTAGTAAAGAAATGGAAAAATATACAAATATATAAAAAATTTAAGAAGACTTGCAATTTCAGCACCCAGAAAGAAGCTTGTTCGTAGTTTAGTCTATTCCTTCTCATTATTTAAAAATATATATTCATGGAAATATAAAGCCTATATGTTAATTATTTAATGGCTGAGATCATACTACATATACAGTATTGTTGACAATTGTCTAATATAATTAAATATTAAACAATTAATGGCCCCATAATATTTCAAATTTGTAGATAAATTTTATTCGTTTCCCTATTCATGAACATTAAGGTTGCTTCCATTATCTTACTCTTATGAATAGCTCTACACAAAATTAAGCATTCTTAAACATAAATTCCTGATGAAACTTTTGGGAAAGTTCATGAGAAAAATTTCTATGAGTTAGTGTATCCAATAGTGCACTATTTGAACTGTCTTGATCTGTGTTTCCCAATTGTTTCCCAGAAACTGCTGCATTTAAAACATCTCCAGAGTGTATGAAAGTGTTCATTTCATCTTACTTTTACCAGAGTTGAATATTATCAACTTAGTATTTGCCTTTTAAAAAGTCAATAAAATAATTATTACTTTACTATTTTTACATATATTTAATAGTCACCTCTGTGAATTGTTTAAATGTTCTTGTCTTTGCTATATTTTTTTACAGAATTGTTGGTCTTTTAATGGACTTATAAGATCTCTTTACACTTCTAGACTGTTCAAACTTTGTTATATTTGGAGCAGCATTAAAACTGAGTTTGTGCCTGACAAAAACAAGAAGTGGGGAAAGGATTCCCTATTTAATAAATGGTGCTGGGAAAACTGGCTAGCCATATGTATAAAGCTGAAAATTGATCCCTTCCTTACACCTTATACAAAAATTAATTCAAGATGGATTAAAGACTTATATGTTAGACCTAAAACCATAAAAACTCTAGGAGAAAACCTAGGCAATACCATTCAGGACATAGACATGGGCAAGGACTTCATGTCTAAAACACCAAAAGCCATGGCAACAATAGCCAAAATATACAAATGGGATCTAATTAAACTAAAGAGCTTCTGCACCACAAAAGAAACTACCATCAGAGTGAACAGGCAACCTACAGAATGGGAGAAAATTTTTGCAATCTACTCATCTGACAAAGGGCTAATATCCAGAACCTACAAAGAACTAAAACAAATTTACAAGAAGAAAACAAACAACCCCATCAAAAAGTGGGTGAAGTATATGAACAGACACTTCTCAAAAGAAGACATTTATGCAGCCAACAGACACGTGAAAAAATGCTCATCGTCACTGGCCATCAGAGAAATGCAAATCAAAACCACAATGATATACCATCGCACACCAGTTAGAATGGTGATCATTAAAAGTCAGGAAACAACAGGTGCTGGAGAGGATGTGGAGAAATAGGAACACTTTTACACTGTTGGTGGGACTGTCAACTAGTTCAACCATTGTGGAAGTCAGTGTGGCAATTCCTCAGGGATCTAGAACTAGAAATACCATTTGACCCAGCCATCCCATTACTGGGTATATACCCAAAGGATGATAAATCATGCTGCTATAAAGACACATGCACACGTATGTTTATTGCAGCACTATTCACAATAGCAAAGAGTTGGAAACCAACACAAATGTCCATCAATGATAGACTAGATTAAGAAAATGTGGCACATTTACACCATGGAATACTATGCAGCCATAAAAAAGAATGAGTTCATGTCCTTTGTAGGGACATGGATGAAGCTGGAAATCATCATTCTGAGCAAACTATCGCAAGGACAAAAAACCAAACACCGCATGTTCTCACTCATAGGTGGGAACTGAACAATGAGAACACTTGGACACAGGAAGGGAACATCATACACTGGGGCCTGTCAAGGGGTGGGGGAAGTGGGGAGGGATAGCATTGGGAGATATACCTAATGTAAATGACGAGTTACTGGGTGCAGCACACCAACATGGCACATGTATACATATGTAACAAACCTGCACATTGTGCACACGTACCCTAGAACTTAAAGTATAATGAAAAAATAATAATAGATAATAGAAAAAAAACTGAGTTTGTGGTTTGATTTTAATGTCTTTCATAGTGGAGGTTTTTAAACATAAACCTAAAAATTATATCACATTTAAATAGATTTTTGTCTTTGTAATTTTTCCATTGATTTATATCTAGAAACTCTTTCCCTAATGTAAATGCAATATATATTTAATATAGCTATGAATAAGACAGGAAAATATTTAGAAGTAAGGAAGATTGAAAATGGAAATATGTGCCATATCAGAGATTAAAGTAAACTTTTAATAATGCATTTAAGATAATAATATAACTAAAATAATTATAACTAAAATAATGCTATCTTTATATTATACAGTATTTAATACATTTGGAATTTATTTAAATATATTATATGATGTGGGGGAATCTAGTTTAATCTATTCACTCATTCAGTGACTCTTTAATACCAGGCACTACTTTAAGTGCTGAGAACAGAGCTGGGACTAAAATAGACAAAAATTGCACACTGGTGGTGTATATATTTTACTAATACCTAATTTTTTTAATGGAGTGTTTCACCAATTTTCCAACATCATTTCTTTACTATGCCTTTCTTTCTCCATTCATTTCTAAAGATTTTTCTCAATTATTATAGAAAGTAAGATCTGCTTCTGGGTAATGTTTTTCTTTTATTGATTAGACTACTGATACTTACATAAATACAATTGCACATTTATAGTACAATCTAATTTCTGACATGGTATATATTCCCTTCTGCAATCTTTCTTTTTTAAAAAAAAAATCCTGGCCTATTTATAGCCATTTGTTTTCACCTAATAAAATTTAGAATCACTGATAGCATACTAAAATGCTAGTGCTGAAATTTGGATTCGAATTCAAATTATTTCCAAAAGATGAGGGATCTTTACATTAGTCATCCAGAAACTTGGGAAGTTTTTCTTTTATTGACATCTCCATTTATATCTGTTAGTAAAGTTTCAACAAATTTTCTTCTTTTAGGTTTTATATATTTCCTGTTAAAGTTTTGCTTTATATTTTAATTGCTCTTATGAATAGAATATTTTCATACATTTAACAATTGTTACTATACAAGAAATGGTATCTATACTTTTTCATTGTGTCTTGTCAATTTGCTAGTCAACCTTATTAATTCTAAGTTTTTCAGTTCAATTAGTAGGATTTTCTAGACAATTTTATATCAGCAATAATTGTAATTTTTGTTTCTTTTTTCCAGTAACTATATTCCTTCTTTATGTTTTATGTTTAATAATTGACTAAAATATCCAAACTTGTAATATCTAATCTTATTTCTAAATTTATTCTTAAAAACCTTGAATGTTTTTCCATTAAACATGAAGTTGGCTTTCAGATTAGGTTTGGTATTCTTGATCATGGTGAAGAAATGGTTATTTTTCCCAAGGTTACTGAAAGTTCCTGTGTTTTGGTTTTGTTCTTGGGCAGAAATTTATGGTAAAGTGATAGCTTTTTTCTTTTAACCTCTATTGAGTTTTGTCCCCTTAACTTATTGATGTTATATATAAGTTTCTTCTATTCTTTTTACAAATTCTACCTCATTATTCTGAATAACTTTAGAAATTCACTCCTACATTAACTTTAGAAATGTTTGTATATATAGGCAAGAAGTGAGAGTGATCTATAGTATTAATTATTTTTCTATCTGTGTAATATTTTGGATCTATAACTATGATTAACTTGAAAGCTTTTAATTGCGTGTGTATGTGTGTACTCTAGAATTATTACTGTAGCACAAAATATGCTCAATTGCAGAAATTTGGAAAGAATTCCCCTGTGAAACTATTTTAGCAAAAGTGTCTTATTAGGAAGATAATTCTTCAGCACTTTTTCCATTTTTTTCTAGTTTTGTTTTACTTTAGCAAGTACTTTTGGATGAAAATCAATGAGAACAGACTCAGAAGATAAGTGAAAGCAATAAATATAGGAAGCTCTTCTCTGGAAGAACATTTCAGTAGTTACAGCTAAAATTATGAATAGTTGGGTTAGGTAATTTCTTTCAGAACTTTTTCTATACATCTTGTACAGGTAAGCAAGGAAAAATACAGCAATTAACTCACACTGACAAGAACTAAAGGAAAGGTTGAATTGATTTTGATAGGGATTATAAGCAGTGGGAACATGAAGCCATGCTTTTCCTGTGAACAGTCTAGTTTAGGGAGTTTGCAGAGCTAACTTGTGAGAGCTACTAAAATAGAGTGAGAACCATAGAGTAACTGAGGAAAATGAGAAGCAGCACCAAAACGGCAAGTGGGGTATGACCAAGAACAACTTTCGAGTTGTATTTGTGTTATATCCAATAGTTAATTCATATTTGTTTTGTGCCCTCTCCTCTACTTTATCATCATTGTCATCATTATTATTATCATAATCATGATGTTGTAGGGACAATCTATGTAGTATTACAGATCCTGTATGTTGATTAATGTTTCATATATTTAATGACTATTACTCTGCTTACATTTCTATATAAGACATGAAGAATACCAAGGAAAATGATAATCACAATAATATATAGAGTATATTATACTTTACACAACATTCTTTTTCATTCATTACTGACTTATAATTTGAGGATATAGTATAACTATTTATCAAGGGTTTGGATTGAACAATAAGTCTTAAGGACATGCCATTTTCAGCTGCTGAGGCCAAGGAAGGCATCACAGAGGAAGAAGAATGTAAATAAGCCTTTGAGATAAACCATCCTACTTGGAAGGATTGTCTTCTTTGGCACTAGTGTATCATTGAAAGATGTGGGATAAAAGAGTGTCAGATAAAATGAATGCTTAGGATCTAAAAGTCATGGATCTGAAAGTCATGTGTAAAAATGAAGTATAGAAAAGGAAAGACCAGGGAAAGGCAAACTAGTTGAGAAGCTACTTTAATAATCTGGAGCAATGGTGAAATGCCTCAAATACAGAAGCCTTGTGTTGGAGAAGAATATCACTGTTTTGTTGCATCAGAATATTTAAAAAGTTCTATAATGTCTACTGTTTCACCATTTATATGATGTAGAGTTTGGATTATTTAGAAACTCTTTCCATGTCTAAAACATGGTGATACTATGATTCAACTTGTAATTTTCCTCCTCATCCTACACTGGAAAGCAACTAAGGGAAACAATCGCTTTTAGTGTTTTTGTCCTCTCAGAGTTTGGGATAGACCTTTGGGATAGGTCTTAGTGTTTATTAACAAGACGTCAAAGACTTCAGTTATTACCTTCACTTCAGTCAACTTCAAGCAGTCAAACTGATGAATAACCAGAAAGCTGTTTATGATCCACCTGGTCAAGGAGTTTAACATAATACAGAGAAGGTATGGCTAGAAATAGTATATTTATATAAGAATTTTTACATTTGGATTCCAAAAAAGTTTTATTCTTATCTAAGATATTAACAAGGATTTAGACAATAAAAATTTGGATTTCAAAAATTAAAGCTAGACAACAATGATATATTTTTAAAAAAATTTAGGCTTATTTTTGCTGCCTCTACTGGGAATCCCACCCCTCACGCCTATCTCAGGTGGCCATAGAAATTAAGAAATAAAAGCAGTAGAGGATGGAACCTTGTTTTCTGGGAAGTATATGCAAATAACATACACCACAAAATAAATGGCTGTAGAAATGAAAGATGTTACATTAAACTAATTTTTATTCTCCTTTCTTGGACTCCTTATCCCTTTTCCATATCCCAGTTATTATATTTTCTATTCAAACCACAAGAAATATTTCCATAATGAAAACATAAATCAATTTTAAAGACCTTTTAAAAATTAAAATGCATCCAGCCTATGAGAGTCGGAATGAATGACAAAGGTTTCCAGGAGCATTTAGGAAGTTCCAGAAAATATTACAAACTTCAGGCAGAAGTATCAGGTCATACTTTTCAGAGAGAAAAGAGGTTCAGTGCCCATAAAAGTTAGAAAAAAGTAAATGTTTTCAATGGACAAAGTGGTTGGAAAATATCAAGAATAACTTTTAAGCTTAAATTCCAGGCTACATTTTACTTTTTTAAAAAGTTATGACATTTGATAATTTCTCCTCTTAAATTTTGGTACTTGGCAGAAACAGAACTCATAGATGTCCTTAATTTAGAGATATTCCAGAGCCTGGATTTAGATGGGTGCAGTGAAGTTTGCAGTTTCACTGATAGAGAGATGTAATAAAGATTTGAAGGTAGCAGCTGGTTTCTTGGGAAAAGTAGACCTCAGGCAAAGAGATACAGGGCAAGAGATCTCAGGTCAAAAGGACGATGGTAGTCTTCCAATTATATTAAGATATATTTTATAAGAGGCTTTTATGTAGACAATTATATGTGGGAAGCTTAACTTTAAAGAAAGACAGACTTGGAAACAATGATAAAATGCAATTAATTATGACACGTTTTGTCACATTGTTTTTCTAAAGGTTAAATTTAATCTAAAAATATCACACTTGATATTTTGAAATTCTTTTGTCATCAAAATCAGTGATACTTAGAGTATGAGTCAACATACACAGAGCTAATATTTTAGAATATTTCCTTTATATGTGTATTATGTTATCAATACATTTATTCAGCTCTCCCCATAAGTACTTAGATGTTACTAGATGTGAAATTTACATGACAAAATATTTCAATAGACATTTGAGCATATTTTTAAAGTGGGCATTTTCTTTAAAGGCTTGATTTTTCATATGAAATTTTAATAATGTAGAATTCATTCTTCCTCTGAAATGTTGCTAGTTCAAAGGTTTTGGAAAACTGAAGTGTTCTTTGAAGTGCTTTGAAATATTTTAAAAACGTCTTTCACAAACAAATTTGTTTTTTACAGACTGCTCTGCTCATTGACACACCAAGACACCACTTCAAACGTTACGGCAGAGCTGTAGACAGGCAGGCAGCCACAACAGACAGGACAGTCTTGAGACAGACAAGCTGCAATCACGGGGAGAGGGACTTAGAAAAAAAAAAATCTCAGGAGTCTCTCAGACTGGAGGTGAAAAGTCACTCACCAAGTACACCAGGTTCTGTAACCAGAGCCTATAGGCCCAGGAAGGTGCTATGGATATTATGAAATACGCTGCTAGATCCAATGTTTTCTGTAGCTAACCAGATTCTCCAAACAGAATATGATTTCTTGCAGCAGCGTCTTTGAACTTGGAGATTAGCAATAATAGCTCTACTTATCAGTTAAAATATATTTTTAGGTAAATTTGCAGTATTAACAATATGAACTAAAATGAATCATTCTGATACTTCCCAAATAAAAAAACCTCTTAAAAAATGTTTTTAGAAATCCCATTTGATCCTAAGAAGCTCTCAATGCATATTGATTGGTAAAGTATTTATTTAAAAACTAAAGCTATTAAAAAGTATAATACCTTCAATAAATTTCAATTTTATTAATCATGAGAATATTTATGGTCCTTTGAACTTGGTACGTACATGTTGATAATATAGTTTATTTAAACATTTCTTATAGCTTTGGACATCTTGAAATAGCCTTGAGGTCCAGATTATGGGAAAAAATACCCTACTCTTTGTTTCCTAGAATTTTCTTTTTGGCTTTTACATTTAATCTTATCTATTTGGAATTTGGAATTTTCAACTATGGATATGGTTCCATTTACAAGTCTCTGACAAAAGGTTTTATAAAGCAAGTTATGTTTAAATGCATTCAATAGTTTACTTTAAAGAAATTTTTTGGTAAAATCTTTGGAAAATATAGAAATATTTTATAAAGTGAATAATGTATATTTCCCATGGTTGGCATCTCCCATATTGTGTACCTATTTAAGAACTTGTTTACATACAAAGATAGACACTTAGAATATGAGAGAAAGGTCTTTAATATCAGTACTGCAATAACTTACCATCTGGCTAGTAGGAGAGTAAATGTAATAGATTTAGGATAATATGATCAAAGATTAAATGCCAGTTTAGATATTCTCACCACACTTCTAAGTACCAGTTTGAAAAAAAAAAACCCTAGTATTTGGAATAGAAAGGACTGGGAATCAGAAGTAGAAAATAGATCACAGAACTGATTCAATCAGAAGAGAGTAAATTATGAAATATATTGACAACTTAAAAAGGTGGATGGGAAAAGAGAGGCAGACATTGCATTTGTATATCTGAGTCACTTACAAGGGGGTACATAGGGTTCAGTTTTAAAATTATTCAGTGGGAAGATAAATATTTTTGGGGTATTGAAGATATTTACAGTAAAATTGATCCATACTATCCAATGTACGAATAAAAATGATGAATCGTGGTCTTTCCTCCTAAAATCTAAGAAAGGCTACGAATCTATCAATGGGAAATTTCTTTACTTAAGTCAATGACATTATATAATAAGTCTGACAAAAATTAAATGATATAACATATAAAAATTTAATTATTCAAAATTATTCTAGAAAAAAATTAGATTCATCAAAAGAAATGTAAACAGCTATCAAAGTAGCTATCAAAACTCAGCCACAGAAACTAAGAATTAACAGATAATTGACTTTAAACCTCAGAGAGAAGAAAAAATGTTGTGTGTTACATGCCAAAAAATGCCAAATATTTGAGGTGATGGATAATTAGCTTGATTTAATCATTCCATGTTGTTTTTAAAAATCATAACATCACTTTGTAGCCCTTAAATATATACAACTATAATTTTTCAATATATAATAATTTGTTTTTTAAACCAAATGTATACATGCTCAGAGTCTGAAGACCTTCTTTCTTGGTGTTAATTTTTTAAAATGTTATTACAGTTCTTAGATGCTCAAGAGTTGAAGTAAAAAATACCTCTAAGCATCCTATCATTATTAATTATGACAGTGAATTTAATGAAGAGACATTTTAAAATTAACACTCTTCTTAACCTCCATCCACCACTTGGCCAGCAAATTAAAGAACAGTCTTTTGTATTGTCGTTACAGTTGATAACCAAGATAAAGCAACTCCGCAGAACCCTGCTGCTCTTAATGTAGGTTTATCTTTGATGGCTGAAGCAGCATTACTTGAAGAAATCGCCCTCCATTTATATTTACCGTATTCCTAAAAAACACTGTCTCTGTGTTTTCGGGAAAAAGATATCAATATATTGTTTATATTAAATAAATGACAATGAGAGAATATAGTATGTTCTGTTTCTATGTTAAATTGCTTATTTGCCTTTTTTCTCTTCCTAAAATTGATACAATCTCTGTTTAGATTTCTTCATTTATTCAATTTATCCTGTTGCAATCCAAATTAAGACCATTAGAAGAAAAAGATAAAATACTATGGAATTAGAGTTAAGGAACCCATTAGGTGTTAAGAGTATTCTAGGTACTTAAATTTTTAAAAATGAAGATTCATTTTTAAATAAAGAAGCATAGGCAAAGAGAAAATGTGATATTGTCTATGTTGTATATTATGAATTATTTTATTTTCATAAATCCAAAGGGAGAATGGAATAACTTTCTTTAATATAGAAGCTGTTGCTCACAAGCTCTCTTCTCCCTAGCAGCTGATGGATTGGGTTTTTCCACTGCCATTACGAACAATGGACGTCAGGAAAAAAAAAATCAGTCTTTGAGACCCAGCGAAAGGATTTTTGTTTGTTTTCATTACTGAAGAGTAGAAAAAAGCACGCATGTATATAAACAGCAAATACTTCAGTTGAACTTGAGGTCTTAGATGAAATTTACACTAGATATCAAAATGCAGGGACAGATAGGAAAAATATTTTGTGAAGAAAAAGCAGAGGATTTTTATATTGCTGAAAATATACATAGAATTGTCCACATGAAGATTGGGCTTATAAGGAAAAGTCTGGGTAAAATTTCAGGATTTAAGAGAATACCAATAAAGTGAAGATTGACATTAACCAGACCAGGCTATAAATACCACACAAAGAGACCAAACAAGTCCTCCCCTGACAGGTCTGACCACCTCTCCCCTTCTATAATGAACAACACTGGAAAGAAACCTGTTGTTCTTTCTGGATCAGCGAAACTTAATACGTTAGTTAGAGAACTTTTGTTTTTGGACGATTTTGCATTTGCGAATTTACCTAATACCGTCCTACTGATATGTGTAGGTTAAATAATGCAGTGTAATGGTATAGTCAAGTCTCTACAAGTGTCATCATTTAATTATCTCTATTGTCTTCCTTATCACTCAAATTAATATGACTTATTTTTTTCTCAATATCAGTTTAGTGCGGAGGAGGAAGCCACTTTCATGTTTAAGGAAAAGCTTTAATTGCCTGTACTCTAAAAAAGGAAAACGTTAACATGGAGGTAAACATATCATTTTCTCTGCTCTATTTTATGTGCTTGAAAAATATTAGGTCATAAAGCTTGTTTTATATTAATATCATTCATTTATATATATATTTATTCTCTTTTTTAGTCTTTAAAATATGCATTATATTCTAATAAGACTACTGCAGCTGTAACAAATGGTGGCTAATTACACGTTATTGACTGTGAAAATATTTTATTATTTAATGTTCAATATCCAATGATTTTAAGAGTATAAATTGTAATAGTATTCTTAAAACAGTCTTCCAGAATATTATTCATAAATAATCAATATAAATATGAGCAATATATAAAAGCATTGATGTTTCATTATTTAATATTTTCAAATTATTATTATCTAAAATATGTTTTGGTTGAAAGTTCTAAATTCCATTTTAAATTATTCCCTGATGTAAGAAATATCCAACAAATATTAAATGGAGATTTGCCACATATACTTGTTATGGAAGTTTAAAAATTATATCTTATATGGTCAGCAAAAGGAAGTGAAGTTGACATATGTAACTTTCCAAATTAAAATGTTTTATGAAAGGAACGTTAATAAATAATATATAAAGTGAATATGTCGATCTTACTAGCAGCTCAAACTGCAAATGTTTTGCAAAGAAATACACTTCATTGCAGATAATTGATTAATAAAATTAAAATGATCTCTGATACAACCTTCAAAGTATTGTCTCCTCTATAGGACAAGATTAATTCACTGTATTTAACTAATTGTGGTCTAAGCCTAGCCAAAGCCCCATTTATGTTCCTTAAAAATGATGATGAAAATGGGAGTCTGTGTAACATAAAATTTGAACTGCATCTTATGAAGTTAAGACAAATGTGTGGCTCCAACATGAATGAAATACATTACTTATCAAAATTTATTTCTTTCTCTAGTAATTCCTTCAACCACTACCCTTGTAACTTCTTCTGACCACATTTGATGCTGGTAAGATCCAAAGTTTTCACCAGAGAATGTCGATAACATCTGTATTCCTGTTATCATTTTCTAAAATGGCACTGAAACTATTTGTCCAGTTCAGATTGGAATACTAAATTTTACTATATCTTTATTATTGCACATTACTTTTATTTTCTCTCTGCATCTTCTAGGCAAGTTGAGGTCAGAGATTATTGCTTATCTGCTTTTGGTTAGCCTAGTAGTTGTACTAGAGTAAGTATTCAATAAATAATTTTAAAATGAACAAATGAATAAATGTATTGTGCTGCAGAAGCATTTGTATCAAAGAGACATTGAGTATCTTCCTTGGAATGTAGTTTGATATACTGTTTTCTAAAGTAGATGAGAAAGTCCAAATCAAGTGTAGATAAGACAAGATATCCAAAGTGGTAATTTTGCTTTCTTTTTTTACATTTAATTTAAATTTTTTTAGTTTTAATTTTTATGGGTACATAATAGTTGTACCTATTTATTGGGTACCTATTATATTCTGATACAAGCATACAGTGTGTAATGATCAAATCAGATTAATTGGGATATCTATCACCTTAAACACTGATCATTTCTTTGTGTTAAGAAGATTCCAATTTCACTCTTTTATTTATTTAACAATATACAATAAATTATTGTTAACTATAGTCACCCTATTGTGCTACTTAACAGTATAACTTATTCCTTCTAGTTAACTGTATTTTTTTATCCATTAATCAAAGCAGTGATTTTTCAAAAGGTGTTCCCTGAATTCCTAGTGGGTTTTAGAATGTTGCTTGAAAGGTGAAGAGGTAAAAGGAGAGATATTAGGTAGTGAATATAATTTACATATTGGCGTTAATAATACCTTCTTTGAAGAAAGAGCTGTGCTTTTAGAGAGTGATATGAAAATCCTGTTTAATAATCTGTAGAGATAGTTTGGAGGTAAAACAAATGTTTGATTTTATCATGATGAGAGCTTGGACTGTTTTTGTACCCTATTGTATCTCCAGTATGAAGCATAGTCCTTGCACATTACAGCCATCCAATAAATATTTATTTTTATAAGCCATTACAATGACAAGTTGGTTAACATTCTGGTTATATGCCATGATATTTAATTTCAATAAGCTCAGTAAGCAATAGCACAAGATTTACTTATAATTGCTTATTCTCTTTCTGTGCTCATGATTAAGTTTGGTGCACTTCTGTGCTCACTTTAAAATTTTTAAATTTTTACATGGGTTCAAGGTAAATTGAAACAGTATTTCTTGAAACTGCATATTTAAAGAGGGAACATTTAAAAGGATAAATTTAACAATAAAACTGAGACTGTTCAGGCTCAAAGTGAAGTGACTGGTGGAATCATATTCACACTCATCAATTAAGTGCAGCTATTATTATCCATACTGATAAGCATATATCCAATGAAAGTAATATTCCAAAAACTCAAACAGAAGCCATTGGTCATCTGGGTTCACTTTTTAGAGGATATAATTTCTGCAGTTTCTCAATAAGTCTTACATAATACAATTTTCAAAATTGTTCTATGTTTCTTGCCAAATCATTTTTGAGCACAAATAAACAAGAATAAAAATGAGATTCTCAATTTATTTCAGCATAAATGGAACAACATAGGGTCATAAAAATGTATGCAACAAAATTTAAATATGACAATTGAAATGCATTTATAGATTTTTTTAAAAAAATAACTAAATGCATTAAATGTGAGGAAGAATTGCATAATATTAGGGAAAATGCTTTAAACCTTCCTCTATAGATATTGCAACAAGAATGTGAAAAGGATGGGCAGTGATGAAAATATAATTATTCCTATTGTCTCATGATATAATCTAGAGATAGTCTGAGCATGCACATCCTAGATGTTATTAAATTAAAGTCTTTTCTCATGTGAAGTCTAACAATTCAGCTAGGCTAGAGGAGGGTGTTACAGATATTCTCACATTTTTTGTACAATACATTCTACAGTCCAATTAAAAGAAGGTCTAGCACTTGTAAATCATTGGAAAAATATATAACATTAAAACAATATTTAAAGATTTTATTACATCATTAAATAAGTCGGTCAATATCTAGTGATGGTTGTAACAACTGAGAGCAATGGTAAAGAATGTAGAAGTAGGGGTTTTTCCAAAAGCTGTTGCAGAAAAATATGTTCAAGTTTTCTGTTATTGTATGTTGCATAGATAAATGTAGCAGTTTTACGATGCATCAACTTTCACCACAGTGTTAGATAAATGTCATACAAATTATATATTTTGTTAGGGTCTGATCTTTCAATTGCAGATTTTTCAGAGCTTTTTGAAATGATGCAGCAATGAATTTTAAAACTTCCATTGTTTTTATGGTAGAATTTGGTGACTGCTCCAAGGCAAGGTGTAAGTACAGATATTTCAAATGAGACAATAAATACTCCTGTGTTTTAATAAAGAGACTCCATTAACTAAAATTGGCTCAGATATTACATGGCTTTCCCCCATACATATCTTGCTAATATTCGGAGTAAGCCAAAGAAGCTCCTTGTAGTCAGGTATTATCGCAATGTCATTTGACTTACTTAAAACTGCAGATGAAGTGTCAGCAATCAAAACAGAGCTTTAAAGTTTTGATTTGAAATGCAAGTAACATATATTTACTGTTTTGAAACTTTGATAGAGATAGGGTGATTTAGCTAATTTTAGACACTGACATTGTTGAACACAGAATGACTAAACGATACATTCAAAAATTATTTTCCCAAGAATGATCATTTAAAATGGCTGAGGAACTGTTCATCAACCAATTCCAAGTTGAAAATTTAACAATTAAGGTTTGAGAGCAGATGTTAGATAATGTTAGTAATTCAACCTTGAAACAATTTTCTGCTGCTTCTCCTTTAGTCTTTCAGATGAGTTAAATTGAAGAGCATCATGAAATTGCAGGATGAGCTGTTAAAAAACTGTTATCATTTGCAATTGTTCTATGTAATACAGAATTGTTTTTATGTGATGCAACCCAAAATAAAACAGAAATAATTTGGATGTTGAAGCTGATATAAGACACTAACTTGCATTTACCATTTCTACATAGAAGGTTTTGTTTTGAAAATAACCTTTGGGTTATCATTGATTGCCACTGCTATTATATATTAATAAATAAGAAATAAATGCATACAAATAAATTAGCACTTTATTTACTGTTTGTGGTTGTATGTTAATTTTCATTTGGCAAAGGAGGGTTATCTGCTAAAAGTGTTGGAAAATAATGTTCTAGATGTCCTATTCAAGTATTAAGTATCAAGACACACCTCTAATTTCTCCTTTAAAATATGATGACTGTAATAGCTAATCTCCAGGATTGTTGTAAGAATTAAAGATAATATGTGAAATGTTTACAGAGAATTTATGAGGCAATATTGAAGCACTTAGCAAAGTGTCCTCAAATAATCATGTCATAAATTCTGTTATTATTATTACTCTAGGAAGTATCTGCCTTGTGAATGAATGAAAAAAAATTCACTGAGAACACACTGGACAGTTCTGGCTTTTCTGATCTTGATATCATAGCTCAGCCACTAAAATTTCTTAATATAATTTGTTACAGTTCCATTTGAGAATATGACAGAAACTATGGACCTGCTTCCACTCATGTCACTTTTTGTATTTTTCCACGATGTTCACAGTTTTCTAGGGGTTGAGTCTATCCAGAAACTCCAGATTAAGATCCCTACCTCAAGTTTGTTCTTTAGAGATATCAGTAATGCAACCAGTTATTCAATAAAATAAGCCTAGACTTTTAAAATTTCCAATACATACTTAACCATCACCACAACTACACAAGATTTTAGAACTCAGCTCATTGGCTTTTTTGTTTTGTTGTTTGTAAAGAACATTCTTACGGCCATTAAATTGGCTATTCAGAGCTCCAAGTTCAGATATCTGTCAGTTTTGTTTCTTGTCTTAAAATAGAGAAGATGGCTGTGAAAAAAGAACATGGAAACTGGCTCTCTTTCTTTCAGCAATAAACTTGTACTTTTTCAAAACTTCTTTCCTCAGTTATGATCTGATACAAAAATTAGAAAAGTGTGTATCATGGATGTGTGAAAAATAAATGAGGATTGCAAATGAGCTGAAATACTGTAGCTTAGATTAGTAATTTATATGTACCAAAATTATAAATTTTGTTAAGTGCACCACAGAGTATGTCACTCATTCCTTTTTTAAACGTTTTAGAAGATTTTCAGAGATGAACACAAAAAAATTTCCCTCTTCTTTCTTTTAAAGAAAGAAAAGATGTAGATGATTAGCATTACGGTACATCAATTAGTGCCTCTGTTCTCTTATAATATATCATATGTCAAAACTTCTGTCTTTGGAATAACAAAAATGACCTTTTGGTGCCGTAAGCTCTCGCTGACCTTTTAGTAGCCATAACAGTGGCAGAGAAACAATAAAGATACGTCAAGCAAGAGTTACTTCTTGCCACTGGGATTCTCAGGGAATGAACCAGGATGCTATAAGCAACTTGCTCAACTAAAGTTGTAAGTAAAAATGAACAAAAAGACTGTTCTATTATGAGAATCAACTTCATGTCCTTGAAGTGGTATTTAAATATTTCAGTTAACATAAAGCTTACAGCAGTGTGCACTTTAGAGAAAGTGCAATTTTCAGAATATACTTAGTGAGTGATGTAAATATCAACATTTTGAAAGCTACCTATCTAGCTTAAAGTAAATTTATTAATGGAAAATATAATTTAAACACAAGAGTAGTGTAGCTTAATTTAGAAAGATGTAATAGAGAATGATAGTTTTATATTTGACTTCCTCTCATCAATTAAAATGTTAACATCAGCTTGTCACAGAGAAACCATTTCTTTTCAAAGAGCTTGGAACAACACACTGGGCTGATGTTTGAAATCTGTATCTGTATGATTTATCTATAGGGCACCATTTGAACATTTATTATCTTTGCTGTCCAGAGTGTATAATTTTGTTTATGTTTTTCATGAAGTGTGGAATCACAATTATGAATTTATATAAACCCAAGCTCCGTAGTTAAATAAGATGAAAGACCGGAACTACTTCAGTACATTCCAGTGTGAGCAAATTGGGATTCTGGTAACCATGAGGCTCCAGCTTCTAGTGAAGTTGTTGCGGGGAGAAGGAGTAGGGGGTGAGGAGTAGGGAGGGAGATAATTTCATCAAAGGCAGCTGGGTTTGTGTGAGAATTTGACCTGCTAAAGAACAATGAGTTTAGCTCTTCAAATACGGTTTCAGTAATTATTTTCATGATGTTATTTTGTTATCTGATAGACACCTGTGATCACTTTTCTGTTGGTTAATTTTGCTGTAATCTTTTAGCATATATTTTTAAGCTCAGTCTTTTTTATTTTTAACACAAACAATCTCAAAGTCTGTAGCAAAATACTTTTAAATAGTGGAATCATCATTCAATTCTCTTGAACATTTGTATTTAAATTCATTTTGAAAGCAACATGTTCTTATTCTGATATTTTCTTTGATTAAAACTTAGATTTAAGTATGTAGTCACTTTTATTATAAGAGTTCTTATAAATAACTCTTAGCTTCATTCATTTATTCAATGGTCATTCTACTAAATGTCAGCTATTCTGGGCTTTGTACTAAGACTTGGGTGACAAAAATGAATAAAACTAAGACAATGCTCAGAAACAGCAAATCTTGTTGAATTGTGCTTCTCCTCTCTAGTTCAGCTACATCACGCTAAAATAATTGGTGGATTCACAAAATGCATTCTTTAAAACATGCATCCTTTGCAGCAGGAGGTGGGGAGATGGGGAAGAGAATAAAATAGGCCTATTAAGTAGTTTTTAGCAGAAATAATTTTAAAGGCATCACTGGTCTCCAGACTGCCTCTCCTCACTGTCACCCTTAATAGAAACTCCCTTTCTTTTCTTTACTTGTCTTCCTTTCAAGGTTCAGGTCATACAACCTGTTCCACGCAGCCATCCTCTTCTCTAGTCTTTAATGAGCATGTGGCACTTTGCAAGATCCTTATTGATGGTACACTCAATTAATATTAGAACATGCTGCCATGAATAATTTATCTTTATTTAATGTTTGCCCTAAATTTGCAATCAGGATTTAAATCCTGCAATGAAGGATCCATATCTTCTGGGGTTTCATATCCCCAGTGAGGTGGTTTATTCAAACCTGATACTCTTGACGTGGTTGTGATGATATCTTCTATTAGATGTAACAAATACAGCACCTAATTTTTTACTGGTTGGTAACATATTCTTGTATCCTATTGAGTAATACACATGACCATAAGAGGGAATGAAATGACCTAAGTCTCATCAAGCCTCAAGTGACACAAATATTGATAGGTTCAACCTCCACAGTGGTCATTGAAAGGATGATACCTGGACTAAAGTAATGAATTTCCCTATAGGAAGGAATTTTAATGGGCATCCAAGTAAGAAACTGTTTTCTTCCTACAAAAATTTAGGAAGGCTTAAGAAATCCATCATGCCATAATTGCAACCTATCTATCCAATCTGTTTTCCAAAGGACAACCTCTTTAATTCAGAAATCTGAGACTCACATCCTTCTATTTAAAATTCCTTCAGTTACCCCTTCATTATGAAGTACAAACTCCTTAACATAACCATGTACAAGTCTTCTCATGATTGGCTCCTGACTAACTCTTTGGTTTCATGGTCAGTATTGTTTCTCATGATCTCCATTCTGTTTGATTGTCAAGTTGAATTCCTGACTCCCTATAAGAGCATCTCTTCCTCTCAACCTTTGTAAGTGATAGTTTTCTTTTGGTATAATATTCCTCCTTCTTTTTTCTTGGACAAATAATTCCTTAGGTCTCTCCAATATTACCTCTTTTGTGAAAACTTCCCTTCCCTGCTGTTAGTGTCCCTTTCTTTTTCCATAGCACCTTAGGCAAAGGCATGCATAGTACTGCTTAGCTGCTCAACGCCAGGGCCACTGTTTACATTTTAGTCTATTCGTATTGCACTGTGAAAAGCCATTTATGTAGAATAAAGTGTGAATTTTCTACCACTCTGAGGCCCTATCTGTGTCATAATTTTAACTTACTACATACTTTGTTATTGTCTTTTCACTTATTTTCACTTCCTCTTCCCTGGGATCAGTGTTTCTAGAATTGTGTTGTGAAGATGCCAGGCATCAGAGCCACATAATAGTGCTTATAAAAACTTCAGAGTGCCTTAACTGACCCTATAGCGTCAAAGTTGCTATTTATGGGATCCGGACATCTCCTTTTTTAACAAGATGCCCAGGAGACAACTTTGCCTCCTATAGTTTGAGAACTATTATAGTTGACTTAGAACTCCTTGAGGGCACCAACTATGCCCTACTCACTTTTGTATCTTCAGCACATATTCTGGCATGCAGCAGAACTGAATACACATTCCCAAATATGAATTATTGTGACTATAGTATGAATGGAAAAATCTCTCAACTGTAAGATTGTGATTCTTGGATGTTAAAAATAACTGTGCAGTGGATGGAGCTGGAAGCCATTATCCTAAGCAAAGTAATGCAAGAACAGAACACCAAATCCTGCATGTTCTCATTTATAAGTGGGAGCTAAACAGTGAGAACACATGGACACAAAGGAGGGAACAATAGTCACTAGGGCCTACTTGAGGGTGGTAAATGGGAGGAGAGAGAGGATCAACAAACTACCTATCAGGTACTGTGCTTATTACCTTGGCAACGAAATAATTTGTACACCAAACCCCCATGACATGCAATTTACCTATATAACAAACCTGCACATGTATCCCTGAACCTAAAATAAAAGTAAAAAAATAAAAAAAAAAACTATTCAAGATATCAACTATGCTGGGCAGGACATCAGTACTTCTTATCTTGCCTCCAGCTACCCTTTGCTGAAGCTAAGTTTCAGGCAAGTGTGGTAAAGAGGTAAGGGCTCTTTTCTCCCACCCAACCCCAACTGATAAGACACAGACTCTTTCTTGGACACAGCAACACTGAGACTACTGTGAAACATTTGCCTTTGCCCTGGCTCAAGGTAGTGATTTCACACTGGGAGAGAGAAGTTGAGAAGATCGGAGGCTACTGCACCCCTGTCCTGTTAGCACACGGCTCCTAAAGCAAGGATGTCTGTCTTAGAGAAGCCTGCTATTGTTTCTATCCTAATACCAGAGCCATAGCTCAGAAATTTTGCTCAGGAGAAGAAGCAGGTTGGAGAACAGAGAGCTCCAAATCACTCTTCTCCCAATCTTATTTCACTTACAATATAGCATGAAGAAGTTCAAGCCTAAGGACACTCTCAAAAACAATGCAGGCGATTATGGGGAAAGGTAATTGAAAGGAAATTGGTAGTCTCATTGGACAAGTAGGCTAAACTGCAGCTGGTTGGTTTATATGAGAGAACCACAGCAAGAACCCACTT
Organism: Homo sapiens; assembly: GCF_000001405.40. Taxonomy (NCBI): domain Eukaryota; kingdom Metazoa; phylum Chordata; class Mammalia; order Primates; family Hominidae; genus Homo; species Homo sapiens. The sequence continues at coordinate 51,531,541 of NC_000005.10, forward strand.
GGGGTCATAAGAAATCTAAAACACCAACCTGCAGTCTGAATTTTATTGGTTTAGTTTGTGGGGCAATTTATGTACCAATACATTGTTGAAAACAATAGAGTGCAACCGACCAGTGATTAGCAGATATTAACAGTTGGGATTGAACAGGGAAAGAAAGAATCAATGAGAGGCCTGATAAAGTCACTTTCATTGGGGATGACTGTGGGCATATACAAGACTGCAGCTTTTGAGGAATATCAGAGGCTTACTACTGCAAAGATAAGTAGACACCACTAAAACAATTAACTAAATTACAGTTAATTATAAACTAAAGAAATAAATAACCATAATGACCTTGGGGATGTGGTGGTTACCAGCACTCAGTATTACAACAATATATTATTTAAAATATCTATTCTCCAAAAAATCATGAGATATGCAAAGAAACAGAAAAGTATGACCATATACCAGAAAAAAACCAGGTAATAGAAACTATCTCTGAGAGTAATCAGATGTTATATTTAAAAGAAAAAAATATTCAAAGTAGCCATTATAAATATGTTCAAATAAATTAGCTCTTGATTAAATAAAAGAAGGTATGATGTCAGTGTCACATAAAAAAGAAAATATCAGTGATGAGAAATTATAATAACCAAATGGAAATTTTAAATTTGAGAAATGCAAAACTAAAATGAAACATTTATTATGGGAGCTAAACAGTTTTAAACTGGCAGAAGAAAGAACTAAACTTGAAGATAGATTTATAGAAATTATGCAATACAAAGAACAAAGATAAAAATAATTAAGAAAAATGAACAGAGCCTTAGAGAAACATGGGATACTATTAATCACACATGTGCATGTGACTATCAAAAGAGGAGAAAGAGAAAAGGAGCATAAAAATGTTCAAAACACTAATGGCAAAAATCTTTCCAATCAATTGAAAAACATTGAAATATACATCCACAAATCTCAACAAACTCCAAAAGGGTAAATGCAAAGAGGTGTACAAATAGAGACATTATAGTAAAAATTCTGAAAGTCAAAAGACAAAAAGTAAATGTCAAATGGAGCCAAACCTTTAAAAGAGAACCCCAATAATAATACAAGCTGACTTCTCTGCAGAAACAATGAGGGCGGGAAAACAGCGAGATAACATATTGCAAGTGCTCTAAGGAAAACACACACACACACAAACACACACACACACACACACACACCCCAAAAGCTGTCAACCAAGAATCCTCTATCAAAGCTATCTTTCAAAAGCAATGACAAAATGAATATTTCAACAAAAAATGAAAAAACTTATTTTCAGCAGAAACACAATATAAGAAATACTAAAGGAAATTCTTTAGGCTGAAAGCAAGTGATCCCAGAAGGTAATTCAAATCGACACACCTACAAAATAAAAAGCACCAGTAAAGATAATTATGTAATTATAAAACAGTAGGAATGCATGTTTATCTCCCTTTTAAAATGATTTGTATAAAATAATATGCATATAATGTATTATTTGACCTATAACACATAATCATGTGTCACATCACAAGGTTTCAGTCAAGGACAGATGACATATACAACAGTGGTCCCATAAGATTATAATGGAGCTGAAAGATTTTTATTGCCTAGTGACATTGCAGCTATGTATACAGTTGTAATGCAATGCATGACCCACATGCTTGTGGTGATGCTGGTGTATGTAAGCAGACGTACTGCATTGCCAGTCATATGAAGAGTATAGCATATGCAATTATACAGTATATAAGACTTGATAATGATAATAAACAAATCTGTTAAACATCTATGTGTGTATTATATTATACTTTCTGTTGTTATCTTAGAGTGTCCTCTTACTTATTTTTTTAAAGGTTATTGTAAAGCAGCGTAAGGAAGGTCCTTCCCAAGAATACTTCTGGAACTATTCCAGAAGAAGGCATAGTTTTCACAGGAGATGAAAACTCCATGCATGTTATTGCCCTGAAGACCTTTCAGTGGGGCAAGATGTGGAAGTGGAAGACAGGGATATTGATGAATCTGATCCTGTGTAGGCCTAGGCTAATGTGTGTGTTTATGTCTTAGTTTTTTATTTATTATTATTATTCTACTTTACATTCTGGGATACATGTGCAGAACGTGCAGTTTTGTTACATAGGTATACACCTGCATTGGTGGTTTGCTACACCCATCAACCGGTCTCCTACCCTAGGTATTTCTCCTAATGCTATCCCTCCCCTAGTTCCCCACCTGGTGTGTGATGTTCCCCTCCCTCTGTCCACGTGTTCTCATTGTTCAATTCCCACTTATGAGTGAGTACATGCAGTGTTTGGTTTTCTGTTCTTGTGTTAGTTTGATGAGAATGATGGTTTCTAGCTTCATCCATGTCCCTGCAAAGGACATGAACTCATCATTTTTTATGGCTGCTGAATTATTTTTTCAATGTACTGTTTAATCTGGTTTGCTGGTATTTTGGTGAGGATTTTTCCATCTATACGCATCAGAAATATTGGCCTGTAATTTTCTTTTTTTGTAATGTCATCATCTGTTGTTGGTATCGAGGTAATAATGGCCTCAAAAAAATGGTTTGAAGGTATTCCTTCCACTTTGAGATTTTGGATGAGGTTGAGAAGGGTTAGTATTAGTTCCACTTTAAGTGTTTGGTGGAATTCACCTGTGAAGCCATAGGATTCCATTTATTGATGAAAAACATTTTATTACTGATTCAATCTCCTTCCTCAATATTGATTGGTTCAGATTTTCTATTTCTTATTGATTCAGTTTTAGTAGGTTATACGTACCTAGGGATTTATTTATTTCTTCTAGCTTGTCTTATTTGTTTGGCATATAATTCTACATAACAATCTCTTATAATCCTTCTTATTTCTGTGGTATCAGTGGTAATGTCTTCCCTTTCATTTATGACCTTATTTATTAGTCTTCTCTCTTTTTTCTTAGTCCAGCTAAGGGTTTGTCAATTTTGTTTATCTTTTCAGAAAACTTACTCTTGATTTTGTTGATTTAATTGTTTTGTAAGTCTCTACTGTATTTATTTTTGTTCTGATCTTTGATATTTTCTTCCTTCTACTAACTTTGGGCATAGTTTTGTTTTGTTTTTCTTTTTCTAGCTCGTTGAGATATAATGTTAGGTTGTTTATTGGAGATATTTCTTTTTATTTTGATATAGGCATTTATTGCTATAAATTTTCCTCTTAGAATGGCTTTTGGTGCATGCCATAGGTTTTGGTATGTTGTGTTTCCATTTTCATTTGTGTCAGTGTAATTCTAAATTTCCCTTTTGATTTCTTTTGACCCGTTGGTTGTTCAATTTTTACATATTTGTGAATTTTCCAACATTTCTCCTTTTATTGATTTCTAGTTTTATATCACTGAGATCATAAAAAATGCATGATATGATTTCAACCCTCTGAAATTTGTTCAGACTTGTTTTGTGGCCCAAACTATTATCTATCTTTGAAGAAATTTCTGTATGTGCTTGAGAAGAATATGAACTCTGTTGCTGCTGGATAACATGTTATATATATATGTACTTTAAAGGACCTAACAGACGTGTATATATATGTCATATATATACATATACATATATATGTATATATGTCATATATATACATATACATATATATGTATATATGTATATATCTGTCTGACATACATATGTATATATATGTCTGTCATATATATGTATATATGTGTGTGTGTGTGTGTATGTCTGTTAGGTCCTTTAGTTTAAAGTATAGTTCAAGTCTAATGTTTCCAGAAAGATTTTCTGTTTGGATGATCTGTTTATTGTTGAAAGTGGGGGTATTGATGTCCCCTACTATTATTTTATTACAGTCTATCTCCTTCTTCAGATCTATTAATGTTTGCTTTATATACTTAGGTTCTCTGACTTGTAGTGCCTCTGTATTTACAATTATTATACTCAACAAATTGAGTTTTATCAATATATCATATCAATGACATATATATCACATGAATATATCATATCAATGACATACATATCACATCAATATATCATATCAATGACATACATATCACATCAATATGTCATATCAATGACATACTTATCACATCAATATATCACATATGTGACATGCATATCCCATCAATATATCACATATGTGACATGCATATCCCATCAATATATCACATATGTGACATGCATATCCCATCAATATATCACATATGTGACATGCATATCCCATCAATATATCACATATGTGACATGCATATCCCATCAATATATCACATATGTGACATGCATATCCCATCAATATATCACATATGTGACATGCATATCCCATCAATATATCACATATGTGACATGCATATCACATCAATATATCACATATGTGACATGCATATCACATCAATATATCACATATGTGACATGCATATCACATCAATATATCACATATGATATATATCATATCAATATATCACATATGATATATATCATATCAATATATCATATATGATATATATCATATCAATATATCATGTCAATATATCATATATGAGATATATCATGACAATATATCATATGTATGAGATATATCATGTCAATATATCATATGTATGAGATATATCATATCAATATATCATATGTATGAGATATATCAATATATCATATGTATGAGATATATCATATTAATATATCATATGTATGAGATATATCATATCAATATATCATATGTATGAGATATATCATATTAATATATCATATGTATGAGATATTTCATATCAATATATCATATGTATGAGATATTTCATATCAATATATCAGATGTATGATATATCATATCAATATATCAGATGTATGAGATATATCATATCAATATATCATATATATGAGATATATCATATCAATATATAATGACCTTCTTTATCAATATGTAATGACCTTCTTTGTTTCATTTTACAATTTTTGACTTAAAGTTTATATTGTCTGATATAAGTATAGCTACATCTGCTGTCTTTTATTTTCCATTTGTATAGACTATCTTTTTTTTCATTCCTTCGCTTTCAGTCTATATGCATCCTTAAAGGTGAGGTGAGCCTATTGCAGGTAGCATGTGGTTGGGCCTTTTTTTAAAAAAAACTATTCAGCCACCATATATCTAATTATTGAAAAGTTTAATCCATAATCCTTTTACATGCAATGTAATTATTGATAGGTAAAGACTTATTATTGCCATTTTGTAATTTTTGTCTGTTTTTTAAAGATATGCTTTGTTTCTTTCTCTCTTGCTCCCTTCCTTTGTGGCTTGATGGTTTTCTGTAGTGATGTGCCTTGAATCCTTTGTATTTTTGTTTTTGTTGATCTACTATAGATTTTTGCTTTCTGGTTACCACGAGGCTTACATAAAATATCTTATACTTATAACAGGCTATTTCAAACAGATAATAACTTAACTTTGATTGCATACAGCTCTATAATTTTACTCATCCCCCACATTCTATGTTTGTGGTATTAAAATTTACATTATTTTGTAATTTATGTCCCTTTACAATTTATTTTAGCTGTAGTTTTTTAATAGTTGTGTCCTTTAATCATCATACTAGAGTTAAAATTGCTTTTAGCCCTAAAATTACAATCCTAAAGTATTCTGAATATGACTCTATGTTACTTAGACAATTGAGATTTGTATTTTTGTATATTTTATGTAATTAATTAACAGGTTTTTGTTTTAGCGTAGACAACTCCCTTTAGTAATTCCTCTAAGGTAGGCCTAGGGATGAGGAACTCTTAGCTTTGTTTTTCTGGGAAATTTTTCATTTCTCACTTTTGAGGAATAGTTTTGCTGGGTAAAGTATTCCTGGTTGGTGAGTTTTTTGTCTTTTTCGGTCTTATTTTCCTTCAGCACTTTGAATATATCATTATTTCTGCCTTGGCCTGCAGGTTTTTTGCTAAACCTGCAGGGACTCCTTTGTGTGTGATATGTTTCTTAACTCTTGCTACTTTTAGAATTTTTTTTGTCTTTGATTTTTTATAGTGTGATCATTAATGTATCTTGGTGAACTCTTCTTTTGGTTGAATTTAATTGGAGAACTCTGTGGTTCCTGAACCTGGGTCAGCACCTTTCCCCAGATTTTGGAAATCTTCAGTCATTACTTCTTTAAATACATTTTCTGGATTTTTTCCTCTTTTTTTTTTCTTTGGGAAATCCTATTATGCAAAATGTTCGGTCTCTTTATGGTATCCAATAGTTCCAGAAGTCTTTAGTCTTTCTTCATTTTTTTTTTTATTATTATACTTTAAGTTCTGGAGTACATGTGCAGAATGTGAATGTTTGTTACATAGGTATACACGTGCCATGGTGGCTTGCTGCACCCATCAACCTGTCATCTACATTAAGTATTTCTCATAATGCTATCCCTCCCCTAGCCCCCAATCCCCTGACGGACCCCAGTGTGTGATGTTCCCCTCCCTGTGTCCGTGTGTTCCCATTGTTCAACTCCCACTTATGAGTGAGAATACGCGGTGTTTGGTTTTCTGTTCTTGCATTAGTTTGCTGAGAATGATGGTTTCCAGCGTCATCCATGTCCCTGCAAAGAACATGAACTCATCTTTTTTATGGCTGCATAGTATTCCATGTGTATATGTGCCACATTTTCTTTATCCAGTCTATCATTGATGGGCATTTGGGTTGGTTCCAAGTCTTTGCTATTGTGAACAGTGGTGCAATAAACATATGTGTGCATGTGTCTTTATTTACTGTATCTATTTCCACACAAAATGCCAAAGACCGGGGTGGTGGGAAAAGATGAGTACAGAAGAGATGGTATGCTAAGTCTGCCTTTACAGAATCTCAATCAAATACAGTTGAACAACATGGGGGATAAGCTGTGCCTTATTAGAAAATAGGGTATTTGCAGATGTAAATGGTTAGGCAATGAAAATACAAAAGAGGTGTACACTGAGGTCACACTGAATTAGAGTGGGCTTTAAGTTTAATTACTGGTGTCCTCAAGAGGAGAAAAACATTTGAAGACATAGACACACACAAAGGGAAAAAGGCAATGTGACCACAGAGGCAGAGATTGGAGAGATGCAGCTGTAAGTCAAGGAGCACCAAGGATTGCCAACACGCAGAAGCTATGAACCAGCAAGGGATCCTTTCCTAGAACCTTCGATGGGAGCATGCGCCTATTTGGCCATCTTGCTGGTGTCACTCTGTATGTGTTATTTATCAAGTTAAGGAAGTTGCTTTCTATTTCTAGCTTACAGAGAGATGTTTAATCATGAATGAGTGTTGGAATTTGTCAAATGTTTTCTATACATATATTGTTATAATCATATTATTTTTCTTTCTTGGAATGTTGATGTCAGGTATTACATTAATTGCTTTCAAATGTTGAAATAGTCTTCAAATACCTGTAATACATCCCACTTGGTCATGGAATACAATTAATTTTATACATTGTTGGATTCAATTTGCTAATATTTTGTTGAGGTTTTGCATCCATAGTTAAAAGGCATATTGGTCTTTAGTTTTCCTATTTTAAAATTATCCCATGTTCTTTGTCTGGTTTTGGTATTAAGATAATATTTACCTCATAGAATAAGTTAAGTAGTCATGCCTCTGCTTCTATTTTTTGAAATATTTTGTAGGGAATTAGTGTGATTTTCCATAAATAGTTGGTAGAATTCACTAGGAAACTATCTGGACTTTTTTTTCTATTTTGGAAGCTTATTAATTATTTAATTTCTTAATAGATATAGACCTATACATGTTGTCTATTTCTCCTTGAATGAATTTTGGTAGATTATGTCTTTCAAGGAACTGGTTCTTTCATCTAGGTTATCAAATCTCTGGGCATAGAATTGTTAATAATATTTCTTTATTATTCTTTTAATGTCCGAGGATCAATAACGATGACATCATTTCTTATGTCTGTAATTTGTTTCTTCTTTCTTTTTTTCCTTGGCTAGACTGATTAACATTTTAACTTTATCAATTTTTTTCTCTTTCCAAAGAATCAGTTCTTGATTTTACTTATTTTTCTCTAATTATTTTCTCCAATTTCATTGAATTCTGCTTGAATTTTTATTATCTCATCTCTTCTGCTCAATTTAGATTTAATTTGCTCTTCTAATTTACTAAGATGGAAGCTAATATTATCATTTTTAGACATATCTAATGCTGTAAATTTATCTTTAAGCACAGCTTTAACTCCATCCCATAAGTTTTGATAAGTTGTATTTTCATTTGAAAAAATTTCAAAATATTCCAAGATATTTAAAATTTTTGCTTGAGACTTCTTTTACCCCATTCACTATTTAGAAGTGTGTTGTTTAATCCCAAAACATTTTGGGATTTTCCAATTCTCTGTTACTGATTTCTGGTTTAATTCCATTGTGGTCTGAGAGTATATACTGTGTTATTTCTATTCTTTTATATCTGTTAAGGTGTTTTATTATCTAGAATATACTTTGTCTTAGTGTATATTCCATGTGAGCTTTAGAAGAATATGTGTATCCTACTGTTCTGTCTGACTTTACAATTGTCAAGTAGATCCAGTTAGTTGATGGTGCTATTTCACTTAACTATAACCTACTGATTTTCTGTCTGCAGGGTCTGTCAATTACTGATTGAGTGTCTTGAAATCTCCAACTAAATTAGGATATGTGTCTTTCTTTTTTCAGTTCTTGAACCATTGTCTTCTTTATTCCTGGTAATTTTCCCTTCTCTGAAGTCTGCTTTGTCAGAAATATTATAGGTACTTCAGCTTTCTTTTGATTAGTGTTAATATGATATATCTTTATCATTTACATTTGAATCTACCTGATTATTTATTTAAGGTGAGTTTCTTGTAGACAATGCATAGTTGGGTTTTGTTTTATTATGCACTCTGGCCATCTCTCTCTTTTAACTAGTATATTTAGATAACTCATATGCAAAATGATGATTGATATATTTGGATTCATATCTATTATATTTTTAATTGTTTCCTATTTACTTTCCATGCTCTTCATTTCATTTTTGTCTTCCACCTTTTTTCTATACTCTGGATTTATTTGAGCATTTTATATAATTTTATTTTATGTCTTTTATACCAAGTCAGTAATGTTTTTTAAAAGATTTTTTTTCAGTGGTTACTCTAGAGTTTGCAGTATACATTTACAACTAATTTAAGTTCACTCTCAAAAAATATACCACTTCATGGATAGTGTAGGTACCTTATAGTAGAGTATTCCCAATTCTTCCCTCCCATTCTTTACTGCAATGTGGTCATTCATTTCAATTACCCATCAAGTGTATAAATGAATATATTATTGTTATAATTATTTCAGTAAAATCTATCAGATTAATTAAAGTCAGTGCTATCAGAAATATTACATCACCTTTATTTATTCTTTCTGCTATGCTCTTCTCTTCTCTAGGTCTGAATCTCTATCGTTGTTGTTCTCTCTGAAGCACTTTCTAACATTTCTTGCAAGTCAGGTTCTTTGGTGACAAATTCCCTCAATTTTTATTTTTCTGAGAAAGTTTTTATTTCTCCTTTATTCCTGATGGATAACTTCCCTGGATGCATAATTCTAGGTCTAGTTGGTAGCTTCTACTTTCAAGACTTTAAAAATTTCTATCCAACTTCCTATTGCTTGTGTGGTTTCTAAAGAGATATCCAAATGTAATTCTTATTACTCTATGAGTAAAGTTTTTGTTCCCAGTAGTTTATTTCAAGATTTTTCTTTGTCTTTGACATTCTGCAATTTGAATACACTGTAATGGTATGCATAAGCATAGAATTTTCGGTATTTACCTTGCTTGGTGTCCTCTGAGCTTCCTGGATTTTTGTTTTGATGTCTGCCATTAATTTTGAAAAATACTCAGCTATTGTTACTTCAAAAATGTTTGTTCCTTTCTCTTTTTATTTTTCTGGTATTCCCACTATGTGTATTTTACACCTGTGTAATTGGATATTCTGTTGTTTTTAAAAATTATGTTTCCCTTTTTTCACTTTGGGAATACCTATTGACATATCTTCAAGCTTACTGATTTTTTTCCTTGACTATGTCCAGTCCACTAATGAGTCCATTAAAGACATTATTTATTTATACACAATGCTTTTGGTTTATATTTCCTCTTTATTTTTTTTCTTAGAGTTTCCTTCTCTCTGCTATAACCAATTTATTCTTGCATGTTGTCTATCTTTTCTATTAAAGTCCTTGGCATAAAATTCATACTTATTTTTTTTTAAATTCCCAAATATCTGATAATTCCAAAACCTCTGTTGTAGCTGGGTCTGGTTCTGATGCTTTCTTTGTATCTTCCAATTGATTATTTTTTGTCTCTTATGATACCTTGTAATTTTTTGTTAGAAGCCAGACATAATGTACTGGGTAAAAGGAACTGAGGTAGATGGGTCTTTAATGTGAAGTTATACATTTATCTGGCTAAAAGTTAGGATGTGTTCACTATTCACTATTGCTGTGGTATCAGAGGTTAAAATTTCCATTACTTTTCTTGTTTTTGTCTCCTTTTTGTTTTTGGTTTCTCTAGAAACTCCTTCAATAGTGTCAGAAGCTTGCAATTTGTTCAGCTGTCATCCCTCTTATTACACAAGAACCTTATTGATGAGGTCAAATTCACAGAAAGAGAAACTAGATTGGTATTGCCAGGTTCTGGGATGAGAATGAAGAGGAGTGATGGCTAATGAGTTTAAGACTTTTTGGGAGGTGATTAAAATGTCCTGAAATTAGATAGCAGTGATTGCACAACTCTGTGAACGTGCTAATAATCAGTAAATTGTACCCTTTAAGAGGGTATGAATTTTTTTTGGTATGTGAATTATATCTCAACAAAGCTGGTATGTAAAAAAACAAAACATAGGTGAACACATTATATTGGCGGTGGGGAAAATTCAGAATTTTTATATAAGGTGTACTTTGGGGAAATTGGAATATCCTAAATTGCATTATAACCAAACTACAAAGTTTTAGGGAGTCATTAAAAATTACATTACCAAAGATGTTACAAGGTAAGTAAAAACTCAGGGTAAAATTACATGCACAGCATAATTTGAACATTATAAAATAAAATGCTTTTATCTCTATGTGTATATATTTCCAAATCTAGCTTTAAAATTACGTATTTTAAAATGAAAATAGCATAAGAAAATTCATGTTAATGTCAACAGTATTTATGAATATTAATATTATGGGTGATGGTATCCTTTAAAATCATAAAAACTTTTAAAATTCTATATAAAGAGTATGCATTATATTTACAATCATAAAAATACATCACTAAAAGATACATTATCTTTTTACTTGTGATTCTTAAATACATAGTATACAGTGTGAGGTGAGGCTCCAGTATATAACTTAATTATTTGAGTAATAATTATAATAACAACAATAACTGATTAATCAATACCTATCATTGAGTTCTCACTCTCTTTATCCCATTCATTGGTTTTGCCAATGCCATTGTGATCTTCAAGCAAATGGACACAATGACACTGCTCTGTCAGTCTGCCTCATGAAAAGCCATTTTAAGATGAGGATTAAGCAATGTACTATATGGTAAGGCAAGGCTATTTATAGCACACCCTTGGAATTAAACTTAATTGTATCATCATTATGAGGCAATCTTTACAGAGTTCTGTGAAATGCATTCTATAATTGTAAAAATTGCATTTGCAAATGTCCCTTTAGTAACTAACCAAAAGATAGAGGCAGTAGGGAAAAATTTAATTTAAGAAAATAGAATAGAGTTGAAAATTTATGGGAAATTCTGAATAAAGTTCATAATTTTACCCATTCCTTGTAATGATTACTCAAAAACCAGAACAGGAAGAAACTGGACTTATTAAAAGAAGCATTAAATAAAGCATGAAACAATGTAGACTGGCAAACTACTGTATCTAGAAGCCTTCTTCCCCTGTGGACACATAAAAGACTAAAAAATGTTGATGATATAAACTTAAGAAACAAAATATCCCACCTGGAGCAGTTTCCTCAAAAGTTATTTAGACTTTGCTACTCTACCTAAAAGCAGTTCGCATTATACTAATAGGTCCAAGCAAGCAGTTTAGGTTGCATGGTACATGATATCCATGCTGGATCAGAGGCTAAAAGCAGTTGGTTTTTCTGGCTTCCTATTTTGTTTCCTTTGATGACCTAAGTCCTAATGACATGCTTTTTCAAACGTTCAACAGCACTTAGGTTTTCATTTAAAATTTTATTATATTTTATTATATACAATTCTCTTTAATTAAATCAAGATGTGTTTCTTGTTTGAAATGAAGTTCCTCCAAGGAAAGAATTGTGTGTGTTTCATTTTTTTAAATATATTTTTCCCAAGGATCCAGGACTGTGTGGGGCAATGCTTAAGAAATACATAATCTCATTTTATTGTGTTAGTCCTTATCTAAACCTCAGTTTTACTGAACTCAGATTCAGAACTTCCCCCCATTACCTATGCATTTAAGCAATACCGTACCATATCACCACATAATGTCTTCTCCTTGTTCATTTATACATCCATCCCTCTATTCAGCAATCCATATCCACACTGGCTTTTTTTCTCTTTAGTCCAGGGCTTGGGATACTTTTCTTTAAAGGTCCAGAAAGTAAAATTGTAGGCTTTCTGGCCCATATCATCTCTGTAGCAATTACTCAACTCTGCCATTATAGCACAAAAGCAGCCAAAACAATTCGTAAGCAAATAACTTTGGCTGGGTTCCAAGAAAACTTTATTTATGAAACCCAGGCATACGCTGGATTTGGTCATGGGTTATAGTTTGCAGATCCATGCTCTAGTCCATTTTTTTCCTCACTTACCAATTTGCCAGGTATGTATTTTAATCAGCAAGAGACAGAATGTTCTGAAGATGATGCTACATTATTGCTGATAAATCTTCAGTCACATTAATTACATTCTCAGCCTGGTTTTAAATAACCTGATTTCTAACATTCCTAAAGATCTGCTACTTCAACTACACTTGCTTGTTCCACAGAGTTCAGAGATACTTTGAGTCTTCCCAGCACATTATATTTATCTACACCCCATTCTATTGTTACTAAACTGCCCCTTGTTTATTTATTCAAGAACAATTTCCCCTATCAAACTTACAAAAGCTAGTCTCCCTGACCACTTAGCAGGAAGTGGCTTAGCTGTGGTTATTTGAGTAATTTTTAAACCTTCTATCATTGCCTGTATATTTTACATCTTTTTGTTAAGCAATTTTTTAATTTAAATCATCATATTAATTTTTGTTTATAATGTTATGTTTCTAATTACAATAAAATTTCTTGAGGAAAATAAATGTATTACACTTATAAAACTTCCTCATTGCATCTAGCATAGCAATTAACGAATAATAGAGGCTCATCACTGTTTGACTTGGTGGCTATTACTCTGAAGAACCAACTCTTCTCAATAGCATATTCATTGAAGTTTCTCAACATGACACAGTAGATTGCAACTGATAGTTGGTAAAGTTTTTCTCCCTCACAGAAAAAATTTTCATTGGACAAATGAATAATTTTTCATAAAATGGATACTATTAAAGCATATTATTTACTTTCTGATTACCTTAAAGAATGTTCAGTACTGTACATATAAAATAGTTTATTAATTGCCATAACAATTATAAAGTTAATAAAATTTTAACAGTATTTGACCTTGTTGCTAGAAATTTATCAAAATAACTGATATTTATCAAACTAACTGATACTGAAGTTTATAAAATGTGATTTAAAACAACATATAGGTAAAAATTCACCTAAAGCTCTTTTTCACTGGATAACGTACTTTTTTTCTTTGGTTGAAAGGAGAATGCTTTATTGCCCTTTGTTCCCCTTAAGCAATGCTTAACTTGTTTTAAGTTTCGGTGAGATTATTTTTCTGTACTTTTGGTGCATATATTATGAATGCTGAGTTTGTCTGTTGTGAATTCTTATTGTTACAGTAATGACTAACATAGCAAAAGTCAGACACATTTTATATTTTCTGTAAATAGAAGCTTATGTTGACTTACTCTCTAAGTAGCCCATAAAGTTATTGCTGGAAATGAGATCTTTGAAAAACATAGATGTGATGGTTAATTTTAGGTATCAACTTGACTGGTCCATGGGGTGCCCAGATATTTCATTAAACATTATTCTGTGTGTGTCTGTGAGGATGTTTCTGGATGAGATTAACATTTGCATCAGTAGACGGAGTAGAGCAGAGGGCCCTCCCCAGTGTAGGTGGTCCTCATCCAATCTACTGAACACCTGGATAGAAAGAAAAAGTCTGAGTAAGGCAGAGTTTCCTCTCTTTTCAATTGCCTTTGAGCTGGGGTATCAGTCTTCTCTTGGCTTTGGACTTTGACACAGACTGGAACTTATACTGTCAACTCTCCTGATTCCCAGGACTCTGGACTCAGACAGCAATTATACTGTTACCTCTCCTGGATCTCCAGCTTGTCAACTATTACATGTTAGGACTCCTTACCTTCCCAAATCATATGGAACAGAATCCTTATAATAAATATCTTTGTGTAATTATAAGTAAATAGATTTTAACTTGGCTTAGGCTAACTCTTTGTCTAAGACCCCATTCTGGTGCCCTCCTATGCTATCCCTACAGGCTGTTTGGTGGTGTTTTACATGTTTCCAAATTCATCTGTACCTCAGTATTTGTACACACATGATTTTTGTAGGTTTTTCTTCAAATATATATGGAGCAGCTGGAAGACAAAGTTGATATCATTTTCATCTTGCCTGATACAGTGCCTGACATTTAGTAATGCCTCTGTAGAGTATACTAAACTCATATATGTACGTGTGAAAATATATAGAGGTTAAACTTGCCTTAATCTTCATACTCTCTTCCAATTTTACCTGCATGTTTCTTTGAATATCAAATCATGTTTCTTTGAATATCAAATCTATATTCAAAGGACTAACAGAAGCAGATAAATACACAGTAATGATTCCTTAAAAGAATCATTTAAAGTCAAGTTAAAATTACTAATAAGCTCATTATTTTGAATAAGCATTAATTAGAAGATATCTTTTTCTGGACTCTAGTATCTATGCTAAAGATTGGATGTGTAAATATTATCTTCCTCCATTCACAGGCCTATTTTAATGTTCACACCTGCTTTTGTAGTAGATACAACTTCTATATGTAAGTTATGGGTTTTGGAGATACTTATAATGATGATTCTTATAAGAAATTTCAAAATAGTGGCCAAATGGGTAGGCATGGAAATAGTTTTAGGGAAGAAATACTGAGGTAAACAAAAGATATCTTCATGAATCAAAGAAGATAATGAAGTAAAATAAACCAATGCAGATAAAGGAGCCTCATTCTAAGTGTCTATAGACAGGTGGGAGGAGAAATATATGAGTGTTTGGTGTGGTTGTAGTCAATTAGGAAATTTTGCAGGAGTGCCAAAGAAGAAGGGGAAGCCCCAAATGGCTTCACAAAGGGCATAATAGACTGAAATGTAAGCAGAAGCCATATTAGAAAATGCTCGAGTACATTACCTAGCTTTCCTGTGTTGAAACAAATTAGGTCTAAGAAGTTCAGATCCAACTTAATGGTTATCAAATAAAACTGTAATTAATCTATGTTGTTGCTTGGAGAGCAGGGGCTAATTTTCATCTGAATCACATGTGAGAATCTAAGCACCAAGCTGAAAAGGGAGCTAAATAAATAATTACTTGCACAAGTTTTTTATTTTCTAAAAAAGAAAAAGCATGTTTTTAATTGAAAATTCTGGGTTGTTTCAAGATCCATATTAGAGATGATCTTTGAATAAATGTCCCAATGAAGATTACTCAATGTCAATCATTAAACAAAATTAAATAAATAAATTACACAGAATGTTAAATAGTGATGAATGCTAAGAAGAAAAATAAGGCAGAAAGAGCAGTAGGCTAAGTGTTGGAGGGGTTGACATTTTAGGTAGAGTGGCCAGAGAAGCAGATGAGATTGAATAAAGATATGAAGGAAGTGAGGGGAAAATTCATCAGCTATCTGGGGCAAGAGATCTGAAAGACAGGCAGCAATTGATAATGCAAAGGCCCTGAGGCAAACAGGGCCTTTAGATTTCACTAGAGTGAAATCTAAAATGCAGGGAATGCATAGGAAGCAGGATCCCTTTGGAGTTAGGAAATAAGTTCTTAACAAACAAGATAAAATTCTGTCTTTGTTGCTTTAAATCATAGCTCACAAACTCACATACTTACAGAAGTCAGGGTAATAATGTAGATGTCTGAAGCATGGTGGGTGTTTTAACTTCCCGGGGCTACCATAACAAATTACTACAAACTGGGTGGATTAACACAACAGAAATGTATTCTCTCACAGTTTTGCAGGCAGAAAGTCTGAAATCAAGGTGTCAGCAGGGCCATGTCCCCATTGAAGATTCTAGGAAAGGATTCCTTGCTGTTTCATAGCTTCTTGGTGTTGGCAATCCTTGGTGCTCCTTGACTTACAGCTGTATCTCTTCAATCTCTGCCTCTATGGTCACATTGCCTTTTTCCCTTTGTGTGTGTCTATGTCTTCAAATGTCTGTCTCCTTTTGAGGACACCAGTAATTAAACTTAAAGCCTACTCTAATTCAGTGTGACCTCAGTGTACACCTCTTTTGTATTTTCATTGCCTAACAATTTACATCTGCAAATACCGTATTTTCAAATGAGGTCACATTCACAAGTACTGGCAGTTAGGACTTGAACATATTTTTGTCGGGGACACAATTTGTCTTACAATAATGGGGAAAGCGGAAAACTCCTGGGAAGATGTTGACTCTAATGGGTTTAGCTATGACTTAGCTTAGCAGATTGTTGTCAGTTTGCATACTTCGCTTTCAGGAAAGGATTTGCCTTGAGGAGGGTAGTTTATTACTAGAAACTAACAGAGGGGGTCAGGTGTGAGTGCGGAGGATGTAGTTCAACATGGCTTTAGAAAACTTTTAGGGAGTACTTCCTACCTATAGTAGAAGAAATATTCGAGAGAATGTCAAGATTGTCAGAGATACTTTGACTTTGGAATATCAGACAGCCCTGTGATAAGCATCTGGGGTCATAATTAAAAATTACATCTAAAAGATGTAGTTAGCATGGATTCTTGTGACAGACGTAACATTCTGATCAAGTTTTCTCAGCAAGTTTGCATGTACATGTGCCTTAATCCATAGTTGTTGGTTTCATCTCTTTCCCTAGGCTCACATTTATCAGCTTGACAAGGTGGCTTCTATGCAATGAATCTTATTTGAACAAGCAATCTCCAAAGACATGAAATGGGACTGTAGTCTGTTTAGACTTAGAATTACTAGAGTGAAATCTAAAATGCATCCCTTGATCTTAAAAATGCAATTTGGTAGTTCCCAGTGTGGAAATTTCTATCTTGAGGGATATTTCCCTCAAGGTAGAAATTATTTATCTCAAGAAATTACCTATCTTAGGGGATACTTCCTTAACTATAACTTAAAGACATTATGCAGTTATGAAACTATATTTTCCACTGGTAGTGAGAGACAGAACTTGAAATCTAGAGAGATTGCAAGTGAAATCAGAGTTCATGTCTGAGGCCTGTAATGCTACCAGGGATTAAATGAAGGAGATTCAATCCAACCATCTCTTCTAGGATTCAATTATGAATAGCTGCCTCGTTGATGAGTATACATTTCGTAAGGCCTTATATTTCTCATCTCTACTAAGTTTTCCTTCAGAATTGGGTAGATCATTTTTCCTTGGCACAGATAATTTATACATTATCTCAATCATTTTGTTTGTTTGTTTGTTTCCAGAAGCAGTGAGGCAGTGAACTATGAACTTTACTGCTGGAACAAAATTTAAAGATGGTCTTTTTAGTGGAATTTTGTTCTTTCATTCCTCAACCAAAGATAGACTTTCTAATATCTACAGTCCAACTGTCACAGGATTTATTAATTACACTGTAACGCAAATGTTTCAATTTATAACTCCCAAGTTGACAAATTCCACAATTAATTTTAGGAATTACCTTCTCTATCATCTTTACTCATTTTCTTATATTAATTTTGTGTCCATCATTATATGGTAAATTCTCTTCAGGGCAATGAATCCTTTTCCTCTCCTTCCCTCTCACCTTGGTGTGCTTTGTACATTATATTCACTTAGTAAATACTGGGATAGCTTTAAAATACTCCTCTGTAAATAAAAATAATACAATTTAATCACCATAAAACCATTAGTGTAAAGCAGCAACAAAATGCAGTTTTAAGATAAGGCTACTTAATACATTTAAATTGTTATTAATCACCTAGTGAATGCCAAAGTCAAGAAAGTGAATTATTTGTGTCTAGGGTAAATTTTATATTATGACTTCTCCCATATGTCTGGTGAAGGAAATACATTTATTAATTGACAGCTCTCCCCTTGACTTTATTAAGTACCAAGTTGAGTTTACTTTGAAATTTAGAAAGGATTTTCTCTTACCTGAAGCAGTGAAATAAATTTGTTATACTTATGTCTTGGAAGAAGAATAAATGCAGACTGTGAAAAGATTTAGCTCTTTGGGGATTGCAGTATTTCAATTAATGACACTCTTTCAAATCTCTTAAATCCTACCTCTTTGCTCAAAATTCTTTCTATTATCATAAATTTATTCTCTTGTGTTAGGACAAGTCTAAACTAGCAAAGTGACGTGGAAAATGGAGCCAATTATTCAGATAATTGAAGTAAAATACTTTTTTTCTCATTACTGTATATTTCAGATACAATCTTCTTTTTCTAAACCTGAGTATGTAGAATTACCCCAGTTCCCTCTCAAATAATGTATATAGTTAGATCATATTATTTAAAGTTTCTAATTCTTGTGAACTTTCTGACTTTGAGACTTGGTCCACATAGGTAAATAACTCCATTAGCAGGGCTAAAATATGTCTGGGGAATTGAGTCAGAAGTAAAATGTTAGGCTTCAGTTGATTAATTTAAGGCATTAGAAAGTTTACTCAAATAGACATATAAAAATCTCTTCCTTGGAGCCCGGATTCACATATGAAAAAGAAAATAATGAACCAAAGTAATTGTCTCAATAAATGAAATCCCGCATTTCTCTCTTAAATGCAAAATATACAGATAATATTTTTTTAAAAAAAAACTTTTTACTTTAATCATTCAAATTTGTCCCTCATTTTGACACTAATTTTTACTATTTAAAACTTTAAGGTGCAATGATTTTTTCTAGAGTGGTATAGAGTAGGGAAGCAACAAATATTTGCTTTCTGGAACAGAAATTATCTGCTAATAATCCAGAAAATTATCAATTATATTCCATCTCTTTATTTGCTATAATTTTCCAATTATGTTAGTTTCCTTTTTGCTTAAAAATTCCCATAATTCCATATTTTTCTATTTTTCTATTGTGCCACTAAAATATTAAGTCTGCAGATATGATGATTTCGGGACAGCTACCTTATTATAAAAGAAAACTAAATTTTTAATAAATAAAAAGGAATATTTAGGGTAAATAAAAAATATAATGTGATGAATAAAACAATAAATAATTACAGTTTTGTGGTAAAGAATTTCTTAAATGAGACACCCAAAGAAATACCATAAGGAAAATATAAGAGACTGACCACATCAAAATTAAGGACTTTTTTTCAAAAAAGAGCAGAATCGAGAATACCACTAGCAGGTGGTGAGAATATATTTGCATTCTTCTAAAACTGACAAAGATTTAATACCTAAATATGACTCATACAAATCAATAAGAAAAAAAAAAGAAAATGAGTAGAAAAATTGTCAAAAAAAGAGAAGCAAAATCCAAATGGTTCACAAATATATGAAAAACGATTAATCACACAGCTAATCAGATAAATGTAAGTTAATAATAAATAGACACTTATAAGGATCCAATTATTGAAAATTAGAAAGTCAGTATCAAGAAAGTCAGTTCAGGATATTGGAAAAGACAATTTTTTATGTACTGCCTGAGGCAAGAGAAGATGATATGATTCTTTATGAGATACATTTTAAAGGTTTTGATGAAATTAAGTATACATGTAATCTATGATCCAATCTATGATCCAGTCATATTACACTGCTGGGTATTTACTTGAAATAAATCTTTGCATAGCTAATTGTTATACGTTTTGTGATAGCAAAGATATAGAAATAAACTAGGTTTCCATCACTGTGGGAATAAACAAGTGAAAAAGATATACATACAAACAATATGATGTCATGAAGGAGCTACAATCAATAAAAAAGATAAATATACAGCAAAATGGATCTTAAAGTGGCGGGTTAAAAAAATACAAGAAATAGAACATTTACAGACTGATATAACATCTAGAATCAAAATACATCCATATATAAAACAGCATTACATTATTCAGGAATATAAATATTTCCAAGTACTATATTACATGAGAATGAAATATGTGTAGAATGGAAGTGATTTTTGGTAATGAAAAAAAATCATAAAAAAGAGAAATCTCACATAGATTAAAGATGATTGTGTTTCTGTGTTTCAAGTAAATAACAACAACAAAAATAAGCCTTCGTACTTCATCCCTAGTGAGATCAGAGACTCTTGCCTTCTCCTCTATGGTGCTGTCATTTTGTTAGTTCACCCAGTGACATTTATGCTTCTCAGTTCTGTCATTTCTCCAACAAACCTCTGCTTCATCTATCTTACAGTTTGTTTCTTTGTATTATCTGGCTCTTGTTGACTCAATGTCTATTGTTTTGTTGTACCACTTTAAAATCAACTTATTTTGTTGTTTATATTTATATAGTAAACTGAATGTAACAAACACATTTGTAATTTCACAGCTTTGGAATATTCCCATAAGGTTTTCAGATTTTAAAAAAAAGATGTTTTAACTCAACAATACACAGTGAGTCCATTATCATTCATGAATTATATCTAACTGGAATGGTTCATTACTTGAATTGTTTACTGTCTACAGAAGATGACATGGGGGGACCCAGGAAGACACTTCCTTTCAAAATATTTTCCCCATGTGCCCAGTATTACCTACAGTTTATTTACATGGGATTTAGCTTTTCATTCCACCGTTAGTCATATAGTTCACCTCTGTTGAGAGCAACGGGCCTCAAGAAAACAAGTAAGAGCATTAGGGAATACAGAACAGAGCAAAAAGATAAAATTTTCAATTATTTTTTGTATAAGATGGGCTGTTATCATATCACAGTGTGAAGAATTCTTTAGTGTAAAGCTAGATCTTTCTCTTTAACTTGAAAAAAGCATGTGTGTGTGTGTGTGTGTGTGTGTGTGTGTGAGAGAGAGAGAGAGAGAGATAGTGTCAGTGGAGACTGCATATTGATTCTGGACTTCTGCTCCCAACAGAAGATAACAGGGCACCACACTCCTGCCTTGCTGATGTCATGTTAGATGAGGCCTAGTGGAGAGTCAGGACTTTCATCACCATCCCACAGTAATGAGGGCATTTTTCCATGGTGTCAGTGGAGGCCACATGGAGAAGAGTAAGAAGGAGCTGCTCTCATTCTCAGAGGGTGGTATCAGTGGAGGCCTAGTGGGGAGCCAGAACGCTCACTCCTCACCAGCAATAATTAGCAGCCTTTCTCTGGTTATAGAAGGAAGCCGAGATGGGAACTTGAACTTCCATACCCAAGTGGCAATAACTCAGTCACTTCTCACTTCCCATGTTCAGATTATTGTCAAAAAAAGATCGGTTAAAGCAAAATATTTAAATAAGATCCAGAGATTCATGACACTCCAATATGTCCAAGTTTCAGTTAAAAATTACCCATCATACTATGAGCAGGGAAAATCTCAAATGAAAAGAGAAAAAACAATCAACAGATGTCAACACTGAGACAAAACAAATGGCAGACTTCTCTGACAAGCATTTTAAAGCATCTATCATGAAAATGTTCATCAAGTATTTAGGCATGTACCTGAAATAAACACACATACAAAAATAGAAAGTCTCAGCAAATAAAAATTGAAAATCTGAAGAAGAACCAAAATAAAATTGCAGAACTAAAAAGTATAATGAATAAAATAAAAAACTCAACAACAGAATGGAAAGTGCAGAGGAAAGAACCAATGAGCCTGAAGATAGGATAATAGAATTACTCAATCTAAACAACAGAGAGAAAATATGCTGAAAAAAAAAAAGAGAACCCGTGGAACTATTCTACAAGATTAATATTTTTGCTATTGGAGTCCTGAGAGAGAAGAAAAGAGGGTGGGTCTGAAAAGTATTCAAATAAATAATAGGTTAAAACTTACCAAATTTTTCAAAAGTCACCAATCTACAAATCCAATAAGCTGAGTCACCAATCTACAAATCCAATACAATAATGCTTGTAAACAACAAACTTCGAAATAATCCATGGGTCAAAGAGAAAGTTTAAAGGGAAATTAAACAAAAACACATTGAAGTGAATGACAGTGAAATGTAATATATCAAAATTTGTTGGATCCAGTTAAAGAGTGTTGAGAGGAAAATTTATAGCACTAAATGTTTATATTAGATAAAAGAAAAGTCTCAAATAAATAACCTAATCTCTCATCTCAAGAAAGTAGAAAAATCAGAGCAAAATAAATCAAAACAAGAAGGAATCAGATTGTTAAGACACAAACAGAAATCAGTGAAGTTGAAAACAAGAGAGAAAATTAATAAAACCAAACTGATTCTTTAAAAAGATTAATGAAATTGGCAAATCTTTCCTGTAATAGTTAATTTTATGTGTCAACTTGGCTAAGACATGGTACCCAGTTTTCAGTAAAACACCAGTCTAGATATTGCTATGAAGGTATTTTTTAGAAGTAATTACCTTTTTAATCAGTAGACTTTGAGTAAAGCAGATTACTCTCCATAATATGGCGGGGCCTCATTCAATCAGTTGCAAGTCTTTAGAGAAAAGACTGAGGTCCCCAAGGAGAAAGAATTCTGCCTCCAGGCTACCTCTGAATTTGAGATGGCGATGTGGACTCTTGCCTGGGTCTCTAGCCTGCTGGCCTGCCCTGCAGATTTTGGATTTACCAGCCTCCACTATTGTGTGCAACAATTCCTTCGAGCAAATGTTTTTCTGTATATATTTACACACCCTGTTTGTTCTGTTTCTCTGGAGAATCCTGACCGTGTGTACATCTAGCAAAACTGGTAAAGAGAGAAGGAGAAGGCACAAATTATCAATATCAGGAAAAATAAACAAACAAAAAATAACCAAGGGCTGTTGCTATGAACTGTTTTACATCAAAAAGACAAGAGAATACTATGAACAACTCTACATATACATTTCACAAATTAGATGACATGAAATAATTCCTAAAAACATACAAACTATCATAACTTATCCAGTGAGAATTAGATAATTTATATTTGAATAATCCTATAACTATTAAGGTTATTGACTTCTTAATTTAAAAAATTCATAAAAAAAGAAATCTCTAAGCCTAGATCGTTTTACTGGAGAATTCTGCCAAACATTTAAAGAATTAACATCAATCCTACACATTCTCTTCCAAAAGATGTAAGTGAGAGATAACACTACAAATGTATTTTATAAAGCCAATATTACCTTAATACCCAAACCAAAGATAGTACTAAAAAATAAAGAAGAAAAGAAAAGAAAAATTAAAAACAACTTACAAATTCTTGGAATATTATTACTGCCAATTTATAGAGTAATAATCCATCACAAAATATTAGCAATTAGAATCCTGTAATATATAGAAAGAATTACATACCCTAACCAATTGGGTTCGATACCAGGGTGCAAAGCTGGTTCAATATTTGAAAATCAATCAATGTAATCTATTATATTAACATGCCAAATAAGAAAAATCACATGATGATATAAATTGATGCAGAAAAATTATTTAAAGAATTTAACATCCATTCATGATAAAATCTCTCAGAAAGCTAGGTGTAATGTGGAACTGTCTCAACTTGATGAAGAACATCTATAAAAACCCTACAGCTATTGTGGTATTCAATGCTAAAAGCCTGAATGCTTTCCCTCTAAGATTCAGAGCAAGGCAAGGATGTTCACTTGTATTGCTGATATTTAGCGTTATACTGGAAGTTCTAGCCAATGCAATAAGGCATTGAAAGGAAATAAAAGGCATATAAAACAGAAAAGAAGAAATAAAACCATTCCTATTTATATATGCCATGGTGGTCTATAAAAATTTCCAAGGAATTCCCAAAAACCTCGTAGAATTAATAAGTGAGTTTAGCAAGGTCATGTGATATAAGATCTATGCTTAAAAATCAACTGTGTTTTTACACACTAATAATGAACATGTGGAAACCAAAATTAAAAATACAATGCACTTATAAGCACTAAAAAACTGCTTAGGGATAACTATCTCAAAATATGTCAAAGCACATATAGGAGTCACATGCTGGAAACTATAAAAAGCTGATAAAAGAAATCAAAGAAGATCAAAATAAGTGGAGGAATATAATGTGTTTGTGGATTGCAAAGCTCAATATAGTAATTATGTCAATTCTCCACAAATTAATATACAGATTCAACAAAATTCATATCACAATCCCAGCATGATTTGTTGTAGAAATGAACAATATTTTTCTAAATTTAAAAAATGAACCCAAAGTATCTAGAGTAGTGAAAATAGTATTGTAAAAACAGAATAAAGTGGGAAGGATCACTCTGATTTCAAGATATCATATATTACAGTAATCAAGATTCTGTGTGTAGGAATAAATAAATAATAGGTTGGTGCAAAAGTAATTGAGGTTTCTGCCACTATTAATGGAGAAGACTTCTCAGATATAACATCAAAAGCACTATTCATAAAGAACAAATAGTCAACAAATACGACTTCATCAAAATTTAAAACTTTTGCTCTTCAAGATCCTCTTAAGAGGATGAAAAGATAAATTCCAGGGTGGGAAAAATTTTGAAAACCTTATATGAAACATGGACTCATATCTAGAATATATGAAAAATTCTCAAAAATTTAAAGTAAAAGCAAAAAATGTAATTAGAAAATATTCAAGAGACATAAAGAGTCATTTCACCAAAGAGGTAATATATGAATGGCAAATAAGCATGAGAAAATATGTTTAACAATAAATCTAGGAAAATGTGTAATAATGACACAATGAGATAGACAGTACTTTCCCCTTATATTTGGAGGGATATGTTCCAGGATCCCCAGTGGATGCCTGAAACTAGAGATAGTACCAAACCATATATATGTGTGTGTGTGTGTGTGTGTGTGTATATGTATATATACAATGTTTATATAGGTACATATATCATAGTACATATATATATATGTACCTATGATAAAGTTTAATGTATAAATTTAACACAGTAAGAGATTAACAATAACTAATAAAAAATAGAACAAGTATAACAGTATGCATCACCATTTGCACTTTGGGAGTATTTTAAGTAAAATAAGGGTTACTTGAACACAAGCAATGCAATAATCAGAACAGGCTAGCTGATAACTTAGATAGCTAATGGGCTGATAGCATATATAGTGTGGATACGCTGGAGAAAGGGATGATTAATGTCCTGGGAAGAGATGAGTAAGATGGACTGAGATTTCATCACACATCTCAGAATGATATGCAACTTAAAATTTATGAATTGTTTATTTCTGGAATTGTCCATGTAATATTTTTGGAACGCCATTGACAGTTTCAGTTCCCCATAGTTTTAGTTACCGTGGTTAACTGTAACCAGGGAAAGCAAAACCATGGATAAGCGGGACTACTGAACTATATGTCTGTTAAAACAGATAAACATTTTTAAAAAGTGACAATATCAAATGTTGATGAGGATGTGGAGAAACTGAATCTCTCAGACATTAATGATGGGAAGGCAAAATGGTACCAAAACTCTGGAAAACAGTATGGCAGTTTCTTAAAATGTAAACATACATTTACCAACACACTTTCTTTTCCAGAGAAAGGAAAATTTATGAATACACAACAACTTGTACATGAATATTCACTGAAGCTATATTCATAATTGCCCCAAATTAGAAAAAGCCAAATGGTTTCCCCTGGTTAATTGCTTAAACAAAATGTGGTATATCCTTACTGTACAGCAACTTGGATCTCAAGAGCATTAATCTGATTGCAAAAAATGCCAATCTCGATAAGTTACAGGTTGCATAATTCCATTTACATAACATTCTTGAAATGACAAAATTATAGAGATGAACAGATTAGTGGTTTCAAGGTGTAGAGATGGAAGGAAATGAACACATAGGACTGGCTGTGAATGTAAAAGGTATCAAGAGGAAGCTCATGGTGATCAAATTGTCCGGTGTCTTGATTATAGCTGCGGTTACAAGAATCTAAGCATGTGATAAAATGGGATAAACCTATACATACACATTTTACCAGTGTCAATTTCTGGAGGTCTGAGAGACTTCGGAGTTTGAAATTTGGCCTTTCTTTAGGACAAGCACTGTCATCAGACAATTTCTTGAGTTTTCTTTCAGAATTATGACCCCTGCTTTTAAAAAAAATGAACTGAACTGAGGTTTCAGAACATGTGCATCATTACCTTAGTTAAAATAAAACAGAAAATCCAAGAGGGCTTCTGATGATTGCCATGTTTGGCTCCATTTCTTCCATAATCTTAGTTCTCTTTTTAATTAAAGGTTGATCTTAATGATCAGTTTTAAGATAGTTGGAGCATGGTATTAGTGCATTTATCTCAAACTTCTGTTAGAGAAAGTCAGAGTATAAGATAATGGTTAGGCAACACAGCATATTTTCTTTTATGTTCCCAGGGATAATTTTTGTTGTTTACTCTTAGGACATTTAAGGTGTACATTCTTCCATCCCTCTCCAAAGCTACCTAGGGCTGCATAATTGATTATAAAGTAGTCCCAAGCTAAAGATGTTGTTCTACCAGTGTGAGAAGGATGTTTCTGACTCACTTGCTGATGATTCAGGTCAATTTGGTATTTAGATCATTAGTTTT
Source organism: Homo sapiens (assembly GCF_000001405.40). Taxonomy (NCBI): domain Eukaryota; kingdom Metazoa; phylum Chordata; class Mammalia; order Primates; family Hominidae; genus Homo; species Homo sapiens. Next base: position 51,558,455 of record NC_000005.10, read on the forward strand.
CTCAATTTTTAAAATGTTATTTTTAAGACAAGCATAAGTTTAGCAGATAAGGACATTTTGTTGTTGCTGTTGTTAAAAGTATGATGGGGTATATAGAGTATTCCTAAAGAAATATAAAACTAGCTCTTGACAATTCTACTACTGCACATAAAAACTGTGTTGTGAGAAGTACATGGAAAGAATAATTGTATTCAGTATTATAGAGTCTAAAATTCTAAGGGAATTTGTAATTTTTCTCAGTGAGATATTGCAAATATTTAGGTAACAAAGTGGCTGGTATTTGGGTTCAGGTAAAGGGATGGCGGGATATTGGGAAGAACACAGATTGAAAGTCAAGAAAGCTATAATCAAATCTCAGTTCTTCCCATTTTAATGGACAAGTCACTTAATCTCTCTGTGTCTCATTTTCCTCTATGTTTCATTTGCAGACTGGAGATAATATCTATTTATGATGAAATGTATTGTTAAGTCTCACTAGGAATGAATCTTGCTTTTGTTGGGTAAGAGGGATGTTTTTAAGCTTGTATTTATTTTATCATTTCTCATTAAAAATATAAATAGCTTTTTACAAAAACAACAATAAAAAAGTAGGAAGTCTTCTTTAATTTGGCATAATATATGATTCATCAACATTGGCTGCTATTAATATACTGATCAGTGAAAATGTTCCAAGTTTGATGTTGCTCAACAGATAAGCTAAAACCTATAAGCCCTCACAAGAACCTGTATTTACAAACAGATGCACCTACCTCTTAAAGTAATCAGTTTCTAACAAAGTATTGTTTATATGTTTCATGCAAATTGGTCTGAAGTGTTGCTTAGACAATCTTATTATATTTAAGAATAAAAACTTCCATCAAGAAATTGTACAAAGAAAATGGACACACCAGCTGGATAAATCTATCATGTGCAGGGGGGAGTAGGGGAAGCAAGCACTTTTAATTAGCTGAGTGAATGCAGTTTGTTGAACACAGAAAGCACAGCCTTAGTCATATTAAAATGTGCCTAATTTTCTGTGAAAAAGTCCCATCTGAACAGGCCTGACCACAGTCAATCATACTAAAAGCCACTGGTGCTTAATTTGATTTACCAATATAAAATGCAAATTAGGTTATTAAGTGGAGTGGCAGACAGAGTAGGGCCCCTTTCAAACCATCAAGTTAAATGCAAGCAGACAGCAAACTGGCTGTGCAAAGAAAATTTTAGCATATTCGTTTGATTAGTGCTACAAAAATTTAATTAGGTTGGCTAATTACTTGACAAATTGCTCTACACGAGAGAAAAGGCAGAGGGTTTTTTTTTTCTTTTTTCATTGCAAATATCCTGTGTGTATTTTAGCCCAAATGCTATCTGCCAATTTGCAAAAGCCTTATTAAATGAATGGAAGATGGTCCCCAATAATAGCAAATCATATAATGCATATAATTAGACAAGGCCCACACTCTAGCCATATGTCCATACTCTATCATAGCTAAAAACATTTAACACAACATTTATGTATGTGTACCTATTGTCAAAACAGATTATTACAAAGCAGTCAGTTCTTAAGAAAGAAAATATTGTGCATGATATAGAAAATAGACGTTTGTGACATTCCTACCTCCCAGAAGAGTTTGTTTGTTAACTATTAAATGAAGCAGTAGTGACATGCTAAAGTTTGTCATCACAGAATGCACCAGTCAGCCAATCCATGGTTGAATGAGGCCAATGTTAAAATGGAGTAGAGAAAATTGTCTCCTTGTGATACATTCTAAATGTAAAGCTATTAATTTACAATTAGAGTTACTGACATTTCATAAAACAAAATTTATTTTTTCAAAAGCTATTCAAAGGGAAATAATTTCTTTAGAAAAATGATGTTTATATCAATATTCAAGAGAATAAGATAGATTTCATATAATCACAGTATTATTTGGAGACTTCCACAATTTTTTCAGATATTTTATTTGGTTTTCATTGATTTTCAACAGAACTAGTGAGCCTGTTCTAACTCAAGCCCTGTGATTTTACAAAGAGATAACCACTTTGCCTGTCCAAGTGGAAAAACTAAGTATCATATTTTATAAACAGGTTTTGCAGTTAGTAATTAGATACTATATTTAACCTGTTCTAAAGCAACATCTTATGAAAGTATGAACTGCAAGAACTATTTGCGAACAATCATTTATGCAGGCTGCATTATTGTTTTTACAATTAGAATCTGCTCTGTTAGTTTAGAACTCAGATATAGTTACACTGGACAGTGCAGATGCACTTAGGATTTTATGTAACACCCTTATCATTACTGCCATTTTATCTTAACTTACCTCTTTTACTCTTTTTAGATTTACAATCATTGCCAAAAATAGACTAAAAATTTGTGGAGATTATGATAGGATGTGGATTATGTAGACAATTTTACTTATATAAAGTCCTGGGATAAAGTCGTGGCCTCCTGAGCAAACATTTGGCCATATTGCTGACATTACATTTGAAGACATTGAGGATGTCATACACATAGATTCTATAAACACAGAAACTGCAAAATTTAGTAACAAAGTATTATATTTTAATATAAGAATAATGCCAATCGCTTGAGGTTTTCTTCTTTAATGTATTGATTGATTGTCTCCCTCCCCTGTCATTTATTTTTAATTTGATAAACTGACTAGTATTTTAAAAAATTTAACAGATGCAGTCTATTAAATAATTGAAACCTGGGACATTTTGATAAGGGTATGTGTATAAAACAGTGAAATTATTGGCTTGCAAACATATTAAGGTGCTTCTTATGTGTTAATATTAAATGTTATACTTGAGTGTCCAATGGCAGCTGCTGTATTAATTGCCGATAAAACAATAATCTTGATTATTATTTTTATGTGTTACCTAGAACAAATTACATGCATGTAAAATAACAGTAGCTCCCTTTTATTGAGCCCCTACTACGTGAAGATGCAGGGTTTGGTGTTTACATATATTTTATTCAATTCTTCTACACAACTAAAGATATAAGTATTATTGTTTCCATTTTATAAAGTATAAGATTGAGGTGAGTTAGTTTAAGTAAAGAATTCAAGACCAAAAAATGAGTAATGAATCAATATAGGTTTGAACCATAGCCTGGCTGAATTGTAATATGTTCTTCCCAATGCCGTGAATAATTTTTGGATACGTATTTTTAAATATGATTTTATGTATGTATGCATACATGATACACAGTGGTGTGTTTGTATCTATTCGAGAGTTGCCACTGTGATTGTATATAATTGAGATTTAAACCACTAATTGTGATTTGTATATTACACACTTATGATATATGGTCCATTTTCTATCTTTCTATTCTAATAACAGAGAAAGGGTTTTTATGAAATATAATCAAACATGGCCATTGATATATTTTTAAACTCTATAATTCAATCATATATATGAACAATTTGATGATGGAAGTAAAGAGATTCAAAGCCCACAGATTTCAATAGTTCATGAACTGTGGTGATTCAGGCTGACAAAAACCTTTGGAAACATCACATCCTTTAAAGTTGTATAGGCAGAATCAGATTCTTTGCCAAACTGGAGACATCAAAAGGAATGCAAAATAAGTATGGAATTGGATTAGAAAAAGCAAAGTTTCCATCTATATGACAAGTGTGTTGGGGAGAAATACACCAGTTCATAAGACATGAGCTTAAAACCAGCTTCAGCCTGTTGAAAGGCTTTATTATCATTTTGTTAATTAAGAAAAATAACTTGGTTTCCAGCTAGGATGAGATTTTTTTTCCCCATTAACATTTTAGGTTAAATTTAAGAAGGCTTGTGTAAGACACATACATATCTAAAAGTAGTAAAGAATAATTAGTCATTTGTGTGACTTTTCATGTTACTGACATTCCTGAATATTTTGTTTCAAAAACTTGATAGACAATAAATAATTTTTATACTGAAATACCAAACATTTTGAAGTAGATTTGAATTAATGGTATGAATTCCCAATAAGATTCTAATTTGAAAATAATTTTTCAGATTTTGAACTGACAGATAACATAGGCAACTTTAAAATATATACAGAATTACAACCATTAATTCACTATATTTTAAAAGTCACTGCACTGTAAAATGCATGGTGATAATTCAATCATTATAATAAGTTATAAAGCATAGTGAAGGAATTTTTTTTCTAGGTATGAAAGTATTACATTCATATGTCCATACTGAGAAAAAACATATCTCAATTTAAGTTGAAACTTAGAGGAGAAGAATCTTGAAGAGTTTTAGAATTTAAAAAAGTATTTAGTGTTTGGATCAAATCATTTTCTGGTCTAGTTTTATTCTTCAAGTTTCTTGGTTTTGTCAAAGAAAATAAACACCCTGTTATATAGAGCTCTCAAATTATAATGAGAAGAGTCTTGCTGAGTATAAACTTTACCATTTGCTAGGGCCAGGGAACACTTCTTTCCCAAGTCTGGAAACTTCCCTCATAACAAAGTGGCCATTTGTTCATTGGTTCTTTTCTGTGGTTACTAAGAAAACGATTGGCCTATGACCTATAGTTTCCTGTTAATATGTCACTTACGATGCAAAATATAAACATAAAAGCTGGTACTTAGTGCAGTAATAGACGCCTGGACTTATTGAGTTGAGAATAAACCAGAAAAAAAAACTGCACAATCTTCCTTGGTTATTTCATAATCAGGGAATTTTTCCTGATACTTAAATTCATAAACCTAAAGAAAAATGACTTTACCAGATGAAAGTAAATCTTAAGCATCAGAAAAAAGATAGTAAATTGATGAGAAATTTATCTGGATTTTCAATCTATAATGAACTAAAGAAGCTACTCTGATTAAAAAAACTAAAAAATACATTAATAATTATTGCAGTTCCATTTCTGTTTAGATGTTCAAATGTTTGCATTATTAAGATTCAGATTTTCACTTCTTGTCATAAATGTAAAGTTAGCAAGAATGTTATTTATTTGCAGGAGAATTCATAGTCCATTGCATGAGAAAGGATGATCTTTCCCTTAACATTTGAGCAAAATTACACAATTTATTTGCAGGTGTAAGTATGTTGGACAGCATTCAAATGAGCACTGAATAAAGCATAGAAACAAGGACAATTAGGTCTTGGATTTTTTGACTAGTTGGTTTAAAAGCAGTTTTCTGTATCATGGAACTTCATTTTAACCATCTGATTTAAGAGCTTAATAAAACACTAAACTTTGTATAATAAAAACTATATGATACCCTAGAGTTCTTTATTAGGCAATAGCTATGCTCAGGATATTAGTATCTGTGGAGGCTTTGCAATTTGGTATTTATAATCATGGCTATAATAATAATCATTGAATTTCTGAAAAATTTGATCCTAATAAATTGTGGTTTTAGAAAAAAATTCTGAGGCTGACTTACTTGCTGTTGGAATGATCAATAGATCCGTATGTTTGTATTTTGAACCCAGAGGATTTTTATCTCCCATATATTAAGCCACTTTCTGAAAGTATCTGAAACTACTGTGTAACACTTAATATATCTGGTACTGAGTAATAACCGTTCCTTCTCTTGCCTTAGCTGTTAAGCCCATTTATTTTTAAATAGTTGAGAGTGACTTAGATATCAAGAACAGAAGCTGTTAAACTGGATTGTCCAAGTTTTGGCATATTTTTGCTTTACTAGTTATCATCTTGGTAACAATAATCATGGTTTAGACTTGTGTTAGGTATTGTGTACAGTGCCCTGAGAAGCTAAAGCACTTTGCAAAAGTATGATTAAACTTTTGGCTATATAGTACTAAACTAACATAATTATTACTAAATATTAACTCCTGATATGATCAAATGAATAAAAATTGTGATTTTGGAAGGGCAAAAACCAAAGTATAGTGCTTTATTAAAACTGTAAATGCAGGAAAATTTTTGTTGCCAAAGATATCCTTTCCTGTCGTTTCCTCTCGCATTTTTCAACAGTAATTTTTCAATAGTAATTGTCTTCTTTTTTTTCCCTGATGCTGAAGAAATTATTGCCTAAGATTAAACAACACTGATTGTTCATTTGAAAGACTTTTTTCTTTCTACAGATCCATCTACCTTTGAGTTTTAATGAGTTAAAGATTCCCACGAGGTTTTTGCTGCATTGGAGCTGATTTTGTCTTTGTTTCTTCCAAGAGTTTAAAAACAGTTGGTACAAGTCACATTAACAAAGGCCCACCTGTACTGAAATTCTCAAATGAAATCTAGCTAGGTTTACTGTTATCATATAGGGCATGCATTAATCAGCATGATCTTTCACTGCCTTGAGAAAGCAGCCTTCTTTCTCAAAGGTAATAGTCAAGAAAAGAATCATCTGAATGTGCTTCTATAGAAAGACCCTTCTATAAAACCAAAATATTCACAATAAAACTGCAAATCGTCTCTGTCTTTACTTTAAAAGTAAACTACGGATGGGAATATATGAGAATACTATTTTATTTACAATGAACCTGCTATAACTTGATCAATTGTTCACTTCTAAAAATGTTGAAAAGTCTCCATGACTGATAAGGTACTGGCTTCTTTTATTTCCTAATATTCTCTAAAGTATTGGTTACACATATGTGAAACATTCTTAGTTTATCAAGATACTAGAAGTCTAGCATTACCAGCTGTGAATATATTTTAGATACCTGAGAAAATAGGTACAATGTGCAGAATGACCATTTGACCATCTGGGTCCCAGTGTGGTTTCTCTGCAAAGGAAGAAAAATATTGGATCTTGCTGCAGAACGCTAGCAACTCTATTTTCCTTTCTTGTGTATGGGGAAATTTTGCTGAATGTCAAAAAGAAAAGCAGTCCAATAATACCAAGATGAGAAAAATAATCTCCCCCTCCCCAACTTGTGACAATTTAAAACTATTTGATTAAGAAGCTCTTTTCAAAAATAAAAATCAATCTGCTCTGGCATCAAATTACCAAATAAGCTTACCTCTTTTCTACTAGTTGACTAAAATAGTTGTAAATACTAATGTTTTTAAATCCTAAAACAAAATTCTAAACTTTGATCTTAATTGAATATGCTTTATAGAGAAAGGTAAGACTTTTAAAAATTCAAAAATTATTATCATAGGTAGGTTTTCTTAGTAAACACTTTTAAATTATTTTAACTTGTTACATTTCCTTCTCTTCTAAGGATAATTATGCTCCTTTATACTTAATTATGGAGATCTTCTTATATGTCATCCTTATCTTTGCCTACAATGTAGGACAACATAAATCTTAGATATCCAATGTTTACTACATTTTATTTTATATGTTTTCAGCAAGTCAGTTTTAGATATAGAAATATTTCTAAATAAACGCTTTTAATAACCAAATATAATAACTACAATAGGAGCAAGAGGGAATATATGCAAACTATTTGTTTTAAGTTATCCTATGGTGAAGGTGTCATGATTCTAAAATGATATTTTGATTAACATGTTCAAGTATTTTTCTTCATGTTTTCCTCATCTAAAAGTAAACTTTTTTGGAGAATCATATATATACATCTATAGACAAATGGCTTTTAAGTTAGGTTAAGAGTGTTCAGCTAAATAGTTAAGTGGTATATAAATATTAATAAAGATTTTTTTACCAGTTTCAAAATTTTCCTAAAACTCATCTCATTCCTTCCCCTAACCCCTCAAATCAAATACAGACATATAATAGTGGATCATTTGCAAAAGTTCACTCTTATAAATATAATAATATTGTTTTCTTATTTCAAGTATAAGAGTCTAAAAGTATATATATATATATATATATATATATTTTTTTTTTTTTCAAACAGTAGAGTAACTAGGCCTTACTGTATTTTCCTTATTTTTAAAGTCACTGAAGGGAGGATAATATTGGTGTCTTCTATTATTTCAAAGATCTCAGCCATTTATTATTAATTCATTCATTAATCACACAAGCTTTTATTTAGTAATGAATTCACTTATTACAAAACTTTTAATGAGTATATGAGGCAATGGGAAGCTATTAAATTGGTGAATGCGACTATGAAATATGATAAAAATAAATATACACAACTTTAGATTATTCCAAATATTTGAGAGTAGCAAAAACTACATAATGGAAAAAGGCAAATTAAATAATTAATTCAACTCTGGAGGTTATTTGTTCAAAACTACGGACTCATTACAATGTATGTAATGAGAAATACATAAGAAATATAAGCTATTTTTATGTTGTCAAGGAAGTTATATAAAGAATTAATATTCAATTGTGAACTGTGAATTTTGGATTCAGGCATTTCTGATAGTAGAAAATTCCCTTCTCAGAGAGCAACAAAACCAACCTCTAAAGACTTAACCTGGGTCAGGAAGCTTTTGGGTCTGTTTTTCTCAGGAGCCCCTACTCTCAAATACTTCTTGAGTCCTCTTCATATTGAAGACAGACTTTTTTTTTCCTCAGGTGAATATACATTTATTGTCTTAAAGCTTCCCTGAAGCAGGTAAATGAGTACTAACATTAAGCTTCAAAGAATTTCTCTGCATGCAAGCAATTCAGCTGTCAGAAAAGCTATGATTAATGATATTTCATATGAAAATTAATGGAAAATAACTAGATGCAATTAAAAATACTAAAGATGAGAGCATTCTTTCTTGAACACTTGAAGAATTACATATGTTTATTGTTACTCAAGGATTAAAATAAAATATTTTGGACAACTTGTTGAGTTATGAGTTATGGTTAACAAATCTAATTTTGCCTGAGGGTACTTATTAGGCCTTGTGATGAACCATAATAAATAAGAGGTTTATTTTTGTTAGGAGATTTCTATCACTCACAGAGAGAGGGAGAGAGAGATAGAACTGAGACATATGTCGAGGGGACTTGGCTGTGCTTCTTCTGTACAGAACATACTGTACAATTACAAACCAGGAAACCAGAACTGTGATGTTTCCAAATAGAATGAGAACATACATATGAACCTTTAACTTGCCGTATCATAGAATCAGGTAGAGACTTTCCTAATTGTGACTGTATATATATATATATATATGTGTGTGTGTGTGTGTGTGTGTGTGTGTGTGTGTTGCTTATATTTCAATATCTTTTTAATTTCACTTTCCTTCTTCATTTTTAATAGCTGAAAAAAATAGCATCATGACACTCATCTGGGTAAAAACAACAAATGTATTAATTTGATAGTTTTCAAGTCCATCATCCCTTTTCTTGAGCAGAGAGAAAAAAGTTATATACACCAGAACCTATTGCTGTTTTAAAGAAACATGCACCAGTATTTTTTTAAATGACCCTCAGTATTATCTTCCACTCACTTTAGTAGTACCTCACATATATCTTTCTGTGTGTTCATTCCAGACACTGAACAGCTTTCTGATGCTTCTGTTACAACAGCAAGTGAATCATAATTCCAAGTAGATAAGCATCACTGTTCTTAGGTCAGGCCTTTGCATCAACTTGAGTTTGCTTGTTGGAAGCTGTAAATACATGACTGTCCTGTTATGTAACTTCACCTTTTGTTTTACTGTTATTTGTATGCTTTTATAAAGGTTAAAATATAAAGATAATGCTTTCTAGGGAAGATAAGTAACTTTTCATTGGGCACTCTATTATGGCTCTAAACATTTATAAACAATCACATTTGTAACAGTGTCGTTTTCTACACATTATTGAAATAATGGATATTTTAGTATAAAAACATTGAAAATAGAGAAAAAATAAAGAGGAAATTAAAATAAACAAGTGTTTCCATCCAGAAAAAGTTAGTATTTTGGGACAGTTTTTCAATGAAGTTGTCCATGTTTGCATTTTCTCTCTTATTTTCATAATATTGAAGTCATATTATATGTGTGTGTACCCTACAGTTTTCACATTGCATCATGAGCATTTTCCATGTTACGGAAAAAAATGAAGATGCACTAATGATAGCATGATATTACAAGAGGTGAAATATCATAATTTATTTAAACTAGACTCTTTTTCAACATTTTTATTTTACAATTATACTGAGGGTTCATGTTTGTAAAATATTGCATATATTGCTGATTTTTGTTCTAATGGATTTTTATTAATACATATTCATAGGGAAAAATTCATAAAGTATAGACAGGTTTAAATATGAATAGGTGTTTTCTTCCCATCAGATGCCTGATCTGACTTGCAGACATTTCTACCATTAACAGTTTTTTGTGTATCCTTTCAGAATATTTTAAAAATGAGAACATTTTGTATGTGTTGCAGCTTGCTGTTTAAAAAAAAATCTCAGTCTATCTTGGGAATTTTCCACATTTGAATATAAATAAATAGCTTATTTCTAATGTTTACATAATATTGCATTTTATGCACAAGCAATGCCATAATATATTTAATTACAGATTGAATATCCCTAATCTGAAATACTTGAGACCAGAAGTGTTTCAGATTTTGGATTTTTTTTTGGGTTTTGGAATATTTACATATCATAATGAGGTATCTTGGGGATGGGACTCAAGTTTAACACAAAATTTATTCATGTTTTATATACACCTTAAATATTTAGCCTGAAAGTAATTTTATAAAATATTTTATATAATATTGTACATGAAACAAAGTTTTAACCACATTTTGACTGTAACCTATCACATGAGGTTAGGTGTGGAATTTTCTATTGTGGAGTCATGTGGGAACTCAAAAAATTTTGGATTTCAGAGCATTTCAAACACATTTTAGTTGAATTTCTAGTTTAGTCATGCTCAATCTGTATTTCAGATAATGACTGAAGTTCTTTCTGTTTTTTTTTTCTATTAAACAGTGCTACAAAATGTATTCTAATGCATATATGTTTTGCTCTGGTACCAGTGTGTGCAAGATAAATTTCTAAAAATATAAGAAGCTAGATAGACATTTAAGTATATTTAACAGTTTGATAGTTATTTTATATTTTGTTCCTGAAACTTTGTATTAATGTACACCTCTGAAACAAGCAGAAAAGTGCCTATTTCCCCACTTTCTATATTTTCCCATCTGACACATATCTATTATTTATTTTTTTATATTGCGCTGCTTTAATAATGAGCAGAGCTAAGCATTTATTTTACATTTTATTTAGCATTTTGCTCTTTCTTTTTCTCTCTCTCAATTTCCATTCTCTCTCCCTCGTCTCCCTTTCTTTCTTTATTCCTTTCTTCTTTTGTGAAACTTCAGATACTATCTTTTATTCATAAAGCCCTTATTAATTTATAAGTGCTTTTCATATACATGTACGTGTGTGTATGTGTATATATCGATGTCTGTATATATAAACATATATATATATATATATTTAATTCTATAGGTATCTGGGCAAACTCTCTCTTTAAAAACTATTAAATGTCCTGGCAACCATTACCTTGAAAATATTCTTAAAAGCATCAAATAATAAACACAACAGTAAGAAATGATCAGGCCAAAATCTCTCCTCCTGATGGAGGAGAGAATCTGAAAGATAGGAAGAACACTGCACCTTTTTCTGTCCCGAGGGGATTCGTAGAACCAGTAGAAACTGGCATTCATTTTCCAAGGTCCTGTGGGGAGGAAATGACCAAAAACCAAAGCCTGGGTCCACTCAAGTTGGGGCCTTAAGTCTCCCTGCTTAAGGCAGGACCTGAAAGCCTACCTTCTCAGTTTAAGTGGGAAGGAGAGGTAAAGTTCTCCACTTCCTCCTTACTCTGCAGGAAATTTGATTTAATGCTGAGCAGAGCAGAAAAGAAGGAAAATTCACAAGGTGGTGTAATGACTAGCCAATCTTTGTACAGACATGCAACAAACTACTATTACCTGGATGGAGCAAAAATATATCAAGTCATATATTTAAAAGAATACCTTTGCTGGTAGTGGCTCCAAAAATCAAGCATAAGCAAATTCTAGTCTCTTCTGGAGGAAAGAAGCTATATATAAGGCCCAAATAATTTTTTAAAGTAACTGAGTAGCTAAAAGAAAAAAAGAACAGCTCTAAACTCAGATTAAACTCAGATCTAGTAGAAAAAAGAATGCCATAAGCCAAACCTGCAAAGATTGCAGATATGGGAATTACCGGACACAGATTATAAAATAACTGTGTTTATTTTGTTAAAAAAAATTTAAAGACAAACCAGAAAATACACCCAGAGAACAGTAAACTATAAAAGTGACTGAGAAATTTGAAAAATTGTCCAACAGAATTCTAGAAATTATAAGAATGAGATAATTGAAATTACAAGCATAAAGATCTATTTAACAGTAAATTAAATACAACTAGAGTGTCCTGGATGATGGGTTAATGGAAACCAATCAGAGTGCAGCACAGAAAAATAGAAAATATGAAAGAGAGGTTAATAGATGAGGAAAATATAGCAAGACATTCTAATACTTATCTAATCAGAATTCCAGAGAGAAGAAAGAGAATGTGACAGAGTTTTTATACCTGAAGGGCAAATAACTCAGAATATTCTACCCTATATAAACTCAAAAATTTGCACATCCAAAGCAAGAAATTTAAAAATTCATCTACACTTAGAAACATCAAAAATATAACGTAGAATATGAAAGACAAACAGATGTTGGACGCAGTCAGAGATGATAAATTAACTACAAAGAAGCAAAAGTTAGACAGACAACTGACTTCTCTGTCACTGAAAATTACAAATAAATGCCAACCTCAAATTCCACAATAAACAAACATATATTTTAAGAATTCAGGCAAAATAAAAGTCAGTCCACCAATGTACCCAGCTGAAGAAAACTTTCATGAATGTACTCCATTGATAAGAAACAGAAATCCAAATAAAGTTGTCATATGGAAGAAATAACAAGTGAAATAAATAAGTGGAACATACATAAATAAAATTGAAAATATAAATAATTTATCAAAGGGTTAATATAAAATTAATGTATACAACAATTACTAACATATAAGTATTCAAACTTAAAAAATGAAATTATATCCTGACCACACCCTATACTAAAAAATCAATTGCTAATAAATGAAAAACATAAATGTGAAGGGCAAAGCTATCAGACTTCAGGAAATAACCTGGGAGAATAGGTCCTTCATCTCATGCCAGTAAAGGATTTCTTAAACATAATAGAGAAAACTTTGCTAATATTTAATAATTTTACTTCTTGCTGTATACCCCAGAGAAACTCTTGTCAGTGTGAACCAGGTGACATGCACATGAATTTTTATAGCAGCAATGTTCACGATAGCCCCAACCCAGAAAAACTAAAATGTCTGTTAATAGTGGAATGGGGCAGGGCGCAGTGGCTGAAGCCTGTAATCCCAGCGCTTTGGGAGGCCGAGGAGGGTGGATCACTTGAGGTCAGGAGTTCCAGAAGAGCCTGGCCAACATGGTGAAACCCCGTCTCTATCAAAAATACAAAAAAATTAGCCGGGCATGGTGGTGGTCCCCAGTAATCCCAGTTACTCAGGAGGCTGAGGCAGGAGAATCGCTTGAACCCGGGAGGCAAAGGTTGCAGTGAGCCGAGATCATGCCATTGCACTCCAGCCTGGGCAACAAAACTACTTATTGAAAAAAAAAGTGGAATTGATGTATAATTTACGATACATTCAGAGGAATTAATGTTATGTAGCACATGTTAAATGTGAGAACTAGAGCTGTACATACAACATAGGTGAATTCCTATTCTACAAACGTTATGTGAAAGAAGCAAAGTACAAACATATTAAATGACATTATTTACATATAGTTCAAAATCAGACAGAGCGACTCTATATCATTCAGAAACAAACACACACACGAATTGCCTTAATCTTTGGGCTGATTTAACAAAATACCATAGACTGTGTAGCTTATAAACAACAGCAATATATTTTCTCACCATTCTGGAGGCGGGGAGTCCAAGATCAACACACTGACAGATTTAGTGTGTAGTGAAAGCTCTTTCTTGTTCAAAGACTATGCTTTCTCACTGTGTCCTCCGATGGTGGAAGGGGCTAGCTAGTTCCCTTGGGCCTTTTTTAAAAAATTTTTTTAAATTTTTTTAATTTTTATTTTTTATTGAGATGGAATCTCGCTCTGTCGCCCAGGCTAGAGTGCAGTGGTGCCATCTCGGCTCACTGCAAGCTCCGCCTCCCAGGTTCACGCCATTCTCCTGCCTCAGCCTCCAGAGTATCTGGGACCACAGGCGCCCGCCACCACGCCCGGCTAATTTTTTTCTATTTTTAGTTGAGACGAGGTTTCACCGTGTTAGCCAGGATGGTCTCGATCTCCTGACCTCGTGATCCGCCCGCCTCGGCCTCCCAAAGTGCTGAGATTACAAGTGTGAGCCACCGCGCCCAGCCTCTTTTATAAGTACATTTCCCCATGAGGCCTCTACTCTCATGGTCTAATCACCTCCTAAGGGCCCTACCTCCTAATGTCATCACTTCAGGGATTAGAATTTCAACATACTAACTTTTAGGGAACAGAAACATTCAAACCAAAACATGTATGATACACACACATATATACACATATGTGTTTGTAATATGTCCACATGTGTGTGCTTATTTGGCCGACGGATTAGTGCTTTCTGTAATATAAGAGCATGACAGTATCAGAACTGTTTAATACGTTATGATTTTTCTGTAGAAGAAAGCAAAGAAAGATTGTATTCCATTAAGGGCTTAATCCTTTTGTACTAGTCTTTTTGTAGCACACACACATACCTACATATATACATATATAATGTATATGTATATGTATATCATAGATGTGTGTATGTGTGTGCTGCAAAACTAAAATGAAAAGCAAGGATATCATAATTACAAATGTTAGAAGACTGATTAATTCTAGGGAGATGAAGAAAGAACTGCCCCAAGTTTGTTATGTGGTTTTTATACAGTTTCCCCTTTGTCTCTTTGTAGTGTCCTGCTCAAGAACTACAAGGGCGTAGGTTGATGTATAAATTCAGTTATGTAGCACCACAAGACCAAAGAGATAAAATTATTTTGTCAATCAAATGGTGGAGCTGATTTCAAGACAGTTCCAAGACAGCTGATTCCAAGGCAATTAATTCCTTTTAATTTAAGTGAACTTAAGCAACCCAAAAGTATTATGACAAGCAGAAGATTGGAGATGTGTATACAAGTGGCACATGCTC
Source organism: Homo sapiens (assembly GCF_000001405.40). Taxonomy (NCBI): domain Eukaryota; kingdom Metazoa; phylum Chordata; class Mammalia; order Primates; family Hominidae; genus Homo; species Homo sapiens. Next base: position 51,573,517 of record NC_000005.10, read on the forward strand.
TCATAATACATTTGTTGGATTAATTTTTCTTAATGCCTTTTCTAAGATTTCTGGAAAGAATTCTCAGTGTCAGAAGTATCTTAGATTGCTATTACTTTTAGGTTTAATATAATACATTGTAAGCAAGTACAATATAAATATAGATTACTTTATCTTACTAATAATTTAGTTTTTCTTCACTGCCAAGTCATACATCATATTTGTGGTGCTTAGACATTTCTTCTTTGATTTTTATCTGATTAAAAATGTTTTCAGCAAAAAGCATCTTTCAAGTATTGTAGAGGTATATCTAAGCAAGAATATAAAATTAAAACTGCTAATTAAACACTTGGTATTTAATACTACTAGCTGTGACACAATGTAATTTACAGCTTCATAATTCTCCTTGATGGAATACAATCTTTCTTGAAAAAGATCATACTATATTAAACAGAGTTCTCATACTGTCACGCTCTTATTGTATTACAGAAAGCACTAATCCTTAGGCCATTCGTCTGACTCCCTGTTCCTAAAGTAATCCGTGTTGGGTCTTTGGTTGCTCTCTTGAGAGTTTGCTGTTTTTTGAGATTAGTCTTATTGTGCAAAGAGACCTTAGTTTTACGCTGAGATCAGTCTTATTGTGCAAAGAGATCTTAATTTTATGCAAAAGGTGTCTTAGTTCCAGATGTTGAATAAGAGTTTTATTATTTTTCACTAAACGGTGCCAACCAGGTGCTTGTAAATATTCATGCTCATTACTTCTTTTTCTTTCAGTGTCCTCTAATGGAGGACAATCAGTGAGAGATAAGTGACTTTTGCTGCCTTTAGAAATTTAAATAGGAGGTAGAAGAATAGGAATAAGAAAGAGTAAGAGAGGACAGAAAGAAAGAAGACTTAGATAAACTTCATTTCATTATTGACCCAATTGTCACAGAAATTTCAGAGTTAAGTATATTCTATATTTGTTTATAATCATCATGAAATAATATGTGTACATGAGGGCACTCAGCTCTTTGGATCAGGATTGAATATTTCTGATAAAAATAAATCCTTTTGGGGAAAAGAGTCAATGGAAATTTGAAAGAATTTGATCAAAGAAAATGCCTATGAATGTAGCTTTAAAATGTTTGAATGAATGTAGTCATTGCTATAAATATGATTCTTATAGGTATTCCTATAGACAATATTCTTGGAAGCTGATCTACATTGGTTGGGTTAAAAGCTAGGTGTAAATAGAGAAAGCCAGTTATTAAAAATAGCAATATTCGGTTATTTACATGAGTAATCCAAAATTAAATGGGATTTAGTCCAGAGATGCAATGATGGACATTTGAAAAGCAATTCAGGATGATAAAAAATTAGGCTAATATAATAATTTTATTTTACATGTGATTTATTTTATATTATGTTATATTAATGAACAATTTCATACTGATGAGCTAGTGTATTCTTTTCTTACTACTACATTTCAGGTAGGCATCTCAAAATTAGTATAGCCTCTCCTTTAGAGAAGATGATAATCAATAGCTACTAATTATTTCTATTTCTGGTATAAAATACTTTAATTAAAATATATGTTATTAAAATATTACAACTTTGAGCACTGAAATTTTCCTCTCTTTGCACTTAGATGTCAATTTGCTCCTGTTAGACCCAAGTTGGTGGTAGACATGACCTTATATCATAATCTCTGTTTCCTATTCTCCAAAAATTAATGTCTAGAATTAAAAGACTATCAACAAATCTCAACTGACACAGAAAAACCAGACAGCAACAACAAAAAAGAAAACTATAGACTAATGAAGATAAACAGAAAAATATTCAACAAAATACCAGCAAACTGAATCCAACAGCACATCAAAAAGATAATACATAAAATTAAATGAGATTTCGTCCAGGAATGCAATGATGGTTCAACATATGCAAATCAAAAAACATCATAGATTGTATCAACAGAATAAAAGACAAAAATCATATGATCATCTCAATAGACAAAGAAAAAGCTTTTGATAAAGTCCAACAACGCTTCATGATAAAAACTCTCAACAAACTAGGCACAGAAGGAATATACCTAAACATAATAAAAGCCATATATGACAAAACCACAGGTAACATCATACTGAATGAAAAAAAGCCAACAGTCTTTGTTCTAAGAACTGGAACAAGACAAGGATGCCCAATTTTGCCATTCCTATTGAATATAATGCTGTAAGTCCTAGCCAGAGCAATCAGGCAAAAGAAAGAAATATAAGGCATCCAAATTAGAAAAGAAGTCAATTGTCTCTCTTTGCAGATGACATGATCTTATATTTAGAAAAACCTAAAGACTCCATCAAAACAACTCTTAGACATCATGAACAAATCCAGTAAAGTTGCAGGATACATAACTAACATGAAAAAAATCAGTTGTGTTTCTATACATCAGTAAGAAAATAGCCAAAAAAGAAATCAATAAGGCAATCTCATTGACAATAGCTACAAAAAATACTGAAATACCTAGGAATAAATTTAACCAAGGAGGTGAAAGACCTCTGAAATGAAAACTACAAAACACTGAAGAAAGAAATTGAAAAGGACACCAACACATGGAAAGACATCTCATGCTCATGTATCAGAAAAATTAATACTGTTAAAATGACCATACCACTACCCCAAACAATTTACAGATTGAATGCAATCTCTATCAAAATATCAACATCATGTTTCACAGCAGCAGAAAAAAAAAGTCTTAAAACTGGTATGGAACCAGTAAAAGCCGAAATAGCCAAAGCAATACTGAGCAAAAAAAGCAAAGCTGGAGGCATCACATTACTTGACTTCAAAATATATTACCAAGCTATAGTAACCAAAACAGAATGGTGTTGGTATAAAAACAGACACATAGACCAGTGGAACAGAATAGAGGACCCAAAATAAATCCACATATTTATAGACAACTGATTTTCAGCAAAGTTGCCAAGAAAATACATTGTTCTAGACACCTCTTAATTACATGGCACAAGGAAAAGTGGATATCCATCTGCAGAAGAATGAAACCAGGCCCATATTGGTCACCATATATAAAAATTAACTCAAAATGGATTGAAGACCTAAATGTAAGACCAAAATTACAAAACCATTAAAAGAAAACATGGGGGAAACATTAAAGGACATTAGTCTAGGCAAAGGTTTTACATCTAACACCTCAAAAGTGTAGGCAATGAAACAAAAAATAGACAAATGGAACAATATTAAACTAAAAAGCTTCTGTACAGCAAAGGAAATAATCAGTAGAATGAAGAGACAACCTGTTGAATGGGAGAAAATATTTGCAAATTATTTATCCAATAAGAAATTAATATCCAAAATATATAAGGAATTCAGCTCAACAGCAAAACAACAACAAACTCCCCCTGCCCCCACCAAACAAAACCACAAAACCTAATAATCCAATTAAAAAGCAGACAAGGCCGGGCAAGGTGGCTCATGCCTGTAATCCCAGCACTTTGGGAGGCCGAGGTGGGTGGATCACAAGGTCAGGAGTTCAAGACCAGCCTGGCCAACATGGTGAAACCCCATGTCTACTAAAGAAATACAAAATTTAGCTGGGCATGGTGGCGTGTGCCTGTAATCCCAGCTACTTGGGACGCTGAGGTGGGAGAATTGCTTGAACCTGGGAGGTGGAGGTTGCAGTGAGCTGAGCCACTGCACTCCAGCCTGGGCAACACAGCAAGACTCTGTCTCAAAAAAAAAAATGTAGACAAAATGTGTGAATGGACATTTCTTTTAAAAAAAGGCATACAAATGACCAACAGGTATATGAAAAAATATTCTGTTCCATTTTCATGTCACTAATTATCAGGGAAAATGCAAATCAAAACCACAGTGAAATATCATTTTACCCTAGTTAGAATGCCTATTACTAAAAAGACAATAAAATGACAGCTGTTGGTGAGGATGTGGAGAAGAGGTAACTCTTATACACCTTTGTCAGGAATGTAAATTAGTAAAGCCTTTATGGAAAACAGTATGGAGGGTTCTCAAAAGGTTAAAAATAGAACTATTGTATGATCCAGCAGTCCCAATATTTGGTATTTATACAAAAGAAAGGAAACCATTATATCAAAGGGATGCCTGCACCCCTACATTTACTCCAGCACTATTGACAATAGCAAAGATGGAATCAACCTAAGTGTCCATCAATGAATGAATAGATAAAGAAAATCTGGTATACATACACAAAGGAATACTACTCAGCCATAAAAAATAATGAAATCCTACCATTTGCAGCAACGTGAATGGAACTGGATGTCATTATGTTAAGTGAAATATGTCAGGCACAGAAAGACAAATTTGGCATGTTCTCACTCCTATGTGGGAGCTAAAAGAGTTCATCTCATAGAGGTTGAGAGTAGAATGATAGATACTAGAAACTGGGAAGATTCTTTGGGGGGATGAAGAGAGGTTGATTAATGGGTGCAAACATACAGTTAGAATAAGTTCCAATGTTCAAACAGAGTAGGTGACTATTTTTAACAACAATGTGTTGTACATTTCAAAGTAGCTGGAAGAGAGGACTTGAAATGTTTCTAACACATAAAAATGATAAATACTTGAGGTGATGCACACCCTAAATACACTGACTTTGATCATTACATATTGTATGAATGTAATAAAATTACACATGTACCCCATAGAAACATACAAATATTATATAACGATAAAATATTTTTAAAATAGTCATAGTGGCTTATCTCATTTATTCTATAATGTAACAAATATTTATTCAGAAAATTTTATGTGCCAAATATTGCCATGGTCATCCGAAACAAAAATGAAGAAGACATCATCCGTGTCTTCAGGGAGCTTTTACTCTAATATAACAGGTTAGAGAAGGGTAAGAATTAGATAAATTAATCAGGGTATACTGAAATGTAAATTGGTGGTCGTCTAGGAGAAGATGAAGACAGTGATGGGTTGAGATCAAGAGGAAATACTTGAACTGGTCTCTATATTTTACTTTTATTTAAAATATAAGAAATAACTTAGCCTTTTCAGTATTTAATGTGTTGACTGCCTCTGGTGTCTTCTCTGCGTAACTCTCTATGAGATGGCTTATTATGCTGGCTGTTGACTAGGGAAGGGTGGGTCTTCCACAAACCAAGCGGGTTTGGAAAAGTCACCCGCCCTTGTTAGAGTAAAACTTACTGCAATCTACTACAATGTATAGAAAGCTAAGTAAGTGCATGGGTAGATTATATACATACTTTTTAAACTAGCACATCATGTACAAGGGGCTTAAATAGATGTTTGCAATAAAACTGAAGATTAAAGACATTATGACAAAGCAAGTACAAGGCAAAAATCCACAGGATAGCAGACTGACACTTCTTCTCAGCCACATTATGGATTTACTTAGGACCTAACTGGAGTGATAAGAAGTCAGGGAAAAAAATGAAATTATCAAGATAGCTTGAAATTAGATTTGCCACCACTAATGTTAATAACGAACCTTGGCCTCAATGTATACACTTGTAAATACACTGATATTAAAAATTCATCAGGGTTAACAAGTCATGAGCTACTTATTAATCTCCTATTTATCTCATATTTAAACATTTCTAATTATGTATATATTACAATACACTTAACATATGAGTAGAATATTACATTTATATAATTCAAAAACATTTTATTGTAGTGTGTTTGATTTTAAAGTTTTGAAATATTTCTCCAAAATCATTAGAGGCCCCATGCTAAGATGTAGAAACAGAGAGCAAAGGTTAAGTGAGACAGGGTAAATCTTTAAAAGTAGAAGTGACCATATTTATTACATGATTGAACTTGGGGATGAGAGACTAGGAAGAATAAGATGAGATGGAGGTCTTGGAATGTTTGGAGAAGAGGTGTTTAAATATATATACATATTAAACAAGGAAAAAGAGTGCATAAGAGTTGAGGATTTATAGCAATGCCCATCTTAAAATGTGTTCTCTAGAACACTATGTTCCATAAGATGTTAAGCTATCCCCCCTTCAAAACAGTCACCCTATGATTAAATAAATTATAGAAAATATGGGTAAAAGAAAAGTTTTGTTGATTTTGATTTTGTAAAACTTCTGCTCATTCCCATTGTAAAGACACAAGGGTAGGAAATAGTGTGCAAAATTTTACTTGACCATCGACCAAGTGATAGAATTTCTCTCTATATATACTATCTTCATCTCTATCTCTATCTATAGATATATACATAGCTATAGAGATAGGTATGTATATGTATATATATAGAGAGAGATAGATATTTGGATGTAGCTATAAATACACACACACACACACACACACACACACACAGAGAGAGAGAGAAATAGCTAGATAGCCAGATATAACTATCTGGCTATTTCTCGATTTCTCTCTCTCTCTCTCTATATATATATATGTGTGTGAGTGTGTGTGTGTGTGTGTGTGTGTGTGTGTGTATTTATAGCTACATCCAAATATCTATAGATATGTATATACATATATATATCAAAGAAAGGCAGAGAGATAGAGAGAAAGAAAGGATGCCTTGGTTCATGGCCAAGTAGACTTCTGTATGCTATTTTCCAGTATTAAGTCTTTACCAATGGTAGTGAGTAGAGATCTTGCAAAATCAAAATAAACGAAACTGTTATTTTACCTATGTTTTCTATAATATAGATATAGGTATCTATATATTTCTAGATATATAGATACATTGATATACTATATATGTATGAATATATACACACATTTCAATAATTATACATTATATATATATTTGTAATCTTGAATACCTATTAATCCCTTATGGGAAAGAGGGTTCTATGAACGACAGTTTGTTGTATTCAAACCAGTGTTTTTGGCAGGCAGTTCGGAAGTATGTCTGGGGATATTCAAAGTCAGTGAGGAGTGTGGACTGAATTGCCAGGAAAAGAAGTATAAACATTGAAACCTCTGAAAACAAAACTGTAAACAAATTTATGCAGGGACTAAGAGGAGCAGTGAGAGATACTGAAGAATCGGAATAGAAGGGTGCACTGGTGTCACACAGGAGAGAGACAGGCTAGTCAACTCTGTTTATACCATGGGAGGTAAGAGGGGAACATATTGAACAGACGCTCTTGAATTTGGTAATGAGGATGCTAATGCTGATCCACAAGTGAGCACTTTTGAACAAATGATGAAAACAAGAGACCAGGCAGCAAATGGTGGATTTGTAGTTAGAAAGAAGAGACAGTGGCCAGGTGCAGTGGCTCATGCCTGTAATCTTAGCACTTTAGGAGGATAGGGCCGGCAGATCGCTAGAGCCCAGAAGTTCCAGATCAGCCTGGGCAACATGTGGAAACCCTGTCTCTACTAAATAAGTAAATAAATAAATAAACAAACAAGCATCGCTGGGTGTGGTGGCCCACGCCTGCAGTCTCAGCTCCTTGGAAGGATGAGGCATAAAGATCACTTGAGCCCAGGAATTCAAGGCTGCAGTGAGCCAAGATCACGCCATTGCACACTGCACTCCAGCCTCGGTGACAGAGTGAGACCCTGTCTCAAAAAAAATAAAATAAATAAAATAAAATAAGAAACAAAGAAAGAAGGAAAAAGCAGCAAATTACAACTATTTTCTCAGTGGAATTACACTCTGAAGGATGATGGTAAATAAGAGTAGGGAAGTTGTGAGCATTATTGCAAATGTAGGAGAATGAACCAGGGAAGTAGAGGAGATGAAAGGAGACAGAGAGGCAGATGGAAGAGGAAAGTGGAGGGTCCAGGAAGAAGGAGAGCCATTCTGCTGACAAAGGAAGCAACAAATACAGGCCAAAGTGTTTTAGTATAGTTTCATTTCTCTTTTTGTGGCATAGAAATTCATAAATGTTTAATTTCACAGGTAAGGTAGCACCTACTGTAGAATTTCTTATCACTAATATGGAATACGAAGCATAATATTTTATTTAAAGTTTTCTTTTCACCATTTATTAATTTTAGTAATTGAATTCCACATCTATGTATTGAGCAATGAGATTTATACAATGACCAATTATATCTTCATCTTTATTAAGCCTGTAATCTAGAATACAGTTCAAAAGGAAAACATGGCAAGATAATTGTCCTTTTGTCTAGACATTAGGGGTTAAGCCCCTGACCTGTATATATTCCTCATTCTGCAACTTTGTAGTTCTGTAAGTGAAAAATTAATGCATTTGGTATTGATGTTTTAGAATTATGATCAATATTTTAATATCTTCTAAGTAGAAAAAATATTAACACAGGGCTTGATTTCATACCTTTCCTAAAAGCCACTAATATATTTATTAAAATTAATCTATTTAGATTAAAAACTGATGAACATTTGATTTCTTGGGGGTTTGACTGAGTTTTTCTCAGACATACTTTCACAAGGATATGTTTAGATAATTGTCTAAGAATTGATGTTTTAAGTATTTTGATGAAATGATGGACTATTGTTGGTAATAATGAATGCTTTATAAAGTGTCTCTGCAACAACCACTAATTAGCTTCATTATAGCCCACAGCTAATTCTTGTGAATAACTTATGTAAATGATGAAACTCTATTAGTTTTTCTGAATTTCCTGACAATGAGACTTTGAGAGTAATAAGTGTGGCAAATTTCTGACAGCAGGTACATTTCTTTGTTGCATTCTGAGAAAGAAATAATCCAAGTACTAGAATGTATTTAGCTGTGGAGGTTTTTCCTTTTCCAAAAGCTTTGAAAGTATAAGCTGAGAAAAGCAGGCTAGAAAAAGAGTCATTTGATTTGCATCTTAAGAACAAAGAAATAAATGAAAATGTGACTATTGTCTTTATCTCCACTGTTATTGTGTGCAGTATCCTTCTGTAATCTTTTCTTGTAATGAGACTTAATAGCTGCTTTTGAGATATTAATGGAAATTGTCACAGACAAGGGAGATATTATGGCATCTAATGAACTAAAGTAAGACTAAAAGGAAAAGAAAAGGAATAATAAGTAAAATTGACACAAATAAAAAGAATTTAACTAGTTTCTAAAATTTAACCCCATAGATGACTCTGCCATGAAATAAATCTAAGGATGAAAATGCATTACTATACATTTTCTAAAATATAATTTGTTAAACACAATTAGCAATTTTTTTGTTATTTTGTATTTAAGTTTTGTTTAAAAACCCCTTGACTTCCATTTTATGCAATATCTATATTAAAAAAAATTTCATCTGACTTAAAGGGCAAGTCAGATCACTGGGTTTGTTACAGCAAACAAAAGTACAGATTCCAAGCATTCAAATAAAATAGTGGGTAAGAATATAGAGAACAATGTAGTGATATAGTTGATTTTAACTATATATTGAGCACTTGGGAAAATTTGAAGTTTAAATCAGTTTATTTAATAGGAACTATTGACTCTGACTCTTTCAGTGCTTACCTTTGGGTAAAACTGAAATTCACAAAAGTTGATGCTTAGGTAAGATAATTTCATAAATGTACACACTTGCCCTTGTTTCTTGAAAGCTGAGTGGTGAATGGCTGCCATTTAAGCGGGAGTGTATTCCCATCTAATTAAATGAAGGATGTACAATTGAGCTGTCAGGTAAAGAATTATGAGGTTAAGACATAAGTTATGATGGCAACCAGACTCCTTTTTTTTTTTTTTCTTTTTTAGGGCATTCCCTAAGGAACGAATTGTAAATAACGCCATCCAAATTCCTGAGAACAAGATGCATGCCAGGTTTCTGCCAGGATAACAGTTGATGCCTAATTGAGCCTGGGATTGTTAAAATGTCTCCTTTTTATAGTCCTGAATAATGTAGAGCTAATGAACAGATTCCATTTTAGATCTGAAAGCATCAGCTCTCTAGCAAAGGTTTTTCTGTGTGTGTGATTTGGCTTACTAAAAAAATACATAAGTAAAAATAAAAATATAGAGACTCTTCTCAGCACAACCTCTGTCTTCATATAGATGCTAAATTTTTCATTAAAATTATGTGTAAATTGCTATAGCACATATACAGCTATTCTAATACGAACTGAATGATGAATTGATTGGTCTTGAAAACTGCATTCCATTTTAATCATATATTTTGGTTCAGGAGTGAAAAAAACTGAATCCTTGTCTATTGTTGCCTTCTTTTTTCTCTGACTTTCAGACATGTAGAACATTCCCGAAATTTTTAGACAGTTAATGCTTATCCCATGCTTAAGAAGAAATACTTATTTTTTTCTTTTCAATTGTGGATATTACAAACAGAGATTAGTGGCCTCTCACTTCAGAGCTGTCAGTATTGAAGTGGCATGAGCTATTAACATTCTATTGTAAGTGGTCAGAAGCTTCCTTTGGCATTCCTGTCAAAAGGCCACTAAAACCACCATTTTATGCTGTTTTCACTAAGATAATCCATTGCTATCCATTTTGATTGGTTGGTGCCATTTAATATGCCATATTTACTAATAATCCTATGCAACTACTGAATCTTTTCTACTAAAGAAAGAAATAAAAGGTAAGTCTTAAATCAGGCTATACTCACATGAATGCTCTGATTTGATTTGCACAGAAATATTTTATTCCAGGAAAAATGAAATTAAATGCAATAAATAATTTTAAACTATCTTTGATTAGTTAAATAGGACTAAATGTACACTCTTTCCCTTTTTTCTTGAAAGCTGAGTGGTGAGTGGTCAGGTATTAGACCAACTAACAAAAATAGAAGGTAATTCATGTAATCACAAGGACAGTTATACAGAACACCAAGTAGGCTGCCCAAAGGCCAGAATCTATCATTTTCTGGCTCTATCACTCCTCTAACTGGTATGCCCAGTACAGACTTTATAATAGGCCAAAACTGGCCCTTGTTTAAAGGAAAGAATAAAATAACGATACGTATTTGTAAGAGGGATATATGCATATTCTTGGTCTTCTTGTTCAGTTAATTTATAAGGTATCACATATTTTTTTCTCAAATTTTCCAAATCTTAATCTAGGCTAGGAATCAAAAGATAGGATGAATTTTTATATTTTGAATATACATCTGTCCCATGACTTCAGTCTCATGAACAATACACAATGTATTGTCTCACACATTAATTAATCTATTTATTAATGATTTTTGTGCCTGTATTATGATAGGCATGGCACTAGGCATTGGAGCTAGAACAATGAATAATTAGGAAAAGAATTCTACCCTATAGGAAATTCACTGCAGAGAGAGGAAATACAAAATAGAGTGTGTCCGACAAGCACAAGTGCTATGAAGAAAAATCAACTGGGAGCAGAGGACAAGAAGGGCCCCACGGGAGCAGGGCAGTGGTTTTGGAATTTTAAACCTCATGTGACCTAAAGAATCAAAGCTGAGAATTTCTATTTAGGATTTGCTCATATTTGATCACACTCTTTATTTGCCTGAGGTTGATGTTTACATATGAAAAATTTCTGGTGCTATTAGATAAGTCAAATTTAATACGTTTTTCTTCACTTTTCTTTTAGGCTTTTATATGTGTTAATTATTAAAGTTATGATCAAGATCTCTCACGTTTGCATCTTGCTAACATAGTGATGTGAGTTAGCAAAAAGTATAATCTCCTTCAGGGAGGACTTTTGAAAACAGGTAAACAAAAATCTGAATTTCATGTAGATTTAGTCCTCTCTTGAGTCTCATTGATCCCTAAATCTTCTTTGATTCTGTTAGTCTAGGATGCATTCCAACTTCCAGGGAGAGAGAGAGAGAGAGAGAGACAGAGAGGATGTTATTTTGATTATTGTGGCTATATTCTTTTAAATATTTGAATTCTAATTAAAAATATAACTCTTAATAAAACTTTCTATTTGGTACTGTGTTCACTGCAAGCAACTCTGATGAACTAGATCCCATTTTTAAATTAGTTTTATTGTGACCAGAAAAGGCTGGTTTTGTGGACTTTGAGGAGCCAGACTAATTGTGACCCAGTTAGAGCAGGATGGCTTTGCTTTTATTAAATGGTGTCTGAGGTGAATGTCAGACAGCATACATCAACCTCTGTCCTCCTTCTGGCTTCCATGGGAGTTGTATGAGTATATAGAGTATGAATTTGGCCGTACAAATCTAATAGACAGTGGAATAACCCAGATCACTATTTTAGAGTCCAGTGACTGTTTTTTAAAAAATTAATTAATCTCTTTGACAGATTCCATGTCCTTTTCTTGTGATGTGCAAGTGACTTTCCCTTGAGGAATAATCTTCTAGCAATTCCCAAACACAGTTTTGTCTGTCAAAACATTAGCCTTCCTAATAAGGTACATATTTAAAGATTTTTATCTTTAAAAACTCATTTCATTGCTGATGTGTACTACTTATTAATTTATATCTTTTGAATTTTAAAATCTAAAATTATTTAATTCACAAAAATTTCAATTTATTTTAACTTATACTAGAAACATTTATTTTATTGTTAAATAAGATTTTGAAACAATTATCAAACTTTTTAGACTTTATAAATCTGTTATTCTCCTTCCATCTTCAGAGGAATAAATTGTTATATAAAATAAATTTCCTTCTAATCATAGCTAATTATATACAAAAAGTTATACAGTAATAAGAAAATATGGTGCTGAGATTAGGAACACCATAGTTACATTTAGCTCATGTTTCTGTTCATTTCTACTAACAGCCAATTTCTAATTACCGACAATTTATAAATAGCTTTATATAACATATGTAGCTACTCTACTATACTGTTGAAGAAAAATAAAAAAGTTTATTTGTAATAAAAAATAGACTGTTCAAATATTTAATTGCATCTCTAACAGTGATTGTTCAGACACATTCACCTCTATCCTCATATCAAATACAAATAAAAATGATCACATAATTTTTTTAGAATCCTTGGAAAATTAAACTAATTTTATTAATGCTAATGCTTTGGTTTGAATAAAAAATAATCATACATATTAAGGGTATTTTGTTAGATAGATGACTGATTGGTTTATTTTGATAATCTCCTCTCCTTTGGGGTAAATAAAATATATTTTGATATAAAAAGTCAGTGTAGATCTTTTAACAAATTAAGACACTACATTTGTTCATTCTTAGATTCAACAAACATTTTTGGGAATGAGCTTTCTGTTAAGACTGTGGGCTAAAAACATGTATGAAGAGTTTCCTACCTAATGTGAAAGACATGCAATGAAATTCATAATGAAGATATAATGGAATTGTGAATAGTAGAAATGTGTACAACACAGTACAAGAATTTTAAAAATGGAGCAAATTTAATATCTGAGCTATATGCCTTAGAAGATAATTAGAAGTTCACCAGGTAGAAAGCTGACCAAAAGGGTGCATGTGGGAGACATCCCAGATGATGAGGGTAGGAATCAAGGTCCCAAGGAGGGAGTGAGATTAACATATTTATGGGGCACAGAATAGTTTGATGTAATTAAAAGACTCAGGTTTGGGCTAGATCACAAAGAGCTTTTCTTAGTTTATTTACTTTAAAAATATTGGTAGAGAATCCAGGAAGTTTCTCTAGTACTGTGTTCTTCATTATGATTGTCTTGTGTCCTTCAAAATTATACCACTAAATGCAACAACTATTCCAGAGGTTCCCAACATTCAAGCATAGATATTACAGTTCAAAGGAAAAGAGAAACCACTGCTTTTATGTTGGTTGCACTGAACATTCAGAAGTAAAAACATTGTATTCCTTGTTCTCTTATTTTCTTGTATTATATTCAGTATAAATAAAAGATACGTGTAATAATCTAAATCAACTAAATCGTTGGCAAAAGCTATGCAATCAGCATGTGGGGGAGAGCACACAACATGATTCAAATGGATTCAGTAAACACGGATTAAATACCTTGTAAGTGGTGGAAGGCAGAGTACACATATAGGTAAGACACACGCCTTGCCCTTGAGACTTTCATAGTCTTCCAAAGTAGACAAATAAACAGATAATTCAAAAATATTGTGGCAAATTGTAAGAACGGAGCAGCCCATGCAGGATGTCTGGGAACACAGAGCAGGACCTTCCAGGAATTGAGCAAGACGTCTTGGAGGAAGTAGGGCTCAGCTGTCTATAAGAATGAGTAGTGAATATCCTTCAGCAGATAGAGACTAACTAAAAGACAGGATTTCTGTGGTGCTAGCAGGAGCACAAAGAGTTTGTAATTCTTAGCGTATCAAGTGTGAAATAATTGGGTGAGGCTGAAGTTGGAGGTTGATAAAAGTTGAAGCTATGTAGCTGGACAGGGACTGGTGAGGTCAGAAGGGGGCTTATAGCCACCTTCTGGAATTTGGAATTAACACTGCAGGTAATGGAGGCATTACGTGGTTTTCAGTAGGGGCAAGGCATAACTGTATTTGTATTTTAAACTGATGTCTCTGGCTGCATTGTTCTGCTGTCCTTGGGGAGTGATGGTGCAAAGACTCTAGGCTTCAGAACTGCAGAAACAGTGTTTTTCCTATTCACCACTGTCACAATTACCTGCAAAGTGAGCAGGTGCTCAATAGATTTTTGTTGAATAAACGAACACACATTTTGGTAGTTATTGATAAGAGAGAGAGAAGCCTGACCCAGGGGAGTGGTGGTAGAGGGTGGAGAATTGTGGATGGATATAAATACAGGAAAAAGGTCTAGGAATTAAGATGAACAAAATGTGGTGATTGAATCTGACAGGAAAAGAGAAACTTAGATGATTCAGGGCTTGGAAAAAGGAAACATTATTGGTCATGTTAATTTTTATTTAATTCCCTATGGAACACATAAGTGAGCACACATATACTTTTACTTCTAAAGATTCATTTATATTCTTGGCTCTTACACATCCAATAGTAGCAGTATTTCCAAGGAGTCATTGCTTGGTACATTTTTCTGAATATGCATACTATATCTCCAAAGAGATTGTAAAATTTCTATGGACAGAAACTGTGTCTAATACCTCTCTAATCTCTTCACACAGTGCACAGCACAGGTTTTATTAAGCATCTATCAATCAGCTGGCATTTTTATTTCAATTTAAGTCAAAACCTCAAATAGTGGATTTAAAATATATATATAATTTCATTGCAGAGGCAATAATATTTTCACAGAGTTTCTGAAATAATATCTTCATCATCTACCTGATAGGAACAAGACATAATTAAAAGTCTCATATTTTGTTCCTCTTGGTACTTTGGTACCTCAGCCTCAATGATTAGTGGCTTAGATATTGATCACTTTTATAATAAACTTATCTACAAGAATGATGACAGACACAGTCCCCTTTCCCTGTGCTACTCATTCCCGTTCTCACACAAAGATTTTAATTGCAGAACCTAAATGAGCCCTTCCTGTTTATTACTCTGGTTAGTGGTCTCTAGTTTTTCACTGTGACTTGATGATCTCCATTCAGGCCTCTCTGTCTTACTGCAGGATGACATTTTTAAATAAACATGCAATGTATCTTAAAGAGTCTATTAATTTATATAAGTTCATGTGATTACTTAGGCAGAGTTGATATTATAAAAATAGCCATTTTTTCTTAAGAATAATGAGGAGAAAATATAATACAGGAAAAATAGGACTTCATGTCCTATTATGAAGCAGTATATGCTTTCTTATGTAAAGGGCAAACTCTAATTACTTTTTTGCATTGGTAAAGAGAGTCATGCATGTTGATAAGAGAAATTTTAAAGGTGAAAAAAGTTTTTTCACTCATTTTCCTTTTTAAAAATTGTTTAAACTTTCATTAAAATAAAAGTTCAGGGATACATGTGCAAGTTTGTTATATAGGTAAACTCGTGTCACAGGGATATCAATAATTTATATTATAATTTAAAATTATAATATTTATAATTAATAGCTACAAATACCTTGCATTATTTTTGCTAGTAAAAACTAAGTATATTGATGAAAACTTAAAGGAATAAGAGAGCAACGTTAATTACTTGATGTTTAAATTTCATGGTTATTCTAACACCCCAAATTTATTGCTGTAATGGTGAGTAAGGCAGTCTTGTTTTTGCTGGTGTTCATAGGCATACATTCTGATAGAAACAAATTCATATTGAAGGAGAAACTTCCAATGTCACAAAAATCTGTAATAGGTTTTAGTCTCATAAATTAACTAATTCATTGTGTTTAACTTGGGAGAGCAATTTAAACCTACAATATCTTTTTTGACTATTACATAAAACATTAAAAAGTATATATATTTAAATCCTGCTATTAGAGGTTGCTGATGAATAGATAATTCATTAATATAAAATTTATTCTCCACTTACTTCTGAAACAGCTTAAGCTAAATTCAATGGTGGGGGTGAGAAGGATATAAGTCCTAAATATTTTTGAATGTATGAATCAACAAATGAAAAAGGATTTGACATGGCCAATGCATACTCTCATTATACATAAAAGTTTCTATTTATTATAAAAGTTGAAAGCATAAAAATACATCTTCTTAATCTATAGATTTACACAACTATTTGTAAGCTATATATTATTTGTAGTTTTCTCCAAAAATCTGATTGATTCTAGAAAGTTTCCTTCATTGCCTGAAATGCACATTATAGAATAGTTCTTATATTCTATGAAGACTGTAAATAAGAAAAGAACTATAATTTAATACAATAAAGAATAATTCATGTGGAAGCTTAAAATCAGATTCATTCTTTATGTAGCAAGAAGACAGCCAAGTGTATTAAGCATGAGAAGTATCTTTTCAGCCTAGGAAGTTGTGTGGTCATAGAGTCATATATTTCTAATTGTGTAACTTGGCTCTGTGCTCAAGAGAACATCACTTAGATGTCCTTGTCCTAAGAATTTTGATTTTTTAAAAAATATATGAGTCTCCTTTAAAAGCTTTCAGGCATGAGCCTTGAAGTAGTAAATCAAGTTTACCTGAGTATGCATTATAACTGTCTAATCCATGAAAGTGATACTCTATTTGTTTTGTGATATTTGATTCCCTGTTAAATACTTTAAAATGGAAGTTCCTGTCTGGCCATGTGGTGTGAGGGTACTTAATATATAAGAGGATTCACTTGTCATTAACATATTTAAAGGGTCTTAAAATACTTCCTTAGAGTGAAATCATTTTGAAGAGTAGTCTATTCATTGCCCATCTCTAAAAGAGTAAAAGTTAGCAATTATAATGTATTCATAGAGAAGGCATATTTCTCCTCCTCCTATTGACTTCAAGTACAGGAATGCGCTAAAATAGAGTACTCTTCAATGACTCTCATTGAGTCAGGAAAAAATAGTCTTACATACTGAATACGAGATTTTAGGATGCAACACCAACCAGAAGTAATTGCAGTTGACAATCTCATTAGATTTCCTGAAATTCTCCCATTAGGCAGAATACATTCATTCAATATAAATTTCATATATATATATATTATTAAAGGAAAAGGAGTGGTGGCTGAAGTTGTAAGTGAAACCAAGAAAGGATTATTTAATGGAAAAAAATTAACGTATTTGTGGACCGATGAGAAAAATCCAAAAGAAGTGAAAAATTTGAGAGCACAGTCCCTACTATCATGATGGACATGAGAGAGAATAATCTAGCAGCTAAATAATTAAGGATGTACTCTGGTTCTATGATGCAAATAAAACAAGAAGCTGGGTAAGTGAAGGGATGAGGAGGGATTAGTTTTCCTGAGAGGTTTGTAAGCAGAAAGAACCAGTTCTGGAAGTGGAATATTCTAGGCTGAGGAACTAACCAGTGTGAAGACTCTAGGGCAGGAATCAGACTGGTTTTTCATGAAACAATGAAGTTTCTTAAAGGCTAGCGTATGGAATTTGCATTTTGTTCTAATAGCAGTAAAAAGGCATGAGAGTTTTTAAAAGCCGTGTTGATCGGTACGGAGAGAATGGATTTGAGAAGAAGACATGGGTAGAAGCAAGAGAACTACTTAGAAGTGGGTTGTCATAGCACAGATGAAGTTGATGGTGACATGGCTGAGAATGGCCATGGAAAAAGTGAATAAAGATGGAATTTTTATTTTACTTACATGAAAGCTTTTAATTAAACATTTTGGAGTATACTTCACAATAACCTTAGAATCACAATAACTGGCATTTATCGAGCACTTGCTATTTTTGTGAGTATTGTGGTAAGCATTTTATAAGCAATATTTTCTTTATTTTCACATCACTTCTGTGAGATACAGTAATTATCCCAAGATGAGAAAACCGAACTTTAGAGAGGTACTTTCACTTGCTCAAAGGCACACTGCAAACACTTGTTGAAGCTGCTCACTTTGGAGTCCACATTAACAATCACCTCACTATTGCCTTCCCAAGTGACCAAGTTTTATTTTTCCATATCAGCACCACCATCTACATTTCAGGCCTCATGATAATATTATTTATCAGTTCCTGTCGGTGCTTAAAACTCATGACTAATCAAAAGGGGGAAAAGTCTTGCCTTCCTTACCAAAGACTAGATGATTCCTAAAATAAATTAATTACATCAAATGATTATGCAAGTTGCATAGCAGTCAAGAGCCCATATGAACTGGACTGCCTTAATTTGAAGCTCTGCTCTGCCAGTTACTATTTGTATTACCTTAGGTGAATTACTTACCTCAGTTTTCTCATCTGTAATACGGATTTATAGTAGTGATGACCTCATAAGGTTGTTATGAGGATTTAATAAATTAACAACTGTAAAATACTTAGGAGTGTGCATGGCACCTATTAAGAGCTTCCTGTTTATTAAATACACCATCTCTAATCATTGCTTTATGCTCTATCCATAGTTTTAGAGTCAGTGGTTCTGCATCTGTTCAGAAATGTTTGAAGCTGTAGAGATACAGGTTGAAGAATCCAGGTCAAAGATTGTTTTAGCTGCTTACCAAAGCATTCAGAAGCTCTGCTCACCATAAGAATGTGACAATTTTTATCTGAATGAGATCTTCACATTCTTTTTTTTTTTTTTTTTTTTTTTTTGATACGGAGTCTCACTTTGTCACCCAGGCTGGAGTGCAGTGGTGCGATCTCGGCTCACTGCAAGCTCCACCCCACAGGTTCATGCCATTCTCCTGCCTCAGCCTCCCGAGTAGCTAGGACTACAGGCACCCGCCACCACGCCCAGCTATTTTTTTTTTATTTTCAGTAGAGACGGGGTTTCACCGTGTTAGCCAGGGTGGTCTCGATCTCCTGACCTCGTGATCCACCCGCCTCGGCCTCCCAAAGTGCCGAGATTACAGGCGTAAGCCGCCGCGCCCAGCCCAGAATTTTCTTTATATAGGCAATAAATATCTGGATCAGGTAGAGAGGGGTACAGCTGGTCAGTGTCAGAGCCAGTACTAGAATTCAGGTCTCATGATGTCCAATCTTGTGTATAAAAAACACTGAATTGTTTTTTAAACATGATTACGTGGTCTCCTAGTTAAGACCCTGCCACAAGTTTATTTCTAGTAACACAAGTATTTGTCACTCTGCAATGCTTGCTTTACCATCATGGCTTTGGCTTGGGGATTATGTTTATGATCAAAGAGTAGCAAACTGTACTTTGGAAGCAACGTAAAAGAGCTTGTCAAAATTATTATATTTGTGCTCACACGGGACACGTCTCATTATCTCAGGTTTTGCCACACATAAAAAGAGAATTTCAAGTCTCTAAAACACAATGTATAAAAGTATAAGCATGTTGTACTTGACAAGCATTAGTCAATAAGAACTGCTTATTCACCTTGAATTCAATTATTCTAAACATACAGTGACACTCTGTAATGGAGCATAAGGAATCAAAGCATGCAATGGATAAAACAGTTTAAAGAGGCACTATGGACTGCAGACAGCATCACTTAAAAAATGTTTAAATATATTCAGCCCAAAATGCTCACGACAGATTATCAGTAAAGGAAATGAAGTTGTTTTGAGGGCCATATATAATATTTAAAGGTGATTTCAAGAAGGATGAAATCCCTTTCTACAATAAAATTACTGTGGCTACCATGTAAAGAATATGGTCTGTGTTTCAGACACTGTGTAAATTGCCTTATCAAGAATCCCTATAATAATTAATTCCCCCAGTGAATTTACATGGGAAGTGTTATGATCTGATGCTTGGCACATAGTGGCATTCAATAAATAATTGTTTCTCGGATGAGAAAACTGTGGCTCAGTGATACATCTAGCAGCTGGAGGAACTGGCATTCTAACTCAAATTGTCTGATTCCAAAAAGCCAAGCTCTTTAATCCTCAGTGTTCTCTTTTCCAGCATCTTGTCGGAGTAAGAACATTGGATGTTGCATGGGTTAACATCATTGTGTTGAATGTTTAGGTTGATTTATGCATATTTGTGAATGAATAATTCCTTTTTTTTTTTTTTTTTTTTTTGAGACAGAGTCATGCTCTGTCACTCAGGCTGGAGTGCAGTGGCGCCGATCTCGGCTCGCTGCAACCTCCACCTCCCGGGTTCAAGCAATTATCCGACTTCAGCCTCACTGGATTGTAGCTGGGATGACAATCGTGTGCCACATGTCCTGCTAATTTTTTTGTGTTTTTAGTAGAGACGGAATTTCTCCATATTAGCCAGGCTGGTCTCCAACTCCTGGCCCCAAGTGATCCGCCCGCCTCGGTCTCCCAAAGTGCTGGGATTACAGGCGTAAGCCACCACACCCAACCGAATAAGTCTTAAGATCCAGAAAGTTCAAAGAATTTTTAAAAGCACATCTTATTCTTGCCAAGTGCATGTAATTGTATTAAAGAGAAAACGTAAATAGAAGAAGCAGTTTCTAAAATTAAAATTCAGAAGCATTTATTACAGTGTTTTGTATATTGCATAATTCCTTCTGGTGCTTGTAGCTATGGACACTAGAAGTTGGGTTTGAAATTCTGTAAGTATATAATAATTTGGTAATGTATGGTTAGCACCGAGTACTTAGGAAATGAAGAAAAGATGAAGAAGTTATCAAAAGCCATTTTAGCTATCAAATTGTTTTGTGTGGAGCTGAATCCCACAAATTTATTTGTGATATGAATACTGAGAAAGATCTAAAATACTATCATATTATTCTAGGAAATTAGCCTCATTATTGGTAGTCACTTTTTTAAACAACTGAAATCCAAACAAATATTGACTAGGGTTTCCAGAACATTTCACTCACTCTTTAATCTCTTTATCTAAAGATCATATTTCACAAAAGAAACACAATTTTCTTCTACAGGTACTACTTATAAATTCTTAGTTTAAACATAGATTAGACCCCTTGTGAATATTGATATATTGGTCTTACAATTCATATACAATTATTAATATTATGCAGTATTCATTAGAGTATGTTAAATTGCATACCGAATAAATGCAGTACTTTTGTTGTTACACTTTTGGTGGGTAAATTTCCCAGCAAGCAATCAGGTCATTCACATGCTACAAAGAGGTTCTTATTGTGTTTTAATTATTTATAATATGGCTCTAATCCTGTGTTTTCAAAATAACTTTTGTTTGCTATTTTAATGCACCTTAGTTTCTAATACTATATTCATTAAGAACATATGTAGATATTTAAAGAAACATTACCTAGTGGCATATGATAACTAAACTGGGAATTGGTCCTCATCAACAAGGGGACCATTCTGTGCAAAAATGATACTGCCTGGCCTGAAGGCCAAAGACATTACAAAAACATGATCAATAACCTATAATAAAGTTAGTGCAACTAGGTCTATACGATTGCAGACATTGGTTAGTTTCATCATTAAGAGATGGAGATGCTACTCTGAATTAAAAAGGTGCCCCAAATCACCAACTACAAAGTTAACAACTAATACAGAAAAATTATCTGTCATGTCTAAATTGTGTGTATGTATAGACTGAGTTTTAATTTACAATAGAAATCAGAAAAAAAGTAATAAAATTAGTGCTAGCGGAGAAAAACTGTGTTCTAAAGAATGTAGACATTCTATGGAAAACTCAAAGACAAGGAATTATTTTGAACAGATTCTGTGATGCTTAAGTATTTACAATATTAAAATATTTGTATATATTTGAAAATAAAGATGGAGTGGAAAAAATTACCATTCAATTTAAGGGGGGGGTCTTAAGTAAATTATAGGTATAAAATGAAAGTTTTGTACAAGAGATGCTTAAGTTTCAAACTGTACTGAAGAAAGTAAGTAAAAATTAAAACTCTCCATACCCACCTTTCTACTTCACATAGGTACTATTGCTAATAGGTTCTTCTGTATCCATATCTGCATACTCATACACATCTTAAAATATGATTACCAATTGGATTGGGGTATATAATTACAGTATATACTGTTCTCAACTTGTGCATATGTGTAGATAAAGTTGTACTTTACAATGGAAACCAGAAGATGTAAATAATGAAATATAGCACTCATGTAGAGAAATTATGTTTTTAAAGAATATAGACATTCTACAGAAAACTCAAAGACAAAGAATGATTTTGAACAGATTCCATGATGCTTATGTAATTGCAATATTAAAATATTTACTACAAAATTTTATAGTAAAATGAAATAAATGGGTAAAAAGAAGAAATATAAAAAGCTAATAAGCTAATAACCAGAGGAAAAGATGCTATCCATATCTACACACATACACACTTCTTAAAATATTATTACAGATTGGATTATATTATATAATTACAGTATACACTGTTCTCAACTTGATTTTTAACAGTTAATAATATATTATGGCTATTTTCCATAACAACACTTGCAACATTACTTGGATCTGTTGCCCAGAAACCCATTGTATAGATGTACCATTGCTTAATTAACTAGTGTCCTATGAGTGAATATTTAGTTTGTTTTTAACTTATTACTATTGAAATATATCTTGATGGTCCTTGCATGTGTGCCTTTGTGTAGCAGTGGGGAAATGTTCATAGAACAAATTTCTAGAATAGGAATCTGGGTCAAAATTTTAAGTATTTCAAATTTTGATATTGACAAAACATCTTCCATAGAGATTGGATCAATTACTAGAGTAGTATGAAAAGATCTATTTTTCTGTTTCTTTGTGAAATTTTAATCAACATGATAGATAAAAGACAGTATTACATTTTGATGTACATTTTTTAAATTATGAGAATTGATCAGCACTTTTCCTATATTTACTACCTTTTTATATTTCTTTTTTCATTATCTGCTTATTTCATTTTTTTCATCCCTCTATTTCATTTGCACATCAGTTTGCTATTGAGTTGTAAGTGATCTTTTCATTTTAAGGCTATCAGCACTTTGACTCTTGTGAGTTGAAAATATTTCTTACTGATTATCATTTGGCTACTGACTTGTTTTATGATATTTTGTTATTGTATAGGATTAAAAAAGAAATCGTAGTAAATTTTGAATTGTTTGCATTAAGTCTTCTTGGAAAAGCCTTTCCATCCAATATTTTTAAAAATTAAATATCTCTTACTTTTGATTTTACTTTATATATATAGCTTACCTGTCACAGTAGCAAGGTAAAGAAAATAAACTAAATATTTTTGTTTGGTGAAAACTGAATGGAATCCAAACTCAGTGTGATCTAAAATGCTTTGTTCTAAATAATTTCTATTAATATTAATATACACTCATTTTTTTCTTGAATAATTGAAAACATTTATTGTGCCTGACAACTGATACAATTATCAATGTGCCCACTCCTTGGAGTGATCTTTCTTTGTAGTTTTACTTTTAGGGGGCAGTCCGTGTTCTCACAGTGTTTTACAGTCTAACTATAAAACTCACAGGATGATCTCTGAAAACCATCAATTGTTACCTCCATTGCAACGAGGACCAACCCTGGTTATTCAATTCAGGATAAAGACGCTTCTTTTTCTTCATCTTTCTAATTCAAGTAAATTATACCCTTTTATATTATCCACAGAAGAGTAGCAGCAATAACAAAAATATAAACTGGTGATTGCATGATTAGTGAATGAGAAGGGAAGCTGAATATATGTAATTTAAAACAAAGGACTCACATGTCTTATTAGGCCTGAGTAACATTACGATGAGTTCATAATTCAAAAGAAAAAGTGTACTTTACATCTGACTGTATCATTAAGTCTTTATGTAAATCATTCATGCAATATTTTATTTATAATTTCCTATAATATTCCAATTTTTAATCATATGATACTCAACTAGTAGCTCTGTCCACAAAAGCATAAATATATTTAAAACCAGGAGTTTCACATGTAAATAATTTCTTATTGCTGATAAATAGTTTGGTTGGAAACTATGTGTGTATGTGGTTTTTTTGTGTGTGTTTTGTTTGTTTGTTTGTTTGTTTTGTTTTTGTTTTTTTTGAGACAGAGTCTCACTCTGTCACCCAGACTGGAGTGCAGCAGTGTTATTTTGGCTCACTTCTGCCTCCAGGTTCAAGTGATTATCCTGCCTCAGCCTCCCGAGTACTTGGGATTGCAGGGATGCAGGACCTTGCCCAGCTAATTTTTTGTATTTTTAGTAGAGATGGGGTTTCGCCATGTTGGCCAGGCTGGTCTCAAACTGACCTCAAGTGATCCACCTGCCTCAGCCTCCCAAAGTGATGGGATTACAAGCGTGAGCCACCATGCGCAGCAGAAATTGTGTTATTATGAACATTTCTTAGGCATGACATTAGGCCCTTCAGAGCTAATGATAATCAATACAGGCTTTCTCAAAATATAGTCATGCACTGCATTATGACATTTCAGTCAATGACAGGCTGCAGTTATGATGGTGGTTCCATAAGATTATAATGCAGCTGAAAAAGACCTATTGCCCAGTGATTTTGTAGCCATCTTAACATCATAGTGCAAGGCATTACTCACATGTCTGTGGCAATGGCAGTTGCGTAAGAGCCTAGCACGTACAATTACAAACAGTTATTAATACTTGATAGTGATATTAAACAATTATGTTACTGGCTTATGGATTTACTATACTATACTTTTCACCTTTATTTTAGAGTGCACTTTTTCTACATATAAAAAAAGTTAACTGTAAAACAGCCTTAGGCAGGCCCTTCAGGAGGTATCCAAAAGAAGGCATTGTCATAGGCGATGACTGCTCCATGCATGTTATTACCCCTAAGACCTTCCAGTGCAACAAGATGTGGAGGTGGCGGACATTGATATTAATGAACCTGACCCTGTGTAGGCCTAGGCTAGTATGTGTACTTGTGTCTTACTTTTTAACAAAAAAAAAGTTTTAACAGTAAAAATATCTAAAAATAGAAAAGCTTATACAATAAAGATAGAAAGACAGATGATATTTTTGTTCAGTTGTACAATGTGTTTGTATTTAACCCAAGTTTTCTTTTTTTTCTTTTTCTTTTTTTTTTTTGAGGTAGAGTTTCACTCTTGTTGCCCAGGCTGGAGTGCAATGGCGCGATCCTGGCTCACTGCAACCTTTGCCTCTCAGGTTCAAGCTATTCTCCTGCCTCAGCCTTCCGTGTAGCTGGGATTACAAGCGTGCGCTACCATGCCCAGTTAATTTTGTTATCAGTAGAGACAGGGTTTCACCATGTGGGCCAGGCTGGTCTTGAACTCCTGACCTTAAGTGATCCACCCGCCTCGGCCTCCCAAAGCGCTGAGATTACAGGCATGAGCCACCGCACTTGGCCAACCAAAGTGTTTTCACAAAAGAGTCAAAATGTTAAAAAAAAATTCAATTAAAAAACATTTAAAATAAAATTTAATAAAAAATAGTAAGCTAAGGTTAATTTATTAATGAAGAAAACTATTTTGACATGAATTTAGTATAGCCTATATGTACAGTGCTTATAATGTCTACAGTAGTGTACAGTAATGCCCTAGATCTCCACATTCATTTATGGCTCACTCACTGACTCACCTGCAGTAACTTTCAGTTCTACAACCTCCATTCATGCTGTGTGTCCTATAAGGGTATACCACATTTTAAGTTTATATCATATTTTTTTCTGCAACTTTTCTATGATTAGATATGTTTATATACACAAATATTTACCATCGTGTTACAATTGCCTACAGTATTCAAAACAGTAACAAGCTGTATAGGTTTGTAGCCTAGGATAATAGATGATACCATGTGACCTAGGGGAATAGTAGACTCTACCATTAACGTTTGTGTAAGTATACTTTAGATGATCACACAATGACAAAATCACCTAATGACACATTTCTCAGAATATATCCCCCTCTTTAAGCAATGCATGCTTGTACTATGAGAACTGACAGATGAAATAGAGTGACTTCTGCCAACTTTTAATTAGAGATAAGGTAATTTTAATTTAGTTCTTTAGGGGTGTGGTCTGTAAGCTCCACTCTGTTATTACTCCTCTAACCCATGCTGAGAATATGGACCATGATTTTTGTGTATAGTGTTAGTAGCTAAAAGCTGCCTGGCTCCAGGCCCAGTTTTTCAACCAATTCTTCCCAGTGTAATAACAACTATTAGGTATTATAATTCACTTGGCTCATGTCCTTCTGCTTCTTCTGGCTGGAATTCCTAATTCAAGTTAAAAAGTGGTGATGCATAAACTTTCAAAGATTTGTAGGTTTGGATAAAACCCCCATGAGGTCAGTTTCTTTTCGATAGCTTATTCTAACTTGTATGAGAATTCTGTACCTAATCTCACTTAAAGATCAAGAAAATTATTAACAATTAATTTGGACAGAAATGAGAATTTTTTCTACTGTCAGAAGTGAGATAAAATATTAATCCATTGAAATGGTTAAATTTACAAATATTAGAAGGGTTATCTTTTTATTACAGTGAGAACAATTCACAGCTATTCTAAAATGTACACTGACTTATTACAGTACTTTATGATTCATATCTGAAAATGACCAAGTTTCACAAAATATTTCCTAAATTTAACTTAAATTACTATAGAGGAATCAAATTTGAAAAGATTTCAGATATCTGACAATTAACTATCAAGGTATATGAAAGGCTTTCTAAGGCTCTAGAACAGAGATCCTTACTGCATATATTGCTGCTTGTTGGCTTTTAAATTAAAACACCCCATTCCCTATAAGCCATCTAGAAGTGGGGAGTTTTCACAATGGCCTTGTAAATGAAATCAAGTAAGATCTTTTGAATGATGGATAAAACAATAAATCTAGACAAAACCAAAATCTCCAGTGGATTTATTATATGGCCACTATTGTACACAACCTGAAGCCTACATGTGAGATCTTATAAAGTGATCTAAACATTAACCAGACATTCTAGTTCTTTTTAATATGCTCTAAGAGAATATGTTTCAAGGAAATTTGCTGCTTGGAGAGAAGCCATTTTTTTTCCCATTTGTTCTACTTGGGTCTCTGCTTGCTCATGCCAGTGGTTCTGATTCCAGGACCACATGCTATTATAGGAATACCACTTCTCTTAAATCACAGTGAAAGCCAAATTAAAATATTCCAGACAAAGACCTATACTTTTTTACTTTAAAAGCTTGTTCAAGTTCAATTTGGCCTGGAATCATTCTATAAATGAAGTATTGATTAGCTTGGATGAACAGAATATTGTAAAAGGGTTAGACTAGTGTGCATTTTTAGTCATGAGACCATAGGAATGAGCTACAGTGGAATCAGTGGTTCCACTATTTTGCTGTGGAGGTGATTCAAAAACAAGTTTTAATAGTGATTAGAATGAAACTAATAAGCTTTTAAGAATCTGTTCTTCCAGCTAATACTCTTCATATATTGAGTTGTGTAATCATGGATAAGTATTCTAGAACTTTTTAAATAAATTTTTATTTATCACAGTAGTCAAATGGAAATGGTTTTGTTTTCCTCAACTAAAAGCCTGTAAGTATTGATTAGGGCAGATTGACATGTAGGTTGAAGAATAAAAATCTTGGACCCTGTCACATTTCAAGTCATCTGTAAAATGTTCATTGTTTCCATTCTGAAACCATAAGGATTCTAACTGAAGAACACATGTGAAACCATGAAAATGTGGAGGAAATAGTGTCTAATCTGAGGATATATTTTGACTTTTAATAATGTTAGGACACAGGGTTGAGAATAGAATTGAGCAACTATTTATTCATTTCTCTTCTGTTTTATTAGTTGAAGTCTAAGTGGTATATACACAGACTCTATTAAGGGATAGGGTTTATTTTCTGAAACTTTGCTATAAAAAAGTTGCTGGCATGGAATGACTTGTAGTTCCTGATGATCACCCTCTGCTCCCCACAAAGGTAAAATGATTCTAGAGACACTGGTCACAACCATAAGCTTGAGAAGCTCTAAGGCTAATGAATCCATCACCATTTTCCCTACTATGGAGTCGTAACACTACTACTATCACTGATGTAAAAACTTCAAAAAGCTTTTACGGGAGAACTTTGTTACCCACAAAGTCCTCTCAAATGGGGGCTGCTCATTCTTTCAATTGATCCTTTCTTTTAGAGCTATTACAGTTCATTGTCTTCACTCCATTTGGCCATTGCTAAGTTACTGCTCTTTCACCATCACAAAGAAAAAACAAGCTCCGTTCATGGTCTATGCCATGGGGCTTTTTTTTTTTTTTAGATTCTCATTTATATTTTGTCCTTTAAAGAATTAAACATAAATAATTGGTATTCAAGGATTACATTGTCATCTAATTGAAAAGTCATCTTTTACTTCAAATCATGTTATCAATATGGATATCTATAATATCTTCATGAATGAATCCTCTAATAAGCCTCTGAAATATTTCTGCACCAATGACCTTAATTTTTATTTTAATTTGTGCTTTTTTACCTTGATCTTGACATTATTTGGAACTTGTAATTTTCCAGGTATGCTCTTTGAAAATCTTGAATTAAGCATTTCCAATTCAATTATTGATTTCTTTCTTTCTAAACCATATGCCCTCATTCACACGGAATCTCTTTTACATTATTGAGATCTCCAATCTTCAAGTACTGGATGTATTTCCTAACCTATTCGTTCAAAGTCCAGCAACGTTGTTCTCTGCCATTGTCTAACTAATTACCAGCGTGAGTTATTCCAATGATATATTTTTATTCTGTTTCTTCTCTTGGGCCATATTGTTGTCAGACAAAGTGGCAAAACCATTGCTAAACTGGCAACACAACAGACTTATGGATCCACAGTAAATGAATTTTTTAAAACTGCTGAAAAGTACTTGTAGTTATTATTTTGTGCTGGAAAACTATGTATAGCATGGATTTTTTCTCATTTTTTTCCCTAAAATTTAAAAGCTGTCACCTGTAAAATCATTTTGTTTTATTCTGAAAGGTTATATTCTATTTCTCATTCACAATTTTGTGTGTTTGCATTTTATCTCTTATTTGGTGGGTTACAATAACTACAGTGATGTTTGTTGCCTTTTTCTGTTAAATAAATCAATTCTACTTTTTCTATTCTTTAATCATGTCTACTTTTATTATCACTTTTCCTGCTTTCCTGAGGTTTGTTTTTGTTCAAATACTTTTATCCCTTTTATTCTGTAATAAAAACACTTAAAGCTGTAAAATTTTCTCTGTGATAACTATGACAGCATCCTATATGTTTTAATATGCCCTGTCTTCATTATTAGTAGTTTCTAATTAGGCTAAACATTAATCTTTTATATCCTATTAATGGAAGTCATAGGTTATAATGTAATAAAATTTACATTGGTAGGTCTCTGAGTGTTTAAACTGTTTACTAATTTCTAGTTTTGCTAATTTTTCATGAGGTAATGGTGCATTGCAACTTCAACTTTTCCATGTTGCAGATCTAGTTGATATGTAAGGAGTTTTACACACACCACCTGCTCTCAAAACACACCCACTCCCACACACTAACACACAGACTAAAAACACGTATAAATAATGGAAAAATTGTTGAAATATCATTGTGGATAGAAAAGAAAGTAAGGGCTGTGATATGGTTTGGCTCTGTGTCCCCACCCAAATTTTCATGTTGAATTATAATTCCAATTATTGGGGAAAGTACCTGGTGGTAGGTGATTGGATCATGGGGGTGGATTTCCCCCATACTGTTCTCATAAGAGTGAGTGAGTACTCATGAGAACTGATGGTTTAACAGAGTGTGTCACCTGCCCCCCACCCTTGCTCCGACATGTAAAGAAAGTACTTGCCTGCCCTTCACCTTCTGCCATGACTGTAAGTTTCCTGAGGCCTTCCAATCATGCTTCCCTCTTAAGCCTGCAGAACTGTGAGTTAATTAAACTTCTTAATAAATTATCCAGGTGCAGGTAGTTCTTTAGAGCGGTGTGAGAACAGACTAATACAGGCTGTCTGCTTTATATATGATAGCATAAATCCGTCACAAACTAGCCCACCACAAGATAATAACTCTGGAAAAACTCTAAATTAAATCCCTTCTACCTGAAGGGACTAAGGAGAAAATGAATACAGATAAAATATGAGGTGGAGTTAAAACTTTGAACAGTAACTGACAGTGTGTGCGTTTCCTGGGTTTTGTCTCATTTTCTTTAGTTTGGTAGCTTTGCCTTAAGTGTGGGCAGCAGTTGCTGAGCACTATAGCATGGACAGGTGAAATTCCAATAGAAATAAAAAGCCTAATATTTTTCTGGCTAGAAAAAAACAGAGAAAGGAGCCCAAGTAACCAAGGGCACTGGAGAGTAAGGGGTGAATGCTGGAGAAGAAAGAGCTAGAGAAAAGTTCATTAACTTTATGTATGAAATCTGCCAAAGTCTCAGGCTGACCACTGAATCATGCATGTATCAGTAATACCTGTTTCAATATTGAACTTCAACAATTGACAGAGATTTGAGCTACAAACCAGAGGAGCAAGACAGAGCTTCAAATCTGAGTCTAACAAAGTTAATTTCTCCCTAAAACAAAACCACCAACATTCTTCAGAAGACTATAATAGAACACAGAGTCTCTCTAACATAACATGCATAATAGTTAGGACATAATCCAAAATTACTTGACATAAAAAGAATCAGAAAAATAACACACACTCCCAAGGGAAAATGCAGTCATTAGATTCATGTCATGAGATGATTCAATGTTGCAATTATCAAAGAAGAAATTTAAATCAACTGTTATGATTGAAATCTGTCTCCCCAAAAGATTTTAAAGTCCTAACCCTCAGTACCTGTGAATGTGACCTTATTTACAAATATGGTCTTTCCAAATGGTCAAGTTGAGATGACGTCATCAGGGTGGGCCTTAATCCAATAGGACTCCATAATTACAAAAAGGGAAAATTTAGACACAGAGATAGATATGTGTAGAGGAACCATGATGTAAACACACATGAAGAATGCCATCTACAAAACAAGGAATACCTGAGGCTATCAGGAGGTAGGAGGGAGGAATGGAAGAGATTATCCCTCAGAGTTCTCAGAATGAATCGGTCTTACAGACATGCTGATTTTGGACTTCTATCCTCCAGAATTGTAAGACAATAAATTTTTGCTGTTTGAGTCACCCTCTTTGTGGCACTTTGTTTTAGCAGCCCTAAGAAAGTTATACAGCAGATTATAAAAAGCTATACTGTAAAAGAAATGACTCTAAATGAATGAAAAAAAGTTATGCTTGGCAGATAAATGTAAAGAACAAAATATGAGCTCATGGATATTTGGAAATTGAAAAATGCAATATTTGAAATAGAGATTTTACCAGATGTCGTCAATAGCAAAATAAAAATGACACAGGAAGGGGTCTGTGAACTTGACCATAGGAAAATGAAAATTATCCACTCTGAAAAAGAGAGAGAAAATAAACAGCACCTCAGAGACTTGTGAGACAACATCAAAAGGTATAATATATGCATAATCAGAGTCTCAGAAACAGAAGAGAGAATGGAGCTAAAAAAATGATTAGAAGAAATAATGGTCGAAGACTTTGTAAATTTGGCAAAATACCTGGTTCAATAAGATCAACAACCAAGAAGAAAAAAAAATCAAAGAAAATTACTCCTACATACTTTAAAATCAAACTGTATAAAACTAAAGATATAGAAAAAATGTCTTGAAAACAACCATAACAATACAATACATTCGATACAAGGAAACATTAATTTCAATGATACAGACTTATCAGAAACTATAGAGGCAAAAAACAGTGGAAGAATATTTTTAAATTGCAGAGAGTAAAAATGTATACTCAGAATTCTATATCAAGCCAACTTTAAGAATGAAATAAAAACAAATGCATTTTCAAATAAAGAAAATTTCAGACAAATTTTTACTAGCAGACCTGTGCTATAAGAAATCATAATGGATAGAAAAGATAGCAAAAGGAAAGTTGGATTTTCAGGAATAAATGCAAAAAAAATAGAAAATAAATATTTGGGTAAATATGAAATAATAACCCATTAGTATCTCTAAAATACATAGTACAATTGATAGAAAAATTATAACCTTTTTGGGGGGTTGTAATGCATGTAAACATAATATATATGAAAACAATATCAGAAAGTTTAGTAGCAAGCATTGGTAAAATTATTTTATTTTTGTAAATCTTATAACAATATTATAATAGTAACTCTAAACAGTCTAGGAGAAGTTAAGAATGGATATTGCCATTACTACAACAATCATCAAAATAATTCCTTCTCCTCATGTCTACAGAGGAGAGGTGGTGAACCTGGATTTCCACCCCATACTTGGCAATAATGAAGCAATGTTCCCCTTTGCCTACTGAAGCTGCATGGGATAAGCACACATTTAGTTAAGCACGCAGGTCTTATAATGCTCAACATATGCAGGTTCCAATTCAAAGTTAAATCTATGTATATTAATTATAGTAATCAATATTTCTGGTATTATATCTTTAATCTTAATTTTTTTTGGTTATGTTTACTTCTTGTTTCCTTCTCTTTTAACCTCTGTGTCTTGCCCAAGTGTTCTATTTTCTTTATTTTTTCCTCTCTTTATTTGGAAAGTATAAATTCTGACAGTCATTTTTTTAA
Source organism: Homo sapiens (assembly GCF_000001405.40). NCBI lineage: Eukaryota > Metazoa > Chordata > Mammalia > Primates > Hominidae > Homo > Homo sapiens. Next base: position 51,606,289 of record NC_000005.10, read on the forward strand.
AATAATTGAAGAATATTTTACATCCAGCAAAATTTAGTTTTCTTGGAGTATAGATCTACGAGGTTGTACAAATGCATACAGGCATGTAACTACAGACACAATCCAAAAATATCATCATCTGAAAAAAATCCATCATCTGAAAAAAAGCAAAAAATAGATCTATTGTCTGAAAAAAAAATCCTCTTGCTGCCCCTTTGTATCTAGTCACTTTCCCAAGCTGCCTGTCCCAGTAATGATTAACTTATTTTCATTCCTATAGTTTTGCCTTTCAAGAGTGGGGTGTAAATGGACACGTACAGGAAGTAGCCTTTTAAGTATGACTTCTTTTACTTAGCTTTATACATTTGATTTTATGCATATTGTAGTATATATCAGTAGTTTGCTCCTTTTAAAATTAAGGAGTAGTATTCCATTGACAGAGGTGCAGCAGTTTGTTTACCTGTTTACTAGTTTAAGGACATTTGGATTGTTTCCAGTTTGGAGTATTAATGAATAAAGCCACTATAAATATTCATATGGAGACTTTTAAGTAAAAGTTTATTTCTCAAAAGTTTTAAATTTACAAAAAAGTTAATTTAGTAGCGTTTCCATATATTCCACACTAGTTTCCTCTATTAACAAGTTAAATTAGTAGGATACATTTGTTACAACTAATAAATATTTATACCTTATTATTAATTAATGTCTATATTTTATTCAGATTTTCTTAATTTTTACTTAATGTCCTTTTTTGGGGACCATACTCCTATCCAGAATAGCATATTGCAGTTAATTGTTATGTCTTCTTAAGTTCCTACGGACTATGGCGGTTTTTCAGACTCTCCTTGTTTTTGATGACGTTGGTAGTTTTGAGGAGTACCCATCAGGTAGAATGTCGTTCAATTTTGGTTGTCCAGTGTTTTTCTCATGGGATTACTGGATTTGGGGCAGGAAAACCACAGACGTAAAATTTCATTTCTCTTCATGTTATATCAAAGGGGCAGATTATTAGTGAAACTTATCATTGTTAATCACTTGGCTGATGTATTGTTTGTTGAGTGTTTTCACTATAAGTTTTCCTGTTCTCCCACTTTTCATATAGAATTCTTTAGAACGAAGTAACTGTGAACAACCCACTTGTAATGGCTAGGATATTCTACTCTGCCTATTTAATGGGGAAATGTCTACATAAATTTTTTAGATTATTTTGCACAGGAAATTTTTCTATTCATCCCCATTTATTTATTCAGTTATTTATTTGTATCAGCGCAGACTCATAAATACGTATTTTATACTTTGTGTTATAAGCTAATATTACATTATCTTGATGTTCATATTGCTCCAACTTTAGCCATTGGGGGCCTTTTTAGCTGACTTCTGTGTTCCTTTGACATACTCCTATTGTTACATTTTTCCTCTTTTTTTTTTTCCTTTTGTGACTTTCTTGTTTTCCGGCTCTATACCATATTGTATTCCTATCAACAATGTCAGATTGTTTCAATTGCTCTGCATTTTTTTGCCAGAAGATGGCTTTCAAGTATTATTTATTTTATTTTAGCCATTCTAGTAGCTATGCAATGATACCTTTTTGGTTTTTGAATTTTGATTTATGATGACTAATGACTCTGTGCATTATTTGATGTGCTTATTTTTCCATATGTATATCTTTAGTGAAAAGTATGTTCAAAATATTTTACTCATTTTTAATAGAATTCTTTTCTATAAATTTTGAGAGTTATTTATATATTCTGGATACAAGTTCTTTGTCAGAAGTGATTTTTTAAGCTTTATTGTGGTATAATATACCTATTGTAGTATAATTTAATGAATCTTAGTTAATTTCTACAGTTATATGACTATTATTATCCCTGTCATTTTACACTTAAAAACAACACTCAAACTTATTTGAATATATTTATAAACAACAATATTGAGCTCTCTATTCAAAGATAAGAGTTTTGCATGTCTCTATGTCTTTGTGCTTCTTTCTTTACCAGCTAAAAAAATTTGGATTTGAATTGTGATTTGGAACCAAAACAATGAGTTTTGCATCCTATAATTTAGGAAGCTTGTAATCTTTTATTAGAAAAACTATTTTTGTATTAACCTTAAGTTTTATAAATTTATAAATGATTATATTTCTTTAATTTGACATTCAATTTATTTGTTTACAGTACTTTTTTATATTTTGTCTCTCACGGAATTTGCAAACAACTAACAACTGCTATTAAACACTACAAAGTAAAGATGAAATAAAGGGACATATAATAGTGGGTACAAATGTAGATTCCTTCACCAATACTAAAAATTTAATTTTATCTATGTTGAACATAATCATTATGTTCATTGACTATAAGTCAGAGAAGAGATTATCAGCCAATAGTAAGCTAAATCTTAGATTACCTTAACCAATTTGAATGATTGGAACACAGAGATGAAAATTCCTACTTCAGCATACACTGATTTGAGGCATTCTGGAGTGCTGGGTTCCGTTTGATTTGCCATTCTTTAAGAGAGACATTGACAAATTGGAGCTAATACATAGGGCAACCAAGATAGTAAAAGGGCTAGACGTGGTGTCACATAAGAAATGTTTAGAAAAAACTGGAATGTTTAGTCTGCAGAAGGAAAGAATGATGGGGCTATGGATTGGTGGAGGAACATGATAGCCATCTATTTTTAAACATTTACAGGACCAACAAAATAAAGAGGATTTGTTTTGGGGGGTCACAAAAGGTCTCACTAGTAGTGGTAGATTAAGTTCAAAGGAGGCAAGGCTTGACTTATAAAAGGAAGAACTTTTTAAAATTTAGAAATTCTAAAATGGAATAGGTTTTCTAATTTAGATGCAAGTTTGGCCAAAAAAAAAAAAAAAAAAAAAAATTGGCTCCAAGGTCAATAGCATGCATGAATCCTGTCTAAATAATCTTGAAGTTTGCTAATTTAGATTCTTCATGAATGTATACTCCATCAAGCAGTATTTTCTATGACAATTGATAAACATGTGGTTTTGATAGTAAACCTGTTGTCCTGGACACTGAATAGAAAGTATGCTGCAGAGAATGGTTACAGGATAATGAGATTAGTACTTTAAAGATGCATAGCTTTTGAATAGGTAGAGAAGTAACTATTTTAGTTGCAGAATATATGTCTAAGAATACAGAAAGAGGCATAACCAAATATGTCATTTTCATAAGACACTGAGGAGGCAAATATAACTGGAAAAAAGCATGTATGTAAATGTTCATGAAATAATTGTTTGGAAGAAGAGATTGAGTTTGTCATTAATGGTCTCCAGTGACATTCATAGTCCAAGTTAAATAATTGGTTCACAGTCATCATCTTACCTGACCAAACACGAGCATTGATACACCTGATCACTCCCTCCTATTTGAAACAAACCCATCGTTTGGCTTCCACACATTACCCATGCCTTACTTTTATTCTTCCTTTCTGGATACTCCTTCTAGTTTCCTTTACTGATTCTTCTGTACTTATTTCAGAGGTGGTATTGTTTCAGTCACATAGTTTTATATGCCATGTACAAATTGATGTCTCCTTAACGTATATCTCTACCTTCTACTTTCCTGAACTTCACATTCAGCTATAAAACCATCTACTTGATCATCTGTAACATATTATCTCTTGAATATTTAATAAACATATTAAATGAAACATATCCAAACTGAACTTCTGCTATCTACCTTACTTCTCTTCACCACTGTGTCCTTCTCTTGTAGTGTTGTTCCCTGTCTTGTTAAGTTATAGCTCTAATATATATATGTATATGTATATATATATGTGTGTGTGTATATATATATCTATATCACTTGTACAGTAAACTAGATTTATTCTTCATTTTCATTTCCCCTTATTACCACTTATTCAATCCATCAGTAAGTCCTATAGAATCTACTTTCAAAATGTATTCAGAATGCAGCCACTTCTCATCTCCTCTACAACTACCACCCTGATCCAGCCATCATTATTTCTTACCTGAATTACTATAGCCTCCTAGTCTGCTCTTTCCTCCTTCAGTACAGTCTCAAGAGAATAGCTTTTTAAATGAAGGCCAAATCATCTTACAACTCTGCTCAACATCTTTTAATGGCTTCTATCTCACTCAGAGATGACTGGAAAAAGTTCTTTACAATAACCCCAACATTTTGAGTGATCTAGCATTCTTCACCTCTCTGACCTCATCTCTTAGTACTATCCTTACTAATTCTACTCCAGTCACATGGTTCTTTTTACTACTTTTCAAACATACAGATAAGGTCTGCAGTATAGTGACCTTAGACTAACCCAGTTCCTCCTTCTTTCTTACTTGTAGTTCTCAAGAATGTTCTGGGGATGCAACATCTTGCAATAAGAGAGAGCTGACCAGAACAGCCCAGGCTTTGTTCCCCACAGGAAAAAGTGTCCCTCAATGCTTTAGAGTTCTTTCACCCTAGAGTAGAAGACACAGAGTGGGCTGCTTTTGGGGGTCCCTCAGCTGTAGTACAAGTGGAACATAGGTAGATGAGATCCCATTTAACCCAGGCAGCTTTCCTGGGCCTTGGGAGACAGGTTAACAATGACTCTTAGGCTTCTGTTATCCCTTGCTGTTTATGTATTTGAAATAAACATGCTTTATGTAAATTGTTTTATGTGGGTGTTCCATCTCGCCAGACTCACACAGGTTGGTAACCAATGCACAGTGAACCTGCTTTACAAGTTCTTTTATCAGGACATTTGAAATCACTGTTCCCTTTTCCTCCAGATATCTATATGACATGTGCTCTCATTTCCTTCAACAGTCACAATTTTGGTAAATTCTGCATCTATGAACTGAATATTTGCCCTTCCAAAATTTATGTGCTGAAGCCTTAAGCCCCAACGTGATTTTATATGAAGATGGAGCCTTTACGAAGGCAATCAGTCATGAGGGTAGAGCCCTCGTGAATTGGATTAGTGCCCTTTTTAAGAGAGACATGACAGAGATGATCTCTCTCTCTCTACCATGTGAGGATATAATATAAGATGACCATTTGAACACGAGGGAAACGGTTCTCACCCAATGCCAGATCTGCTGGCACCTTGATCTTGGGCTTTGCTGTCTCCAAAACAATGAGAAATAACTGTCAGTTGTTTAAGGTACCCGGTCTATCAGACTTGTAATGCAAAACCAACTGAGGCACCAACTCTGTATAAAATCACAACCCTTTCTCCCAGTACTTAATATCCCTTTTCCTGTTTTGTTTTTCCCCCTTAGTACTTATAAGTATACCATTTACATCCTAAATATTTTATTATTTATCTAGATTATTATGTCACTTCTTCAATAGTTGTAAGCAAGAATTTGTGTCCATGTTGCTCACTACTGTACTTCAGTTCCTGGAAGAGTACATGGCACATAGTGGTTGTTCAATTTTGACTGTGTTTTCAAAGTCCTGGGAATTAGGCTAAAGATTGAAAATTGTGTTTGCTTGGCTCTGAGACACCTGTGGGATCTTTTTCACAGTGAAGTGTTATGTCAAAGAGGTATTATAGTAAGATTAATTTCCAAAATTAGGATTTGAATATATGATCATGACTTGAATGCCCCAAAGCTGCACAGGATTAAGAAAAGAAGCCCATCTTCTGGAAGTATGTTATGGAAATTTACCACATATCTTGTGGTCAAGATGAAATAGAACAAAACGAAGAGAGTAGTTACTTAGAATTAACATTTTAGGGCTGGTTATTGGGTAAGAGGAAGAAAAAAAATCACAATTCTGGTGTGAAATTAGGTATTTAGGGATAGAAGATCCACTGGAATAAACAAAGATATTTAGTGAAAGAGCTCATGAAAGGAGAAGTGAAAGCAGGGGCTGGCATTATTTACATTAAGTCATTTATAATAATATAGTAATAGTAATAAAATAACACTAGTTTTATCACTAATAAAATAGTATTGGTTTGCTGTTTCCTTTGACGTAATGGAAAGAAATATTCAAGTTAAAGCCACTGCACTCCAGCCTGGACGACAGAGAGAGACTCCGTCTCAAAAAAAAAAAAAAAGAAAGAAAGAAAGAAATATTCAAGTGAAAAATATCCAACATGAATTTGGAAATAAAAGAATCACCTGGAAGTGTAGACAAGTTGGAGATATCAATTTAGTATGATCTTCATATACCTTAAGAACTGAACTGCAAGAGGATGAATCATCTGATAGAAAGAGAATAAAGAGAACAAGTACAAGGCAGGAGAAAAGTAGCATTTGGGCTAGGAAAAAATCTCTGAAGAATATAAAACAAGAGTAGAGAATTTTTCAAGATATTTTTGCTCAATTATAGATAAAAATGTTGAATATTGAAAAATAAAGGAATCAATGATGTCTGAAATTTTTTTTTTTAGTAGAGTAGTGAGGAAAGAATTATCAGATTACAAAGGATTGAGATAAAAATAGTGTAGTGGATGATGTAGTGTAACACTTAGATCCCCTTTGGGACTGAAGCTCTCATTCCTCCAGCTGCTGGTAATGTTGGTGGTTGACAAATCTTAGTTGAGTCCTTCTCTTAGAACTACCCTTGTCTGAAGAAAGTTTGCTCACCCAAAGTCATGCCCCCTCCTCTGTGGGTAGACTGCATTCAACACTGGTCAATGAGGTAGTATTAAGGCAAACCTCCTTTCCTTAAAGTGGGACAACTCTGGAGATGGAGGGCATAGCAGCCCTAGAGCCACAATTACATCCAGTTAGGTCTTTCTTGTGACTGTGTTGCAATTCAACTACTTCTCCTTCTAGCCAATATATCCACTCTCCCACTAATGTTATTCCTGAAGACCTCGCTGTGTAAACTGTACTTGACTGTCCACTCCAAGGAATCTCACCTACGACAAATGGATATGTTAGACATTTAAGAAACACTGATGAAAATGATTGGGCTAAAAAATTGGGATTAATAGTATTCATATTTATGAATTCACCAGAAGTCCTTTCAATTCAACATGGATTTGTTAAAATCAACTGTATATAGAGTACTATACCATGTGTTACTAGAAGCATAACAAGAGCGAGATGATGGCCCTTGCCCCTAAACCTCATGATAAATGCATTAAACTTATGAAAGAGCATTGATTCAGACTGAGGCTGAAATCCTCCCAGATTACAAACACACTCATGATTAACAACCTGCAGATGTGCATGAATGTGTGAAAGAAGATGAGACTGTAAAGGATTTGAAATGATTCTAGTCTGTGTTTACAGACAGACTTCTAAAGATGTTCCCAGCATTTGTAGATTAGTTAGTATTTTAACTACCTACTTATTTCCTTAAACAGATATGCATCTGTGGTTCCAAGGACACAAAAAATATAATTTGACATAATTTGACTTATAGCCGTTTCATCTTGTAAGGTTATCTTTTCTAATATTGCATTAAGGCAATATATGGATGGGCGATTCTTAAGGAAATTCTGAAAATGTTCTTTAAGAGTCCAAAGACAACTAATTGCCACAACTTCTGGGAAATATAATATGTCAATTCTAATACTAGGAACAGTCCCACGATGATATTGACTCAGCCTTTTTACTTTGAACATTCTCTAATAAAACAGTTCCTTTTTCTCTTCCTAACAATTTAGGAAAACAGCAAGAACTCAATGTCTGAACATTCAGCATTTCCATGATCACATATGCACACTGCAAGCAATCTTCGTTATTGGGTAGTTAAGAATTGTGTAAACGTGGCTTGCAATAAAACAAGATAAAAAGAGCACTGGCTGCTAAGTTGAGAGGACCTACAGCAAGCAGAGAAATCACAGGATTATATAACTGATTAAGTAGGAAATGGCATTCACAGACAAAGATGTTGTAAAATACTTACTGCAAACAGCTATCCTCTATATTCTTAAATACTTTTCAGGAAAGAAACTCAGAATTTAATAGTCTTTGCCATCAGTCTTAAATCCTCTATGACAATTGAAGTCCATTTCCTGTTTTTATATCTTTAATGCTCTCAGTGATCCATATAGCGGCCTATAATAAATTTTCTATTTTTTATAGAAAAAATAGAACTGAGTAATCATTGAATCTGTGGTTTTCTGTCTCCCTTTTCTGTCATCTCACATTCAATATGGATGACCTAATTTATTTTGCCATCCAAAATACACATAAACCATTGTCATCTACATTGTTATTATAGTTCTTGTCCAGAGAAATCTTACATCAATGTTAATATCATGACTAGAATTGCTACATCATGATGGTACAATCATAGGAATTATTTTCAAGCTAAGGACATTCATCCCATCATGATGGCATATTATTTCATCCCCAGTGCATTCCCAAATGGCTTCCTACCTACTTTTAAGTGAGAAATATGAAGGAAGTATAAAATATTCTGTCTAAAGAAAGGGTTCCAAAATGACAATGCTTGCTTTATTCCTTATTTTTAACCCGAAGTTTCATCTTTTGTTTTAAACCTGATTTGTTCCCCATTAGGAGATAAAAGAGGTGCTTCTATATCATTCCTGTTTTTCTCATGTTAGAAATGTTTACACAATTTGTAGGGAATGGTCTGTTAGCAATTTCTGGATTAAATTTTATTTACAGAGTTCTGGTCTGGGAGTAAAATTGAATCAGGGAGTTTCCTAGGTGAATAAGCTTACATGGCTTATTCCTACCCATATTCTCCTTTTAGATATTACATTATCTTAATCAGTATACACTACGTGTTTGACATTGTAGAATGATATACAGAAATTCTACTTTTCCAGGTAGATATTTATTGACCATGACATTTAAGCAAGGCAGATGCTTCCTTTGTTAAGAGGGTTAAGAATTGAGCTTATCATGACAAATATAAATGTTTAGCCCAATTATTAATTAATAACTTTTTCTTGTGAACATCTGTAAGAACAACATGATTGTGCTGGCAAACATCTAATGGGATATCCAAAAGAGTGATTAATTCAACTCCTCTTGGGGCTTTTTGTGTAATCCCAAGTTTTCCAGAAATATTTTATAACAAAGTCACGGTGACTATGAAATCTCAATCACTGCCAGATTATTCGTTTATCTATCTATCTGTTCATTTTTTCAAATGTGTTTGGTTAGAGCATAACAACTTTTTTATATTTGTCTCTGTAGTTCAAGAAAGAAAGGGACTTAAATAGTAGTAGCATTGCTTACTGCACATCACCATTATCTAAGCTGTGTAATAAATACAAAAAGTGAATTATGTAGGAAAAGATTGCAGATGTATTGTTAAGCTGAAAAAGCAAGCAGGGTGCCCAGTATGTATAATATGATCCCTTTATATAATATACATATATATATATATATATATATATATATATATACACACACACACACATATACATGTTATAAAGGTAATATTTAAAATAATACAAATCAATCTTGCAGAATATTCGAAAAAATATTGAGTGATTATTTGTGGGGAGAGAAGTGAGATGGGGTAAAAATTAAAGGTGATATTACTATTTATCTACAGAAATCCTCAGTGTTTGAATTTTTAAATACATATAAACATTGTTTTAATATGCATTAAACTGTTTTTAAATTTAAAACATATATAAGAATGAGAGCTGGGCACATCGGCTCATGCCTGTAATCCCAGCAATTTGGAAAACCAAGGTAGGCAGATTGCTTGAGGCTGGGAGTTCAAGGCCAGCCTCGGCAACATGGCATAACCTTGTCTCTACAAGAAATACAAAAATTAGCTGGGTGTTGTGGTGCAATCCTGTAGTCCCAGCCACTTGGGATGCTGAGGCAGGAGGATCTATTGACCCTGGGAATCAAGGGTGCAGTGAGCTGTGGTCATGCCACTGCACTCCTGCCTGGGGGACAGAGTGAGACTGTTTTGAAAACAAACAAAACAAAAAAACAAAAAAATGCAATGAAGTACATCATTTTGCTCTTCGGCAAATGAAGAAGTGGTAACTTCTTTACATTTGTTTGTATTCTTTCATGTGGAGATTTTAGCTAGGAGTCAATTTGAAGGATAATCGTTATGTGTAACTTCTCCATTTTTTTCCTTTTTTGTTAATACAATTTTTAAATTGTTTCCCTAAGATTTTAAAATAAACTAACTGGAGTCATCTTTTCTAAAGTGAGACCAAAGAAATCAGTGTCAATGTCTACCAGTTTTTGAAATTGTAGAATTATTTTTTAAGGTGAGATGTTTAGAAATCTCCTAACAAAGAAATTAAAAATAGCCTAAAGATATAGGAAAACTCATCTGAAAAATAAAGTTTTGCTGAAGAAGATATAAGTGTCCTCTAAATTATATTAAAACAACAACATAAACAATTCATGAGTCAGTATTGTTGAAGCACTGACAGCCACAGCCCATAAAACTCTATGAATTTTTTACAGCACCAGGTGTGAACATTATGAGGTAGAAAACAGCTTCATTTAGAATTCACAATGTGCTGTTAAATAAACCAATAAAAAATCAACCTACTGTCTTTGCTATATTTGCTTTGGGTAACACTTTTCTTTTCTTTATTAAAATTATTTCTTCATCTCTAATGCTGTATATAATTCTTCTACATTAATGGTAACATGTGGTTGCTAATATCCCAGTGATTGAAGCAATGAGTTTCTAACGGCAAGTTCAGTTATAGACACTCTGAATTTTGGCCCAACCACCCATGACTTCCCTTTTAGGATCATTAGTTAGAACACAGTTGGCTTTAATTAATTATCCATATTCTTGGAGCTTCTAACCCTTTGTAGAGACGTTTTCATCTGTAACTTGTACCCAGAGTCCCTGTAGAAGAGAAAAGCAGCATATGGGAGATTGTCATGGCTGGGTTCTTGGGATACCACATCAGATCCCCTAGAGAGTGATTCTCAAATGTTTTCAAGTGCTAAGTCATTTGAAAGATACTGACATCTAGATAGAAAGTCATAAAAGAACTAAATATTAAACATATAATAAAAATATTGAATATTTATGTATGTATGGATTTGTGTTTATAGCACGTATATGTTTCTTATATATAATTATCTATCTATTGCCAGACTCTAATGTAGATAAGTGAAAATGTGAGAAAAAATATATTAGGATAAAATGTACATTTGAGAAGATTCTTGTATAAACCTTTCTCCCATTTATTGAATGAAGGCCATTTATGTAATTTGTACAATCATAAAATCTTGGTGTTCTGACAAAGAACAATTTGAGAAGCTTCCATGAGGTGTTAGTTAGTTAATTAACTTATCAATATTGAGATCTACATTTGCATATTCAACAGCTTATTTGGTGGTTTCACTTAGAAGTTTAAAAGGCATCTAAAATTAAATGTGGACACAAAACACGTCAAAACAAAAACACCTTCTGATACCATACACACAGACCAACCCTTTCTCTACTCATGCCATTTCATAAATGATACAATACGCCCAGTTACTCAAACCAAAAACCCTTGCATGAGCCTTGGTTGCTTTCTTTCTGTCATCTCATATATCCATCCAGAACATTACTTCCGTAACATGAAACCAACCTCTCTCCATCTCCTCTACTGATACCCTAGTTCAACCTACTTGAAGCTTCCTAATGGCCCTCCCAACTTTATGCTCTTCTTTTGTTTTGTTTTTCATTATTTTGTTTTTTCCCATTGTTTTCATGCTCCTTTAATGCCTATTCTTCATGCATCGTTAGAGTAAGCTTTAAAAATCATCAATCAGATCATATCTCTCCTGTTTGAAACCTCTGATGCCTTCCCACTTCACTTAAAATAATGAAATGTACTAATGCTTACAATACCCAATATGATTGATTCCTAGTCTGTCTCATCCCCTACCATCTCCCCTTTGTTATCTCTTCTCAAGCTGCACTGGCTTTCCTTCTATCACTTGAAGACACCAAACTCATGCTCGGAACATATTTCATAATAATTATTTTTGAAATGAGTGAAGTACTTTTTGATCTGGAGGACACCAAGATGATGAGCACATAGATTTTGTTCTCAAGAAACTTAACAGCCTAGTAGAAAGAGATGCACTAGTAAGAAACAAGGACAATATTCTGGGAGCTATGAGAAAACTATACATGGGTTATAGAGCTACAAATAGGAATGATAATTTTACTTGTGAGAAGTCTGCTGAATTAGCTTTCAAAAAGCTAACTTGGTGGATATTTGCCAGGAGAGCTCAGACTGGGGAGGGCAGTGGAGGCAGGTGTCATGTTTCACATAGGACTGAAATCACATAGTGAGTAAGGAGACACACAAATCCTTCCGCCTGGCTTGATCAAAGCGTTACATTTAAATAAGGACCTTGTGTTCCATTTTATTATAAACAATATAGAAATGAAGAAAGATACTCTGTGGGCCAAGCAGCAGGGTCACCAGATTAAAAATATATTTCTTATACCTAGTCTAGCATTCGTTTGTTCCCTGAATGGATATTTACACATTTACTTAGCTTCTACACTTTATACATGGCACTGCTGTAACTTGGAGATAGAAGACTGAGCGCAACAGACTAAGTCCCTGCTCTCATAGACTTTACAGTCTAGTGTGGGAATCGGATCAAAAACAAACAAATACTTATTTACTATTTCAGGCAGTGGTAAGGGCTGAGAAGAAACAAGACGGAGTGAAGGGAAAGAGAATGGTTGGGGAGGGGAATTGCTGTTTTACTTGGAGTGGGCCGGAAAGGGCTCTCTGATGAGGCAAAATTTGAATAGAAACCTGAATAGTCTGAGGAAGAACGATGCAGCTTTCTGGGGAACCAGCATCCTTGACCACTGAAATGGCAATGGCAGAAGTCCTGACACACACATGAGCCTGAGTAACTAGAGGAAGAGCAAAGAGGCAAGTACCCCTGAAGCCAAGTGAACCAGTTAGGAGAGGGACAAAATCCTAGGTCAAAGTCCCAGCCTGTGCAAGATTATGTAAAGCATGGTAGAACCTTTGCTTTCATTGAGAGTAAGATGGGAGCTACTGGAAGTTTTTGAGTAGAGGGAAGATACCGTATGACTTATGTTATAAAAGAACGGTTCCATAGAGTATAGAATGGAGTGCAAGAAGGGAACTTGGGGGATGAATTAGTCATAGGAGTCCAGGTAACAGAAGATTGTGTCTAGGCCCAGGGAAGTACAAATGGAGATAATGAGAAGTGGTTTGAAGTGGGTTTTATTTTCAGGGGAGAGAATTCAAGATTGCTTGTGTGTTGGGAATGGGAAAAAGAGAAATCAAGGAATGGCTCCTAGTGTTTTTGTTTAGTTGTTTTGTTAGAACAAATGGCTGGATGGTTGTGCCATTTTCTTACACAGTGAGACAGATTTGGAGTTGAAGGGAAAAATTTCTGTTTTAGTCATATTAAGTTCGTGATGCCTATTAGATAGGCAAATAGATACATTCTGACTAGAGGTAGGGAGTCATTTTGGTGGAGTTCAAATGACTAAGATTTCCAAGTGCAGAACTTTGATTTTAATACTTCAGCCTGAGTTAACAAGATTTAAGCATTTAGGCATATATTCACCCAGGTCATAACAATAGATTTAAAACAAAAGCTGACGTTTTATTGGTTTTCAGTGAGGAGTATACAAGTCTAGTGGTGGGACTTCCCCAGGTCATTCATTTTTTTCAGTTAGCAATGGTGACTGAATTAGCAATTGGGTAGCTACACATTAAACCTGGAAAGTGATAAAAAGGCATCTTGTGATTTTGTGAGGGTTCTCATCAAGAAAAGCATGAATGATCAGTCATGCTTTAGTACCAAATATTCTATACTTCCCTCTGTTCAGCGTATTACATTTTGAATACATACCATATCCTTGGCTTGTGCCAACACAGATTGACTTTGGGTCAGAAGAGATATAATTCATAACTATTCCTGTATAAGTCACATTTCAATCCCATCATTAAGTTCATAACCCTGTCCTTGATAAACCTTTGGTAAATCCTTCAGGATCAATAATCATAACAATAAAAAAGAGTAAATTAAGACATCTAAGGACATTTATTCTATTTAAATTTGACCAATCATTCATATTCAAAAGAGTGTTCTAGCTAGACTTCCCAATGTAAAATTCAGTATGCTTTTCTCAATGTATCTACTTTTATATTTATTCATTTAGGCTAATGAAACTAACAAACTAGAAAAAATTCAAACGTGAATAATCTTCTATGGCTTAGATACTAAGGAGATTTTAAACTCACAGTAATGCATACACACAAAATCATAATGTAACTAGAATGTGATTTTGAGTGAATTTAAGTCAAATTTTTAATTTAAACTAACATCTTAATATAGTAAATTTACTAGCTAAATATCTTTTCATTTTGTCTAAATTATTGTCTTCTAAATTAAAAAGAGAAATTGAAGATGATTTCTAAAAATAAAACCATAATAGATGTGGCCTTGGAATTTTATCCTTTTCTATTTAATGAATAAAATTAACGTTCTGTAAGGGCAATTTATCTGAAACTACTGTATTCATTATGTTAAATTGTCTCTAATTATTATTTTCAGTCCATTTGGCACAAATAGACCAAGTTCAAAATTATAATCCTCATGAAATTTATGGTGTTTGATAAACAGAAAGTTATAACTTTATGTATATAATCATGATGTCAAATAAGCAAGCGATTGAGTGGAACTCAATGAGGCTAGTGCTTTCTAGTAGCTGGAATGGTGAAAAGGAATTCAGTAGATGTGCATTTTATTTCCACCTGGCCTCCTTTTGTGACACACAGAACCGCTCTCCTAAATGGGAATGAGCCCTGCTGCTTTACTCATATAACTACCAAGATTAGATTCAGTTTTGAACTCATTAGCTGAAAGGAGGCACTTTATTGTGGTAGGATAATACAGTTGTGTTCAGAACTGGAAAAAAATACAGCCAATGATACAGATATGTTTTGGTAATGATTGGTCCCATTAGTAACTCTAGCCACTACTGAACTTTCAGAGAAGAAAATAAATATTCTCATTGACTATATAAAAGCTCTGGTTTGTACCCTGGGTTCACACTTGATTTCATTCTTTTTCTAAGAAGTTGTGAGTCACTCACATTGACAGTGGGACCAAGGAATCTAATAAAATGGACCTCCAGAAGAGGCCTTGCCTTCTCAGTACTGAAGAGGATCCCAGCTCTCAGAAAGATCTTTTTATAATGGGAGCTGGCCCAACAAATGCTTTCTGCCCTAGGGGCCTGTCTTACAAATAGCGATTCAAAAGAAGTACAAGGAGGGGAAAGAAATGTGGTTAGGTTCAAGGGAGGTTATGTTTAGTTAAAAAAAAAAAAAAAGGCTGGTTTAAGAATTTCCTTAAAGGCTCTAGAATCTCAAAATGCTGTAATCAAAAGCAATTGCAAAAATTTACTTTGACATTTGTTTTACATTTTGTAATCTTGTGGAAATCACATTTCAACCTTTTACGATTTTTTTATTGAACACACTTTTAAAAAGTCTTTTGGGAATGCATGCATTAAAGATATATTTCTATAGTCAGAAACTTAGAAGGTATATGCATATTTTGTTCAAATTAGTTTGAAATCTTTTGTTCTAAATCACTAAATCATTCTGAAACTAGAAAACATGCATTGTTTACAATTTCTTACAAAGAATTTGAATACATATATATATACTAAATACACATCGATAGCTGAATTCTAGAAGTGATGTAAATATGAGACCATATAGAATTCCATTCCAAACATTCTATCTTATCCCCCAGTACAGCTGGAAATGCTGGTATTTTAAACCAGTCAGTCCCCATCTAACACAATTCCACAGTCACTTTGCAAGCCAGACATAGTCTACTAATTACATTTAAATAGTATTACTCTCTGCTCATATCCTGGTTGTAGATTCTGAAGATTTTTACCTTTTCCTTTGCAAAGCTCCATTCTAGGGCTGTCAGATTTTAGGGCACTCTCAGGACTCTGTTTGTAACTTAACACTTCTTGTGAAATCATTTCACTGGAGTGATTGTTTTATCTCCCCAATGATCCTAAGCCTGGCCCTGATCTCAGGAACATTTGTGAATGCCACCTTGCCCTTGCCCACCTGTTTTAAGTTTCTCCTCCTCCCTTTATCTAGCTTTTCCACACAACAAGACAATCCAAAGTGTGTGTCATTTAGGTGTCACCAGGTCTGTGAGACGTGAAAAGCTCTGCCAGTTAACATAAAACAGAATCCCGGTGGTTTCATGGAATCACATTTCCCTACTGCAAAGAAAGTTGAGAAGAGGGGCAAGGTAGCTTTAGGGAGTTTGAATGAGGACACTTTGTCCATGAATGGAAACTCTACATTCTTTGTTATTTTAACAGGCTGTGTCTGTTCTCCTTGAAAGAAATTGTATGAGAGAAGATTGGATTAAGTAGTTTTTATTTTATTTCAAAGCACTTGTACACTTTTCCAAAGATCAACTTACTTAGCCAGGTAATAAGCTCTTGTTTTACAATAATACTAGTGTATATTATATCATTCTAGCTTACTACAAAATACAGAATTAGAGTTGGGAAACAAAACATTTGTTTCTTTGGTGAATGAGGCATATATCATTACCTATTCACTCTGCCAGATATAACTTCAGCCTTTTAAACTATTCAAAGAAATACCCAACTAGTTAATCTGCTTTAGGAAGAAAATAGTTTGCACCTATTCAAACTCCTTTAAAAAAATTTAGGCTTTTGCAGTCCAAAGGAGGTCTAAGTTTATATATTGTTTTTGCATTTGTATCTTTTGAAAAGTTCAAAAATGTATTTGCATATTTCTCAATTCCATTTTTATACTTTTTATAAGATTACAGTATCATGGGGAATGAATTAGTTAATTAGATCAAATATTTATTTGGCTGTCTCATTACATAGATACCAGAGTATGCAGATTGTCAGATTGTAAATAAACTCAGATCGTAATATAGTTTACTTCTTTTACTGAAGACTATCCAAGCAGATGATGATTATCTATTTGTTTTTCAAAAGTTGTTAATGTCACTCATTTAGTTTATTTATATATCTTTATATTTAGAAAGGCCTCTGTTATTATGAATTTTCTTAGATGTGGACATTTGAAGACATATTTTTCTAATTTCTGTTTAATTCATTACTGTACTACTTGAATCTTCCTTTCTTGCTCACAGATTGGCCAATTCTTTGATCATTTGCTTTATTTTTACTGCCTTGTATAATAGTTTCATTGCAGAGAAAGAATGAGATAATTTGCATAGCTTTTACTAAGTGGTTTTTTTTTTCAAAAGAGATCTATATATTTCTGGTTAATGTCATTATTATTAAATTCTATTAACTTGTTTACTAATGCTACACACTCCATGGATTCCTATTCTACTGTGGTCGCTTTGGCTTTGTTTACAAAACAACCACAGAAAAACTTGTGGGTGATCTTAGCAGATACATGAGTTAACCACTTAACTTCCATTTCCACTAAATGCTTCAGGTTCAGTGATTATTTCAGTCAGAAGTGATGCTTTTCAGACGTGTTACTACAGGTGAATTGACTGAACCAAGCATCTGTTCAACTTTTATGCACGTTGTCGGCTACATGACCAAGAGATTTAACATCCCATCTGAGTCAAAAATGGTAACAATGTGTTGACTTTTCCTAAATGAAAATAGTTATTGGTACTAAAATGTCTCATCATCCCAAATTGTTCTTTGAGTCTTCAGAAAATTTGAGGTATTATAGGATTTTGAGAAATGCTGCCAGTCACAGGTCCAAACAGCTTGATCTCACCCTCAGGAAACTACATTTCCCTGTTTGGATCTATAAAAAAAAGGTAACTTTTATTTTTTATGTGCTGAAATGACTTTGCGCATCTTTTTATATATTTTTCAGAATTCAAGAGAAAAAACTGGAGAAATGATATAACATAGGATAAGGTGTGAACTCTCCAAAGTTCTGCATCAAGGCTTATATAAACTGCATGTGATTTTATTGTTGTTGTGGTTGTTATTGGGCATTCAGGGGACATGCAAGGGCATACACATTACCACACCGACAGAAAAGTTTTCTTGGGGAGCTTCATCCTTGAAATCAATCAACGGTCCCCCACTGGAGTTAGTAATTAAAAAGTAATTTAATCCAGTGTTTCCTATACTTAGATTGTAAACGAACTTATAGGAATGAAAAGAGAGGAGGTAGAGAAACAAGGTGAGAGCGAGATGTAAGGAAGGAAAGAAAGAGAAAGGAGGAAGCAATAAATAGTGATGGAAGTTAGTGTGAAAAAATTAACCAAACATTTCTTGGCATTTGTCTTACCAGTTAGTAGTAAGTTAATTAAAAACAAACAAAAACAAATTCTATATAAATCTCCCAAATTTGGTGAGGATGATTGCAAAGATGAGTGGATAAATGAGAATGCTCCTCAGCAGTGAGAATGTTATTGGGAATAGATTAGAAGCTTCAGAAACTGACAGAAATAATAAAGAAGAATATAACAAAATAACCCGAAGGGATCTGATATCATTCCGGGACAATGAAAGAGAAGGTAGAGGAAAGCTTTGTGTCGAGAGTGTTGAGAGTGTTGAGAGTGTTCAAGGATGTAGCTCATGATAACAGAAGAAGAGACAATCATGGTGAAGTGTAGAGTTCACTGCCAACAGGTTTTCCCTTTTGTGAATGTGTTACATCATGAAACAAGTGAATTTAAACAGCAAGTACCTGGTCAAATTTGGTGAAAATTATGATGTTTTTAAAGTAACACTCTAGGGACAGGACTCAGACTGAAACATCAATTTCAGGTAAAATTAGGTCAGATTTCTGGGGCAGGCCTTCTCAAATAATTAATAATGTTTTATCTGAGTTATTTAAATTCCAGAATGATAATGATGAAAAAAATCAAAGATTTAATTTTTAATAATTTTGTGTAAATTATACTTTTAAAAACCCAAAATATGATTGAAAGAGAATCACACACATTTGGCTTGATATTATTATAAAATACCATACAAAGGCAACAAATTAGGGCAATTATAATTTTAAAATAAGAAGTTTAGCAAATATCAGATGGACGAAGGCTTCTTTTTTGCCTTTTTTCTTTCTTAAGAACATTTTCAGGTTCATAGCAAATTAAGTAAAAGTAGAGTTCCCATACTCCCCTTCCTGCACACATGCACAGCCTCCCCAACTAGCAATGAGCCAATATTGACTCATCATTATCACCCAAAGTCCATAGCTTACATTTGAGTTCACTCACTCTTGGTATTGTACGTCGTATGGGTTTTGCCAAATGCATAGTAACATGTTTCCACCATTATAGTGTCATACACAGTAGTTCCATTGTCCTAAAAATCCTCTGTGTTCTGCTTATTTGTCCTTCCTGCCCCACTAATCCTTGACAATCACTGATCTTTTTACTGTCTCCAGTTTTACCTTTTCCAGAATGTCATATAGTTGAAATAATACAGTATGTAGCCTTTTTGAACTGGCTTATTTCTTTTAGTAATATGCATTTAAGTTTCTTTCATGCCTTTTCATGGCTTGACAACTTATTTCTTTTCAGTGCTGAATAATATTCCATTTCTTGGATATGCCACAGTTTACTTATCCATTCACCTACTAAAGGACATCTTGGTTGCTTCCAAGTTTTGGCAATTATGAGTAAAACTGCTATAAACATTCATTTATAAGTGCAGAGTCCTTTCTTTTTAAAAATTCCAATGGTTGCAAATAAATGAATTTAATGGAATTTAAAAAAATTAGTGAAAAAAATCTTATGCAAAGCCTTCACACCATCTATTGGTAGGAAATAAGTCATTTCAAATTCCTTTATATCAGTTTTGATATGATTTTTATTATGTTATAGAACATAGATTAAGTATTTTTTTAATATTGGGAAGCAACATGGAAAGATTGAGTTTTAATCTTGTTTCCAGCACCCCAGCATCTAAAAGCTCTTGGATTTTGGATGAGCAATTAACTACTTTTCTCATCTGTAAAGTGGGGAATGATAACCACAAACACTTACATAGGAAGCACACAGTTCTTAAAGCTGAACACACACACAGACAGGCACACACTCATTTATTTCTTACATCAGATATATAAGTAAGGATTTATCATTATCATTTTATAAGTGAGGAAGTAGAGGCATAGAGAGGTTGAATGTGTTGTTTAATACCACAGTTTGGATTATGAGTTTATGATCTAAGCCATTATTATACTGCTTCTGGCATGCTTACATGTTAGGAATAATGTGAAAATTAAATGAGATAATTCATATAATGAGGTTAGAATAATTTAGGACATGTAATCCGATCTCAATAAAGGTTAAACATGATTACAATTATGTGCATGGCATATAAAGAGTTTCAAATTGGTTATATCTTTTACTCTTCCACAGAACTTTGTCAGGTAGTTATTTTAACAATGGGGAAATTAAAACTAAGGTAAATTAAGTGAATTATCCTTGGTCACATGGCAGAAGTGTGGCTGACTCAGGACTGAAATCTCTTTGGACTTCAAATATTTTAATTCTAGCCCCTGATCTTCATAACTGCTTGAGGTTATAGCTGTAGATGTACTAATAAGTAGCTTTCTCTTGCTATCATTCCTTTTTTACTTTGCTAAGACTAAGACAAAGTTTGGCAGAAACAAGCAGAAATCCCGTTGGCTAATATATCAAAATATTAATCTGCAACAGTATTTGAACTACTTTTCTAAGAAAAAAATACATGAAAGGCTTGAAAAAGAAAGAGGAGATGTCTAACCTATTAGGTTCTTATCAGTGAGAATGCCAACATTTTCTTGTAACATATTTCTACTTGGAAACCAAAATAATTGCCTGAATAGCTTCAATATGGCAGCGCTTATGAGCCAAACATATTCTCTTCATTCAAATTTTGTCTTGAAAGATTTTTGATAAATAACATGCTGTTTATCTGTGTGGTGAGGCTGTACATTTCTTAAAGGTAAAGAACGCACAGTCTGCTTTCATCTTCTATAAGTACATAATCTTGAGACAGATATATGTAAGTTCTTTATTTTCTTTTTTTCTTTTTTTTTGAGACGGAGTCTCGCTCTGTTGCCCAGGCTGGAGTGCAGTGGTGTGATCTTGGCTCACTGCAAGCTCCTCCTCCCAGGTTCATGCCATTCTCCTGCCTCAGCCTCCCAAGTAGCTGGGACTACAGGCGCCTGCCACCACGCCCGGCTAATTTTTTGTATTTTTAGTACAGACGGGGTTTCACCATGTTAGCCAGGACGGTCTCGATCTCCTGACTTCGTGATCCACCCACCTCGGCCTCCTGAAGTGCTGGGATTACAGGCGTGAGCCACCGTGCCAGGCCAGATATATGTAAGTTCTTGAAAATATTTTGCATATTTTCTCCTATGGTGTCCACCAATAGAATGACTACAAAAGGAGGGACAGCTGGGGAGCTACTAATGAACAACATTTCCCAAATCTACCGATTTCTTTCAATTAATAGATTTTTCATGCCAATATAAGTAAGTCTCAAACAGTTTTATTGCCAAATAAAAAATTATTGAGATAGATTATAAAGAAAAAAGATCACTGAAGAAACAATGGACTCACAATCCTTGCCAGGCTGAAAGTAAATTTAATAGAACCAAATGAGAGCTGATTTAACTTGTATTTTCTGATTGATTGTATGATTCATTCAATTTGTAGTAGAAAATGAGCCTGTTTAGATCGCTTTAAGACCAAAAACATAATGCAAAGTATAACTCATCAAATTTTGTATTTAGTGGAACAGAAAACCCAATTAAATACCTAAAAGCCTAACTTGAAATGACTATATTGGTGGTGCAGCTGAGAAATTAGAGTAGGCCTTGAAACATAAGAATAAATATAAAAGATGACAATATACTTCTGCCTTAGCGCACCAAGGAGGAGGAGGCATAAGCATATCTTCCCTAGTGGGGAGAAATATTTTATTACTAACATTGTTTAATATTACTAGCACATGGTATTAATAAAAGACAGATTTTGTGCTTAGATGATTATTTTAAAATTCTCCATGGGTACAGAAAATGCAACCCCTTAATGTATAGATCCCAGGTAGCCTGCTTCCATCTCTCCCCTTTTGCTACACCACTGTCTTTTGGTCATCCAGTATCTGGAGTATGTGTTTTCTTAAATGAATGCCTTGTCAACCCACAAAATTGTTTCAACCATTGATCCAGCAACTTCTTCCCTTTCTTCCTAGTCCATCACTCTCTCTCTCCTCACCATGCTTGACTTCTCTTCATACCATTTGTCACTACTTGGAATTATAGAGTATTTTTTTTATTTATTTGCTCACTATCTAGCTGCCACAGGGTGATGTAAGCTCCATGGCACAGATCCCATTTATTTCCCCCACTGCCTGATGCACTGATTTCTCAGTGCTAGAGCAGGGCACAGCACACAGCAGGTGCTCAGTCAATATGCATGGAATGAGCCAGTCAGCCATTTTGACTGAATTCACATGTAGTTAGGCACAGGGCTGACTTATACCCTAGGTAAGATAGTAAAGAAGGATTTGCTATTTTTGGTACTCCTTTCATCATTAAATCTTCTTAGAAACATATTTGAACACCCACTATACTAAGCTGCTGCTGTAGATCCTGGGAATATGAAGATAAATACAAATCAGACTTAGTCCTACTCATTGGCCCAAAGGAGGTCACAATTCAATAGGGAGAACAGACACCTGTAAACAACTAATTATAAAGCACAGTAGTACATGCTATGATAATAGTGAATATAAAGCCTATGGTAGCCAGAAGAAAGGAGTAGTTGATTCCCCTTGAGGTAGAAATACCATTCAGTATGATATTGGCTAAGGGTTTGCCATAAATAGCTCTTATTATATTTGAGATAAACTATGTTTCATCAATACCTAGTTTATTGACAGTTTTTAGCATGAAGGGCTGTTGAATTTTGTCAAAGGCCTTCTCTGTATCTATTGAGATAATTATGTGGTTTTTGTCATTGGTTCTGTTTATGTGATGGACTACATTTACTGATTTGTGTATGTTGAACCAGCCTTGCATCCCAAGGATGAAGCTGACTTGATCGTGGTGGATAAGCTTTTTGATATGCTTCTGGTGAAAAGAACAAAGCTGGAGGCATCACCCTACCTGACTTCAAACTATACTACAAGCCTACAGTAACCAAAACAGCATGGTACTAGTACCAAAAGAGATATATAGACCAATGGAACAGAACAGAGACATCAGAAATAAAACCACACATCTACAACCATCCGATCTTTGCCAAACCTGACAAAAACAAGCAATGGGGAAAGGATTCCCCATTTAATAAATGATGCTGGGAAAACTGGCTGGCCATATGCAGAAAGCTGAAACTGGACCCCTTCTTTACACCTTATACAAAAATTAACTCATGGTGGATTAAAGACTTAAATGTAAGACCTAAAACCATAAAAACCCTAGAAGAAAACCTAGGCAATACCATTTAGGACATAGGCATGGGCAAAGACTTCATGACTAAAACACCAAAAACAATGGCAACAAAAGCAAAAATTGACAAACGGGATCTAATTAAACTAAAGAGCTCCTGCACAGCAAAAGAAACTATCATCAGAGTGAACAGGCAACCTACAGAATGGGAGAAAAGTTTTGCAATCTATCCATCTGACAAAGGTCTCATATCCAGAATCTGCAAGAAACTTAAACAAATTTACAAGAAAAACAAACAACCCCATCAAAAAGTGGGCGAAGGATATGAACAGACCCTTCTCAAAAGAAGACATTCATACAGCCAACAAACATGAAGAAAAGCTCATCATCACTGGTCATTAGAGAAATGCAAATGAAAACCACAATGTGATGCCATCTCATGCCAGTTAAAATGAAGATCATTAAAAAGTCAGGAAACAACAGGCCGGCCAGTGGCTCATGCCTGTAATCCCAGCAGTTTGGGAGGTCGAGACGGGTGGATCACGAGGTCAGGAAACTGAGACCAGCCTGGCCATTATGGTGAAACCCCATCTCTACTAAAAATATAAAAAATTAGCCAAGCGTGGTGGCGCATGCCTGTAGTCCCAGCTACTCAGGAGGCTGAGGCACGAAAATCACTTGAACCCGGGAGATGGAGGTTGTAGCGAGCCAAGATTGTGCCACTGCACTTCAGCCTGGGTGACAGAGTGAAACTCTGTCTCAAAAAAAAAAAAAAAATTCAGGAAACAACAGATGCTGGAGAGGCTGTGGAGATGTGGAGAAATAGGAATGCTTTTACACTGTTGGTGGGAGTGTAAATTAGTTCAACCATTGTGGAAGACAGCGTGGTGATTCCTCAAGGACCTAGAACCAGAAATACCATTTGACCCAGTAATCTCATTACTAGGTATATACCCAAAGGATTATATATAAATCATTCTACTATAAAGACACATGCACACGTATGTTTATTGCGGCACTACTTAAAATAGCAAAGACTTGGAACCAACCCAAATGCCCATCAATGATAGACTGGATAAAGAAAACATGGCACATATACACCATGGAATACTATCCAGCCATAAAAAAGAATGACTTCATGTCCTTTGCGGGGACATGGATGAAGATGGAAACCATCATTCTCAGCAAACTAACACAGGAACAGAAAACCAAACACTGCATGTTCTCGCTCATAAGTGGGAGTTGAACAATGAGAACATATGGACCCAGGGAGGGGAACATCACACACCGGGGCCTATCAGTGAGTCAGGGGGAAGGGGAGGGAGAGCATTAGGACAAAATACCTAATGCATGCGGGTCTTAAAACCTAGATGACGGGTTGATGGGTGCAGCAAACCACCATGACACATGTCTACCTATGTAACAAACCTGAATGTTCTTCACATGTATCTGAGAACTTAAAGTAAAATAAAATAAAATAAAGAAATACCAAAATCATGTAATTAAACTGGATTTTGAAGGGTAAAAATTACTTTGCCTGTTGCAAGGAGAAGGATGATCTGTTTCTGTATTGACAATTTAAGGAGAAAATAACTAGACAACTTCTTTCATTTCAAGGCTTTACTTAACTCAGAAGCAATGTTTGCTTGCAAAAGAGGACATTTGACGGTGAGATTGTGTAAGCCACAGAATCACCAAATAATGGATACCCAGACAATGTAGGAGGCAACATTTTTATTCTGGGAGAGTCTTCTGGTACCTCTCAAATCATACTCTTAGGTCATCACTTGTCTTATAGATGCAAAAGTCTGAGCCAGGTTAGGATTCTCTAATTGAGCCATTCCAATAAAAAGAAGACATGGGGTAATTTTTACTAAATAAATAATGTACTTCTAATACTTGGAAAAAGCTAATGAACACAGAATTGTTTTGAAATGTATGGGTTTAGTTTTTGATAAAGAAATCACCTCAGTATCCCAATAGAGTTATAAAACACAAGTACTAGAAAATGTCAATGCAAGTTGTAAAAAATTAGGTAGGACTGGAAATAACATATGTAATCCTGGTTTGTAGGATTTCCATTTCAGGGAAATACCTATTAAGATTACTACACCTTGGGTCACTGATACCATTTTTCCCGTAACTTAACTCTATATCAAGATCTCAGAATGCAATGCAGGCACCATTCTCACCAGCACAGCTCTGCCCCACAGCTCTCTAATAAGTGGTGGTGGTCAGAGTAGCTCAGTAATGATCTAAAGATGACAGTTGCTATTCTTCTTTAGAGAAAGTGAGGTTTTTCTCTCACTTTAATTTTTTTTTGAATTAGGTTTGTTATTTGTTTTTAAATATTTAAATGACAAAATTTATATATACTTATATTGTCCAACCTGATGTTATAAAATATATACATCATGGACTAGCTAAGTCAAGCTAATTAACATTGACTTATTTCTTATTTCTCTTTCCATCTATGGGATTCCAAGTAAGTGAACACAAAACATTGACAGAGAGAACTACCAGGATAAAGTACTCATTTTCACCCTTCTTTTATGATTTTCTCTCTGTTTCGTTCTCCTCTCCTGACTGTCCATAGCCTATCTGATTGTTGCTCGAGGCAAACCTCACACATCTAATTCAAACCAGCCCTTGGCAAGTGAAATCACTACTTAGATATATCTCTGAACTGCTGACATTGGCAGAGTCTATACTGTGGTTATGCCTATAGAGATGTTAGTTTTTACTCTCTGCTTGCTTTCTCATCCTCAAATTCAAACTTACTAAGAATTTGTGATTCTTGCTATAAAAGAATTGCTCTGTTGATGTACAAGGGTGTAAATAGCTTTTAAACTTGTAATTCTATCCAGTATGTTTCGAGATACTATTCAATGAATGTGTTTTTGTTCATGGAAAATACAAATATTTGCCAATCTAGCTTTACGCAGCAAAGAAAAACCTTTATTCAAAAACTATTATTTTATTTGTTAGGCTTCAGGTGTATACTTCTGGGCCACAGCTGGTTTTAAAGCTTTTCAGACGGCCATGTCTCAGAAAATAGACATTACCATCAAATTTCCATTAAATTAGGAGTGAAATTTTATTCACTTCAGCACCCCTTCCCTTTTTGGGATTGATTTTATTTTTGTTCAGGTGCAAATGTCTCTGCATGGCTGTCTGGAGCATCCTTCAAAGAGTGTGGCAGAAAATAAAAATATTTTCCTCTTCAGTTAAAGCATCAAAAGAAAAAGGAAAAATAAAGTCTTGCCTTTTCTGCTTCCTGAGCATGCAAGTAGCAGTTCCACATTGTCCCCTCATGAGAGTCTGGCCCCAAACATCACACCGCAGGCTGACTGCCAACCCATTTTGTGTAGAATTGGCAGGAGTTCACTTTGGCAAAGGAATGATCTGTTTCTTTCTCAACCTAAGGCTTTTACAAGCTTCATGTTGCATCTGCTCTGTCCAATAGGTTGCCATTATTCTGCCCTGACCACCACCGCATTCTGATTTACTTAGTGTGTGAGGGGACTATAACAAATCCTTCAATTACTTTTATCTTATCCCAGGCTGTTCTGCCAGTCTTTCTCTGTTTTTAAAGTTTGTCTTTCTGGTACTGGCATTAGAAACTATCAAAAAATCAGTATGTCTTACTCCTCATCAATATTTAGGCAACCTTGTAACTAGCCATTCTTTTGCTCTGTTGCCCAGGCTGGAGAGCAGTGGTGGGATTTCAGCTCACTGCCACCTCCACCTCCCGGGTTCAAGCAATTCTCATTCCTCAGCCACCAAAATAGTTGGTATTACAGGTGCATGCCACCACACTTGAACTGGCTGTTCTTGAGTGTCCATTGCCTCTCCTAAATCTGTGTAGTCTGCTTACAAACATTCGAAGTGAACACAGATCTGAGAGTTGGGTCAGTCTTGTCAGAATATGATAGAAAACTTAAAAAAAACTCATATTTTCTTATTTTGGTAATATCTTATTTAACAAGTTTTGTTTGAAACGAAGGACATTTATACTAATCTCATTGCTTCCTTGAGATATTCCTCAGTTAATCAGTGGTGTAATGATTAAGTACCTGGTCTGTGTAATCAACTGTAATTTTGTATAATTTCTGGCCACATAAATTTCCAAGCAACTGTGTGCAAATAACCACTCCTACTTTCACCTGTGTCATCTCTAAAGATGGGGATAGAAGTACAATTTAATGATATAGTTTACAAACAGTATTTAGCACATTGCCTGGCTCTTCGTGCTTCATGATGACGATGTGGATGATGATGATGATGATGATGATGATGGTGATGACAATTAAGTGATTCCAGTTAGAAGCAAAGGTAGGAAAATTAAAAAAAAAAAACCTCTCAGTGCTTAAGCATACTTTGGTCACTACGTAGCAGAATCATAATGAAATAATAAAATGCAGCCCTGAATGAAATCTTTTGCCACTTCCTCATTTACAGGTAAGGAAATTAAGACTTATAGTTAAAGAGAGAGACCCTGACTTTAGAATTAGCAGCAGAGCCAAGAACAAAACCCCAAATCCTTATCCAGGTATCTAAAGTTCTTGTTTTTTCCTCTATATTGTGTTATTTCTGTCTGAAAAACTTCTTTTATCCTTTGCTCCAAACATTTTTAAAAAGTAAACATTGCAAGTAGAAAACAGATACTAAGGCCAAATTTAGAGAAGAAAGAAAAAAGAAAGAGAGAGACGGAGAGCAGCGAGAGAGGGAGAGAATATTCTTAATTCTCACATTGCCACAAGCTCATTAAAATCTACCTTCATTAACTCTTCAAGAAAAGTGGTCTTGGATAAGAGCCAAGACTATAAGAATATCTTGGGTTTCATTATTTGCTAGATCTGTATTGGGGAATTAGATTGGACCATACATAACCTGTAAAGGCTTCTTTTTCCTATTCTAAAAGCATTCTTGAGTGTGATTCTTCAACCTTATCTCAAGACTGAACCTGCTTTCTGTTTTGTCTTATGTAGTAGAATTGTTGGTTAACTACCAGAAAGCCATACTCATCTCTTTCTCCTTTACCTATTCACAACAGAAAGTCAGGTAATCTCTTTTTCAGCTTCCTTGAAGACAAAGGGTAACCAAGAACAGCTGCAGAGGTGCCTACTGGGGAGCTTTTAAGTACCTTAAAAAAGGGAATAAGATGAGAAAAAAACTCATTCCCCATTCTTTAAAAAGCTTTGAGCATGAAAATACTATCTGGAGCTAAGGCAGCCATTTTTCCCCACGAGTCAATAAAAATGAGAACAATCAGCCAACAGATAAGAATAGTGGAGTGGAAAGATAGAAATTGAATCCTTGATAATATCATGGAATTGCTGACCTATCTTGAGACTACTTATTCTCAGGCTTGTTAAGTGAAAATAAATGTTATATTTTAAGTCACTGTTAGTTGGTTTCTCTTTTGCTTGTAGCCAGATAAAGGTAATATATGTAAATGAAACTTTCAGATTGGGAGTGTTAGGCATGTGTATAGCATCTCCATCTAAGCAGAGGAAGGTTCTGAGTTCCTCATACCTCATCAGCTTCAGGGAAGGGAAGAAAATATGGAAAGCGATTCATGGAAATGATCTAAAGAAGATTTGGAAAGCAAAAAGATTTCTTGCCTCAGTATAGGTCTCATTCTAATATGGTTAATACCACCATTTAACCTCCCAGCATAACAGTTTGATGATCTACCTTCAGGAGATAGCCTTGAACATATTGCAAGCCATATAAAAATCAGCCTGATAGGATTTCAGTGAGCTTTACAGATAAAGAATTCTGACTTGTTTATCTTGATATTGTTTTTAATTTCCTGATTATAGATAAAATATCTATACCAAAAGTCACATTTCATGTGCTCAGCTGCATGTACCATGACAAATGGACCCTTACTGAAGATGTTGGATGGCCTTGAGGGCCACTCAGAGACAATCAACATGTCAGTGCATACATCTATTTTAAAAGTGCTCTTGGAGATTTCTTCAAAATTTGTTTCATACAGACTTTGTGGAAAGCGATTTTGTTTTCTTTCAGTGTAATGAAATTATACAGCAAACCTAAAACTTGGTGAACCAAGGAGTACAAACAGGAATGTGGATTCACACTGAAACAACAGCAGCAAAAGGAAAAAAAGGCAGGAGGTGGGGAGTGAGAGCGTGGGCGGGGAGAAAGGAGGGAGGAGATCCTATTAAGACAAAAACAAAAAAACACAAGAACACACACACACAAAGTAAAAACAAATAAGCAGAACTGAAGATTCTGTTCTTCTCTCTTCCAAGGGCAAAAAAAAAAAAAAAAAAGAAAGAAAAGAAACAAGAAAAGGAAATGCAGGACTTGAGGCTGCATCCCTCAGAGCCATAGGTACAAATGGGTGACAGGAAGGCATAGACCCTTTGACCCTGTAATTGCACTTCAGGGTACTCTAGACTTACAACTGATGTTAAGTAAAAGATGGTTGCAAATTATTTACTATGTTTATGGAGAGGTAGAATCTAATTCTCCTCTCTTGGACTTTGGGCTGGTGTTAGTGGAGTTCTTGACCAGTAGAAAGTAGCAAAAGTGATGTTATGGGACTTCTAAGGTTAGATCATAAAACACCTTGCAGTTTCCATCTGGACTTCTTAGGATATTTTTTTTTTGAATTCGGAGTTACCAACTGGGGAGCCCAAAAATACTAATACTACCATTCTGAACAGATTACACATAGGTATTCCTATCAAGAGCCTGCTGAGTCGAGCTTCCCAGGATTTCCTGTCTAGGTGCCAGTCCTAGAAGGGAAGCAACCTTAGACACTGGACCCTAAATACCACTTAGTGACTTCCATTCACGGCATATGTAATAGAAGAGTCACCCATGAATTCCTGTCACAAAATCTCAATACAGAATAAATTATTGTTTTAAGTTACTACATTTTGTGGTAGTAGGTTTTGTAGCAATACATAAGTTAAAAAAGACATATATGCAGGAATCTTCACTGAAACATTGTCTGTAAAATGTAAAGTCTGTGAACAATTTAAATTCCATTTATAAGGGACTAGTTAAGAAATTTATAGCAAACCCATATAAAAACTACCATGTGTCTGGCTGTTGAAATGATTAGAATAAATACATGTATTTTATGAAATAACGACAAGAAGCCAATATCATTACAAATTAAAAAATAATACATAGGAGGGAGGAGCCAAGATGGCCGAATAGGAACAGCTCCCCTCTACAGCTCCCAGCGTGAGTGACGCAGAAGACAGGTGATTTCTGCATTTCCAACTGAGGTACCAGGTTCATCTCACTGGGGTGTGCCAGACAGTGGGTGCAGCGCACTGTGCATGAGCCAAAGTAGGGTGAGCCATTGCCTCACCCAGGAAGTGCAAGGGGTCAGGGAATTCCCTTTCCTAGTCAAAGAAAGGGGTGACAGACGGCACCTGGAAAATCATGTCACTCCCACTCTAATACTGCGCTTTCCCAACGGGCTTAAAAAACGGCATACCAGGAGATTATATCCTGCACCTGGCTCAGAGGGTCCTACGCCCACAGAGTCTCACTCATGGCTAGCACAGCAGTCTGAGATCAAACTGCAAGGTGGCAGTGAGGCTGGGGGAGGGGCGCTTGCCTTTGTGGAGACTTGATTAGGTAAACAAAGCAGCCAGGAAGCTCCAACTGGGTGGAGCCCACCACAGCTCAAGGAGGCCTGCCTGCCTCTGTAGGCTCCACCTCTGGGGGCAGGGCACAGACAAAAAGACAGCAGTAACCTCTGCAGACTTAAATGTCCCTGTCTGACAGCTTTGAAGAGAGTGGTGGTTCTCCCAGCATGCAACTTGAGATCTGAGAACAGGCAGACTGCCTCCTCAAGTGGGTCCCTGACCCCCGAGTAGCCTAACTGGGAGGCACCCCCCAGTAGGGGCAGACTGACACCTCACATGGCCGGGTACTCCTCTGAGACAAAACTTCCAGAGGAACGATCAGGCAGCAGCATTTGGAGTTCACCAATATCCGCTGTTCTGCAGCCACTGCTCCTGATACCCAGGAAAACAGGGTCTAGAGTGGACCTCTAGCAAACTCCAACAGACCTGCAGTTGGGGGGCCTGTCTGTTAGAAGGAAAACTAACAAACAGGAAGGACATCCACACCAAAAACCCATCGGTACGTCACCATCATTAAAGACGAAAGGTAGATAAAACCACAAAGATGGGGAAAAAACAGAGCAGAAAAACTGGAAACTCTAAAAATCACAGCCCCTCTCCTCCTCCAAAGGAACGCAGCTACTCACCAGCAATGGAACAAAGATGGACAGAGAATGACTTTGACGAGTTGAGAGAAGAAGGCTTCAGACGATCAAACTATTCCGAGCTAAAGGAGGACATTAGAACCAATGGCAAAGAAATTAAAAACTTTGAAAAAAAATTTGACGAATGGATAACTAGAATAACCAATGCAGAGAAGTCCTTAAAGGACCTGATGGAGCTGAAAACCAAGGCACGACAACTACGTGATGAATGCAGAAGCCTCAGTAGCCGATGTGATCAACTGGAAGAAAGGGTATCAGTGATGGAATACAAAATGAATGAAATGAAGTCAGAAGAGAAGTTTAGAGAAAAAAGAATAAAAAGAAATGAACAAAGCCGCCAAGAAATATGAGACTATGTGAAAAGACCAAATCTGCGTCTAATTAGTGTATCTGAAAGTGACGGGGACAATAGAACCAAGTTGGAAAACACTCTGCAGGATATTATCCAGGAGAACTTCCCCAATATAGCAAGGCAGGCCAACATTCAGATTCAGGAAAAACAGAGAACACCACGAAGATACTCCTCGAGAAGAGCAAGTCCAAGACACAAAATTGTCAGATTCACCAAAGTTGAAATGAAGGAAAAAATGTTAAGGGCAGCCAGAGAGAAGGGTCGGGTTACCCTCAAAGGGAAGCCCATCAGACTAACAGCTGGTCTCTCAGCAGAAACTCTACAAGCCAGAAGAGAGTGGGGGCCAATATTCAACATTCTTAAAGAAAAGAATTTTCAACTCAGAATTTCATATCCAGCCAAACTAAGCTTCATAAGTGAAGGAGAAATAAAATCCTTTAGAGACAAGCAAATGCTGAGAGATTTTGTCACCACCAGGCCTGCCCTAAAAGAGCTCCTGAACGAAGCACTAAACATGGAAAGGAACAACCGGTATCAGCCACTGCAAAAACATGCCAAATTGGAAAGACCATCAAGGCCAGGAAGAAACTGCATCAACTAACAAGCAAAATAGCCAGCTGATATCATAATGACAGGATCAGATTCACACATAACAATATTAACTTTGAATGTAAATGGGCGAAATGCTCCAATTAAAAGACACAGACTGGCAAATTGGATAAAGAGTCAAGACCCATCAGTGTGCTGTATTCAGGAAGCCCATCTCACGTGCAGAGACAAACATAGGCTCAAAATAAAGGGATGGAGGAAGATCTACCAAGCAAATGGAAAACAAAAAAGGGCAGGGGTTGCAATCCTAGTCTCTGACAAAACAGACTTTAAACCAACAAAGATCAAAAGAGACAAAGAAGGCCATTACATAATGGTAAAGGGATCAACTCAACAAGAAGAGCTAACTATCCTAAATATATATGCACTCAATACAGGAGCACCCAGATTCATAAAGCAAGTCCTTAGTGACCTACAAAGAGACTTAGACTCCCAAAGAATAATAATGGGAGACTTTAACACCCCACTGTCAACATTAGACAGATCAACGAGACAGAAAGTTAACAAGGATATCCAGGAATTGAATTCAGCTCTGCACCAAGTGGACCTAATAGACATCTACAGAACTCTCCACCCCAAATCAACAGAAAATACATTCTTTACAGCACCACACCACACCTATTCCAAAATTGACCACATAGTTGGAAGTAAAGCACTCCTCAGCAAATGTAAAAAAAACAGAAATTATAACAAACTGTCTGTCAGACCACAGTGCAATCAAACTAGATCTCAGGATTAAGAAACTCACTCAAAACTGCTCAACTACATGGAAACTGAACAACCTGCTCCTGAATGACTACTGGGTACATAACGAAATGAAGGCAAAAATAAAGATGTTCTTTGAAACCAACGAGAACAAAGACACAACATACCAGAATCTCTGGGACACATTCAAAGCAGTGTGTAGAGGGAAATTGATAGCACTAAATGCCCACAAGAGAAAGCAGGAAAGGTCTAAAATGGACACCCTAACATCACAATTAAAAGAACTAGAGAAGCAAGAGCAAACACATTCAAAAGCTAGCAGAAGGCAAGAAATAACTAAAATCAGAGCAGAACTGAAGGAAATAGAGACACAAAAAAACCCTTCAAAAAAATCAATGAATCCAGGCGCTGGTTTTTTGAAAAGATCAACAAAATTGATAGACCGCTAGCAAGACTAATAAGAAGAAAAGAGAGAAGAACCAGATGCAATAAAAAATGATAAAGGGAATATCACCACTGATCCCACAGAAATACAAACTACCATCAGAGAATACGATGAACACCTCTACACAAATAAACTAGAAAATCCGGAAAAAATGGATGAATTCCTCGATGCATACATCCTCCCAAGACTAAACCAGGAAGAAAGGAGGAGCTGGTACCATTCCTTCTGAAATTATTCCAATCAATAGAAAAAGAAGGAATCCTCCCTAACTGATTTTATGAGGCCAACATCGTCCTGATACCTAAGCCTGGCAGAGACACAACCAAAAAAGAGAATTTTAGACCAATATCCCTGATGAACATCGATGCAAAAATCCTCAATAAAATACTGGCAAACCAAATCCAGCAGCACATCAAAAAGCTTATCCACCAAGATTAAGTGGGATGCAAGACTGGTTCAACATACGCAAATCAATAAACATAATCCAGCATATAAACAGAACCAAAGACAAAAACCACATGATTATCTCAATAGATGCAGAAAAGGCCTTTGACAAAATTCAACAACGCTTCATGCTAAAAACTCTCAATAAATTAGGTATTGATGGGACGTATCTCAAAATAATAAGAGCTATCTATGACAAACCCACAGCCAATATCATACTGAATGGGCAGAAATTGGAAGTATTCCCTTTGAAAACTGGCACAAGACAGGGATGCCCTCTCTCACCACTCCTATTCAACAGAGTGTTGGAAGTTCTGGCCAGGGCAATCAAGCAGGAGAAGGAAATAAAGGGTATTCAATTAGGAAAAGAGGAAGTCAAATTGTCCCTGTTTGCAGATGACATGATTGTATATCTAGAAAACCCCATTGTCTCAGCCCAAAATCTCCTGAAGCTGATAAGCAACTTCAGCAAAGTCTCAGGATACAAAATCAATGTACAAAAATCACAAGCATTCTTATACACCAATAACAGACAAACAGAGAGCCAAATCATGAGTGAAGTCCCATTCACAGTTGATTCAAAGAGAATAAAATACCTAGGAATCCAACTTACAAGGTATGTGAAGGACCTCTTCAAGGAGAACTACAAACCACTGCTCAATGAAATAAAAGAGGATACAAACAAATGGAAGAACATTCCATGCTCATGGATAGGAAGAATCAATATCGTGAAAATGGCCATACTGCCCAAGGTAATTTGTAGATTCAATGCCATCCCCATCAAGCTACAAATGACTTTCTTCACAGAATTGGAAAAAACTACTTTATAGTTCATATGGAACCAAAAAAGAGCCAGCATCGCCAAGTCAATCCTAAGCCAAAAGAACAAAGCTGGAGGCATCACACTACCTGACTTCAAACCATACTACAAGACTACAGTAACCAAAACAGCATGGTACTGGTAACAAAACAGACATATAGACAAATGGAACAGAACAGAGCCCTCAGAAATAATGCCACATATCTACAACTATATGATCTTTGACAAACCTGACAAAAACAAGCAATGGGGAAAGGATTCCCTATTTAATAAATGGTGCTGGGAAAACTGGCTAGCCATATGTAGAAAGCTGAAACTGGATCCCTTCCTTACATCTTATACGAAAATTAATTCAATATGGATTAAAGACTTACATGTTAGACCTAAAACCATAAAAACCCTAGAAGAAAATCTAGGCTATACCATTCAGGACATAGGCATGGGCAAGGACTTCATGTCTAAAACACCAAAAGCAATGGCAACAAAAGCCAATATTGACAAATGTGATCTAATTAAACTAAAGAGCTTCCACACAGCAAAAGAAACTACTGTCAGAGTGAACAGGCAACCTACAGAATGGGAGAAAATTTTTGCAACCTACTCATCTGACAAAGGGCTAATATCCAGAATCTACCATGAACTCAAACAA
This sequence comes from Homo sapiens, assembly GCF_000001405.40. Classification (NCBI taxonomy): domain Eukaryota; kingdom Metazoa; phylum Chordata; class Mammalia; order Primates; family Hominidae; genus Homo; species Homo sapiens. The sequence continues at coordinate 51,641,907 of NC_000005.10, forward strand.
ATTTACAAGAAAAAAACAAACAACCCCATCAAAAAGTGGGCGAAGTATATGAACAGACACTTCTCAAAAGAAGATATTTATGCAGCCAACAGACACATGAAAAAATGCTCATCGTCACTGGCCATCAGAGAAATGCAAATCAAAACCACAGTGAGATACCGTCTCACACCAGTTAGAATGGCAGTCATTAAAAAGTCAGGAAACAACAGGTGCTGGAGAGGATGTGGAGAAATAGGAACACTTTTACACTGTTGGTGGGACTGTAAACTAGTTCAACCATTGTGGAAGTCGGTGTGGTGAATCCTCAGGGATCTAGAAGTATAAATACCATTTGACCCAGCCATCCCATTACTGGGTATACACCCAAAGGACTATAAATCATGCTGCTATAAAGACACATGCACACGTATGTTTATTGCAGTGCTATTCACAATAGCAAAGACTTGGAACCAACCCAAATGTCCAAGAACGATAGACTGGATTAAGAAAATGTGGCACATATACAGCATGGAATACTATGCAGCCATAAAAAATGATGAGTTCATGTCCTTTGTAGGGACATGGATGAAGCTGGAAACCATCATTCTCAGCAAACTATCGCAAGAACAAAAGCCAAACACTGCATGTTCTCACTCATAGGTGGGAATTGAACAATGAGAACACATGGACACAGGAAGGGGAACATCACACACCGGGGACTGTTGTGGGATGGGGGGAGGGGGGAGGGATAGCATTAGGAGATATACCTAATGCTAAATGACGAGTTAATCGGTGCAGCACACCAACATGGCATATGTATACATATGTAAGAAACCTGCACGTTGTGCACATGTACCCTAAAACTTAAAATATAATAATAATAAAATTTAAAAAAAAACAAGGTTAGATCACACTGTTAAATCATACGTTAAAATAAATCCCAGATAGATTTATGCTTTAATGAACACTGTAAACATGCTAAAATAAAAAAAATACATATAGTATGAATTCACACACATGGATATGTTTGAATAGGTGTGTGTATCACATACATTTACAAGTCTACACACAAAATTGTTTGTGGCTTTAGCATCACAGGAATGATTTTTCTCCCCTATTGCCAGTTTGTTTAATGTTATTGTTTCCAGATAATTTTACTGTTTTCATTTACCTCGTTTAAACATTATATATGTATTCAGAAATTTGGGAAATCAACAAAAGATAGAAAAAAAGCAGATACTACAATTCTTCTTTCCAAAGACACTCTTTATACTCTAGTCTTTTTCTATATAGAGGTTTCATTTTTAATGAGGTTCAAGTGTTACATTGCTTTACATCTGTATACATTTGGGATTTCCAGATTTAACATGATAGCATCTGCAAATAATTATTTTACTTTCTCCTTTCCAAGTTTCACTAGCTAGACTTAGGACAATATTCCATATTAATGGTGTCTTCCTGTGGCTTTGGGTTAAGTGCCACATTGTCTCTTGGTCTCAGTTTGATACTTTTCATGTTGAGAAAGCATCTTTACTTCCGTATATTAAAATCTTATACTAGCTAATCGTCCTTGATTTTTATTGTTGCCTTTTTGATGATCCAATGGAAAACATTATGTTATTTTTCTTACTTAACTAATCTATGTGACAAATTTTATTAGTAGATTTCATAATGATTAATAGTTTAATTCTTGGACTACAGACCATTTTGTAATAGTCTATTTAGGATTTTACATGTCTACAGTTATAAATAATTGGATACACATATTTATTTTCTGTATATCTCAGACAGTTTTGTCACAGTAGTTATTGCTTTATAAAGTGAATTTGGTAACATTCCACTTTTTAAATCTATGTTTTGCACCATTTCTTTAAGCATAGACATTTGTGTCTTGAAAACTTCAAATAAGTCAAGTGTAAAAGCATCTGTCTCTGAAGATGCTTTTCTGTGCTAAGTTTTTGACTTTTTTTTTTTTTTGCTTTAAGTTTTCTTTTCTTAAATTCTTATCGAATTAGTTTTGGATATTTGTATGTTTTTCTTTAGAAAATTGTATTTTCTTGAGGTAATTAAATATATTAGCATAAATTTTTCTCAGAAAAATCTTACCTTATAACATATTTTATAATTGTTAAAAATATTCTTTTTCATTTTCAAAATAATTTGATCAGTTTTTTCTGTATAATTAATGTCTCATATTGATCATATCCATTGTTTTGTTTTATATTTATTTCTGCTTAAAGCATCATTATTTCCTTCTGACTTATTTAGATTTTGTTTATTTTTCTTCCTATTTATTAAGTCCTTAATAAAATATTTCATTTATTTCAAAAATAGTGAAAATAACATTTACTCTGCGTATAGCTTTGGTTGCATCTCATATATCTGACGCAAGTGTTATCTCTTACTCATTCTGCTCATGTAAACTCAACTATTTTCTTGAATAATAGTTATTTGCAAAAGGTGCATAGAAAAATTGTGGATGTGACAATCTTTCAGAAATAGAAGAAGAAATACAGACCTATTGAAATATAGTATCTTAATTCACCATAAGATGTAAAAGAGAGTAATGACATTTGGGGTCACATAGGTAAGTACTACTGAACTAGAGCAAAAATTTTAAGCATCTATTGATGGAACAAAAATGCATATGGACAATTACTGGCATATGATCAATTCCCAGTGATTATTACACAGCAACCAAGCTCTCTGATTCTATCTCTAAAATCTTTTAAAAATAGTTTAAATTTTTTTTCATTTAATAATTCTGCTAATGATGTACATACACTTAGGACACCAATAAAAACCTTATTTTTTTCTTAAGTAAATGAGATAATAAACCTTTCTCTTTTTTGGCTTTTTCGTTTAATACCAGATATAAATAAATTATTGAAATTTCCCAGATAATGCATGCAATTGTTTTGGATAAATCAGTGGGATAACATTTTCTTTTATATTTAGTTATCAAAATAGATTGAGGGCAAGTAAATTTAGGGAGACTGACTTTCTTTGTACTTTCTTTATAATTGGCCAGAATTTTTTCTGTTACAGAATTAGCTTGTTATTTACATGCCAAATATACATTTTTTAGTGCTTGTTCCCAAGAATGTTCTTTCACATCAATAATAAAATAATTAGGTTGATAAATTTAAGAACCATTTTAAATCAAATAACTTCACTTAAGTATGTGCATAAAGGCTAGAGCTTGTCAAAATTTCCCTCTCCCTTCTTTCTCTGTGTGTGTGCATCAGCCTGAATATATTAGTTATTCTATGCTTTTGGGAGTATTTTTGCTGACAAGTTAAAAGTTTATCAAGACTATTTTTGTGTTTACTTTATTGAGGAGTAAATGGTTACATAACTAGCAAAAGCAAGATCTGAAAAGCACAGCAATTTTAAAAATTGACACCAACAGTATTTAAACAGTGTGGTTCCTTCCTTATATTTCTAAACCTCTCGAAAGATGACTGTAAGTTCGTTGATTTGGCTATAAACCCTGGGGACATTCTTATTTTATCTAGAAAGATATTGTCAAATTCTTCCCCTAAGAACTGATTCAAGTATAAATTTTACTCTATGGTGTGTACATCTTAACAGCCATTCACAAGCAATGATATCATCACCATTTCTTCTTTATTGATGGCTGAATTAAAAAATTAAAAAAGCTATTCAAGCTGTCATACTTCTAGACATAAACTATATATTTATATAACTAATTTAAGTCACAACTTTACTATAATTAGATAATGAAAATAAATGCTTCAAGAACAGCACAGATGAAAAATTTTATTGATTTGGTTTTACATGTAAATTAGTATATTACATTATTTTTCTGGAAGGCAATGCAATATTCAGGAATGATCTATTTTAAAGTAATGTTCTGATATTAACTGTGGGATTTTGGATATATTACTTAACAGTTTTGATCTTTGCTTTCCTCATTTGTAAAATAATAAGCACAGTAATGCTCACCTTTTTGTGGGGAATAATACAATTATGTGTAAAGAGTATCATATATAATAGTAGGCGTTCAATAAATGGTGGCTACTCTCAATGATTTAGATACTTGGAGGTTTTTCCATAAAATACAATAAATTTTTAAAAAATTTTCTAAGAATGATTGTTTATAAACACAAAAATTGTAGATCAAGAATTATGTCTATCTGAAAACACATATATGCAATCTTATTTTGAAAATAAAAAATTGCCAGCTACATAATAGTTCTCTGCATGTGTAATAAATACACCATGAATTTTATTTTAGGGTGATTAATTTTATTTAAGAAAGTAAAATTAAGTGGTTCCGAGTACATCTTTAAAACATTGTAATTAAAATATCACCAGCTGTTTTTCAATTGAAGTAGTTTTCTCCAGACTTGCCTGATCATGGGAGTCCTCTGGGTTGGGGGCAAGATGGATTTCTTGAGAATATAGAGTCCTAGAGTCCCCTGTAGACTTGCCAAAAATATTGAGATACTTGGCACAGGATTATTAATTATTTTTTAGCAGGGTATTACGTATTTCTAAAATGTTTTAAGATTAGGAAAGTTGGGGAAAATTGAATGGAAAATATTTCCAAATAATATGGCTATCGATATGAATTAATGATTGTAAATGCTTTTTTAAAACAGGCATCAGAAATGGTAAGAACTCTTATATTAAATAACATCATTCAATAGATCAATTTGTCCTGTTATTCAGGTTGCATTTCAAAGCTGGCAGGCCCATCAGAAGTCTGTGTCATTGCTTTAAACAAGATATTCCATACAACATAACTGATGTTTTCTACAGGTGACAGGATGGTGTCAGTGCATGTTCTGAAAATTGTCTAAGTTAAATACTACCCATGCTTAATAGAATGACAGTTTGGGGTCTCAATGAAGTACTTGTCTGAGCAGTTGAAAGAAACCTTGATGAAAATGGTAACTTTGTCAGCAAGTATAACTGTGACCTTCTAGAAGGGTGAGAATTATTCCTTTCAAAATAGAATTTTGACTTCCTCAACTGCCAGGCTTATATCAAAATAAGGGTATGGTTTTTCTCTTAAGTTATGATATAGAATTTTAGCACTGCTATTCCTGGATGGAAAACCATAACCGATAACGAAGTCTCAACCAAACATGAATAGAAACAAAATGCTATCTATCTGATATGGTTTTCTCTGTGTCCCCCGCCAAATCTCATCTCAAATTGTAATCCCCACATGTGGAGGAAGGGACATAGTGGGAGGTGATTGGATCATGGGGGCAGTTTCCCTCCTGTTGTTCTCATGATAGTGAGTGAGTTCTCACAAGAGCTGATGGTTTTAGAGTGTGGCACTTCCTCATGCTCTCGCTCTCTTGTCTGCCGCCATGCAAGATGTGCCTTGCTTCCCCAAGCCTACTGCCATGATTATAAGTTCCTCCCTAGCCATGTGAAACTGTCAGTCAATTAAACCTCTTCCGTTTATAAATTACCTAGTCTCAGGTAGTATCTTCATAGCAGTGTTGAGGATAGACTAATACATTATCCTCTTTCTCTGAGTATTGTTTTGGTTCAACAGTTCTATGGCACATATTATTCTAAGAGGCTGGACTCAACTCCACCTAAGAGTAGGAATGGGCTAGGAGTGGGAGGACAGTTGGCAAAGCTTTCCCGGAAAGGAACATTGATTTTTGTGAGGAAGTTTATTCTTGGTGGTTGAGTAGATATTATCCAGGAGATCAAGGAAAGGTAGAGAATGGCCATACCCAAGGTAAGTCAGATCACTCACAGCATGAGAAATGTTCAGAGCCTAGAAATAAACACAAACTCATGCATATATTCCAGTTTTTTGAACCCATTTTATTTGCCTATACCAATGAAGCTATATAGGGGACAGGTATATAATAAAGTACTGAAAGAATAATCTGTGATATTTTGTACCTGAGTCTTAAATTTTTCTCGAGAGTTTTAACTAACCAAAAACCACTGCTATCATAAAAACTAGTGTCAAATGTCAAAAGTTGAAAATATAACATTCTTTACTTATTAAATTCTAATCTTTTGGCAATTTCCCCTAAATTATCCAATTTCCCGTTTTCAAGAAATATAATTAGGCACTCTTGGCCTTTTAATTTAAATTTTATTCATTACAATAAATTATAATTTTTATTCATAAATTAATCAAAAGAGAAACTTAGGCACTATAATCTTTCTATATCTACCACATATTCTTTTATCCTTCTACAACATTATGACTCTTCTGGATGTCTATTTCCACTACACAGTTTATTCCATATTAATGCTCTTCATTCTGATGTAGCATGTCTTATTTAATTAACCACCTTGCTGTTGTGCTTTCCCATATCATTTGATTTTTCCCATTGGTCACTATGCTTATTCACACTGCTTTAGACATTAGACAAAATAATCCTGGATAAAAATTGTTTCCTAAGTGTGCTAACTTTATTATTATTTTTTTTCCAAATTCATTCTCCATCTTTCTCTGAGTCATTGCACATGAAGTTGTGTTTCCAGTTGGGCTGGACCAATTGAGGACGTCAGAAGGTAGGGGGAGAGAGAGGTATCAGGATACTTCTTCCCTACTATTTCACTGCCTGGCACTGCATTCCTGACCACAGGTAGCTCTGAAGACTTCATACTCCTTGGCTCTACCTGTTTTGCATTCTGTTAAAACCATTTCAAACCTTTTTCTATCAGCCCTGGCAGTGGTAATGATATTGTGTTGCTCCTAGCCTTTGTTCCTTGTTTTGTTTTTGTTCTTAATCTTGTCTTTCATTAAATCTTATTTGAACCATCTAGGAAATATTCTCTCAACAGGGCCTCAGACTGACGCAGCTTAAAAAAAATCAAGAATGCTAAAAGTTATAATAATGCAATTTTAATTTTAAAAATCTTATGACTGTGGTTTATGTATACATTTTCAAGCTAAATGTCATATGCAAATATCTACAGAATCTCTGTTTCGTATTGACTTATGTTGATAATGTGTAGCTTCTCAGATAAAGTACACCTTATGAGCAAATAACAGCAAGGGATCAATAATTAGTTTTCACTTTCACCTTGGTTCCATTTCAGACATTTCTTTTCACAGAAAAAATAGCTGCTGGTCGTAAGAGCTGCTATTAATAATTCCTTCAGCTTTTTCAGGTTGGATTTTGTTCTCAATTATTTAAATTGAGTCAAAGATATTGAAATATAGAAATATCCTTCAAAAGTAATGTTTTGAAGTGTCAAAAGTAGATTTTTTGAGAATTGATAACATTATTTGCAGTTCACTTAAAATTAAAAGACTCCCCAAATCAAAAACTTAGAGATTAAAGAGGATTAAAGATCCTATTGTGGTAATATTAAATATAATAATATAAATATATACATATAAATAATATATGTAACCATCTTATCAACCAGCACTCTCTAATAGACATAAAAAAGACCCACAAATAAAAGCCATATGTATAAATTTAAAATTTATAGTAGTCACATTTTTAAAAGGTAAAAAAGAAACAGGTGAAATTAATTTTAATAATATATTTTATTTAACTCAATGTGTCTAAAATATTATTTCTACACCATCAACATCATTCATGAAATCCTTTACATTCTTTTTTCATGTTGTGTCTTTAGAATCCAGTGTGTATTTTACATTTCAGGTGCATCTCCATTCAGACAAGCCACATTTCAAGTTTTCAAGAGCTGTATGTGAACAGAGGCAACTATATTGAACAGCATAGCTATTAACCTTCTGGGTGCCTACAACTCTAGGATTGGAATAAGAGAAATTGCTTTCTGAGATTTTTTCCCCCTACTTCTTCTTTATTACCCTACCTATTTCATCCAGCCCTAAAGATTCTGTTTCTTCGAAAGTCTGTTGCCCAAGCTCTTCTGTTCTGTTTCAATAAGAATACGCAAAACTGATCTCTTTGTAAAGACAACAAAAAAGTTTTGTTCACAATGCTTCCTACTAAAGAGAGTTAGTAATCAGAGTCTGGAAGGCTCTTGCTATCGCTTATCCTGCCTGGCAACAGGTGGTAGATGAACCATTAAACAGCACTTCCCCTTCCATCACAGTATTAAAAGACACAGCCTTGAGCTGGGCTAGGGGTGGGCCAGCTGCGACCCACCCTGCTCCCTGCATGCAGGCCACCTTTCTGACACCAGGATGAATGGTTACATATGGATTCTAGCTGTTTTGCTTCTTCTTGACTCAGGTTTGGCTGTAATTCCACGCTTTTAGTACGTCCTTCTACACACACCACATGAGTGCTGCTCAGGACCTAGTCATCAATTGACCCGCACACGGTGTCTTCCCTTCATTAGTAAAAACATTCAGCATCGTGCACACTTAATCTTACATTAAATTTAAGTGAATAAAAGTTTGTACCTTAATTTATCCACTGCCGTGAACTGTTTTTTTACTTTTCACCCTGACAATCTCATGGCCAGGTTTATGACAGCAGCTCCTGATTGTACAATGGTAACTCTAAATAACCAAGGAAAGAAAGGTAGTTGTTGCTGAAATAAAGTTAGGGCACACTTATTCAAGCATAGTAACCTCTCAGTGAATAATAAAAATAAACATAACTATTAATACTTATACATTAAGTTCAGTTCAGCCTCTGAAATCATATAGACCTCAATCCAAATTTCAGCTTCTAAACTTTTAGCTGTGTGATATTAAGAATTTGTAATTTTCTCATCTATGGATAATGGTAGTATTTAACATATAGTTGCGACTGTAAATCAGATAATAACTTTAATGTGCTTAACAACTGTCAGGTACACCATAGAAGTGTAGTGAGTATTGGTTATCTTTGTAATTATCATTATAATTTTTATCACAGAGACACCTGGGGAAGTTTCTAGGCTAAGATAAATTCTTCATTCACTCATTCATTCACTTAATATTTACTAAACAGCTACCACATGCTGAATGCTTACCACAGGTGCTAAGCTGTGAAGATACCAAAGTAAACTATATAGACACTGTCCCTGCCCTCCTGAGTCTTATTCTAGTAGGGGATACAGACAAATACTTAAATGACCAAGAAAGGTGCTTTGATAGAGAATGCACAGGGTGCCATGATGGAACATTGACCCTAGATTTTGAAAGTGGTAGTGAGAGTCAAAATAGCTCTCTGGTGCCAGTGATACCTAAACTGAAACACAGGAAGTTGTGGACTCAATCAAAGGGCAGGGGAAGAAAGTGCCAGTGTTCCAGGCTCAAGAGTGGTAAATACCTAGAGATAAACAAACGTACATGTTCTGGGAGCAAAAAGCAGTTCAATAAAGCTGAAAAGAAAAGCACAGAGCAGGGCTGGCAAGGTTTGATTCTAGAAATGTAAGGAGTTGCTTATCCATATTAAACAAGGCAAGACTGGGTCCTTAGGCTGAGGAGGGACCTCTGTCTGCCCTTTGCTTCCAAGGCTGCCATTTTATTTGTGACTTCGTTTTCTCTTCAGGACCATCACAGAGACTCATTTGATATCAGGTTTTCTCTTTTAGGGGATTTCCTTGTGCCCCACGTTCTGCCCTCCTACTTCTTTGCAAGTGGCAAGTTTGTGGCATCATTTGGGTTCTAAAACACTTGACTGCCTTTGTCTTCAGATCTTTTCTTTACCTAAAAAACACTGCTCAATCTCATCTGTCTCAGGCTGATACCAAGTAACTATTTCTTTTGAACAATTTGGGTCTGGTGGTTCTGTGTCCTGACCTGAGTGTGAGACGATCTTGTCCTGGCAGGGAATTTCTGGAAAGCAGCCACTTGAAACCAGTCTGATCAGACATAGACAGGAAAATCTCACAGGCGGTTTGTTGTCATGGTGGAGTGAGCTCCCAGAATTTATGGTTTAAGGGTACTTTCCACTCTTCCAGGAGTACACAGAGTGGAATTGTTTCAGAATGCAGAAATTCAAACCTCTTAATTTTGAATAAGACTCTGATTTGGAGGTAGAATGGGTAGGGAATATGTATAATAGCTTTTGTGAAACTTATGTTCACTGTGTCAAAAATTTTCTGTATGTTAGTCAACTTCCTTTAATGTTCTGGCTATTAAAGTTACCTAAATTTTTTTTTGCTCAAGATAAAACAATACTGATATACGATATTTATCTTCTTTTTTTTGCTTTCATTATTAGAATAATATTCCTCATTAAGCTCTGTATTAGACTAATGCCAAAACCTTTTCAGGGCTGAGAGTGACTCATACAGTTAGATAATCTACTGGAATGTGCATTGTGTATATGGTGAGTAGTAGTGAAGTTTTATAAGGATGGAAATGGAATGTAAGAGATGAGGAATTTCATCCCCTTTCTTTTTTTTTAAACACACGACAACCTTCTTCATCTCTTTTTGTGTCATCTTTCTTTGACCTTTTAGAATATTTGCTATTTAAATTTCCTTGGCTTATAAAATGTTTTTCTTCCAGGCACAATCATTTTCTAGTTCTTTAGATATGCATCAAAATCATGCTCTCCAAAGAGTTTTTCTTATTTCTCTTACTTTTGGTTAATAATTCCAAATGTATAGGTATACTTAATGATTTCTTAGTACTTAATATTCTCTTGCTTTGCTCCCGTGTGTGTGTGTGTCTGAGTGTGTTGAGTGCAAGGAGTACGTTCTACATTCTATTTCTTTGTTTTTTCATACATCTTTAGCACAGGAAACATTTTATAAAATCTTATTGAATTCATTTATAAACTTGAATGTTATTCCTAAATACGTGAGTTATTTGCTTGGTGAAGTAGAGAATACTAATGTATTTCTCCTTGTTTCTGTTTCTGCACCCATAAAATAATAATATTGGCCAATTACATTCCAGTTAAAAATTAATGATTATGCTAATAACATAATAGTTTCCTCTGTGTGTGTGTGTTTGTGTGGAGAAATGGGGGTTGGAGAGGAAAATTACAGACTCTTCCATTGTTATCAATTACTTTGAAATACAGGTGAAGCTCTTTGGGAGAAAAATTAAATTTCATAGTCCACATTGGTCCTATTAGTATACTCTAGTAATAATTCATTAACGATTTTTCCTTAAGACTCTTAGGGCTAATCAATGGACCTTCTAAGAACCTTAACAGACTCATGGGAATAACTTGTTCACTTTCACACATTCTGACATTATTTGCCCTGTTCTCTAGTATGTGCAGGAGAGTCCAAATCAGTGTGTAATCCTAGTTAGAGACAAATATTTCTTCCTTGATGTAGGCAATTGATGACTTCCTCTCCCGCACAGATTTTGATTTTGTATGATTGTGCTGTGAAGTTCGGGCTCACTAATTTACCTCTTTGGCACTGAGTACTGGGTGAAAGGGCAGCCTCAGGAGTCACACATTCCTTTGTTTAAATCCTGACTCACTCTTTCAGTGTGTTCCAGAGCAAGTTAGTATCTTCCCTAAACCTCCACTTTCCCTCCTATGAATTAAACATAATAATAGCACTGACATAATAGGTTAGTTGTGAGGGTTATAAAGATCCAAGCACAGAGTATGGAAAATAGAAAATACTCAATTTAAAAAAAAAATGTATGACTAATACTTCCACTACTGCTACTATTATTCTTACTATTCCTACACTTGTTATTTTATAGAGAAACATAATCTTTCTCAGTAGAAGAGCTCTTAGAGGTCATCTAAGTAAACTCTTCTGTTTTCCACTCCAGCAAATATTTACATTTCTTCTACATTATCCCTGGCACATGATTTTCCAATATAGTTTTCATTACTCGTTAAGTTTACTTGAAACCTGCTCCAACTGGGAACTCTAATTCCCATGAAAGTTTATTTTATCTTTGGGCAGTTCTGATTTCTGATTGTTAGGAAGTATGTGTGTGTGCACATGTATGTATGTGTGTGTGCATTATGCTTATGTCTTTTGTGGCCTTCACCCTTTGAGTTCAGTTCAGCTGAATGGGGGTGTCACAGAACAGTTACAATCCCTCTTTGTTATGACAATCTTTTATGTATGGGAAGGGAACAATCATTCTACTTCTAGATCCATGAAATTATTTTCTGCTGTCTTCAAAACTGATTTTATCCCCATTCTGATCACCGCCCCTAGTCATGACCCAGTATTTGAATACTTCTTAAAGAATGTGGTGCTTAAGACTTGATAAGTAACCCAGGTTGTTTATTGCAAACCAAGGTTTATTTAGCTATTTGAGAAGTCCTTTACATTATTGATTCATATTAGGCTCACAGTACACTATAATCTCCATGTTTTTTCACTTTCAAATTTGCAAAGTTTTTGTTGCTGTTGTTATCCTTTCTAACTTAATCTTAATAGCTGGGCCAAAAAGCAAAGTTAATGTACATTCTCATCCAACCCATTTTTAAGATGTTGAGTAGACAAGATTGAGGGTAGAGTCCTGAAAAACATCTCCGTTTATACTAAAAGTAACTGTAAATAAGCACTCTTTGGGAATGGTCTCACTTTCAACTTATCGTTTTACCACCTAGATCACACATATGGCTTGTAATCACTAAAATATCATCAGAAATGTTGTCAAGTGTATTGCAAGAATTCTGATACACTAAATCTATAGAAGTCTCCTTCTCTATCTGGATAGTAACTGTACACAATGAAATGTGCTCCTGATCCATTTGTTTCCTCTTTGCTGACCTCCAGTAGTCATAGCTCCCTCTCAATGCCCAAAAAAATGGTTTTAAAATCCAGTCCAGAATTTTCTCTCAATATTGATAATGAAGTCACATATTTGTGGTTGAAGAAATAGATCATTATTTTTAAAATTGGATCATTATTTTTAAAATCTCAGAAAACAAATATACCCTATGTTCTCTCCATAACCACTAAAATAGTTCAATAGTACTCTCAGTAACATTGGTATGCAAAAATCACCTATATTTCGTTTGTTTTACTGCCTTCAAATCAATACAATTTTACCCTTTCTCATTGAAAGGTCACTTTCTTATAATAGAAAAATAGAGAGAGGAAAACATACATACAACTGGCTAAATTAATTACGACTTCATTTGGCGCTGGTTTTGGCTGTGAGGTTAGCATAATTGTATTTTGCATTCTTCCTTTTCCATTTTTGTTATGGTTCCTCTGTAAATATAATTTATGTTTCTCCAGAATCATGAGCATCTAACTCACTGTAGAAGTAAAGAAAATACTGTCTTTGAAACTCTTTTATACTTCTTAAAATGAGAGAGAGCACTAAGGGAGTCGATGCCTATTAGCCTTTCCAAATAAAATATAAAATTTAGACAGTAATTTATACGCTAGTTTGTTTCAGAAAAATGTTAGGAATAAGAAAGAAGAAATAAAAGACTTCTTTAACTGCCTTTAACATTACCTCTTTTCTTCTAGATTCACTCACAAAATTAACAGAAGTTTATAGAGCATCTACTATACAGCACATAGTGTTAGAAAAATTAAGACAACTAAAATATAATCTCGACTGCAGCACATTCGTAATTTAATAGAGAAAATGCCAGTAAAGAGAAGTAGACTGTACTATATCGTTTAAGGGTAGCATGAATGTAAGCATAAGAAATTATTGGAGAATATAAGAGGATTCCCGAATCAAACTACAAATTGGGAATGGCTAGAAAGCCTTCCTAGAACATACAACATCCGAATTAATACTCAAAAGACAAGTAGAAAATAGCCAGGCAGTTGCAAAGTTCCTGGGGACATAGAAGCAGAGCATAACAGAATTAGCAAAGAGGTTGAGGAAGGGAATTCTAGGAAGAGGAAACTACATGGTTAAAGGCATGGCGGCAAAAGGCTATCAGAGCGTTCAGGAAACTAAGCACTTTGATATGGCCAGGGAGGAGGGTGGCTTTTTGATGTGTGGCAAGTTGGGGTGAACAGGGGTTATGGTGAGAGATGGATCTAGATGGTGATCTGTGGCCTGATAATGAAGAAACTTCTACCATGTTTCATCTTTATAAGCTTTTAAGAAGGAGAATGACATGTTCAGATGGGTGTTTTAGGAACAACAAATTTGCACTACATTACTCAGGATGTATGGAATGTGTCTGAGAAAGTAGAAGACACTGACCTGTTTCACCCACACAGGTTCAATTTCTACGACTCAGTATGGATATTATACAAACTTATTCATAGTGATTGCCAAAACTCAAGGTCAAGGGACTTTCTAAGCAGCAGATGTAAAACCTACAAGCTCAGCAGAATATTATATCATGTATGTGTACTCTATAGACAGAGTTTTTAAAGATTTATCTTTTGTTCTATTCTATGTTGACACAGTCAACTGACCTATTGTAAAGAATCATATAAATTTCCAAACTGTCTGAGTGATCTCTACATGCCATGAATTTTTGCCAATTTCTTTCCCCTCTAGAAATACTTTGGAAAACTTATATGTAAGCTGATGTATAAAACAGTTTACAGAGTTATTTAGCCCCTTCTGCAAATATAATAGAAAATAGATTTGCTTTCAGAAACAAAAAATGATATATTTTCCAGACAAGCAATTTTTTGTTGTTGTTGTTAAACCAAAGCAAATAGGTAGTTATAATTCACTTGGCTGGGGTCATTCATCTGGTGTACTCACCTATCTGGAACACAGCTAAGAACCTACAGATAAGGAAAAAAATGTCTCCTGACACGACAAATAAATCTCGTCACTCTCCACACCAAAGTCTGTGTAGCTTCCCAAAACTTGTCTTCATACAAACATTCACCAAGTCCTACGGACTCATATTTTACTGAAAATCCAAAGAAGTTTGGTGGTTATGATTTTCTAGACTGTAGCTGATGAATGACAGTTATGATTGTGAATGAACACATTTGTATTTAGAGGCCCGTTGTATATATGCTTTGCAGTTTTACTGAGTTGAATTTTGGAGGCAGATAGACTAACCAGTATTAATGATTGGTGGGATGCAAGGATGAAAGACAGGAAAAAATCCTGAAATCGGACAAAAAACTTTCAAATGGTAGTAATCTGTAGCATTTATAGCATTACTATATTTTCCCCTAAAACAGTCACTCCAATTCATTATTTTGACTCTGTTACTATGAAAATGTGGAAGACTATACTCTTACAAGGATTTTTCATACCAAATGGCCAAAAGATATTATAACTATTAAGATAACCTACAGTTATCTTCTAAAGCACTCACATTGAATACCTACTTCCAGATACTGAATTAATAAATGGTCTCAAAAATAAATAAATGAAATTCTGCAGTTTGTGCTTAAATGATCATTTACATTGTATATGTTCTATATTATTTCTAATTAATAAATTCACTAAACAGTAATTTATTGTTTCATTTTCCAAAACACTTTTCATAATAAAAATCAATAGTTCTAATAAATGGCAGGGAACCCAGAGCTACACAACATAAGAACATTATTTTCTGAGCACTCACTATGTGCTTTTGGTTTTGTACTAAACATATGTGGTTTTATTTATTATTTATCATAACCATATAAGGCAGATATCATTTATTATTCTTAATTTACATATTTGGAAATTGAGGCTTGAGATTTTGGCTTAAAGTCACAGAGCTAGTTAGGTAATGGAGCCGATTTTCAAACCCGTGTTTGTGTTACTGAGCACTGTGTGTCTTTCACTGCACAGTCCTGTGTCTTCAAGCTTCCTGAGTCTCAGTGATTGGCACGCCTGCAGATGACACATTAAAGCTCTTTAGGGAATATGTATCAGGTTGCAATTGGCCGCTGCTCCCCAGCATCCAGTTATCTAGTCAAGTGCCAAGTTGCTCTATCTTTTATCTTTTTAACACTTTCCATTGTCAGAGTGTCTGTAATTTGCTGCCTGGCACTGGTTGGAAAAAGAAACATTTGTTGCTTTTGTTTCCACCAACCCTATTGTGAATCATTTTTCCTTGTGGTCACAGCTACCGTCAGTTTCTCATCTCTATCACTTACCCTACCAATTGAGCACTTTCTCCCTCTTGAAACTTCTTTCTACTGTTTGGACATTGAACCTGAGTAATGGATATTGTCACCTAATGCAAATTTCCACGTTATTTCTTAACAATAAAAGTCAGAATTTAGTCTCTATTTTTTTCCATCAGTTTTGAACTGTATTTGTAATTCCTGGGGATATTAGGACCACTTCACCCTTGAAGTCTCTCCTTCGGCTGTTGTCATAGCAGGCTAGTTCTGGAAACCTGAGGGTTTCTGAAGGCTACATGGCAAGTGCTTTGTGAGTGTGTGTGTGGGCAGTGAGTGTGTGTGTGTGTGTGTGTGTGTGTGTGTGTAGTGAATGAAAGGCATAGCATTAGAGGAATGAGGAAATTCAGGGATTTACAACCAAAGCTACTCAACTTTTAATTAATTAAACTGATTAAGGAAACTACCACTTAAATTTATATTACTCATTTAAACACAGCTTAATTGCCAATAGTTTATAAAGGACACTATGATTATAAAACAATATTTAGGTAAACCTGATTTAGTTCATCACCTAAATCTCAAGCTACTCATGGCTAGGTTGAGTGGAGGTTAAAGAGCATTTGAAAGTGTGACACAGAACATAGACAGAAACATCTCTTTTTTGACTAATAAGGGGAAAGTCCTTGAGGTTGTAGGTTCCAGCCCAGATGGTGTTCTACTCCTCAGATCCAAGGCACTCTATAAATCTTTCCTAATAACTAGATCCAGGCACACATTGCCCTGCCTCTCTTGCATAATTCTGGGGACAGAAATAGGCAGGGCTATTGAGAAAACATAGTTCAAATCCAAACATTATTTGCAAAGTTAGAGACAAGAATCCTTTTCATTGGATGTCTTATTCTGACACAAGTTAAGGATCAGAGTGATGAGAATCTCATTATTATCTTCTTAGTTAAAGAAAAAATTGAGGAAGAGCCATTGTTGAAGGCAGAAGAGCCCAGGGGAAGGGCAGCAGCAGCAGAGTCTTCTCCTCATTCATATTTAGCTCAGGCTTTCACCAACACTTCAAATATTAAAAATTAACACCAAAAACCACACTGCGGTCACATTGTCACATCATTTTAGTTTATATATTTATTGTCCTTAGAGGACATTTTCTCATGCATCTTCCTAACCAAAGCATATCTTTACTTTAACATTTGTGTGATGGCTTGACTCAAGTCCACGTTTCCTGAGGAGCTTTGATAAGCATTCTAGAACATGGTGATTTCTATTTTTCTTATTCTCTAATTATACATTGTCTTAAATTATGTGGTATCGGCCAGGCGCGGTGGCTTATGCCTGTAATCCCAGCACTTTGGGAGGCCAAGGCAGGCAGATTACCTGAGGTCAGGAGTTCAAGACCAGCCTGGCCAACATGGTGAAACCCTGTCTCTACTAAAAATAAAAAATTAGCTGGGTGTAGTGGCACATGCCTGTAGTCCTGGCTACTTGGGAGGCTGAAGCGGGAGAATTGCTTGAACCCAGGAGGCAGAGATTGCAGCGAGCCGAGATTACACCACTGCACTCCAGCCTGGCGACACAGTGAGACTCTGTCTCCAAAAAAAAAAAAAAAAAAAAAAAAAAAAAAAAAACTGTGCTCTCTCTCAAAGTTTACTATGATACTATGTAGGGTAGATTTTGATAAGGGAGCAACTGGAGGCAAAGAGACTACTTTGAAATATATGGTGCTAAGTGTCTGATAAAGAGACATGGAAGTAGAGAGAAAAAAGGTAGTTCTCTAAATCCCTGATGTTCATGAAATATAGAAATTAAACCATGCCTATCAGTTACAATTTTAACTTCTAAAACATTTTCTGTAGCAAGGTCTAGCCCTTGGGAAAACTCTTTTGCTTTACACTTTTTAAGAAATTTAAAACCATCTGCACTGTGAGTGAATGTTTTGGTTCCCCGACCCCAAGTTAATTTATGTATGCATAATTTGTCTCTACCTACTACTAAAATAGAATAGCATTTTCCAACATGAGTTTCATTGAAATATTGTCCAATTGGAGTTTCTTTGAATAAAGTTGATGAGCCAAATGACTTTGGAAAATTCTTCATAGCCTAAGTTTTTGTTGATCAGCATTAAAAAATATTTGACATTCTCTAATGTGATATTATGTGTAACTTAAAACTATAGCAAATCTCCTCTCCTTATAAGAGACTGATTTTCATTGAAAAAGATTAATTTACAAATACATAAGAAATTCATCATATTGTATATTTTTTGGTCAATCTTCAAGTCTGTAAGCCACATCACAAAGAACAATGTATTTTTGAGGGAGGAACTTAGTGTCATCACAACTTTAAATATAACCCATAGAGATAGCCTGTTATCACTAGTGTAACCAGCTCCCTTCCTTCTATCTCTGCATTTCTTTAATCACTTTGGGAAAGCAAATCCCAATGGTGGCATGCCATTTAGACAAAAGATGATAACAAAACTACTCAAGTAGAAAATGCTCAAAGTTTAACCTGCTTTTCCTCTAGTCATTTCCCATTCCATTGCCAAAATGGGGCCAAAATAACTGATTGATTCAAGGGGAAGAAATTCATTATTTTAGTTAAATGGTTTAAAAATCGAAGTTATTGTGTGTGCACAGCAGAAGTAGCTTAAAAGAGACATTTAGTAAGTCTCAGAGCCCTCTTCTTCCCCCATATAAAATATATTCTAATGAAAGGACATTACAGCTTCCATAATATATTAAAGATAATTTAGCATAATTTGCCTTTTGTCTTTGATTTCAACTGAATTACGTGAGTGCTATTCTGGCAGTAGGTATGGACAGGCGTATCACATCCTGAGTGTGGCTACAGAAAGAAATTTCCAGAACACACAGTGGGAAATATGATAAAAAGGAAAAAAAGTATTTTTTAAGAGCATATTTAATTCAAAATTTGATGTCTGGTTCTTGATACAAATTTTAGCTTGACATACTTTTACTGCTTATACCCCTTATACTCTCTACTTATAGTACATTCTGGAACATTATTATGTTTCCAGCAGATGGCATTTTTTTTACTTCAAGTACAGGAAAATAGGCAAAGGGGCAACAGGTCTCTATGAACATAGGGAGAAGCTTTAGAGAATAGGACAATGCTTAAATGATGGGATGGAGAGAGTATGCTAGAAAAATACTTTTTAGAGGCTGGGCATGGTGGCTCACGCCTGTAATCCCAGCACTTTGGGAGGCCGAGGCAGGTGGAACTCCTGAGGTCAGGAGTTTGAGACCAGCCTGGCCAACATGGCAAAACCCCATGGTAAAAATACCAAAATTAGCTGCACGTGATGGCAGGAGCCTGTAATCCAAGCTACTCAGGAGGCTGAGGCAGGAGAATTGCTTGAACCCGTGAGGCAGAGGTTGCAGTGAGCCGAGACTACACCACTGTATTCCAGCCTGGGTGACAGAGTGAGACTCCATCCCCCAAAAAATGAAAAATACATTTTAGGACTTTATTACCGTTAATATGAAAATTAGGTTTCTAGACACTTCTGAATATGTATGGTAAAATAAAATAATATAAAATAATATAAAATTTTCTAAGTTTAAAATTAAAAATCTCTGGCTCTTAAACATACTTTAGTGTTCTTCATGCCTTGGAGGTCATGGCTCTGCTGGCAAGCACTACAGTTTTAGTTGTACTTACTCACAGTGGAGGGCTACAGTGCTAAAAATGTCAACTGTTCTCATTCATTGCTCATCGGCATGAGTGGAACTCTCTGGAGGTCCATGTGTCTTCCATTTTTAACACTCTTTTCCCAAATGAGTAAATAAGGCTGACTATATCTTTTGCTCATATCTACATCAAACCTACCCAGAGATATGTTTTATGTTATACATTTCATAAAATAATTGTATGAAATAATAATTAATCATTCATATATTTAAATTTGGTGTAATTTAATGTTTTACAAATTATCAATTATAATGTAATACACCATCATTTATTGAGACAGAAGGAACTACCAAATGTGACATCAAGATGAACAAAAACAACCTAATTTGCCACAGTTTTACTTTGCTGGTATTTTAAAAGCCAGATGACCTAAGAATACATACATTTGCTTATCTCACAAAGACATAATCACACTGTCATCCGTATGTGAACCACAAAAGATGGATAGTATAATGTGTGCTTCAAATGGATTCATTAATTATCAAAATAGATAAGTGTTTCATCAGGTATATACAGCAGATAACATTTATCTTTTCACATAGAAGAAAAAGATTAAAGTAATTCTTCTATACATATTGGGAAGAAAAGAGCCTGCTCTACTGGGACTTTCATAATGTGACACTAGATAATATGCTTTGCCAGAGATGGTAAAGTTACACAAACACGATACAGATGACTTATTTCACATCAACTAGAGCAGCTGAATGCTGGAGGAAAGCCATTCATTCCCACCATAAATATTACACAACATTTATTTTGTGTCTTAATAAACATGTAGTCACCTTAGAAATCTCACATTTGAGAGAGTTTTAAAAATCTGCCATGCCTTTTATAAATTGCAGAACATTCCCCTAAGATAGGGGTTGCCAATGGCAATGGGAGAGTAAAATGCAACACATCTGATCTCAGTGGCAACTGTTGTTATATAGGGCATTGGACTGATAAGGATGGGCACCATCAATACCAATATTTAGTGATTCTTTCTGTGTATGAAGGGTGATAGGTAAACAAATAAGCATTATTTTCTGAAAATTTAACTGTAGTTATTAAAATCATTATATTGTTTCATTATTTTCTTAAGTCAACTTTTGCTTTTTTCATAAAGTGTTTAAAACTTAAGAATTCTAACCATTTAAGTATGTTTAAATACATCTGAAAGGAGAATAATAATATTCTTTATTTGTTAATAGTTATGGTCAGAAATAGTTAATTTGGGGTAAAATGAGCCTAACAAGATAAATGGAAGTGAAATTTATTTTCTGCTTGAAAACAGACTGATGTTATTTAACACAATGCATGATCACAACATATTTCATATGAATTGCTAAGCTCATTGATAAAATAGATTTTGTGAATATATTCATTTGCCTTCACCTGAGCAGCCTTAAATTGCTCAATTCTTGATGAATACATGCCTCTTGATTATATCTGTTCCATATTTCACATTTGTTAGTTAAGGAGCACCCAGATCACATGACCAAGCATTTCTCTAATCCCTTAAGTGCCTTTACTTTGGGACTACAAATATTTTGCAATGTTTTCTAACAAGTTATAAACAAATTTCATGTGTAAGAATTGTATGAACCTATTTATGTAATTTTGAATCAGCTTTATCTTTTGTAATATATTATAAAATACTGTATTATATTATTTGTTTCTGTCATTTCCTAACTGTAAGTGATCTTATTATACAAGCACCCTATAGGAATGCTCTCTGTGAAAGCTGAAAAAATTTTTTTCTTTCCCTATTAGTTTTTAAATATCTGATAGATGCAAGTTTTGTGTGCTTGTGGCATTTAGTTTAACCACATTATCTCACTGTCAGATTTACACTTATAAAATTCTATGCAATCAAGTAAGTTCTTTTAAACTTAGTGTATATTGTGATATTGATCATGCCAAACATTTTGAATTGTAACACCTTTGACTAGGTAATGTACCATTCTCCACATGCAGTTCACTGAATAATGTATTGCTGCTTAGGGTGGAGACACATGAAATAACTCAGTTGTTGCTAAACTACTTAAATGCACTTTGCCAACCTGAGTGAAACAAATGTGTAGGGATATTAAAAGGAAAATACCAGAAATGAAAGCAGTCAGATTTGTGTGTTGTTTAATTTTAACTGCACTCCACTAGCAGAATTCAAGTTTGCCCTTTTGAATCATTATCAATTCATTTGAGGACTCATATAAACATTGATAAATGGCTCCAGGGAAACATAAATGGCAAGAATGCTCAGAACAGGAATAGAGACTTAGGCCACTGTTTTGGGAAGACAAAGCTTTTCTTGCAAATGTTGTGCTGACAGTTTGTGTTCCTATAGATTCTTACAAATGATTTAATGGCATTAAAAAATAAAGATAAATTAACTAGGTTAAAGAAAGGAAAGGCAGTTACTCTTTTGCTTATTTTGCTAAAGCTGAGATAGTATTTTTAAAAATATGATCTTAAAGTTGTAGGACTTTAAGTGCATAATTGTTATTGGGAACTAGAAAAACAATTATACAAAAATTAAATAATTTTTGAACAATTCTGTGGATAACCAGATATATTTTGTTCAATGCTAACAATCTCCTCCAGATAAAAATTAGTTGTGGTTTACCCACCAAATAGGATTTCCCATGTTGAACTAAGTTTAACTGAAAAAGTTCAAAAGCCAATTTTGTGAATAATATTTTTAGAAGACTACTTAAAATAATTTTTATAATAAATAATATAAAATAATATAACAATTAAGATAATTTGCTTTAAAATAATCTTTCTAAAACCATTAAAACTGTTTTTCAATTTTTATCCTTTTAAAACATCAGGTATACTCTTTTTATCCATGTGTGCTTAGCTATTTTAGTTCTAATCCACGGGTTAATGTGCATAAGGTTGTGAAGATTTATAAGATGTGGACAGTTATTGTATTGATTAAAATGCATATTTTTCCAAAGCAAGTATATACTTTCACTTTAAAAGTCAATGTAAATAACAAGTTAGTATTCAATTTACTAATTATGTTAGACTTAGCTTGTTGCAGATTTGAGTGACAGCCGTTTTTCTGATTCTGTCTCCTCTACCCTCACTCCAGATTAGAACTGGCACTTTCCCCTATGCAAATGAACATCTAATTAGAGACACCTCCCAGTCAATAAGCCACTTTCTTATCACCAGTTATATTACCTGACAAGCCCTTTCTCTGCAGTCTTGGCCCACCAAGAATCTTCATTCATTTTCTCTTCTTCTTCTCTGCAAAGTGAACTGATCCCGCATAATCCCTGGAATAATGTAGCTTCTCTTGTGGAAGAGCAGCTTCCCTCGCCCCCTTTTACATCAAGCTAATGGAGCCAGTAGGTATCCTATTGATCTTTTCTCTATATGGTTTCCACAAGGATTTGACAGACTTCCTTACAGGTTAAACATCCAGGCTTTCTGAAGTGGCTATAAAGCTTTGTTTTTGATTTTTCTAACTTTTTTTTTTGAAACCCTTGCTCATCTGTAATCTTTAAAAGCTCAGTTGATGCCATGCACAGCAAAGCCTTATTTCTTTGCAGAACTAATCTCGACACTGTCTAGTGTTGAGTACAGTTGTCTGATTCAAATCTTCTGTTACAAAGCAGATGACATCTAGCTAGATGTCATGAGAAGAGCCTAACAATGACAATTCACTTATCCCTTAGAAAGAATCAATTCTCCCACAATGCATCTGTCAGAGAACTCTCACTCAGTAAAAGCAATTTTTCTAGCTGTCTGACACTGTAATTGCTCTTAAATTTTCAATGAACGTTTTACAAGGACTCCCCTGAACCATGATGAAAAACTTAACTTTTTTCTAAAAATGAGAGGCTGACAGGATGAAAGAGGTCTTTCTCTTTAAAGCCTTGCTTGCTTGAGTAGGAATTCTTTCATATCATCAACAAGCTGTTGAATAGAGGATAGATTACTTTCCATTTATTTCATCAATCAGATTAAAGGCTCTCCTTCACAATGCCCTTTAAACAAGAGCTGTTTATGATGTCCTCCCAGGTTTGACTTTAATGTAGTATTAAATCACTATGGACAGTGGAGTCAGTAGAGAATATAAATATGACGAATATCTGACAATATTTAAGTATTGTATATATTTGGGTCATTATCTTCATTCTTGCCACAAAAGAGATGTAAACAAAAAAGAAAAACAACCATAGATTTGCTATTCTTCAGTCTGAAAAAAATTCAACACAATTTTCCTGTATGTATCAGTAAGCAGAAATGCCAAGCATGCTAGTGATTTTTTTTCTCTCAGATCAGCAATTTAAAAAGAAAAAAGAAAGAAGTAGAGATCTGTTCATTTCTGTTTTACTCTAAATATGTGTTTACAAGCTTTAAAAATAGAACTCTGAGTTCATGCATTCTTTGCAAATTCAGACGAAAAGACTGAACTATAAGGTAGTTTGGATAATCCTCTATTTTTAGATTTTCCAAAACTAAAACAGGGCCAAAAAGCTGTTTATTATCAGCAACATAATAATCTGTTCAAAGAGAGAGGTGGATGTGTCAATTAGGTTTAAATAATTGCTTTAATATGTAAGTGTATATGAATGTATTTGCTGAGTAAATTTTTTTAAAATAAATACATCCAAAGTTTCTGTTTTAGGTGTGTGGTAATATTACAACTGTTGTAAGATAAAAATAAAATTTAAATTTCAAACTCTAATATGAATTGCCCCGAATGAGAGGAAAAATTATTTATCATAATTGCAGAATTAAAAAAAAAATCTAACTGTGAAAGGGAGTTTCACAACCATCTTCTTTTATCTTTAACCCTATATAAGCAGTTCCTGAACAACAGCTCTGGTATTTCTCCATCTTCCACTAGAATGCCTTCAAAAACTGGAATCTCACTATATTCCAGGGCAGTTTATATATTTTCACACAATTTTATTTATCAGACAATATTTTGTTCAAACATTGAGTCCAAATATTCATTCCGTGATATATTACCATTGATCTATAAGCTATTGTTTTTACATAAACTAAAACATTAAATATATACATTTTAAAATGTGTGATTTGAAACAATGAGTATTCAAGTATTGAGACAATTAATTTTTTGGAGATAATTCTCTTGTCCTCTCCACCTTCTTTCTTGGAGGCTAATCTCTGTCAATTCCTACAACACTAATTCATGTAGTCATTACAAGAATTTTTTTTTTTTTTTTTTTTTTTTTTTGAGAGACAGGGTCTTGCTATGTTTCCCAGGCTGGAATGCAGTGGCTATTCACAGTCAGTCATAGTGCACTGCAGCTCTGAACTCCTGGGCCCAGGCAGTACTCATCCCTCATCCTCCTAAGTAACCAGGCCTACAGGTGAGCACCACCACGTCTTGCTGTCATTGCAACAGTTTAATAAAAACAAGTCCCAGGCTGGGCATGGTGGCTCACACTTGTAATCCCAGCACTTTGGAAGACTTAGATGGGTGACCACTTGAGCCCAGGAGTTCAAGACCGGCCTGGGCAACATAGTGAAACCCTGTCTCTACTAAAAATACAAAAATTAGCCAGGTGTGGTGGCATATGCCTATAGTTCCAGCTACTCAGGAGGCTGAGGTGTGAAGATTGCTTGAGCCCAGAAGGTTGAGGCTGCAGTGAGCCATGATGGCGCCACTGCGTGG
The DNA here is from genome assembly GCF_000001405.40 of Homo sapiens. Taxonomy (NCBI): domain Eukaryota; kingdom Metazoa; phylum Chordata; class Mammalia; order Primates; family Hominidae; genus Homo; species Homo sapiens. The sequence goes on from NC_000005.10 coordinate 51,667,084, forward strand.
CATGGTGTGGGTGGCAGAATGAGACCCTGTCTGAAATCAAACAAACAACATGAAAACAACAACAACAACAACAAAACAAGTCACCTGGGTGTTTAATTTACATAATCTCGTTGAATCCTGTATCAGGATATCTGTGATCAACATGTCTTTTATTCGGAAAAGAAAGTGAGGCAAAGAAAGTTTAAGTAAATTGACTAAGTCACACAGTAACTGGCAAATCAAAATTCAAGCTCACATCTGTCAGGCTTTCAGGGCTATCATCTGTACATGATTCCACACTGTCATTAGTCCTTTTTGTGCCACTCTCTTTTTTCTGTTTACCTTCTGAATTTATTTTCCTCTAAAATGGGGAACCATAAAAGTAGAAGCAGGAAAGTAGTTAAGGTAGTGCTGTGGTTCAGACAACAGCTATGATGGCCATGATCAAAATGGTAGCAGTGGATATGAAGTCTGAAGATGAGCAAATTTCATATTTATATCAATCTATGAATATATTTTCTCTTTCTTTCTTCATTCCTTCCTCCCTTTTTCGTTCTCTCCTTCCCTCCGTCTTTTCTTTCATAGTCACTTGCACTCCTGCATATTTTTGTTAGTTTGCTCTTCCTATCATAAACATGCCATGCATTATGACATCTGAGTCATTGATAAAATGTTTGCAATAGGTAAGGTTGAAAACTGCACTCTTCAACATTTCACTTGAAGACTTTCCTTCTGGCCATGATCATTCTATTAATTGGCCATCTTTCTGTCAGTAACCAATTCCCCTGGATAAAATAGTCATCAAGTCCACTTTCCTCAACTTGTCAACAAGAATCTCATTAAAGCCTTTATCAGATGCCCGTATTTCATATACTTAGTGGATGGCATTATCTTAATCAACCCTTTAGGACATACCAGAGAGTGTGGCAAATTTGGTGTGTTTTTTTATTGCTTTAAAAGAAAACTTTTGTTTCTTATTTTTAAAATCTTATTCAAGGTATAACTTGTATAGACATGAGCCATTAGTTCCTGTCTGCTTTTAGTTAATCATGTGATTTGTACTGTCTGCACATGCCTTTTTTAAAAAATCTGAATTTATCTCAGAGACTCTTAGGCATTGATCTCTTCATGGGGAATTGGAGGTGGAGGAGTAATTTTCAGAAATGGAGTGAGAATTTTCTTCTTGAAAACCTCCTTAATTTCAGGAAATACGTTTCTGTTTAGTGTCTCATTTCATAAGTTCATATGTTTATTTCATTTTTCTATTTACCCTGGATTCTGATCATGCTTGGAGAAACCACTTGGGGTAAAGAACTCATTCAATTTTATTTCCCTTCCCTTAATTTGTTCTGTTCCTCACTGATTCCAGAGTTTCAGCTGAGATCTCCCTATTTCCTGTACTAACACTTACCAAGTTACATACATATACCTGTCTAAGACTCATTCTGCCATGTTTTGCTATGGCCACCATGTTTCTTATTCTCTGAGGTACTTGTTTCATTGATTATTCTCCCTCTCACTCTCTCTCTGTCTATAAGCTCCTACTTGCTACTTTGCTCTTAGTAAGTAAACTTACCTAAGTCTCTACCATTAATAATATACAAAACCTGCACAACGAAATGTCCACTCTCCGTAGTTACTCTTGTTTCCCTCTCTGCCCAATTACAGTCAAGAGTCTTGAAATAATAGACCAACCTCAGGATAACCACATTTCCTTTCTTCCTTTCAGTACTCAATCCAGTAGAATCCAACTTCAGATCTATTCCACTAAACTATCTCTGTTAAGATCACTAATGATACTCCTATTACCCTATCTTCATCTCTTCTCACTTGACTTTTTCTTTGTTATTTGACACTATAGCTCAGAATGTTGGATTCCAAGATACTAAATGTTCTGGTTACTTGTTAGTAGCCTTTTTTGTTTTTTGGCTTGCACTTAAAATATGCATTTTATTCGGTGTTTCATTTCCAGCCTTCTTCTTTTATCATACCATATTCTCTCCCTAGATGACCTCATTCAAATCCCAGGCTTTAACCACTGACTCTAAAATCTTGAACTCTATCTCATACTCTTCTTTGAGATTCAAATATTTAACTGTATATACTGTACAACTTTACCAAATTTTTACTGCTTGAAAGAATAAAGCTGATACTTCTCTTCCCATTTGGCTCCCTATTCTTATTCTTTCTGGATTTGAACCCAGAGGAGAGGAAGTATGACTAACACCTGATGAGCGTGCCAGGAAATTATTTTGAATATAGATCAAAAACTTGCATTCCTGGGCCACAGAATCAGCAGAAATAATCAAATGACCCCCTCTACTTTTCCAACCCTACGATACCTAACAATACCTCAATTTGCCAGATTCTCTACCTTTCATCCGATTACAATGGTTAGGTGGACTTCCTGTATCAGCTCCTACGCAAAGCAATGTTATGAGATGCCATCTGTTCTCACCTTTCCAATAGCTTTGCTCCTTCATATATTTCCTTTCTTCTGCATCATCAATTTCTCTTTATATGCATTTGATTATTTCCACCAGCATACCCACCCTCTTTAGTACCTGCCAGCCTTAGAGCATGACTTTGACGTCACATCTTTTTCTTTTTTTTTTAAATTATACTTTAAGTTTTAGGGTACATGCGCACAACTTGCAGATTTGTTACATATGTATACCTGTGCCATGTTGGTGTGCTGCACCCATTAACTAGTCATTTAACATTAGGTATATCTCCTAATGCTATCCCTCCCCCCTCCCCCACCCCACAACAGGCCCCGGTGTGTGATGCTCCTCTTCCTGTGTCCATGTATTCTCATTGTTCAATTCCCACCTATAAGTGAGAAGATTCGGTGTTTGTTTTTTTGTCCTTGTGATAGTTTGCTGAGAATGATGGTTTCCAGCTTCATCCATGTCCCTACAAAGGACATGAACTCATCATTTTTTATGACTGCATAATATTCCATGATGTATATGTGCCACATTTTCTTAATCCAGCCTATCATTATTGGACATTTGGGTTGGTTCCAAGTCTTTGCTATTGTGAATAGTGCCGCAATAAACATACATGTGCATGTGTCTTTATAGCAGCATGTTTTATAATCCTTTGGGTATATACCCAGTAATGGGATGGCTGGGTCAAATGGTATTTCTAGTTCTAGATCCCTGAGGAATTGCCACACTGACTTCCACAATGGTTGAATTAGTTTACAGTCCCACCAACAGTGTAAAAGTGTTCCTGTTTCTCCACATCCTCTCCAGCACCTGTTGTTTCCTGACTTTTTAATGATCGCCATCCTAACTGGTGTGAGATAGTATCTCATTGTGGTTTTGATTTGCATTTCTCTGATGGCCAGTGATGATGAGCATTTTTTCATGTGTCTTTTGGCTGCATAAATATCTTCTTTTGAGAAGTGTCTGTTCATATACTTCGCCCACTTTTTGATGGGGTTGTTTGTTTTTTTCTTGTAAATATGTTTGAGTTCATTGTGGATTCTGGATATTAGCCTTGTCAGATGAGTACATTGCAAAAATATTCTCCCATTCTGTAGGTTGCCTGTTTACTCTGATGGTAGTTTCTCTTGCTGTGCAGAAGCTGTTTAGTTTAGTTAGATCCCATTTGTCAATTTTGACTTTCGTTGCCATTGCTTTTGGTGTTTTAGTCATGCAGTCTTTGCCCATGCCTATGTCCTGAATGGTATTGCCTAGGTTTTCTTCTAGGGATTTTATGGTTTTAGGTCTAACTTTTAAATCTTTAATCCATCTTGAATTAATTTTTGTATAAGGTGTAAGGAAGGGATCCAGTTTCAGCTTTCTACATATGGCTAGCCAGTTTTCCCAGCACCATTTATTAAATAGGGGATTCTTTCCCCATTGCTTGTTTTTCTCAGGTTTGTCAAAGATCAGATAGTTGTAGATATGTGGCATTATTTCTGAGGGCTCTGTTCTGTTCCATCGGTCTATGTCTCTGTTTTGGTACCAGTATCATGCTGTTTTTGTTACTGTAGACTTGCAGTATAGTTTGAAGTCAGGTAGTGTGATGCCTCCAGCTTTGTTCTTTTGGCTTAGGATTGACTTGGCAATGCGGGCTCTTTTTTGGTTCCATATGAACTTTAAAGTAGTTTTTTTCCAATCCTGTGAAGAAAGTCATTGGTAGCTTGACGGGGATGGCATGAAATCTATAAATTACCTTGGCTTTCAACAGTGTCTTGAGATTTTGTTTTCTTTCAAAGCTAACCTTGAAAATATTTTTCTACAATAACAACCTCTAATGTCTCATTTTAAAAATTTATCCTGAACCTACTCCATCTGTACAATGCTCTGAAACTGCTCTTGTAATGTCTTCTGTTAACTCAAATCCAGAAGTCACTTTTCTGTCCTCATTTAAAAAAAAATGGTTCAACTGCCTTTGCATACACTGATCATTTCCTATTCTGCCCATACTATTTAAATTGCAAACCATTCCCCCCGATTCCCAGCACTCTAGATCCATGCTAACTTGTTTCATCTTTAAAAATATTTTCCATAAATAAATCACTCTCTATTATATGCTTTTCTTTTTTATTATGTTTATTGTTTTATTGTCTGTGTTCCTCAGTTAAACATGACTTCTAAAAGAATAGATTTTATCAGAAGCTAAAGAACTCCATTTTGAACACTTGTTATTTTGTTATTTTGGTTTTCATTATATTCTATTGGTTTTGCTTCTGCCTTACTCTCCTTACCTCTTAGTCACTTCTAAATTTTACAGGGCCCAAATACTGAATTCTTAGCTATTTCTCTGTTTTAGCCACAGTTTTTCCTTAACTATGCTCCAGTTTCATGGATTTAACCATCTCTATTCAATGGACTCCCTAATTTGTAAACACTGTCTTGACTTATCCCTGAGCTTTCCTCTCATATATGTGGCTGTCTACTTGACATCTCTTCGGTATCTGGAAGAAACTTTAACATATCAAAAATAGAACTTTTAATTTCTACCTCAAACTTATTTATTCCAGTTTTATCTATCTCATACTTGACATCCTCCATTGCTCAAGCTCCAAACATAAACTCATTCTTGATTCTCCCATTTTTCTTGTTTCTCATCAGAAAATTTATGCCTATTTGCCTTGCCCAGTCAACATCAACAGTTTCCCGTTAATACTTTCCCCTGCCCTTTTAACATATTTTCCTCCAATAGTGATCTTTTAAAAACTTAAATCATGGAATGTCATGCCATGGTACCCACCCCTCCCATTAGAAACTCTTCAACGTCTTCCTATCATACATAGAAAGCCATTTGTATGGCTTTCTCTCCTCTCCCTGGCCCAACCTAGCCTGGCTTCTATATCTTCACTCTATACCATAGTCTCTCTAACTCATTGCTCTCCAACTACACTTGGCCATCTTTCTATTCCTCAGACATTTCAAACTTCCTTATACATTAAAGACTTTTACGTCAGCTATTTTCTTTTCCTAAATCACTCTACTCTCATAGTCACAGGGTACTTTCTATTGTCTTTCAGATTTCAGTTGAAGTGTCACTTTCTTGGAGAGAACTTTCCTGACTATTTAGAGTAGCAATTGGCCAGTCTCAATGAGATCATCCTATTTTTCCCCCTTTTTTCATGTCATGAATTTTATTTCATTTTTTTTTTTTAGGTTTTTATTTTAAGTTCAAGTGTACATGTACAGATTTGTTATATAGGTAAATCACATGTCGTGAGGGTTTTCTGTACAGATTATTTTGTCACCCAGGTGATAAGCATAGTACCCAATAGGTAGTTTTTTCTTTTTTTTTTTTTTAATTATACGTAAGTTCTGGGATACATGGACAGGACGTGCAGGTTTGTTACATAGGTATACATGTGCCATGGTGATTTGTGACACCCATCAACCTGTCATCGAGGTTTTAAGCCCCACATGCATCAGGTATTTGTCCTAATGCTCTCCCTCCCCTTGCCCCCCACCCCCGACAGGCCCCAGTGTGAGATGTTCCCCTCCCTGTGTCCATGTGTTCTCACTGTTCAACTCCCACTTATGAGTGAGAACATGCAGTGTTTGGTTTTCTGTTCCTGTGTTAGTTTGCTGAGAGTGATGGTTTCCAGCTTCATCCATCCAAAGGACATGAACTCATCCTTTTTATGGCTGCATAGTATTCCGTGGTGTCTATATGACACATTTTCTTTATCCAGTCTATCACTGATGGGCATTTGGGTTGGTTCCAAGTCTTTGCTATTGTAACTAGTGCTGCAATAAACATACATGTGCATGGGTCTTTATAGTAGCATGATTTATAATCCTTTGGGTATACACCCAGTAATGGGATTGCTGGATCAAATAGTATTTCTGGTTCTAGATCCTTGAGGAATTGCCGCATTGTCTTACACAATGATTGAAATAATTTACACTCCCACCAGCAGTGTAAAACGTTCCTATTTCTCCACATCCTCTCCAGCATCTGTTGTGTCCTGACTTTTTAGTGATCACCATTCTAATTGGCATGAGATGGTATCTCATTGTGGTTTTGATTTGCATTTCTGTAATGACCAGTGATGATGGACTTTTTTTCATATGCTAGTTGGCCGCATAAATGTCTTCTTTTGAGAAGTGTCTGTTCATATCCTTTGCCCATTTTTTGATGAGGTTGTTTGTTTTTTTCTTGTAAATTTATTTAAGTTCCTTGTAGATTCTGGATATTAGACCTTTGTCAGATGGCTAGATTGCAAATATTTTCTCCCATTCAGTAGGTTGTCTGTTCACTCTGATGATGGTTTCTTTTGCTGTGTAGAGCTCTTCAGTTTAATTAGATCCCATTTGTCAATTTTGGCTTTTGTTGCAATTCTCTTGGCATTTCATCATGAAGTCTTTGCCTTTGCCTATGTCCTGAATGGTATTGCCTAGGTTTTCTACTAGAGTTTTAACGGTTTTGGATTTTATGTTTAAGTCTTTAATCCATCTTGAGTTAATTTTTGTATAAGTTGTATGGAAGGGCTCCAGTTTCATTTTTCTGCATATGGCTTGCCAGTTTTCCCAGCATCATTTCTAAAATAGGGAATCCTTTCCCCATTGCTTGTTTTTGTCAGGTTTGTTGAAGATCAGATGGTTGTAGATTTGTGGTGTCCTTTCTGAGTCCTCTGTTCTGTTCCACTGGGCTATATATCCCTTTTGGTACCAGTACCAGGCTGCTTTGGTTACTGCAGCCTTGTAGTATAGTTTGAAGTCAGGTAGTGTGATGCCTCCAGTTTGTTCTTTTTGCTTAGGATTGTCTTGGCTATATGGGCTGTTTGGTTCCATATGAAATTTAAAGTAGTTTTTTCTAATTCTGTGAAGGAAGTCAATGGTAGTTTGATAGGAATAGCATTGAATCTATAAATTATTTTGGGCAGTATGGCCATTTTCATGATATTGATTCTTCTTATCCATGAGCATGGATTTTTTTTCCCCAATAGATAGTTTTTCAATTATTATCTTCCTTCCACACTGCACTCTCAAGTAGGCCACGGTATCTATTGTTCCCTTCTTTAGATATTACCTGATTTTGTTTCCATCAGAACATTTACAAGACAGATGTTTAAAATTGTTAGTTCAGTGTTAATTTCCATAGATAGAATATAAGTTTCATGAAATTGGAAACCTTGTCTGTCTTCTTCGACACTGTCTCTAAATCCTACAGCAGTGGCACACAGTAGGTATTCAAAATTTTACTTTTTACTAAATGCATGATTTTTTTGTTGACCATTCTGATTGGTTAATAGCAGTTTTCATTTTTCCCTTCCTTGGCATTCTAACTGGCATTGCCATGGTTTGGACTCCATTTCCACACACACTATATCTCCTGGTACAATCTCACAGATCATTAAGGTTTTGTTTCCATTTTCAGTCCTCTATTTGCATTTTCTTTTGTATCATATTTATATGTCTGTCTTACAATATCATGAATTCTGTGTGTTTGTGTGTACATTTGCTATTAAACCCATCTAATAATTTTTAAGTTGAGATATATATATTATATTATGTATATTTTATATATAGGGTTCTAGGATTTCCATTTGCTTCTTACTTACAGTTTTCATATCTCCCTGAAGTTTACTATCTCTTCACTCATTATATCCATCTTTTCCAGAAGATTATTTAATAGATTCATCATATGTATTACAAAATCTTGTCTGCTAATCTCAACGTCTTGGTTATAATTTCAACATTGTGACTTCTGGGTCTGCTCCTTTTTCCACCCTTCCCCTTATCCTACTCTGATCTGTGGGGTAAATTTCTGTTTTGTTCCTAAGTCTAGTATTTTTGGATTTTATACTGAGTATTGTAAATGAGAGACTGAAGAAACTGAATTCTCTTATCTTCCTTTGAAAAATAGTAAATTTTGTTTTAGCAGGTCATTAAATTACTGGGTACATAAATTTAATATTATGAAGGCTTGCTTTAGGCGTTATTACAGTTGAGTCTATTTCAGTTGTGCCCTTACCTCTAGACAAATTTCCTTAGTTTGGGGATTTGGTCTTTATTCTTTATTTATGGCCTTTTCAGAGTTAAATGTAAAACCATCTTTATCATTCTCCTCTAACTTAGTGAAATTTTAAGTCTAAATTCTGTCTTCTCAGAAGCAGGCAATTTTTGAAATGTCATCTCAGCTCTTTCAACCTTCCAGCTATTGTATTCTGTGGTGCTTGGAGTCTCATCCATGCATAGATCATTCAGGAATCAGCTTTTGAATTGAAGAGAATTTTTTTTCTTTCCTTTTTTTTTTTTCATATCTATTCCTTCTTTGTGCCTATCTCTTTTCTGTCATTGCCCTTTTCATTTTCCTGCCATCCTAGCTACCCTAAATTCCACTTTCTGTTTCCTCATACTTTTTCTGTATGCGATATGAACTAGTAGTGGCCCTGTGACCCCAAAAAATGTGTAAGCCTGCATCTCACCTAAATTATTCCCCCTTTTCCAGGGTCACATTATGTCCAGTTTCTGTTTACTGTTGATTAAATTTCAGTGCCTATAGTTTTTTTTAAACATATTTTGCCAAAGTTTCTCATATTTTCAATGGAATGTTTACTATAATACAGACTACTTTTACATTACCCTATTACTGGTTTATTAAATATGTGATTTGTAGCAATTGTAACTTATCAGGAATTGCTTTTAGTTCATTATTTTTATATTATTAATCACAATACCTTATTTACAATTCTGAAATCTCTAATTTTTTTTTTTTTTTAGATGGAGTTTTGCTCTTTGTTGCCCAGTCTGGAGGGCAATGGTGAGAACTCCATTCCCTGCAACCTCTGCCTCCCGGGTTCAAGTGATTCTCCTGCCTCAGCCTCCCGAGTAGCTGGGATTAAAAGCATGTGCCACGACGCCCGGATAATTTTGTATTTTTAGTGGAGACGGGGTTTCTCCATGTTGGCCAGGCTGGTCTCAAACTCCCAGCCTCAGGGGATCTGCCCACCTCAGCCTCCCAAAATGCTGGGATTACAGGCGTGAGTCACTGCGTCCGGCTGAAATCGCTAATGCTCTTTAAAGCAAATGTTTTTAGTTAACTTATTTGGTGACTTTATATGTTAATTTGCTCTAGTTGGTACAAATATCTACATACTTATGTTGAAGACATATTAATATTTTTCATTACAATATCCTACCTCACACCCTGCTGGGAGTATTATGAAGTATAACTATATATGGAACACAATTTATTTCTAAAATACAGAAAATCAAAAATTCCCAAACATAGCTGGCTTCAAGGGTTTCAGATAAATGGTTGTCAAATTATATCAAATTTTAGCAGGAAAATAAATTTCTTGCTTCTGATCTAGATTAGAAACATAGATAAAAGTGTCTTTGGTAGGAATTACTTCCAGTTTTGCCCAAATAATCAGCACGTAGTTGATCTGGAAAGAGACAGTAAGGAGCTGATAAAAAGCTAGTGTTAACATACCTTCCAATTTAAAAAAGTCTTTGCTAATAGTATTAGTTGTAAACTACCCATTTGAGTCAGGTAGTTTGTCTATATTACTTTATTTTTCCTGACAATGATTGGGGTTTAAATAGACTAGGTATGTGGAACTAAGTTCAATAAATTCTGCTGAGCTCTCCAGTCTGAAGTCATTAATTTGTCACTCAGTGAGCTCTTGTCTGTTGTATTAGCATTATAGCCTGTGACTTTATGTTCTGTAGTTATTATTGTCTCTTTTCTTAGGTGAGGTCTAATCTAACTGAACAATCTCGGTTGAACATTTTAAATCAGTAATGTTAGAGCATCCCTACAATAAACATTTCCAATTGTGAACACTAATAACAAGTATTTAGGGATCTTTGATAAACTTCTGTTTATGATCTTTTATTTATTATGGGGTGAATATTGTTTCTGAGAAGTCCTTTTGAAAATGGAATGTGTTTTTGTGTTTTTAAATTTCCAGAGAAGATTCTCGGTGCATTTATGTTAGGGCACTTTCCAAAGTCAATCAGGAACATTCTAGAAATGAAAAATGTTTAAGTCCAAATCCCCTCATATTACTGTTTAAAAACCCCCACAAAACTGCAGACCACGCAATTAGAATGTTGCAGCCCTTAAAATATGAGGCCATATTTCTACTACAGTTAATTGATTTTACATCTGGCATGTTAAAAAAATTTATGAATTTTTTTGAATAGTGTCTTTGTTTATACTTTAAAGGCTGAAAATGAATTCTCTATATCATCCTTGAGCAGAAATAATCTGCTTTAAAAATGTAATGTGACTTTAAAAGTAAATCTGAATAAGTATTTCATAAGCTGCTGAATAGGAATGATTTCTTTAAAATGCATGGAGAGTTTTGGAAATCTCTCATGTATAGAAAAATAACAGTAATTTATAACAATTAATTAACAAATTATGAGAAGAAAAAAAACAGTGGCAAGTGTTTAAAAGAAAAATGACATTTAAGTGTATTTAAAAGTATTAAAAAAATAAGAATTCACATTTATAATCAGTCAAATACCTCTCTTTTAGATAAGCAGAGAAGGAAAAGGAGAGAGAAAGGGCTAACATGTATTAAGTAGCATGTACATAGTAATAATAGCTAATAATTATTGAGCTCTTATTATGGGACAAGTGCTGCTCTAAACAGTTAACATGCATTTATTATTTTAATCCTCACAAATACTCTATGAAGTCACTTGATTATTATCCTCACTTCTCAGATGAAAACAAACAAACAAACAAAGCTGAGATGCAAAGAGGTTCAGTACTTGCCCAAAGTCATATGCGAAGATGTGGTAGAACTGGGATTCACACCCAGGCAGTCTGGCTCCAGAGAGTGTGCACTTAAACCTTATGATATATGGCCTCTTCCAGTATTGAATGCTTACTCTGCTAAAACAGTTTTAAAGGATTTACATCCATTATATCTTTTAAATTCAATAGAAAAGAGGTAAAGCACGGACTCGCTGGACTATCTTACATCAATACATTAGTTAGCTGCCTATGTCTGTCAGGACTGCTACTCTGGCTTCTACCACAAAGTGATTAAGAGACAAGTAAGATATTTATGGAATGATAAGTTTCTGGTATTTCCTTATCAGGAACTTTTCCTGAATATGTATCTTGTGTAGTTTTAGCCAAAATATACAAAATATTTTCAAATGCCTCACCACTAAGAACTACCTTGCATTCTGCCGTAGAAATCAGGCCATCTTTATTTGGGGAAAAAATGTCTTTGGCTCAAAGAAACATACTGAAACCAGCTTTTTAATTTTTCTTGGCATTCTTTTAAAATTTACCTAAAGATGAGATTGAATGATTCACTGAGTAGTGATTGGATTATAATGCAACGTCTTTGCACAAAAAGTAGAATGTCTTTGATTAATTTACATTTTTTCCTAAGTCATTTATTTGGCTTGAATGTTCATTGGAACCATATATCATTAAGACAACTTATGAGTATTGGATGATATGTGCACACAGGTTTTTATAAAAACGTTTGTATATAAAAACTATGTTGACATAGTTAACATAGTTTATGTTATTTTCTGCCTTTAATGTTTTATAGATATGAAAAATATGTGATAGAGGAAGTTAAATGATCTTTTCAATAAATTACTCATTCTGAATAGTCCACAATTTTTACTTTAATGTTGTAAAGTTATAAGCCAGTGTGACAATCACTATTTGAGATGTAATTATGAGCAACATATTATATAGAAGAAGCGTATGTCTTAAACTGAGAATGATCAGAGAAGCATACTAATTGGAATTCAATCAGGAAAACAGAAACCATTATAAGGAAGAAGGAGCCATAGCAATAATGAAGACAAAAATGATGACTATCTGAGTGAAGTCATTGGCAAATTAACTGAAGGAAAGAAAGATGAAAAAATACAAAGGAGAAATATTTGTCAGCATAATACATGAATGATTCAGGGAAGGGCAAGGGCTTCTGGTTTGGCAGCTGAGCAGATGTTACCATTCACCAAGATAGGAACATAGGAGGAGAAACAGGCTAGGAAGGAGTGAGGAAGGAAACAGTTTGAATGTGAGTCTCTGTCTTTTTGGTCATCTGTATAGACAAGCACAATAGGTAGATAAATATCTGGATATGGAGCCAAACCAGGAGATAGGTTAAGAGCCAAAATTATGGATAAAATGAATCAGTTAGGGTTCTCCAGAGAGAAACAGAACCAATTGTGTGTGTGTGTGTGTGCGCGCGCGCTCGCGTGTGAGATTTGTTTTAAAGACTTGGCTCACAAAATTGTGGGAGCTGGCAAGTCCAAAATCTTTAGAACAGTCTGGCAATCTGGGAACTAAGAAAGGAGTTGATACATAGTCTTGAGGCTGAACTTCTATTTCTCTGAGAAACCTCAGTTTTTGCTCTTAAGGCCTTTCAGCTGATTGAATGAGCCCCACTCACATTAGTAAAAGGTAACTCCTTTAGTTAAAGTCAACTGTTTGAAGGTGTTAACCACATCTTCAAATTACCTTCACAATAAAACTGAGATTAGTGCTTGATTATGTAACTGTGTACCACGTGCTAGTCAAGTTGACACATTAAAAACTAACCCCCAACCTATGGAAGCAACAGATGAACTTCTCAAATAGAGAAAGCAATGAGTAAATATCAAGGTGGTTAAAAGCTTGGGCTTTGGAACAAAAAGGGGCCTGAGCTCAAATTTTAGTTTTACTATTTTGTGAGTGTGGCTTGCTTTTGTAAACCCAGCTTCAGCATCTATAAAGTGGTAATAATATTTTCTATCTCGGATTAATTGTGAGTATGAAATGAAATGATACGTAAAGGAATTGTCACATGCCTAGCATGCATTAAAGTGTTCAAGTGATATTAGCTACAAAATGGATTATTTTTATGATAGGAAATTTATGAAGATAACTATATGCTGATGAATAAAAGTTTATGTTTTGAGAGAAGTTGAAGCTAGCGAGATAATGATTGAGTAAATGTCAGTGGTGGAGTGGGGGTGGTGAAGGGAAGAAAGTGAGACTTGCAACACAACTCAGAGGATTAATCCTGAACAAAAAGATGGGAGAAAAGTTGAATATGGTCATATGTGCTGGCCTGAATTGTCTCAGTGAAAAATGGTGAAAGGTTATTTGCTGAGAGACTTTGATGGCTTCAAAAGTGGTTATGATTCTCTGAGGAATGAAAGAGTTTAAGAAAGATATTATTATACTTATTATAATAATATCGTATAATACATAGGACTTGTCCCATACATAGTCCCAAGATTTAAGAAAGATATTATGATACTTTAAGTTCTAGGGTACATGTGCAGAACATGCAATTTTGTTACATAGGTATACACGTGCCATGGTGGTTTGCTGCTGACGTGTAAAATAACACTTAGGGTCAGTTAAGATTTGTGTGGTTAGGTAATTGTAAATATCTTTAGGGCAGGGCACATATTTTTCCTGTTTGTGATTTGGCAAACTATAAGTAATTGGTAAACATTTCCTTGATTGTAATACTCTTTTCTCTACCTGCCAAGCAGCTGGGTTATAAAAATAGAATGTCAAATGGAGTAATTGATCCAACTGTGAGACTTTGATGTGTGCAGTTGAATGATATAAGGACCAGAATAACAAATATACTAGTGTTTATCTTTAAGGAAATATAGTGTAGGTTCAAAAAAGAAATACCTACAGGAGCAAAAATGGACAGATAAAAGGGCATTCTGGGAGTAAGTGTGTTGGAGACCAGAAAGGATGGGAGGTAGTTGTTGGAAACTGGAGTTGGAACAGAAGACTTGAAAAGAAAGTGAAGAAAATCAGTAGGTAACACTATGGTAAAAGTGGGATTGAGGGGAAGGAAGGATGCTAGTGTTCAGAAAATCACTAAACTTAGGCACAAGTCCAGCCAGAATGAAGAGCAGTAGAGGACTTGGGAGAAGCCTTCCCCAGTGATGGCAGGAAGAGCAACAAAGTCTGCATGGGATCTTGACTGCTAGATGGCGCAGAACCCTTTAGCATCAGGATGAAGGACATTGGCTTAACCTCAGTCTTCTATTCCTAAGTGCTGTGGTTTTCCAGAAAAAAACATAAGATTTATTACCTAAAGCTAATTCTGGATAAAACCAGTGGGAGTACATAAGCTGAGAACACCTGGAAATTCTATCTTCTTCCAAAGTCCAGTTGGCTGACAAGTGTTCCCTCAATTTACCAATGAACTTCAATTTATGAAGCCAACCCCAAAACTCTTCCCTGCAATATGGCAAATCCTTTGTATCAGAAGTTTTCATATAATGTTAAATCTCGAAGAGAAAGACTAGTGAGCTTGTTTCCAGTCTAATATGAATGACAATAAGTGGCTGAGAGTAATAGAAATCCAGTGAAGCAAAAGAGGGGGTTTCCAATAGAGAAGAGGAATAAAATATGTGGTGCCATACTGGGAAGCTGGGAAGATACAGTATCTACTCTAGGCAAGACGGATGATCCTCAGCAAAAGTCAGGCTTTAGATAAACAAGGAGGTGCTGGGGGTAATCTGAGAGGAGGGTAGGAATCAAGAAAATATTGTTTTTAAATTAAATCTGAGCTCAGAAAATATCACGGAAAGAAAGAGAAGCAGTGGAATAATAAGGGAAGGAAATTGAGGAGAATAGGTATGAGGGCACTGTGTCATTAATGGTCTTATAATTTCCATAATATTGTAGAGCAATGTAACTTTATACTAAATGCTATTAATGAGAAGACTGTGTCAGGATTAGTAATCTACACAGACAATACAAAAAATCTGCCTTACGTACTTGTATGTAGAAGCTTCCTTGATTAACAGATATACTTCTTACATGGATGAATGTTAATGGAGAACATATATATATATATATATATATATATATATATATATATAAAATACCCATGATATTATTCTTTTCATACCTTTAAATCACAACTGTATAATGCTTGAATACATCTGGACTATTATAGAATTAATTTCCATTTGTTAAGTAGTACCCTGCTGACCTGAAAGAGAATCAAGGCAGTCTGCAAAAGTATTTAACTTACAACCAGCAGGTAGTTAGAAGAATTTGCTGGCACATGTTCTTAACAAAATATTTAATAGAAGAAACAGAAAAAGGAAAACTATGTCATTTTCCAAAACATGGCAACCAATGAAAATCAACACATATATCAGTTTGCTCACTTTATTGGTAATAAATATCATTTTTAAAATATGTTGCTTATAGAAAAGATGCATATTCCTTAATCGATAGGTCATTTTCACCACTTGTAATTCTCTGCCTTTCTATTACCTCCATTTAATCATTTTATTTATTTATTTATTTTGCATATGTGTGATTCACCTCATCAAAGCAACTATAAGCTTGTTTAAAATCTAAGAGAATTCCTGGGGTTAAACTCATGTAACTGTGGATGGAGATAAGACTGGAAAATTTGTGGAGCAAGGGGCATAATTAATATCATGCTGTATAAACATGGTGCATCTGATTTGGTATTCTGTCTGTGCAAGGAACTCTCATAGCTGATTTGTAGAAAGCCAGATAGGATATATATGACATAAAGCAATTAAGACTATCACTGAAGTCTTCTTACCTTCTGCCAATAGCTCTCATTCTATCCATGTACATTTTCCTCATTATTTCTTAGTTATAAAGAGTTGTATATATGTGCCTGTTTAAGATGAGGTTTTACTTCATTTTATTTTCCACCTGAGTTTTTTCAGCCTATACAAATGTCTCCTGCATCTCCTTTCATAATGTTAGAGTTTGCAGTGATATCCTATCTCCGTATCTACCTTGTCCTAATGTGCTGAGCCTATCCTTTTATGGATGGCCCTCATTTGTTGATCATATTCCTTGCTTTTTTTTGGGCGATGTTCAGTTATTTAAAGTACCAATGCATCAGGGGAGGACAACCTTTTGTCTTTAGTTTCTGTCATCCTTCCAGATGCTGCCCAGGAGTCAGCGTTCCCTTTTTACTCACACAGCCTTATGTCTCTGGGAGCAGCCTATTTCATCCTCATTGTTTCCTGGACAGTAACTGATTACTTGGTTACCACTGGGTTAGAATGAAGTTTGGTTTCTATTCCCCTAAATATGTATGCGGACACTTGTCTACCTTGATCTTATTTTCTGCTGTCTTGTAGCTTACAGAGCCTTCTAAGGAATGAATGCAGTAAAGAGAATCCCCATCAGCTTGATTTTTCTCAAAATTTTTAAAAAGTGAATTATGTTGAATAAAAGCCTGTGGTAAAGACAATGTTACAGAATGAAATCTCTGCTTTTCTTCTCCCATTTAGGGGAAGAAAGGCGGTTCTGTAAGAGTTAGCCCACGATGATTCTCTATGTGTATAATTTTATCATTGCTCAAACCTGTTCATCAGTAAAAGAAAAATATATATTAAAGAAGAATCTTTCAATAATTATAAGACCTTTCTCCACAGTACTTCATTACAGTGCATCATGGGAATGCAGGGTATTGTATAAGCGTTGACTCAAGAGTCAATGGCCCAGCTCCAAATCCTGACCAAATCCTCCTGTGTCTTTTGTGGGGAACAAACTTAACTTCTCTGTACCTGTATTTTCCCATTTTTAAGAGGAGAAATAGTAGATATGTCCAGCAGCATTGTGAAGCTAAAATGAATTGAAAATTATGCTTGCCTCATAGTTAGTGTTCAATGTAAGTATGACGCTTACTAGGTTGATGAAATAATGCAGAGTACTTCTATAAAAGAAACGTGTTTATAAATACTACACACAGTTTTCATGTCCTGGTTGGTTATCTTATTTTCTTCTTAAAGTCAAAAACATTTGCAAGTTTGAAATTCCAAGAGGTTTTCAGAGTATTTTTATGGATAAGGGTATAATGAAATAAAAGTAACATAGGCCACCTTGAAATGGGATAAAAATTATGTAGTGATGGTTATGAAAAATGAGTGCCCAGAATGAATTCTTTATTAACAAAGATTTTCCTAAAATAATGCAATGTAAAAACTTAGTTTTGATTTTGGAGTTATGCATGTTATAATATATAACAAATAAGTGATTAAAACACCATGTAACTCTAAATGTAATAACTTTTATTTAACTGATGATACAAGAGATATGGGAAAAATATTTTCCCACAGGGAGGAACTGAGATCTTAAGCAATTGGCATAAAGAATAAGGCAACTATTGAGTTAACATCAGCCTCAGAATAGTTTTAAACAAATTATTAGGCAAAAAATGGCACCATGGGTTTAAACATTTTACTAAATATCAGAGTAGACATTAATTTCTGTTTTGTTCCTTTATATCAATAAATTAAAAGGCTATTGTTGTCTTAAAGAAGTTAAGACACAATTTTAGTGGGTTATGTAGACTTTATGCACTTTTCTTAATAAACTGAAAATATACGAAACGCACACACACATATATAAAAATATTTCAAAATATTAGCCTCTTCTCCTGAGGTACTGCAAGGACACCTACAGGTGGCAAAGACAAGAGCAATAAGCCATTTAATTTGAGATGATTTTGACAACTTGCTGACATTGAGTTATTTTTTTGCTTAAGTTATGAAATCATATTTGTTATGTCAAATACAAACATGGAAGAAAATTTATGGATATGGAATTGTAATGATGAATAAGCATCTTCATTTTTAATTGCAACAGTGGAAGGAGATATCTGGAAAATTTAGAGTCTACATATTTTCCTTGCCTATCTAGTAAGCAGCTTTTTACCTAGGTACATAAATTTTCCTCAATGAGAAAGCAAATGCATTTGTGTGGTCTTGCAAACCCATTAGAATTTATATTAATACTCTTACCATAAAATAAGATTTTGGTGGGGAGGAAATTTGCAGAAGAATGTTAGAGAAATAGAAGAATGTGCTGGAAGGGAGATTGAAAATGAATATCATTTCTTGATAAAGAAATAGACCAAAATGTGTAACATGGTTTTGAGGTAGAAGAAATTCTACATACAGTAAGCAGCTTACAGATATTGGCACATTATTTAAACAAAAAGAGTGCTTGCTAAAACACTACCATGCAATAGATTCATACATTTCAGTTTCAATTAGCAGCCTCATTTATTACCCACCAAGATGTGAAACCGCAAGGTGAGGTTAAAGTGTCACCGAGGGTGTCTTCATCACTTCAATATCATTGCCTTAAAAGGCACTGACCAGAAGAAGCAGATGACCTCATTTCAAAATTATTACAGTACAGAGAACTCAGTTTCAACATTATAATTCATTTTATCATGGAATATTTCAAATTTATTATCAGTTTCCTAACACATAATGGTTAATCGTTAAGGATAGCCACTTTAACATAATATGAATACGCATTTCTCCATAGGTAATACAACAGTTCCTGCATTAGCATTATTGACTAAGGTACATTTAACTTCTTCACTAATACTTAATGGAAGGTTAATGTATAAGTCAGGAGATTAAATGGCTTTTACTTAAAACAAGTATATTGATTAAAATAACTTAGTGAGATTTTTAAGGTTGATGATATAAAAACAGTCACACATTTTAATATTTTATTTAATATTAAGAGCAAATTGTAGGGTGCAACAGATCAAGATTAGTGGAAGTTATTGCACTAATTGCTTGTGGAACTAATTCTTGCTCACTGTTAACAAATGGATATTGTATACTGAAAGGCAACAAATCATCCTGGTTATTTCTAGTGTTCAAGGAGTTTCTCTGTTTAAGAATTTCTATTGTTTCTTGCAATGTCCTTCAGGAATGTCTTCCTTGTATCTTACACCTGGCACCATTAAAAGATAAAATAACCTTCCCAAAACAGAGCTACTATTCAATGTCAATGATATGTAGCTCCATTTCCTTTTTTCATGCTATTGTTATTTAAATCTGTGTTAAACCTAATACATGGAATACTTGCAGTGAATTAACCAATGTTACTTTACCATTTCCTTTCTTTCCTCAAAATCCAATATTCCACCAAGTATAGTATACTGACAAATCGGCCTTGTAATAGTATGACATATGATGCCCCAGATCATTTGTTTCTCTGATTCTGTTTCTGTCTAGACATACTCAGACACCTCATCTATTCATCTCTTTTGTTTAGGTAGCACAAAGTTACACCTGCAGGGTCTTGCTCAGTTTTAACCTGAGCTTTGTATCAAAGGAATTTGATTGTAAGAAATAGTGACCAGGGCCTGTGTAAATATTGTGCCAGTGTAACTGCAGAGTGAATAACTTATAGCAGGTTTGCAGTTTATTCTAGAACTGAAAGCAGAGTGGTAAATTAGGCAATAAAAATTTACAATGCGAAATATATAGCATAATATGGATGCAATCTATGCTAATAAAAATGCTAACACTTACCTAGTACTTACCAGAGCCAGGGAATAATTCTAAGTGCTTTGAGTGTAATAGTCATTTGCAACTCAACACAATCTCATACATGGATAATTCTCACTATTTCTAACTTACAAATGGGAAACCAAGGCATAGGAATGTTAAGATACTGAGGCTTAGAACTATTCCATAAATTGCCCATGGCCATGCAGCTAATAAGAGACTTAACCAGGAGTCTAACCTAGGCAGTGTGTTCTTCAGGCCAGACTCTTACTAACTATACCATACTAAGTCCCAAGATTTGAAAACAGAAAGACTTCAGTTGAAACTACAAGACTGCTGTTCATCGTTTCAAGTCTGATATCGTTATCTAGTAAATAGATAATGGTAACATCTCTAATACAAGGTTGTTGTGAGAAGAAAGGAAAGCAATCTATATAACCCGGCTAGCATGCTACCTATCACATAATAAGGTCTCAGTAAATTAGAACTGTTACTACTATAATTACTATAATTATTTTAATTGCATACATTCTTTTATTCATCCAACAGACTTTTATTTAGTTAATGCTAACCATATGTTTGTGCTAAGTGTTGGTAAATAGGAGCCCTTGAGCTCATAGTTTTGTAAGGGGCAACAGACATGCAAACAATTAATTCTAGTTACATGATAAGTACAGTGATAGATGTATTCAGGCACAGGAGAGCAAGTAAAACATCTGGTAGCATCAAGGAAGGCCTCACCGATATGATATGTGGCATACTTATATGGTTTACCATCCTGTACGTTTTCTCAGGTTGAATAATGAATAAACCAGCTACAGACATTGCAGATTTATTCAGTTCACTGCCAGATTAGAAAAATCTTAAAATAAAAGGAAAAAAATTCAAGTTTTGTGCTATCAAACAGATGAATTTGATAAATATATTTTACTAAAGATTCTAGTAAGCTGAATTTACAACACTCTTTCTTAAAACATGAGAATCTGTGAAATATATGAACAATAGCCTTTCTCTCATAATGTTATTCTTGTGGTCATGATATAAATTATATTCTGCCTGGTGAAGCATTTTCTTACTTTAAACGAAAATTACTGTAGCTAAATTAGTGTGAAATTTTAAAAATTACAGACAGGAATACCATTTTATCAGAAAATTGTATAAGATGGAATTTTTAAGATTTACACATACATAAAGTATGTCCAAGGTAATGTTGAAATATGATTAAATCTTTATCAAATTGTTTTAACATTTTTGCTTTCTTCAAGTATGAGGGGAAGAAAGTGATTTGATTTTTAATGTGTTCTAATAAACAGGACCAGGGTTCTGTGTTAACCAAGGGTGATTGTTCCTGAGAGAGTAGAGAATATTCCCCTAAGAGCTTTGTTAATAAAACATGGTTTTAAACGAGCGTTTTAGAAAAAAAAATTGCTTTCATTATTCAAAGTGAATTTCAATGCATCCATTAAGCATTCTGAATTGGAAAACATTTTAAAATATGGTTCCAAATTTATTCTCCTCTTTTTTCCCCTTTGGTCTACATTTGAAATATTAGAGAGGGAGATGAAATAACACTTTTAGGGGTTTACCTATCTCACTCACATGCTTTCTTTTATTTGTCACACTGAGACTTAGTTTACTGGGAGTAGGAATCTTGGCTCTACTGAGATTTCAATATCTAACTCTATGAGTAGCTGCTAAGTGTCTCAAGTAACTACCTCCTAAAACTCATACCGGCAATATAACAGCACATTTAAGTTGGAATATTTCTTATTCATAATCTAAATGCCACATCGGTTCTCATTTTTCTAATTGCCAGTATCTCATTCTCATCCTCCTCAGTCTTTTCCATATCTTCTTTTCAATACTTATGGGCTGTATTGTGTCCTGACCCTGCCAAATTTTATATACTGAAGTATTTCAGTATATACCACATCCTCAGTACCTCAGAGTGTGACTGTATTTGAAGTCAGGCTGTTTACAGAGATAATTATGTTAAAATGAGGTCGTGAAGGTGTGTTCTAATCCAATATAACTGGTGCCTATTGTGGGAAAAGAAAATTTGGACATAGACACGTACAGAGGAAGAAAATGTGAAGACATAGGAAGAACACAGCCATTTACAAGCCAAGGAGAGAGGGCTAGAATAGATCCTTCCCACGAGGTCTTCAGAAGAAACCAACCCTGCCAGCCCTTTGATCTTGGATTTCCAGCCTCTAGAACTGTGAGAAAATATGTTGCTGTTTTTAAGCCTCCCAGTTTGTGGTATCTTGTTATGACAGCCCTAGCAAACTCATATGCCAACTGATATTTTTGCGTTTTTGTTTATAAATACATATGTTCCTGAGACCTTCATAGTTCATCTACCATATTGTGTGCATTTGCAATGTGTCATTTAAAAGAACCCCAAATACAGATTCTGTATACAGAAACAACAATGACTAAAAAAATACATGTATATATGTGTTTTTATATACAAATATACTGGTATGGTTGCCAGATACAATATAAGATGACCAGATAAACATGAATAAATAGCAAATAACATTTTTAGTATAAGTATAACCCAAATATTCATGAAACATTCTTGTACTAAAAAAAGTTATTCTTTATCCAGAATTCAAATTTAATTAGGAATCCTATATTTTATTTACTGAATCAGGCAACCATATTTACTGTCACATTTTTAAATGATGAATTTATGAATTCTTTGTGATTTTTACTTATTAATATTTATGATTGATGTAGATTGGCTGTGTCCCCACTGAAATCTCATCTTGAATTGTAACTCCCACAATTCCGACGTGTCGTGGGAAGAATCCAGTGGGAGGTGATTGAATTATGGGGGTGGGTCTTTCCTGTGCCATTCTCATGATAGCAAATTAGTCTCACAAGATCTGATGGTTTTAAAAAGGAGCGTTTCCCTGCACAAGCTCTCTCTTTGCCTGCCACCATTCACATAGGATGTAACTTGCTCCCCCTTGCCTTCTGCCATGATTGTGAGGCCTCCCCAGCCATGTGGAACTGTAAGTGCAATCAAACCTCTTCCTTTAGCAGCATGAAAACAGACTAATACAATGAACTTTCTCAATTAAGGGTATTTCTCTTTTTTCCATCATCTTTCTGTAATGAATGGATCTCAGACCCCATTATAGTACCTATGCTGTTTGTTATACCTTCCTCAAATTATAACCTCTACACTTAGAGACTCCAGTTTGCTATATATAATTTTTTTATAAAAACCACTTCATTTGAAAAAGTAAGTATTTTGACAAATTAAACCATACAGAAGATATTGATAATGTAGTTTAATAATTAAAAAATACATTCCAGCCTGGCGCAGTGGCTCACACCTGTAATCCCAGCACTTTGGGAGGCCGAGGCAGGCGGATCATGAGGTCAGGAGATCAAGACCATCCTGGCTAACATGGTGAAACCCCGTCTCTACTAAAAATACAAAAAATTAGCCAGGCGTGGTGGCAGGCACCTGTAGTCCCAGCTACTCAGGAGGCTGAGGCAGGAGAATGGCATGAACCTGAGAGGCAGAGCTTGCAGTGAGCCAAGATTGTGCCACTGCACTCCAGCCTGGGTGATAGAGCGAGACTCCGTCTCAAAAAAAAAAAAGAAAAATACGTTCCATAAGCTTTCACAAAGCATGAAAATTATTTTGAAACATAATGCCTGAAAATAATGTTGAAACATAATATCTTATCAAAAGGTAAATGAGACCATACAGGTACTTTTATACTACAAAAAGTATAATTTGTATTAGTTTGCAATCGTAGACTTTATAATTCATTGCATTCTATAGGGATTTATCCAGCAGAATTAAAGAAGAAAAAAGAGATAAATACTTAAAGGAAAGACTGTATGTTTTATTCTATCAAAAGATTGAAAAACAATAATGACATACTACTTCATAACCAATAGAGTGGCTGTAATTTTAAAAACTGAAAATACTATGTGTTGGCAGGATGTGGAACACCTAAAACTCTCATACGTTTCTATTAGAAGTGTTGATTCAACCACTTTGGAAAATTGCTTGTTTATTTTATATAAATAAGCAGAAACCTTGTGACCCAGCAATTCCACTGATATTTGATTTTAAAAATTAAAACATATGTTCACACATAGACTTGTTCATGAATGTTCCTAGTGCCTTCATTCATAATAGCCCAATATTGGAATAAAACTCAAGTGTCCAGCAGAATTTATCAGCAAGTAGTGGTATATTTATACAATGGAGAGGAACAAAGTACTCATATATTCATTATGTGGGTGAATTTAAAAAATTGTGTACTGAGTGAAAGAACTAGATACAAAACAGTGCAATTTGTTGACGCTATAGGAAATTCTATAATGTGTAAAATCAATCTATAGTAACAGATATCAGGAAGTGGTTACCTGGAGTAGGTAGAAAGGGGATAGGAGGCAAAAAAGCAGGAGGAAGCTTTCTGGAGTAATGGACATTTGGGGTGATTGGAGTGATGGTGAAACGGGTGTACATATTCTCTACAATTTATCAAACAACACGCTTAAAATCTGTGCATTTTACTGCATGTAAATTATACTTCAATATAAAAAGATTATTGGGGTAAAACAAATCAAAATAAAAAGATTTAAAACATTTTAAGCTTGGCTTTGTGTATCTACATATCAAAACAACATGGTTTGGTTTTAAAAGACTCTTCTATGAAACATTTTAAATAATCAGATTATAATGCACACAGATGGGTCCTTTCTCTGCTGGCCTTTTCACTGGTCAAATCGATAGGGATCACAGGCGAGGCTGAACTGAACGCCTTCTAAGAAGTGCTCTCCAAGTATTTTAATGCATTATAAAACTTGCCATACCTCTGTAAAAGGATCTTGAATCCACAGAATGCTTTTTATGGAAAGTTTGCCTTCAGAATGAAAGGAATGTTTCTGGTTTATAGACACTCTCATTTAGTCACTCTTCCTGCTATTTGTTTTACCAGGTCAACATAATTCAATACTGTAAAGTAGGTATTATAGATTGTATCTTTCTTGTGATGTACATCAAGCATTGATGCAATTGCTCTCAAGTAGTATTTAAACACTGAATATTCATGAGTCTATTCAGAGTTCTGCATAGAGCTGCTTAGGTAAAAGCTCTAGCCTCTAAGACTTTGTGATCTGAAACAAATTATAAATATTCAGAATCTCTTATAAATTAAGGTGTGAACATAACATTGAAATACTACCAAGACAATGTGGCTTAACGGAATAATTATGAACTTAATTCCTGGGGCTTCCTTGCCCATGCAAAGCAGGAAGTTGAAGCATTCTCTTTGCCTGTATTTTAGTTGCTTTTGGCAAAAACAGAAACTCTAATTTTTATATAAACTACTAAGATTTTCTGTATTATGCTTATATTACAGCTAACATTTGTTGAGCACTTATTCTGCAGCAGGCATAGTTCTAAGCAGTTTACGCATACTTACTTATTGTCTACTAACATCAAATCCTAATAAGGAGATTTTAATGTCTTCATTCTAAAGGTAGAGAAAATGAAGTACAGAGAAAAAAAGGAATAAAGAGACTATTATCTTTGGAGGAATATTAAGTAAATCTAAAATATGATTTTAAGTGAATTGCAGTACTGCTCAGGCTGTTATAACAAACTATTATAGACTGGGTATCTAAAATAATAGATAATGTATTTCTCACAGTTCTGCAGGCTGGGAAGTCAGCCATCAGAATTCCAGGGTTTGTTGGGGACCCCTTTCTGGCTTGCAAGTTGCTGCCTTCTTGCTGCATCCTCACATGATGGAGAGAGAAGGATCTCTGTTCTCATTTTCCTCTTATAGGGACACTAATTCCCTTTACCTCATCTAAACTTGGTTACCTCCTGTGTTAGTCTGTTTCTGCTGCCATAACAAAATATCTGAGACTGGGCAATTTATGAATAATAAAAATTTATTTCTCACAGTTTTGGAGACTGGAAAGTACAAGATCAAGGTCCTGGCAAATTCAGTGTCTGGTCAGGACCTGCTCTCCGGGATAGCACCTTGTTGCTACATCCTGCAGAGGGGATGAATACTATGTCCTCACACAATGAAAGGGATGAGGGTACGGAGCAACTCCTAGAAGCCTTTTTTATAATGGCATTAATCCCATTCATGAAGATGGAGACCTCATGATCTAATCTCTCCCCGCGAAGCCCTCCCTCTTAATACCAACACAATGTGGATTAAATTTCAACATTTTGTAGGGACATAAACATCCAAGTTACTGCACCTCCCAAAGGCCCCACCTGCAGATACTGTCATGCTGGGGATTAGGGCTTCAATATATGAACATCGGGGGACATAAACATTTAGTCTGTCACACGAATCTTGTGGAAAATCATACACAGCTTTGCATGTATATGTATGAGAAAGAAATGTTTATGACAAAATTATTGTGTGTTTGAAGACTCCTAAATCCCTAAATAGTCAGCCTGAGAGCTCCTAGTCTTACCTCTACCAAGCACAGTCTCAATCACTGTCTGAGTCCTCACCTCCACGTTTCTGCCATGGTGAGTACAAGAGGGGTGAAAGGAGTAACTTTCATTTTTATCCCACTGCCCCTCTAAAAGTGTTATTCGTATTTTTGTCTTGTTGATTTAATATTTGTGATAAAAACATCTATATTTGGATATTACCTGGGCGAATGTGGGTCTGGTAATTTTAAAACTATGCTATAAAGTAGTTTTGCATAAAAAGGTGTGACCACAATATAGAGACATACAAGCAGATGTATAAGAGCCACGACTTTATTTTTTAATG
The DNA here is from genome assembly GCF_000001405.40 of Homo sapiens. Lineage (NCBI taxonomy): Eukaryota > Metazoa > Chordata > Mammalia > Primates > Hominidae > Homo > Homo sapiens. The sequence goes on from NC_000005.10 coordinate 51,693,611, forward strand.
CAGTTTAGTATCTGGGGCTATGGGAGGTTTTTATGGCTAGAATCTTCTACAAATATATTTCTTATAGCATATTCTGTCAGTAAATATTCAAACAATAATTTAAAAATAATTTTGGAAAATGATTCTTCATATATGGCCTGAATGTGAAGGTCTACTGAGGTTTATTTGTCTACAAAGGTACACATTAATTTGTATTAAATTTGTGTGTAGGCCTCTTCAAATGCTCCTAATATTGCTTTTATTTTTGTGCCACTTTAGGATTTTTTTAAACTGCTGTCATATGATCACTTTTTCTCTTTCTTTTGCTTTGAAATCTTAATTACAAGTAGAAGGTTATAATTGCCACTCACAACTTGACACTTTGAACAGGAGCTTTATATTATTTTTTCCTGGTTAAAAAAACAGTCACCAAAGTTATATTTAAAATATTTTATCTCAGAAACATCACTAAAACACGTGTGACAATTTGTATATGATATTCACATTTTAGAGGTTATGATTAATGTGTCATAAACATTGTATTGGAATAATATATTTTTATAACTAATTCACTGAATGAAAAAGAATCTAAGGTCTTTAGCTCATTCATACATACATACTTTCTTAAGATGAGGTTCCTCTCCTATAACTTATTTGGATTCTCAGAGACTGTAATGTAGTGATTAAGATCATGTTCTCTGGAGCTAGACTGTTAGAATTCAAATCCTAGAGCACTATTTACTGTATCAGGAAATGGCAATGATTTAACTCATTATGCCTCACTCTCTTTATCTGTAAAATGGGGATAAATGAGATAACCTCATAAGAGTTGCTGTGGGGACAAAATGAGATAATATCCATTATGTGGTTAGAGTAGTGTCTGGCATGTAGTAAACCCACAGAAAGTGGTAACTCTAATAATGATGCGAAATTTATTGAATAACTTGACATGTGTAAAACATATCACCATGAGGTAATTTTAAAAAATGTCAGTAGAGGACCAATTTCATTTTAAAACTAAATACTGTAGTAGCAGAATGGACAAATATTTTATTAAAAAGACACAAAAAGCAATTGCAACAAAAGCAAAAATTGACAAATGAGATCTAATTAAACTAAAGAGCTTCTGCACAGCAAAAGAAACTATCAACAGATCAGACAATCTACAGGATGGGATAAAATATTTGCAAACTTTTGCATCTGGCAAAGGTCTTATATCCAGCATCTATGAGGAACTTAAACTTACAAGAAAAAAAACAAACAACTGCATTAAAAAGCGGGCAATGGACATGAAGTTTTCTTTTGATACTTTTCAAAAGAAGAAATACATGTGGTTGACAAACTTATGAAAAAAACTTAATATTACTGATCATTAGAGAAATGCAAATGAAAACTACACCAGTCAAAATGGCTATTACTAAAAAGTCAAACAATAACAAGTGCTGGTGAGGTTGTGGAGAAAAAGGAACACTTATACACTGGTGGTGGGAGTGTAAATTAGTTTAACCATTGTGGAAAACAGTGTGCTAATTCCTCAAAGACTTAAAAACAAAACTATCATTCGACCCAGCAATCCCATTACTGGGTATATACCCAAAGGAATATAAATTATTCTGTCATAATGACACATGCACTTGTATGTTCATTGCAGCACTAGTCATGATAGCAAAAACATGAAATCAACCTAAATGCCTATCTATTGTAGACTGGACAAAGAAAATGTGGTATGTATACACCATGAAATACTATGAAGCCATAAGAATGAAATCATGTCTTTTGCAGGAGTATGGACAGAGCTGGAGGCCATTATCCTTAGCAAATTAACATGGAAGAGAAAACCAAACACTGCATGTTCTCACCTATAGGTAAGAGCTAAGTGATGAGAACACATGGACACATACAAGGGAACCACAGACACAAGGGAACCACAGACATTGGAGGGTGGAAGGTGAGAGGAGGGAGAGGATCAGGAAAAATAACTAATAGGGCCTGGGCTTAATACTGAGGTGACAAAATAATCTGCACAACAGACCCCCATGATACAAGTTTACCTAAAAAATTAAGGTAATCCTAGACTTTAAAGAAAGTTTTAAAATTTTGTGATTCCATCAGTTTGAACCATGCCTGCTTTTGGAAACCTATCCTGATTGGCTCCTCCCCCTCATCTCCACCTCTGACTGGATTAGGTTTCCCTCCTTGATGCCCCCACAGTAGCCACTGACTAATCTATGAATTTATTCAGTTTGTATAGAAACGTCCTCTTTCTTGACTTGTCTCTTCTAATAGCATATAAGCTCTGTGCATATAGGTTTGCCTTTTGTTTTCTGTTAGAGACACAGGACATACTGTAAGACCTGGCATATAGTAACTACCTAATACATCTTTGTTGAATGAACACTTAAGTCGTGCCTTCTCAATCCTAACAGAACTTGTGCTTTTAGGTTACAGGCTTAAGAAGACAAACATGACAAGGGTGGATATGTGTGTATTGACCCTTCCAGACTTTTCTGGCCTTGTGAACAAAGAAAATTGCCCTTCTGTGAGATGATTAGAGAGAGGACCCCATTCCCCCAATTAGCACCTGCAGCATTAAAGCTCCATTTCTTGGGTTCAGACAGTGGTTGTTGGATTTTTAGGAGACCTCTGCCAAAATGTACGGTGAGGAAGTTCACACACGAATCCCTTTTCAGCTAACACTTCCGTCTTTACTTTTATCAGTTAATGCTTCAGTAAGCATTTTTAGAAATGCAGTAGCAGCCAGAGAGTAACAGAGAAAGAATAGCATATGAACAAGAAACACAGGAGGATGCCAAGACAGTTTTCACCTCCTCTGCAATTTAGCTCAGGTGTGGCCTTGCTTGTAAGTACCAGCCTCCTCCTGAATTTGTGTGTGGATTCAACATTTTGAATTGAAGCATCCAAGTTTTCAGTTTTGTAGAAAACAAAATTCTCCCATCTTCCTTTAACTCTCATCAGATGTGATCCTAAAATCTACATATATAATCTTTACCTTTTAGCAGGTGTTGGACTTATAGCTCCCACTAACTGCAGAAAATTTTTAAATGAATATACTTCTCTGCCTTCAAATCCAAAATGAATAAGAGCAAATTTGAAATCTTTCTTTCCAAATAATTTTTTTGGATAAAGTACTTAGATTAGAAAAGTTTACATTTATATTTTCCAATTCCTTTTCCTGATAGTTCTACATGTACTATTATTTAAAGTAGCTTTTGATTTTTGCCTTATTTACCAGTTTCAATTAATTGCCACTGTTCTGAGATTGCACTCTCAAATGCCCCTAGTAGCCAGACAACCACAATAATTCAACAATATAGTCCATGCAAATAAACAAATGTGTATTTTTTCACATTAAGTTTTCAAAATTTTATTCACAGGTGAAATTGTTTTGAAAGCTGAAATATTTCAGAAAAGCATTCCCAGGGCCTCCATTTTATGGCAAAAATGTATTACACCCTACTCTTAGGGCCAGCTTCAAGAACAGGTGACCTGTAATGATAAATAGTGCCCCCATGTTACACACACACACACACACACATACACAGTATTAGTTCATTTCACACTGCTATAAGGATACTACTGAGTAATTTATAAAGGAAAGAGGGTTAATTGTCTCAGTTCTGCATGGCTGGGGAGGCCTCAGGAAACTTACAATCATGGCGGAAGGCAAAGGGGCAGCAAGATGTGTCTTACGTGGTGGCAGGAGAGAGAGAGAGGAGAAAGTGAAGGGAGAAGTGCCCCTTATGAAACCATCAGCTCTTATGAGAACTCACTCACTGTCATGAGAACAACATGGGGGAAACTACTCCAGTGATCCAATCACCTCCCTTCCTCCACACATGGGGATTACAATTCGAGATGAGGATTTGGGTGGGGACACAGAGCCAAACCATATCAACACATGTGGAAAGCCCTCTGCTGTTACTGTCATGAAACTCCTTATACGTTTTAAACAGATGCCTCATATTTTCATTTTGTAGTAGGCCCCACAAATTATATTTGTGGGTCCTGTATACTCAAAGCCATTATCATTCTCCACCTGAATTACTGAAACAGTGCCTCAGTTTGTGCCCCTCCCACTGGGGTTTCTGTTCTCAAGCCTTCCAACGTACAGCTATGGGACTGATTTTCCCAGATACCCATTTCATTATGTTCTACAATTTGTATCCTAAGTTTCTCTGCTTGGTGAAGACCTCACTTCAGAACCTGGCACTTCTCTGAATTATTTCTTGCAGTTTCTGATATGATTCTGTAGTCAGGCTGGTCTTACCATTATCCCCTATTTAGTGAGTCTTAACTCTACATTAAAGCTCATGCTCCTGGTTAAACAAAAAATGTGACCTTCCCTCTTTTCTGCATATCCAGAACCATCTCCAGTTGGTTAGCCCCAGTGCTTGCTTCTCCACAAATCTTTCTAATTATTCTCACACTTGAGCATTTACCCTACGGGAAAACTTTGTCATGGGCAGCTTTGTCACATAGGTATATGTGTGCCATGGTGGTTTGCTGCACCTATTGACCCATCCTCTAAGTTCCCTCCCCTTACCCCCCACCCCCAACACAACCAGGCCCTGGTGTGTGTTGTTCACCTCCCTGTGTCCATGTGTTCTCATTGTTCAACTCCCACTAATGAGTGAGAACATGCAGTATTTGGTTTTCTGTTCCCGAGTTAGTTTGCTGAGGATGATGGCTTCCAGCTTCATCCATGTCCCTGCAAATAACATGATCTCATTCCTATTTATGGCTGCGTAGTATTCTATGGCATATATGTACCATACTTTCTTTATCCAGTCTATTATTGATGGGCATTTGGGTTGGTTCCATGTCTTTGCTATTGTAAATAGTGCTGCAATAAACATACATGTGCATGTGTCTTTACAGTACAATGATTTATATTCCTTTGGGTATATGCCCAGTAATGGGATTGCTGGGTCAAATGGTATTTCTGGTTCCAGATCCTTGAAGAATCACCACACTGTCTTACACAATGGTAGAACTAATTTACTTTCCCACCAACGGTGTAAAAGCGTTCCTATTTCTCCACAGCCTTGCCAGCATCTATTGTTTCTTGACTTTTTAATAATCACCATTCTGACTGGTGTGAGATGGCATCTCATTGTGGTTTTGATTTGCATGTCTCTAATGATCAGTGATGCTGAGCTTTTTTTTTCATGTTTATTGGCTGCATAAATGTCTTCTTTTGAGAAGAGTCTGTTCATAACATTTGCCCACTTTTTGATGGGGTTGTTTTTTTTTTTCTTGTAAATTTGTTTAAGTTCCTTGTGAATTCTGGATATTAGACCTTTGTCAGATAGCTAGAGTGCAAAAATTTCCTCCCATTCTGTAGGTTGCCTTTTCACTCTGCTGATAGTTTCTTTTGCTGTGCAGAAGCTCTTTAGTTGAATTAGATCCCATTTGTCAATTTTGGCTTTTGTTGCAATTGCTTTTGGTGTTTTAATCATGAAGTCTTTGCCCGTACCTATGTCCTGAATGGTATTGCCTAGGTTTTCATTTAGGGTTCTTATTGTTTTAGGTTTTACATTTAAGTCTTTAATCCATCTTGAATTAATTTTTATATAAGATATAAGAAAAGCTTCCAGTTTCAGTTTTCTGCATATGGCTAGCCAGTTTTTCCAGCACGATTTATTGAATAGATCCATTTCCCATTGTTGTTTTTGTCAGGTTTGTCAAAGATCAGATGGTTGTAGATGTGTGGTGTTATTACTGAGGTCTCTGTTCTGTTCCATTGGTCTATTTGTCTGTTTTGGTGCCAGTACCATTCTGTTGTGGTTACTGTAGGCTTGTAGTATAGTTTGAAGACAGGTAGTGTGATGCTTCCAGCTTTGTTCTTTTTGCTTAGGATTGTCTTGGCTATAGGGGGTCTTCTTTCATTTCATATGAAATTTATAGTAGTTTTTTCTAATTCTGTGAAGCAAGTCAATGGTAGTTTGATGATAATAGTATTGAATCTATAAATTACTTTGGGCAGTATGGGCATTTTCATGATATTGATTCTTCCCATCCATGAGGATGGAATGTTTTTCCATTTGTCTATGTCCTTTCTTATTTCCTTGAGCAGTAGTTTGTAGTTCTCCTTGAAGAGGTCCTTCACATCCCTTGTTAGCTGTATTCCTAGGTATTTTATTCTCTTTGTAGCATTGTGAATGGGAGTTCATTCATGATTTGGCTCTCTGCTTGTCTATTGTTGGTGTATAGGAATGCTTGTGATTTTGCTCATTTATTTTGTATCCTGAGACTTTGTTGAGGTTGCTTATCAGCTTAAAGAGTTTTGGGGCTAAGATGATAGGGTTTTCTAACCATAAATCATGTCATCTGCAAACAGAGATAATTTGACTTTCTCTCTTCCTATTTGAATACGTTTATTTCTTTCTCTTGCCTGATTGCCCTGGCCAGAACTTCCAAAACTATGTTGAATAGGAGTGGTGAGAGAGGGCAACCTTGTCTTTACTGATTTTCAAAGGGAATGCTTCCTGCTTTTGCCCATTCAATATGATATTGGCTGTGAGTTTGTCATAAACACCTCTTCTTATTTTGAGCTAGCTTCCATCAATACCTGGTTTATTGAGAGTTGAGTTTTTTTGTTTTTGTTTTTGTTTTTGTTTTTGAGATAGAGCCTCGCTCTGTTGCCCAGGCTAGTGTGCCATCTTGGCTCACTGCAACCTCTGCCTCCGGGTTCAAGTGGTTCTTCTGCCTCAACCTCCCTAGTAGCTGGGACTACAGGCACACGCCACCACACCCAGCTAATTTTTATATTTTTAGTAGAGATGGAGTTTCACCATGTTGGCCATGTCGAACTCCTGACCTCGTGATCTGCCCGCTTCGGCCGCCCAAAGTGCTGGGATTACAGGCACAAGCCACTGTGCTCGGGATGTTGAATTTTTCAAAGGCCTTTTCTGCATCTATAAAGATAATCATGTGGTTTTTATCTTTGGTTCTGCTTATGTGATGGATTATGTTTATCGATTTGTGTATGTTGAACCAGCCTTGCATACCAAGGATGAAGCTGACTTGATCAAGGTGGATAAGTTTTTTGATGTGCTGCTGGATTTGGTTTGCCAGTATTTTATTGGGAATTTTTGCATTGATATTCATCAGGGATATTGACTTGAAGTTTTCTTTTTTCTTGTGTCTCTGGCCGGTTTTGATATCAGGATGATGCTGACTTCATAAAATGAGTGAGGAAGGAGTCCCTCCTTTTCAGTTGTTTGGAATAGTTTCAGAAAAAATGGTCCCAGCTCATCTTTGTACCTCTGGTAGAATTCGGTTGTGAATCAGTCTGGTCCTGGGACGTTTTTTGGTAAGTAGGCTATTAATTACTGCCTCAATTTCAGAAATTGTTATTGGTCCATTCAGGGATTTGGCTCCTTCCTGGTTTAGTCTTGGGAGGGTGTATGTCTCCAGGAATTTATCCATTTATTCTGGATTAACAAGGATATTCAGGACTTGAACTCAGCTCTGGATCAAGTGAACCTAATAGACATCCAGAACTCTCCACACCAAATCAACAAAATATACATTCTTCTTAGTGCCACATGGCACTTATTCTAAAATTGACTACAAAATTGGAAGTAAAACACTCCTCAGCAAGAACTGAAATAATAACAAACAGTCCCTCAGACCACAGTGCAATCAAATTAGAACTCAGGATTTAGAAACTCACTCAACCTACAGAATGGGAGAAAATTTTTACAATCTACCCATCTGACAAAGGGCTAATATCCAGAATCTGCACAGAACTTAAACGAATTTACAAGAAAAAATCAAATAACCCCATCAAAAAGTAGGCTAAGGTTATGAACAGACACTTCTCAAAAGAAGACATTTATGCAGCCAACAGACACATGAAAAAATGCTTGTCATCACTGGCCATCAGAGAAATGCAAATCAAAACCACAGTGAGATAACATCTCACGCCAGTTAGAATGGCAACCATTAAAAAGTCAGGAAACAACAGGTGCTGCAAAGAGTGTGGAGAAATAGGAACACTTTTACACTGTTGGTGGGTCTGTAAACTAGTTCAACCATTGTGGAAGAAAGTGTGGTGATTCCTCAAGGATCTAGAACTAGAAATACCATTTGACCCAGCCATCCCATTACTGGATATATACCCACAGAATTATAAATCATCATGCTATAAAGACACATGCACACGTTTGTTTATTGCGGCACTATTCACAATAGCAAAGACTTGGAACCAGCCCAAATGTCCATCAATGATAAACTGGATTAAGATAATGTGGCATATATACACCATGGAATACCATGCAGCCATAAAAAAGGATGAGTTCATGTCCTTTGTAGGGACATGGGTGAAGCTGGAAACCATCATTCTCAGCAAACTATCACAAGGACAGAAAACCAAACACCACATGTTCTCACTTATAGGTGGGAATTGAACAATGAGAACACTTGGACACAGGGTGGGGAACATAGCATATCGGGCCTGTCATGGGGTGAGGGGAGGGGGGAGGGATAGCATTAGGAGATATACCTAATGTAAATGACGAGTTAATGGGTGCAGCACACCAACATGGCACATGTATACATATGTAAAAAACCTGCACGTTGTGCACCTGTACCCTAAAACTTAAAGTATAATAAATAAATAAATAAATAAATAAATAAATAAATAAAACAAACTCACTCAAAGCCACACAATTACATGGAAATTGAACAACCTGCTCCTGAATAAATCCTGGGTAAATAATGAAATTAAGGCAGAAATCAAGAAGTTCTTTGAAACCATTCAGAACAAAGAGACAATGTACCAGAATCTCTGAGACACAGCTAATGCAGTGTTAAGAGGGAAATTTATAGCACTAAATGCCCACATCAAAAAGTAGAAAGATCTCAAATCGACACCCTAACATCACAATTAAAAGAGCTAGAGAGGCAAGAGGAAACTAATCCAAAAGCTAGCAGAAGACAAGAAATAAGATCAGAGCAGGACTGAAGGAGATAGAGACAGGAAAAACCCTCCAAAAATCAATGAATGCAGGAGTTGGTTTTTTGAAAAAAAAATTAGCAAAATAGATAGACTGTTAACTAGACTAATAAGGAAGAAAAGAGAGAAAAATCAAATAAACACAATAAAAAAATAATAAAGGGGTTATCACCACTGACCCACAGAAATACAAACTACCATCAGAGAATACTATAAACACCTGTACGTTTTTTACTTTTAAAAACCTGTTATTATGGATTAAGTGTAGGATAATATACTGACCAGAAATTTCAGAAACTGAGCAACAATAACACAGTCCCTAAAGCTAGTGCTCTTTGCAAGGATCTTACAACTACAAGTAGACAACATGTCTTTCTAGAAGAATTGAATAAATGTGAAAAAATGTAAAGCATCAAGCAGAGTGTAAGGTTAAAGTTCCTGCCCCAGAACTAACAACAGGTGGCCCTACCATAAGGTGTGCATATGGCTGAGATATGGTGCTACTATGAATTCTGTTCACAGAACCGCATCTGGTAACCCATGGGGAATAGAGTCTCTGTCATTGTGACCAGCATTGTGAATCTTATAGGCAACAGATGTGATGGCTTATCACAAAATCTTAGCAATGAAGTGACTTTTATTCTTCTAGTCCATTCCCCTTTTTAGTAAAGATATTTCTTTCATGACATTCTTATCTGATTGACTACTTCAAATTAACTAGTAGAAATGTAGTACAAATACATCTTTTATTCTTGTATGTTGAACATTAATTACACTTTTTTGCATAAGATGAATGTTTTAAGTTTTTTAGATAATTATTTACACAGATAATATATTTTACATACAACTGTAATAAATGGAATACCAATGTTCATTTATTTTAAATGGTGTGATTATATATGTGTGTATGTGTATATTTTCATATATGTATATAAAATTTAGAAGAAAATCAAATTTTACATTTTCAGCCACTTACTGTTAAACAAGTAATCATCTCTTGTGTACGTTGTTACTCATGTGTATGGAATCATCCTCTTCTTCACTTCAAGACAGGTGGCCATTTATTCATGTGTTGTTTAAATCTGTTTCTTGATGTCATTATTTATTATCTCAATTTGGACAGGAGTTCATATAGCCACCTAAATTCAGAGAAGCATTTCATGTGTTTGACCATTACATAGTCACCTATACTGTCTATCTACTTTCTATATCGCAAAAGAAATAAAATCTTAGGTGCTAATAATAGACATTTACTTTTGTTTTAATGTTTTAAAGTAGTGTCTTAGACATTTTAAACTAATTTCCCTTCAATTAAGTCAATGTATGTTAGTGGAGAAAAATGGCAATGCGGTTTCTTAGCAAATATTATAATCAAGCTGTATAATGTTGGAGTAATGATATTACATTTTAAATCTATTATAATGAAGGACAGGGAATTACTTTTTTAAGAAAAAATTAAGATGTAAAACAACCTAATAAAAGCATAATAATAGCTGACAACCACAATCCAGTTCTCCTTTGCACACTTGTCAAACATGCTTGCCATTTCTGATAATACATTTAGATCGTATGACAATCTAACTTTTTCGAATCACTGAGGCTTAAATTCAGGTGTGTTCTTCTGAGGTTTCTCTCAAAATTTGTCAAATCTCTAGAAGAGTTTTGAAGTCCTCCACACTCTGTCATTAATTATTTAGACATCCACTTCCCTAAAGGTGAAGATCAAGAGAAGATGATCCCTGGAGGGCCTTTCTGGCTTCACACTAGTATCTCAGATACCCAAGAAGGAAGATGTAAATGATAAACTTGTTTTCTGATCTTTCTGTCTTACTCATTAGCCAGTACATACTATTGTTTACAAATTTTCATACACTGGCTTAACCCTTTCTTTTCAGGATTCTCTTTGATTCTCTTTTCTATTTCTTTTGGGCTTCAGAATTAACTGCTTCTTTCTTCATTGTTCATTCTCTTTGTGGCTTCCTTCAATATCCTGATATTGAAAAGAAAGAAATGAATAAAAAGAATGACCTCTTGAAAAGCTAAGACAGAGTCAATGGGTTCTCATATTAAAACCTCAGCCATTAAATAATATAATCACCTAGTCTAAAGTAAAAGAACCATAAGGTTCTTTTACTACAGCAAGAGTAGTAAGTAGACACTGAAATGTTTCAGTTACCGTGTTCATTCACTGTACTCCAAGAAGAATCAGTTATAGCATACGTCTGCAAATTACAGCCCTTGGGCCAAATTCAGCCTCTCTCTGTTTTTATAAAGAAAGTTTTACTGAAACACAGCCATGTCCTTTCATTTACATATTGTCTATGACTTCTTTCTGCAGCAGGATAGAGAGTAGTTGCTTAGAGATCTTATTAGCCCACAAAGTTGAAAATATTTTCTGTCAGGCCCCTTAATAAAAACTTTGCCAGCCCCTGAATTATATATCATACCCTGTTTTAAGAAGACCTGTTGTGCCTTGTGCAAAGTAATAGTTTAATATGTTTGTGGAATTTAGGACACTTTTTTTCTTGTAATTATTAAATAATTTAAGGTAACAATATTTCCAGTTATTATAATCAACACCACTTAATAAAGCCTCTGATTACATTTATATAGAGGCTTTTTATTTAAAGCAACTAATCGTGTTTTTAAATTAGTTCATGCAGTTAAACGTTTTACAGGGAACTATTTTATATTACTGTGTTTTTCTCAGCTTTCTCCTTGTTTTCAATTTACAGTTTTCTTTTTGGATCAGTAATATGGTGTGGTCAGTGGTGATTGAAATTGTTATCTAGGATGTGACATTTACATTACTTTAAAATTATTGAATAAACTAGACACTAGAAATATTTATTCAACTTATAGAGGTGTATTCCAATAACAGAAAAAAAATAGTTATTTTCAGTCTATGCTACAACCCATTGTGAAGTATACTTTAAATTGTAACTTCTTAATGGATCATTTTTGATATTAATCTTATAAATTGTTATTTTTGGTATTCCATGACTGTACATACATGTGTGTTTGAAAAAGAAACATAACAATATACTCTTTTAAATACAAAAATAACCAGCATTTTGGGAGGCCAAGGCGGGTGGATCATGAGGTCAGGAGTTCGAGACCAGCCTGGCCAATATGGTGAAACCCCGTCTCTACTAAAAATACAAAAATTAGCCAGGCATGGTGGTGCTCGCCTGCAGTCCCAGCTACTCAGGAGGCTTAAGCAGTAGAATTGTTTGAACCCAGGAGGCGGGGGTAGCAGTGAGCAAAGATCACACCACTGCATTCTAGCCTGGCGACAAAGCAAGACTCCATCTCAAAAAAAAAAAAAATATATATATATATATATATATACACATATATATACATATATAGCAGTAGGTTAGAAATTTATTGATAAGCCAGACACTCACCAGAGAAGACTTTTCTAAAGGTCATTGGATCCCTTTGAGAAAGACAATTTGCCTTATTTCCTTAAATGCATTTCTAATCTAGAATGCCAGTTCTTGTCCTATGTATTTCTTTGTATTTTACTTTCATTTCTCTTTTTATTTCTATTTGACAATAATTTCTTTGAGAGCCATCAATACATATGTGACTATTTCTGTTTCTTCCAGTTCCAAGAGACTTCCATTCTTAATAATTCTCAATATTAAACCAAGAGATATTTAGCAGTCACTATAATTAAGTATTAGGCAAAACTTCTGGTCAGTTTTATAATTCTAAAAGTCATATATGTTCATTAATCCTGTTCAAAAATAATATGCACTCTGCAAGTACCTATTCTATTAATTTGTGGTATATGGGCTAATAAAATCACAATAATTTAATAAAACATATTTAACACATGTTATGGAACAAGAAATCTGTACTGTCTGCTTTATGTTTATGCTGTAAGTGCACTTTATTATTGTGGGTTCTCAAATCCTATTTAAATTAGATGTTATTTTCTTTATTTTACATTTGAAGAAAGAGTCTTAGAGAAGATGCTAGACCCAAGATTCAGATCCAGTTATTAGATAGATACCCATTTATCTTCCCATGTTTCATTGGCAGAAAACAAACAAACAAACAAACAACCCTGCAATAAAAATTTTATGGCTTAAAGATTTGTCAGTTTAATTCATAGACACATGAAATGATAGAACTGGAAACTACCCCTTCGAAAGGATCCAGCTCAGTCCCTTTATTTTACAAATAAGGATATTGAAGTCCTATTGAATTTTTAACCAAACAAACAAACTTATCTTTCGTTAGGAAATTAATTTCTGGCACAGCTAAAACTAGAAGGCAGTTCACTTGCCTCCCAGTGCCGAGGTCTTTTTGCTATACAGCAAGTGTTTATCTTCTTTCCCAAATGCCCTCTATATAATCCAAGTTACCTAAATGCAAGTCTAAAAGGTGATTTTGGTCTTGTTCCTATTTGCTGATAAATTTTGAATGCATATGCTGATGTCACCAATACGTACTTACTGGAAAAATAACTTGTATTGCCATATCCTTATTAGATTTCATATTTCTATGACTCATACAGTGAGAACAAATTGCCTGTTTTGAAAATCTTAAGCTAAGAAAAAATAAATATGGCCTAAAATTTCTTATTTAGGCCTAAAATATGGCCTAAATATCAAGAAGATATTTCTCACATTCTGACTCTGAACTTTATACTCAAACTAAAGGACAAATATATTGTCTAGACAAATGGAAACTCATCGAACACAATGAAAACATTTTTGTGACTTTTTTCATTCTAAGACTAAGAATATACATTGTTTATATTGTATTCATTTTCAGAATTGTGAGCTCTCATGATGATTTAGGAAACCTAAATGATATATAAGATCTTTCATTTGGTAGTACTATTCCATTACCATTGATGTTAACATTTGGCAAGTTGGTTAGGCTTTTGACAAGTTTTTTTAAATTGTAATGAAACAAATGAAGAATTAATTGATAGATAGTACAAGATTCCACATGAAGTTAAGGTTTCCATGAAAGTTTTTACTTGAAAAAAATCATAATCACAAGTCTTTATGAAAATGGAAATAATATAAGCAACCCTCACCTCAGAACACTTCTTGCTAATGAGCCGCTTAAAAACAATGTTGCTTGTGCAATAGTGAATTACATAGTTTGATGCAGAAACAGCATAAATTTGCTAGCTACATACATACATACACAAACAAATATACATATATATATAGGCATCAGGCACAAAAAATTGAGATAAATATTTTTCATTTTGTTTTCATCATTGTTCAAGGTCCTTCTGTTTCACTTACATATGTTATCTTATCCACATCTCCATGCACACCCCTTCCATTCGTAAACAATGAATCTAATGTGTTTAGTATAATGTCCTTGGAAAAAAAGTCCATTTTAAATGTATAGTATTGTAATGTTTTATTTACATATGTGGAATATATAGAGATATATAAATATATATGTAAATATACGTATATATGTAAATATATATTTACAAAATATATATTTACATATTTCTATATACATATATTTATGTAAATATATATTATATATTATACATATATGTGGAATATATATGTGTATATATACACACACATGGAATGTGTATACATACACATATGTATATGTGTATATATGTATACATACACATATGTATATGTGTATATATGTATACATACACATATGTATATGTGTATATATGTATACATACACATATGTATATGTGTATATATGTATACATACACATATGTATATGTGTATATATGTATACATACACATATGTATATGTGTATATATGTATACATACACATTCCATATGTGTATATATGAATGAACATATATATACGCATCTGAATGAACAGTCTTGTGCAAAAGCTGTTGTCATTTCTTAACTTTTTATGATATCTTAATAAAATATAGCTAAAAGTAACATTTAATAAGGGTATAGAATACACGCTTGAAGAAATAATACTTAAATATACAGATAACATACCATATCCTTGAACAGAAGAACTGAAAATATAAAGATGCTAATTCTTCAAATTTCATGTGAAAGTGCCAGTATGAATACCCTGAAACTGCTCGCTTTTTCTTGAAACAAAATAAATAATGAAAGAACAATTGAAAATATTTTAAAATGTCTAGCCATTTTTGAAAACTAAGTGAAAAAATTTTGTAAACTCCAAATGGGGAGGAAATTCAAATAGTGACATAAAGCTGACCACCCCGATTGGGGCAAGCTTTCAATCTGAGAAGGAACAGAGGGTTAAAAAGTGCCTCTGGCAGAAATGAGATCAAAGCTGGCATTCTAGTATGACCACCTTGTGTTTTCCAGGGGAATTAAATACAGATAGTGATTAACACCTGAATCTTCTTATAGAAATAAATGTGTATATTTTCTAGTGAAACCTGTATATATAATTTAAAACTGTAAGAGTATTTTCAATCAAACAAAAGGCAAGAATTGATTTCAAAAAAAAAAAAAGCAAACAAACAAGAAAGTATGGCTAAAATAAAATGCAAAAGAATATGGCAGAAAATTTCAATATTTACCATAAATATAAATGGCTTAAAGTTAACTATTGAAAGTTAAAGAGAATAAGATTAGATTTTTAGAAAGTCAAATCTAAACACATCTATTGGTAAAACAGTGAGGTTTTTAGAGGACACAGAAAGAAATGAAACCAACAAAAACAGAGGAAGGTAGTAATATTCCCCAGAGAGGGCAATGATTCAAGTTTCTGGAACCTAAACCCTACCCAGAATTTTGTTCAGTTGATGAGTGCCTCAGACCATCAGGAACTACGACTGTCTGTGAGCTAGGCTCAGCTCCATATACATAGGCTAGAGCTGTTGTGCATATGGACTAGATTAGGTAAACTGGGAGGACTTCCTTATTTAGAGATGATGGAAATTTTTTTTATTATTATACTTTAAGTTCTGGGGTACATGTGCACAACGTGCAGGTTTGTTACATAGGTATACACGTGCCATGTTGGTTTGCTGCACCCATCAACTCATCATTTACATTAGGAATTTCTCCTAATGCTATCCCTCCCCAGCACCACCACCTCCCCACAGGCACCGGTGTGTGATGTTCCCCTCCCGGTGTCCATGTGTTCTCATTGCTGAACTCCCACTTATGAGTGAGAACATGTGGTGTTTGGTTTTCTCTTCTTGTGTTACTTTACTGAGAATGATGGTTTCCAGTTTCATCCATGTCCCTGCAAAGGACATGAACTCATCCTTTATTATGGCTGCATAGTATTCCACAGTGTAATGTGCCACATCTTCTTTATTCCATCTATCATTGATGAGCATTTGTGTTGCTTCCATGTCTTTGCTATTGTGAACAGTGCTGCAATAAACATATGTGTGCATGGGTCTTTTTAGTAGAATGATTTATAATCCTTTGGGTATATACCTAGTAACGGGATTGCTGAGTCAAATGGTATTTCTAGTTCTAGATCCTTGAGGAATTGCCACACTGTCTTCCACAATAGTTGACCTAATTTACACTCCCACCAACAGTGTAAAACATTCCTATTTCTCCATATCCTCTCCAGCATCTGTTGTTTCCTGACTTTTTAATGATCACCATTCTAACTGGCATGAGATGGTATCTCATTGTGGTTTTGATTTGAATTTCTCTAATGACCAGTGATGATAAGCATTGTTTTCCATAAGTTTGTTGGCTGCATAAATGTCTTCTTTTGAGAATTGTCTGTTCATATCCTTTGCCCATTTTTTGATGGGGTTGTTTGTTTTTTTTCTTGTAAATTTGTTTAAGTTCTTTGTAGATTCTGGGTATCAGCCCTTTATCAGATGGATAGATTGCAACAATTTTCTACCAATCTGTAGGTTGCCTTTTCACTCTGCTGATAGTTTCTTTTGCTGTGCAGAAGCTCTTCGGTTTAATTAGATCCCATTTATCAAATTTGGCTTTTGTTGCCATTGCTTTTGGTGTTTTAGTCATGCAGTCTTTGCCCACGCCTATGTCCTGAATGGTATTGCCTAGGTTTTCTTCTAGAGTTCTTATGGTTTTAGGTCTAACATTTAAGTCTTTAATCCATCTTGAGTTTATTTTTGTATAAGGTGTAAGGGAGGGATCCAGTTTCAGCTTTCTACATATGGCTAGCCAGTTTTCCCAGCACCATTTATTAAATAGGGAATCCTTTCCCCATTGCTTGTTTTTGTCAGGTTTGTCAAAGATCAGATGGTTGGAGATGTGTGGTGTTATTTCTGAGACCTTTGTTATATTCCATTGCTCTATATATCTGTTTTGTTCATATGTCATTTGTCCCAGAACACCCTCAGAGACATTGTTCCCATTTAATGGCAGTCCTTTCTGCAAAGGTGTTTTTAAAAAGGACTTTTAAAAAAGTAAACCTTTAAGTATTTCTTGCCTTCCCATGGTTGAGCCCTCACATTTAAACCTAATTTGGCTATAGGTAAAATTCTAGCTCCAAAGAACATTTCTTCAGAATCTTTACAACTAATCCCTCATCTTCTGGTTTCTAGTGCCTCTGTTGAGAAGATTTCCATCAATCTAATTATGTTTTGTTTGTGGGTGATCTTGTCTTTTTTTCTAGAAACTTTTAGAATTTCCCTTGGTCTTTGTTGTGTGTATATTACACTCCAATCTATCTAGACATGGGCTTTTTCATCTTTTCTGCTTGACACTGCATCATGTCTGTGTTAGGCATTCATTATTTTTCTTTAGTCCTTTGAGACTCTTAGTCATGTTTTCTTCAAATATTCTTCTGATCATTTTTTTCTATTTTTCTGGGTCTGTAACTATTGCCACAGCTACTCTCATACTCAAACGTGTATTAATGTTTTAAAATATTTTACATCTTACCTTTCCTAACTGCTTCCTACAATTGCTCTTCCATTTTCCAAATTCATTCATATAGTAGTTCCAGCTTGTTTCTGTTTAGCTCATGTGTAGTGTACCTTATTTCAACTATTGTAATTGTTATTACCAGTATACCTTCTTTTTATTTGTTGCTTTTTGTTTGTTTCTTTGTTTGAGATGGGGTTTCACTCTGTCACCCAGACTGGGGTGCAGTGGTATGATCACAGCTCACTGCAGCCTCATCCTCCCCAGGCTCATGTTATCCTCCCACCTCAGCCTCCTGATTAGCTGGGACTATAGGTGCACACCACCATGCTCATCTAATTTTTTAATTTTTTTGTAGAGACAGGGTTTCACCACATTGCCCAGTCTGGTCTCAAACTACTGGGCTCAAGCATGCCACCCACCTCAGCCTCCCAAAGTGCTAGGATTGTAGGTGTGAGCAACCGTGCCTGGCCTATTACCAGTATACCTTCTTAAGGTATGGTCCTTAGTGACCATTCCCTTTTCAATTATCAGTAGCTCCATCAATATAGTTTTTTTGTGTCTTTTTCCCCTTTTTAAAAATTCTTGATTTACTTGCTCTATTCATGCTGGTTTTTCCAGTATAATAAATATTATATTTTGTGATTCCTCTTTTATTTGTTGCGCTTTTCTATATCTGGCTATTTCTTCTGTGTGAATATTTCCCCTGAGATTTCAACCACCTTGACTGTTCTTAGAAAAAATATGAGGTCCAAGAGGAAGCCCCAGCTTCAGATGTTTTGATGGCTTTGGAAGTGCGGCAGGCCCCAGGAAGATGTTCCCATAACATAAACTGGGTTTGAGATTCTATTTGTTCTCTCCTCATTAAGTAACTCTGACCCTCAGAGAACTTCTATAGCTATGCCTGACACTGCTCTTTGTTGAACGAGTTTTTTCAGCTGTTTTTCGTTTCCAAGTTGCAGAATAGGAGTAGAGTGAAAGAGGAAAGAAGAATCAGTAGCAGCTGGTCTTCACTCACCAGCTATATCCTTGGCAAAAGCTGCTGCATTGGCCATGCTACTTCGCTACTTTGAAATAATAACTGAGCAGTGAGTGATTCCCACAAGAAATATGGCAGAGAAACAAGCGCTCAAAAGCACCCCATCTTATTTCCCGCTGAGAATGGCCCTAGGCCTGCTTCCATTCCAGACTTCCATTGCCCTTCTATTGGGCTTTAACAACATTTATCTCTGTTCACTCCCTCAAGTATTTCTCACAGCTTTACCTTAGTTCTTCAAATTAATGTAAGTTTTCCCTACTTCTGTGATATTTCTAGATTGGACTGGGGAAATTAACTTGGCAGCTGGTGATATATTCTCCTTATTAGTAACTGAAAGTAAGTTTTATGCATAAACGGACACACACACTCAGACACACACATTTAGAAATGGATATTGTGACATTACTGTGAAGTAGAAAAAACCAGAAGCAATTAAAATGTCTAACTGTAGGGTTGTAGTTAAGTTAGTTAGCTGAAATTCAGTCACTGGAATAAGATAAAGATTTTGCTATCCAAGTGTTAGTACAAATAACTCAAAAAACATTACTAAAGTGGAAAAAATCAAAGTGCAGAACACTATGATAAATGTGGAAGATGAAAGATACATATATACTGATAAAGATACTTTTTAAAATATATATATCCAGAAAAAAATGAACTGTGCTGACTCTATGGGGAAGGGACTCTGTAGAGTGTTTATGTATTACCATGTAATTTGAAAAGTTAAATGCACATACATATGATTTTTTAAACTTTAAAATTTACTTTGCTAATACCATATAAAGAGAAATGTTTTTGGCACATGTATGCATATGTAACAAACCTGCACATGGTGCACATGTACCCTAGAACTTAAAGTATAATTCAAAAATAAAAATAAAAAAACAGAAATATTTTATAAATATTGTATATGTTCTCACACATATGTGCACACATTCTTATTTAGAATTTTATATACCAGTGGAAGACATTGCATAGGATTGTATTAAAACTGTTATGCTAATAGGTAAAAATCATAGAAAGAAATGTTAATCAGAAGGACAGTTTAAAAATATTATTTAAATGATTATGTTACAACAACGCATATTTATTTGATCAGAAGTTATTAAAGATTAGTGGAAGCTAATACTTCATTTCATTTAATTATATGTTTAAATTTCATACTAAATAACTTATTCATCTTATGTAAAATCCATGTAGAGAAACATGCTAACGTAAATGAGCTTGTGAAAAGTGTCAAGTGATATTATTTAACACACACACACAAAAAGATTTGTTGAGATTAGAGAAACCGAGGCATCAGTTGTCAGTTCATCTATTTAGAAAAGGTAGACAGAAGGGAAGACAAAAGCCAATATTCAAATTATCTGCATGATTTGTTCTTTTTTTGACTACAAATTGTCAGTGTGAGAAGGATGTGAGAAGAGACAGTAAAATCAAAACGTCACTTTTGTTAGCAGATTAAAATCCCATTTTTAATGGTATGGGAGCTATAGGGAGCTGTAACAATGGAGCCACACTTACCTCCGTTGGCTTGTCAGTTTCCATTTTGAAGTATTGTTTTTAATGACCTATCTAGAGAGTTTGGTTTTAAAATACATGAATATATTTAGGTGTTTCATCTATCAAAAACTCACTTGCTCTTTTATGATCAGACTGTATTGTGTAAGTGTGGTGGACCTTGACAGATAATGTCAGTTAATACTAAGGCTATGTCTACATGCATAATAATACAACGTTACCAAAAAAAATGTTCTGACTTGAATCACAAGTCAAATCAATTAGTGCTATCTTGCTATATGCTGATTCAATCAGAACCTATACTTCCAGTTTTCACACTAATTTTACTGATGTGAAATGAGTGAATTTGAATGAAAGCAATAGTTATGGAAAGATTCTCAAAAATGTTTGCAAACACAAGTAGACACAATAAAATTAAGTTAAAATTAAAATAACTCTAAAGTCAATTCATTTTCTTAGAGTGTATTTACAGGTGGAGGAACAGGAATAGATTTTTTCCTGGTAAGTTTCTCTCCTTCTTTCTCCTATCTCAGTTTTTAAGAGGTTAATTACTCTGGTAATTGCATTCAATTATTTACTTTTTAACTATATTTAGGTATTTATATATTTATTTATTAGACACAGGGTCTCACTCTGTCACCCAGGTTTGGGGGCAGTGGTGCAGTCAGGGCTCACTGCAGCATTGACCTCCCAGGCTCAAGTGATCCTCCCACCTCAGCCTCCCAAGTGTCCGGGAATATAGGTGCACACCACCATACCTGCCTAATTTTTAAAATTTTTGTAGAGATAATGGTCTCCCACTGTTGCCCAGGCTGGTCTCAAACTTCTGGGCTCAAGCAATCCTCCCTCCCAAAGTGCTGGGATTACAGATGTAAGCCACCTCACCCAGCCCAATTATTTACTTTATTTTAGAATCTTGAGAAGTTTGAGTTTTGAAGAATGAACCCAACATAGAGCAATGCAGACTTCAGAGATGAGAAAACCTAGTCAATAACAGAGGAATGGAGTGGGGATAGGGAAACAGTAAAAATAAGAAAGACAGAGAGAGAGAAAGAAATAAAGATTTTGAGGTTCCCTGCAAAACATTTAAACAACTACCCTAGCCTTGTGTGAAGCCAGAAAAATTCCTGGGCTTTTAAATCTTTGAGCCATTAACATTGTTACCCAAGTATAATCACCTAAACCTGTATATTTATTTTTAGTTTGATTTTAAATTTAATAATATTTAATAATAACACATTTATGGGTTACTTGTGATATTTTGATACATGTAAGCAATATGTAATAATAAAATCGGGCTAATTGGGATATCCATCACTTCAGACATTTACCATTTCTTTGTGTTGGGAACATTCAAAATCCTCTCTTCTAGCTATTTAAAAATACACCGGCCAGGCATGGTGGCTCACACCTGTAATCCCAGCACTCTGGGAAGCCGAGGTGGATGGATCACGAGGTCAGGAGTTTGAGACCAGCCTGGCCATTATGGTGAAACCCCATCTCTAATAAAAATAATTAGCTGGATGTGGTGGCGGGCACCTGTAGTCCCAGCTATTCAGGAGGCTGAGGCAGGAGAATTGCTTGAACCCGGGAGGTGGAGGTTACAGTGAGCTGAGATTGCACCACTGCACTCCAGCCTGTGCCACAGAGCAAGACTGTCTCAGAAATAAATAAATAAATAAATAAATAAATAAATAAATAAATAAACAAATATAAAAAATACCATAAATTATTGTTAAACATAGTCATCCTACTGTACTGTTGAACACCCTACTGTACTATAGAACTAAGTCATTCTCTCTAATTTTGTATCCATTAATGGCCCCTCCTTATTCTCCTCTCTCCCTTCCCCTTCTCAGCCTCTGGGAACTAGTATTCTACTCTCTACTTCTACTTCTCTTCTATATACTCTAAACTTTTTTTTAGATCCTACATATGAGTGAGAACATGAGGTGAAGCTCTGCTCCAAACGTGTAGATAACTGAAGTTGCTCCTCAACTGTGCTGAACTGTTGGGAGGTCGCCACCTGCCACTATACCTCGAGATACTCAATCAACTTTATTTCCCTTGTCACATCAAAGGGCGATAGTCTTCATAGTTACATGTAGTTAGAATGGGGAATGGATCCCCTGAAAGGATGCCTAAGCACTCATTGGCATAGTGTTCAGTGAAACAGCTTTTTGAATCTGCTCACACAGTTCCTTCTTCTCTGGGGTATGTACACACTGCTAACTGCATTTAGTTAGTTTTGGTGTCATCCACCAGAATATACTGAGTACTTCCACTATTCTCTAATGCTTTTCGAAAAATTATCTCTACCATTTTCATACATACGACCTGCCATTGTAGCTTTGCAGGCCTTACCTTCCTCTCTTTCTCATGTTCCTCATCTGCAAAGCAGGGGTAGTCATATACTTACTACCTTGTGGATGAGGATGAACTGAGTTAATACATGTGAAGTACTTAGAACAATGGTATATAGTTAGAATTCAATAAATGTTAACTATTACTACTATTATTTTATTGGTGTTACTACTTTGGTTTGGTTTTTGTTATTGTTGTTAATTGTGAACCCTGGAGTTCAAGAGATCTTAACCTGGGTTCTCTAGAACACAGGGCCTGAGGCCAACTCTGTGATAGTGATTTATTTGGGGGAAGGAAGTTCAATATCAAGAAATCAAGAATAAAGAAAAAGGAAAGTAAGGAAAGTAAAGAGAGGAAGAAAAGGTAGCAAATGAAAAGGGAGTGTGCTAAACAGCTGTACAAAGCTTCACAGCATAGGTGGTTTCTTCAGACATCTCTAGAAAGTCCTTACAAATTGCATCTTGAAACATTATTTTAAGAGAGGAAGACAGAACTTGTACCACTTGCCTCCCCTTAGTCAATGTTTGTTATTATAAATAACAAATAACACCCTCCTGGGTTGTACCCCCAGCTCCTTTGGAAAATAACAAGAAAGATGCTTAAATAGTAGCAGCAGCAGCAGCAGCAGCACCCCAAAGTACAGGACACGAGGAAGCCAGTAAACCAGGGGCAGTCTTCCCTAGTTCACCTTCAGCCTTCAGCTGGGCAAGACCTGGAGGGCCAGTATGTAGGGATGGGTGTTGAGTGAATTACAGGACATTTGAACTTCAGCAGCAGTGGGAATCCCTGAGATAGAAGGCAAGAGGTGCACCCCACAAGGTGGAGATAAGACATAGTGTGTTGTGTCTTAAGCTAGAGTGACATGACAGAATTAATATATACCATGTTAACCGTGAACCCTATGTAATGGCCAAAGGACTAAAAGAGCCTCCCTTAATAAATAACAAAACTATTTGTGTATGACTACAAGAATGTAGTTGGGGCCAGGTGATCTTCCTGAAGGGACATCAGAAGCATCAAACAGCAAGAATGGCCAGACAAATCTGGAAAGTCAAAGAAATGGGTCCAGGAAAATCAGACAAGGAAACTGAATGCTAATTGTGGCTTCTGCCAAAAAAATTATTTGTACTTTACAATGAAAGAAGAGAGACATTTTCTCTTCCAGAGCTCTCATTCATCTCTAAAGAGTAACTGTGGGGAAATCTACCTGGGTCAAATACCCACCTATGGGTAGTTCTACTTAAGGGAACAGGGCTTTGTTGCCAACCAGACTGATTTGTGTGCTCAAATTCAAGAACACAGAATCCTGGACTGGCAAAAACACGTAGAAAGGCAGTGCTCAAATGAAAGGGATGCAAGGTAAAACAACAATATCTATGGTTAATCTCTTCTCTCTCGCTGTCAGAATTTTGTTTATATTTCTTTATTTTCAAACATCTGTATGTGTTTATTGAATTTATTTACTTTAAAATTATTTCTCAAAAGAAGTTGGTGGGTCCTTGTTACCTTAACAAGTCTTTCAGGAAATATTCTATTATTATTTTTCTGATTATATTGTCTTTTAATCATATCCTAGAATAAATATAGTGGTGTTGTTAGACTTCCTATACCTGGCCTCAGTATTTTCTATATTTTTATATTTTCTTTATTCTTTATTTTCAATTTTCATTGGATTCTGGGAAAATTTTCTAGCTCCATCCTTCAGCTCAGTAATATTATCTTCAGCCACGTCCATTCTATTTGGCGTATCTATTCAGATTTTAATTTTGGCAATCATTTTGAAACTATTTTTCTTATGTTACAAAGTTTATACCCTAATGTATGACTATGAGTGTACTAGGTATTTCTATTATCAGCCTTATTATTTGACCTCTTTTATTATCTCTGTTTCCTTGGGGATTATTTATCAAATAATAATGGAGATTTCATAATGATGGAGATTTCAGTCATCCTGAGTTTAACTACTGTTTAATTATTGTTCTCATGTTATGGGTATTATATATTTCTTAATCATTATATTGGTGTCTTCTATTAGCTCTATCGTTTAGAGAATACTTCTATTCATTCAGGCTAGCAAATATCTTTTGTTTAGAATGTTAAATGCTATTGAAAACATGTTAATGTTTACTGATTCTTGGTTATTTATTTCCTTTTCTAAGTAAGAATCTAGGTATATATATATAATGTACATAACATATATAATATTATACTATTATAAAGTGATTACTTTAGCTCACGGGAGAGTATTTCCTTAGCACAAGCTAAGCACAACCAATAAATGCTGATTCTGAATAAAGGTACTTAGATTTTAGGGTCTGTGCAGATGAGAAGAGTATATGAGTAGCTTGAGTTCTAATTGTGTGAGCTCTTTCTGCTTTCCTCTTTGTTTGTCTACAGCCTTTGAGTCTCCTTCAGCATATGCCCTGCTGCCTTTGTACAACTCTAGCTGAGTTTGGTCCTGGGGCAAATGCCATAGCAACTGCTATGAAAATGGATCCTAATGCGGCTGTCCCACTGCCCTTTAACTCAGTATGACCTGTAACTGCATCATTGATCACTGTCTTATCCCCTATGCATCACTCCTTGGAATATTTTTGTGTTTGGTTTCCTGTGAAAATGTACTTATTTGAAAGTTTATCTGTTCCCTGTTTAAGATTGTAAATCCTTATTTTCTGTGATGTTTTACCACAAGTCAGGTCCCACTTGCATTGTATCTTTTAGAAACTCCAAAATATTTTGGTTTGCTTTTGACCTTTCTTTTGCCTTTCCAGAAATATGTAGTTTTCTTCCCATTTTCATATTTATCCTGTCATATAAGCAGGGTTTGGGGAGAGTAGGAATTCATAAGTAATTGTGTTCAATAGGCATCATGAGGTAATACATTCTGATTTAACTTTGAAATGCATCAGACTGTTCTTTTAATCAAGTACCCAATAGTAAACATATATGAGGAATTTTTGTAACCTAAATAAAGATACATTTTTAATTTCTATATTTTCTGTTTATGTAATATTAATTTACAATTAAGTAAACTGATAGAATATTTTAGCTTATCATTTCTCCTTTGTGCACAGTCATCCTCACCAGCAGAATCACAATCAATGGGTACAAATGGGTATCATTTCACCACAAATGGTTGCCATTATGTTGTCAAAGCACAATTCGATAACTATTTATTTATATCTATACAAAAATGTAATTATAAATATTCCAGCTTTAACAACCTGGAATAAAAAAATAGATTGAATATCAATGATTTTTTTTTACAAAGTATCTTATAAATCCAGCAGATAGGAACAAATCAAATTTCTCTTTGGATCTGGACTTCAACAGTTAAATTTGCATGCTGCTTAAACTATCTTAAAGAATAACTGTGAAAATCTTTTTTAGAATACATTTAGGAGACAAAAGTTATAGCAAAATGGAAATACATGAAAAACAATTTATTGCATTCATCTGAAAAACAAAAACTTGAAACCTTTGTGGAGGAACCGCATTGATTTTCTTTCAATGTTGTAGTAGAAGATTTGTGTTTTGAGAAGTTGACTTCTCACATGCTGTATTCCATTTATTCTGGGAACTATGTCACTAACATTGAGCAGAATAAAATGGATTGTATTTTCTGTAAGAACAATTTTGTAATTTGATAATTTCAGTTTGAATTCCTGACTATGGACTCAAAATTAAAGAAGTCATAACAGTAAAAAAAGGTAATGCAAATTTCTATTAATCAAGGTATTAATATCATTAAAATGATAGAATTACAATACATGTAACAACTGAATAATCTCCAAAACATTTTGATAAGTGAATGAAGCCAGACATAAAAGGCAACATACTGTGTGATCCTACTTGTGTGAGATTGTAAAAATGGAATAACTGTAGATGGAATTTTGGAGAGATAAAAATGTTCTACATTAAGATTCAGGGATAGCTCCCTGACTTTATACTTTCATCAAAATTCTTTCAATTGTACACTTAAATTTGGTAAATTTATGGTGTTTAAATTATGCTTCAACCAATATTAAAATTAAAATTTTTAAAAATTCCCATTGATGGCTTACAATCATTCAGACAATAAAGACCAAATCCTTTAGCTGCCTGGAGATGGATTTGCATTTGTGTCTCATGTCATTCCTGAGACTCATCTTACTTAGTGCTCTCTTTTGTTGTTTGTGCTCCTGTAGTACCAGCCCTCTTCCTCGCCATCATTACAGGTAGAAATGTGGTTACCTCTTCCTGAAAAATATGAAAGCAAAAGTCACTTCCACACGATTCTTCCCTAACCACCTATATTAGGTTAGATCTCCTTGTAAAAGACCCTCGAGACCCCTCTTTTCCCTCTGGAATGTGTTGCATAACTAACTTATATAAAGTTTGCTTTCGTTCTGACATTTCTGTGCACCTTCCTACAACATACATTTACAATGATAAGAGTAGAAGTTTTGGTAATGTAAAGCAAAGCTAATCAAAGCATAAATTTGTTAGCATGAAACCACCCAAGAAGAAGCTAATCTTGGCTGTGTGAAAGGTTTATCTTGAGGCTAAATTACTGAGGATTTCTCTCCTTTTCCTCCCATTTCCTACTCTGGGAGGCCCTATGTGGAAATAAATAAGTAACATAATTCACACAAGAAGCTGAGCAAAAAAAAAAAAAAGAAAAAAAAGCAGGTGGTGGGAGAGGTGGGAGTTAAGAAATAAGAAATGAATGTAGATACTGCCCAAGGAAGATACTTTTTGTTCTGGCATCAGTGGAGTGTTGGTTGTATTGGGGCATCCCCAGAGTCAAGAATGAAGGCCACCTGCCCGTTGAAGGAGCAGCAGGAATGTGGTATCACTGAATAGAGTCAAATATTTGAATCTCCATCCACTTATGATTGTGTATGGAATGGATATGAAACTCACATTCAAAGGAAATAACTGTGTGGACATTGTGCAGGATTTCCTTTTTGTGTGTGTCAAGCAATGTGAATGTGATGAAATGTATTATTTCTCCCTTGAATGATAAAGAAGGTGGAGCAGAATCTACGGTTATTAAATAATTATTTGTAAAATGAATATGTTGTTGTTTATCTCCCTGAAGATACGGACTCAATCTTTATTGTTTGCTGTGGTGTATTGTACTCCATGCCTAGCACCTTTGTCCTGCCTACAGTAGACACTAATCAATGAATAGTAATTAAATTAACAAATTATATTTTAAAGGACTAGAGGTCATTTTTTTTTTTTTTTTTTTTTTGAGACGGAGTCTCGCTCTGTCGCCCAGTCTGGAGTGCAGTGGCGCGATCTCGGCTCACTGCAAGCTCCGCCTCCCGGGTTCACGCCATTCTCCTGCCTCAGCCTCCCGAGTAGCTGGGACTACAGGCGCCCGCTACCACGCCCGGCTAATTTTTTTTGTATTTTTAGTAGAGACGGGGTTTCACCGTGTTAGCCAGGATGGTCTCGATCTCCTGTAGAGGTCATTTTTAACACTTCTCGACCTGTGCTTCTCTATTCCATTGCTGGATTAGACTACAAAGGCTCAAACTTTTCTCTCTACTGAGTAATTAACAAAAGATGTGGTGAGTCAAAGCAAGTCTAGTTTTATTTCATCATGATTCAATTGTGTCTGTGATTGGGCAAGTCAAAACCTGTCAGCTTTGAAGCTTATTTAAATATTCAGGAGCTATATTATTCTAATTAAACAAATTAAACAAATAGTACCTCTGAAAAATCAGGTGCAAATATATAGTCTGAAAAGGACGTGAATTAACTGACTTGTGTTTTGAATTATGCCTTTATAGTATGCATATTTTGTTGCAATTAAAATGTATTTCTTAATTAGTATGTAAAACATTTATTTTCACCAGCAGGAACTGATGATATTTTGCAGAAACTATAAATTTTTTTAAATTGGAAATTTTGTACTATGGAAAATTGAAGAAATTATTTTAGTTTTCAACATTAAGATTTTCTTTGCATAGCTCAAAAATGATGAAAATAAGCAAATTTGTAAGACACTATCTGATACTCTTGCCCTCTCCAAGAGTACCATTAAAATGACAGTAAGTATGTTTTCTAAAAAGGCAAAACCAAACAAAACAAAAATATAAATTAATATAATCATGGCCAGAGAGAAGAGGAAGAGGGCCAAGACTCAAGCACAGGGGCAAGTGGTCCATATATTATCAGAATAGCAAAAACTGAATCCTAAACTTGCAGTTGGATCCCTCAGTGAGGTCACATTCAGTTTTGTAAGAAATATACACACTCTATTCCAAAGTAGCTGTTCCATTTTTTATTCCCACCAGCAATAAATGAGAGTTCCTGTTGCTTCACAACCTTGCCAGCATTTGATGTTGTCAATGTTCTGGATTTGGGCCATTTCAAAAGGTGTGTAGCTCATTGTTGTTTTAATTTGTATTTCCCCAATGACATATGCTGTAGAGCACCTTTTTAAATACTTATTTGGCATATGTATATATTTTTTGGTGAAATGTGTGTTCAGGTCTTTGGCCCATTTTTAAAAATCAGAGTTTTTTGTATTGTTGAGTTTTAAGAGTTCTTGGTATATTTTGGATAGCATTTCTTTATCAGATATAACTTCTACAAATGTCTTCTAGTCTATGGTTTGTCTTCTTATTTTCTCGATATGTGTTTTGCAGAGCAGAAGTTTTTCATTTTTACGAGGTTCGGTTTATCAATTATTTCATGGATTGTGCCTTTAGGATTGTGCCTTTAGGATTGTATGTAAAAGGTTATTTCCATGCACAAGGAAATCTATGTTACTTCCTCTGTTATCTTTTAGAAGTCTTATGGTTTTGCATTTTATATTTAGGTCTATGATCCATTTGAATTAATTTTTGTGAAGGATGTAAGGGCCATGGCTGAATTCATTGTTTTATATCTGGCTGTCCAGTTCTTCCAGCACTGTTAGTTGAAAAGACCATCCTTCCTCCACTGTATTGCCTTTGCTCCTTTGTCAAACATCAGTTGACTAATGTGTGCCTATTTTTGGTCTGTCTTTTCTGTTCCATTAATTTATTCGTCTGTTATCTTGCCAATATCATACTTTCTTGATTACTGTAGGTTAATAGTAAGTGTTGTTCTTCTCTTTTAATGTTGGCTATTCCATGTCTTTTGCATCTCTGTGTGAACATCATGATCAGTTTACTAATATTCACAATATGACTTCTGGGATTTTGATTAGAATTGGATTGAATCTACAGATTAAATTAGAGAGAACTAAATTTTTGACAGCATTGAGTCTTTCTAACCATGAAGATGAAATATCTCTCCATTTATTTTGTTCTTGTTTGATTTACTTTATCAAAGCTTGGTAGCTTTCCTCATATAGACCTTGTACATATTTTGTTAAATATGTGTCTAAATATTTCATTTTATGTGGGATTCTAATGTAGATGATGCTATGTTTTAAATTTCAAATTTTACTTGTTTATTACTGGTATACCAGAAAGTGATTGACTTTGTTTATTAATCTTATATCCTGCAACCTTGCTTTAATTTCTTATTAGTTCCAGGAGGTTTGTTTTGTAAATTTTTTGGATTTTCTAAAATAACGTCATCTGCAAACAAAAACACTTTTATTTTTTCCATCCCAGTCTGTATAACTTCTGTCTTCTTTTCCTATCTTAGCGCATTAGCTAGGACTTCCAATTCAATGTTGAAAATAAGAGGTAAGGGGGGCATCTTTGCCTTCTTCCTGATCTTAGTGAGAAAGTTTCTAGATTCTCAACATTAAATATGATATTACCTGTAGATTCAGTAGATATTCTTTATTTATTTGAGGAATATACTCTTTTTTCTTAGTTTGCCAAGAGACTTTGTCATGAATGGGTGCTGGATTTTGTCAAATGCTTTTTCAGTGTATATTGATATTATCTTGTTAATTTTCTTCTTTAATCTGTTGATGTGATGAATTTTACTTGATTTTCAAATGTTAAACCAGTCTCGCATACTTTTAATAAATCTCACTTGGTAATGATGTATGCTTATTTTTATGCATGTTGGATTTAACTTGCTAATATTTTGTTGAGGATTTTTCATTCATTCTCATAAACCTGCAGGAAAAACTCAATAACCTATACAATTGAGTCTGCAGAACTTCCAAAAGGCCCTGAGATTGGCAATACTGGTTACTTTTAATAATTAGATGTCAGGAAAGAATAATGTTGATTAGTTAAATGTCTGACTGAGCAAGTATTAGATCCCTTCTTCCCCTTGACCATTTTTTCTAGGCAGGTGATTTCCTTTGCCACAGAAGAAAACTACAAGTTTATTTTTGTGAGAGCATAAAACCAAGAACATCAGTTTCCTGGGTTTCCCTGTGTACTTTTGAGGGCAAATACACCATGTTTACAAGTAGGAGATTATGTGACTATATGCGTATCAGATGCTGAGCACCTTTCCCCTTTACATTCTCAACTACGTTACTGGAAAGCTGAAAGCCAGGCTTCTCCCTCTAGGCAGGAGAGAAAACAGTCTTTCCAGAGTGATTTTGACAGCCTTAGAATAAAGACGGAAACACGTTGACCCTCAAGGGGATTCCTTAAGAAAACTTCCATTGTATTGTTGTTAAAGTAAGGTTCACAATCAACAATATTTATGCTCAGAGATATCAATCAGATTTTTTAGTGTTCTATTCTTTAATATTAGCAGACAACTGAGGCTTATTAGACAACTGAGGAAAACCCATAGCCAGAAAGACAGATACCAAAACCAAGAGATGAACACAATAAACAAATGCAAATCAACAAATATATTAAACATACACAAAACAAGCATGGACGAAGCCCCTATAGAATGAAGCAAATTTTAAAACATGCATCAAAAATACTCTTACAGTGTTATGTGTGTATCATGTCATGATGTATGAAGGACAGGGTGCCATAACAGGGAACGTTTAAGTTAATAAAAATTTTAAAGAATACTAGATTGTATAAATTAAAGAAAATGATTCGACAGAAGACTTGAAAGTAAAAATGAGGAAATTTTGTGGCAAATTAATAAAAAAGACAAATTGATAGAAACATAGAAGATAAAATATAATTTAAAAACTATTTTAGGATACCTAATATGTAAATAATAAAAATTTCAGAGAGAAAAGACATCAGAAGAAATCAGAGGGGAAATAATGATCAAAGAAATAATTCATAGAAAATTTGCCAGACTTGAAGGATTCGTATTAGAATTACATATTGAAAGTATACAAAAAGTACCTGCATCAAAACACAACATGGAGCAATTACAAAATCCTTCAAAGAAAAAGCAGTCATATTGGCCTCAGACTTCAGAGTCACATAGAAAGGAAAAGGACACTGGGACAATGACTTTAATAATTTCCAGCCTAAAATTCAACATCAATTAAATTACCAATGAAGGGTGATGGCAGAATAAAGATATTTTTATATAATTATGAGCACAAACATTTCCTCTCCATGGATTATTTTCCCGATAAAGATACTGGAGGACAGAGCCACCAAACCAAGAAAGTAAACAACAAAAAATAATCATATGGATAAAATAAATTGAAGATCCAAAGTAGCAAAAAGATAGAGGGATTCTCAGATGAAAACTGCTCATCTGATATAGAACGTATAATTGTCAGTGCAAATTGGGTCATATTTGCAAGTTCCCAGAGAGGTTTTTACAGGAAAATTAATTTGTTATAAAGTCTGATGTGTCTGAATGTCTTCAAAATTTAAATAACTGACAATTTAGTTCAACATTAAATTAGTTTTAAGAAAATAGAAAAAAGACTAAAAACAATAACAACAACAAAAACAGACAATTAAGAATTAATTCCATAGGGGAAAATCAGGCAGAAAAAAAAATTCTTACTAGTCACTGAATCTGTTCAAAAATGATTGGTTCTTTCATTCTGGGTGCATAGTAGTCAGGAAACTTCTCCACTCACTTTAACTCAGAGTGGCAATATGATTTGCTCAAACTAACATGAGAAGTGAGGCATGTTACTTTTAGGCAGAATCTTTGAGACCCAGCATGTTCCTTTTATTCATACCATCAAGCAAAGGCGGCCAGTACGATGAACAAATCCCTAAGGCCATCATGATGTCCATGTCTGAGTGACAGCCATGACAATATGGAGCAGCGTCTCAGCCAACGGTCGGAAGACATGTACAATGAGTGTAAAATAAGCCTTTGCTCTGTTAAGCCTCTTTTTCTGAATTACTTGCTATTGTAGTATAATCTAGTCTATCCCAACTCAGACAGAAATTTGTTCAGAAGTGGGGTTTTAGCATTAAAAAAATTAAAATATGTTGCAAAGGCTTTAGGATAGGGAATGAGATGGAGAGAAATATTTATCAGGCTTGTAAATTGAACAATTTATATTACCCTATGTCAAAACATTTGGTAACATTGTTACTTGTGATACCTTAAAAGGCAGGTAAGATACTTAAATATCCTTTAATTTTAGGAAACATGTTGAAAAGTTAAATATTGATAGCTTGAGTGTATTAATATTGCCTGCATTTTAACAAGTACTACAAGGAAGTGAGGAAGTAAAGGAAAATTGGCTGGTTTCCAAGGATGTATGAAAGGAAATAGCAAGAGTTCAGAATTGTGGGGTTGGAAGTGACAACGAATTCTCATCCTTACCCAGTAAATTATAAAACTTATAACATGTTTGGGTAACAAAGGCCAATTAGGATTCAGTTTTGTGGCAATGATAAAATCAGTGATACAACTGTTATGCTGATTGTTGCAGTGTCTGACTAAGATGCTTCCCAGTGAATCCTTTCAGCTGGAAGAAAGTGGCAAAAAGTTTAGCTCTCTCCTGGCAACTTATTCAGTCAAGGTAACCATAACTAAGTGAGAGAGAGAGTGGTGGGTGGGGAGAGAGAGAGAGAGGAGAGAGAGAGAGAGAGAGAAATGTTGGAAAGAGAAGGTTGGAAAGAGGTTGGTCTCAAAAAAATTGTGGATGTGATCAGTACATGGTTTGAAATAAAATATATAAGCATCTGAATAAATTTGTAAGAGGTATAGTCAAAAGAAAAATTCATGACAGGGAAACAGGCTAGGAAAAATGTTCATTTCCCAAAGAGTGCATATATCCCAATACCCATTCCATGTATAGCCTAAGAAGATAATAAAAAATAAGGGGCTTACCCAAGATTGGAAGTATGGGCCATGGAGACCAATGGGCTAAACCACTCAAGGAAGACTTCACTCCCTATTCTCATAACTTTTGCCTGAGAGGATTTAGAATGCCTTTAAATTAATGACTGGTGTGTTTCTCTCCTTGTTCCTGTTTCTGAAAGTGTTGATTGAGTCATTCCATTTCTATTCCACAATTGTATATTGGCTGTGTGTGTGTGTGTGTGTGTGTAGGTGAGTGGACATGCTTAGTGAAGCTGATAATTTGTTTTTGTTTTTGGTGTTCATAGGTTTCATGACTGGGAAAAGTTATATCTGTACCAGATGTACATTATCATGAGATTCTTTACTTCATGCTCAATGCTATGAATGGCAAGAGTTTTTGAGTTTTATCCCTTGGAAAAAAAAAGGAGCGAACTTCTCTCAGTGACTGCAGTGTGTCTCTCATTTTCCCACAATTGAATGACAATACTCTTACATTGAGTCTACACCTATCCCAACATTGTAGGTTGAGTATATGGAGTGGGGCATGTTTTGATCAAGTTGAAGGATACCAAAAGAATTATATTTAGAGAATTACACCTGAGGAATGGGAACCTCATCTACAGCTAGACCAGATTTACATAATGAAATCCTAGTTCTCAGTCCCAAGCCTGATGCTGTAATGTGATGAGAATTTGGGGATGTGGGGTTGTCCAGAAGGGTGAGCATATTTTAACAATGGTAGAAACATAAATAATTCATACAGGATAAACTGGAGACTTTAAAATAATGCATAGAAATTCTTTGTTACTTCTTCTTTGAGTCTTGATGGGCTTTTGATTTTTTTGACCAATACAATGTAGAGCAAAAGATGCTATATGTGTTCTGAAGCTACGTAATAAAAACCATGCAACTACTACCTAGTCCTATTCTCTTGGGACATTATTCTGAGTAAGGGCTACTGTTATATAAAAAGTGTAGAATATCACTCAGGAAAGGTCACATGTGGGCGCTTTGGTTCTCAGCTCAAGATGACCCCCAGCCAGTAGTCAGCATCATTTCCAGCCATCTGAGTGAGCTATCCTTGTTATCCTGCCCAGTCAGGCTTTCAAATGAGTGCAGCCCCAGCCATTATAGATGTGCAACTGCCATGAGAAATCCCAAATGAGAACTACCCAGTGGAGAGCTTCCTGAATTTCTGACCTACAAAATCATGACAATTTAAAATCACTGTTTTAAGCCACTAAACTTTGGAACAATTTGTTGTACAAAGTAACCAGAAAATCTGCCTGCAGTTTATTCTCAACATGGGAGTCAGGGTGATCTTTTGACAAATTAAATGGAACGATGATACACTTGCAATGAAAAACCCTGCAATGAAGTGGCCCACCAGATGGGCCCAATTCTCTGACTTCATTAGTTCCTGTCCTCCCCTGCTTACTCAGCTTACAACTGTGCTGGCCTCCATAATATTTGCATATCCTCTCCCTGGATATACCTACCCTAGGGCATTTTCTCCACCTTCTTTCTCTACCTGGAACCCACTACATCCACAGGTTCACTTGGCTAGCTTCTTCATGTCTTTTGTAATTTTGTTAAAATCTCTCCTCTCATTGAGGTCTACTCTAAACCTCCTCCCTCTATTCCTCCTTCGTTCACGACATACTTGACATACTTGATCCCCAACTGTACTCTCTTCATTCTACTTACTTTTTGTAGCCTTTTACACCTTCTAACATATTCATTTGTTATGTCTTTTATTCATTTACAATCTGTTCTTGCTAAAATATATCAATGAAGGGAGGAGTGTGTGTGTGTGTGTGTGTGTGTGTGTGTGTGTGTGTATTATGTGTATGTCATTGCATCCCAAATGCCTGTAACAATGCTTGGTATATATCATGGCATATATCATGGCTTATAAAGTTTTGTTAAAATGTGAGTGAAGATATGGAAAAAGTTTTAGTAGGAAAATCTATTGAAGGTTAGCATTTGTTCAGATTAACCTGTTAAATTTTACTCTATTTTCCTTACAATTTTAAAATTTAAAGTTTACTTAACTTTTTTTACATAACCATTTTTTACTGTGAAAGTGCATTAATTTCAATTAAATGATGCTTTTTAAAAATGAAAAAGAAATACTCAAATCCCAGCATTACGAATCATTCAGAGTTTTAGATCTCAAAGTCACAAATCATTGAATTGTTTTATACGAAGTTAAATGATGCTATTTCGCTTTTGAATATTTTGGAATTAAAGTCTGCTTCATTTTATGATAAATTAGGGAAAAGTAATAGTTCAATTTCAGATTTTGGATTTCATCAAGGGTATCATTCATCTACCATAAATAAGAAAATTCCAAAGCAATGCTGATATACTGCCCTCATCTCACTCTATTAAGTTACACCCATGATATCATTGTAAGCTAACATAGTTTTCACTCATAGTAATGCTCCCCAAAGGGTATCTTTCCAGAGGGTCCTTATTTTGGGTTAATTTAATATATGGTAACTGAGATTTTTGATCAATTATTTACTCAGATTTATTCTGATGGCTGTTTATGAAAGTATTTTTAATTACCAGAATAAAAAGCCTTTGCATTCTATTTGCTCACCTCACAAACAAAAAATTGCAAACATAACTTTCATCCATTTCAGAGATATTTTCCATTCACTTTTTAAACTAGTTTTGAAGACTTTGCAATATGTATATGATGATCACTTAGCAAAATTATAGGTGCTAGTAGTGTAAACTGAAACTAATGCTTCATCCTATAAAATAGAAACATCTATCAGACAGCTAAGAGAACTTCCATAGAGAATACATTCACTGAAAATCCACTTAATTTGCAAGAGTTCAAAGGATATCCATTCTTAACTGAATGACATCAAAAAGAATTGTAAAAATATCTTGTCAAGCAGCATTGTTGTGCTGTCTAGCTTTTTAATCATAGCTTAATGTTCATGCTATTAATGTTTCTGCAAAGACACATAGAGGTCAAGGATGCAGGGAGAGAGAGAAATAGAGAAGGAGAGAATGTGTTAATTACATTTTCTGGGAGTTTGGTAAGATGATGTGACTGCCTTTAGTAAACTATATTAATACTATATTTACAAGCATATGATCTCATTTTAAAATAATTCCTTGAATATAAGAATTCAAGAGATTGGCAAGACAAGAGCGAGTCAAGGGTAAAGTATAAAGGACTTAATATTAATATTTATTAATATTTATGAAAATACAAAAAAGTATATATAAATAAATTGAATTGATATATTAAAGAAGAAATTCAGTCAACAATTTGCATATTTGGCATTCAAATTATGTATCTTATTTAATTTTTTAGAATCCAATTTTTAAATAGTATAACAATAATATACGTAATTGAATATGAGTGTATTTATTAAAGTGATTAGAATTAACATTTGATGTGGGAATATTATATATATCTCTATATAGCTATATATTAAAATCACTCACTATCCCTCAAAAATGTATACACATACATGTGGCCATGCACAGGCACATATTAACATTACTTTACTCAAACAGAAGCATCAATTACAAGTATTCTGGTTAGCATTTTCAGGTAATTTATTATTTAAACCTAAATGAAACAACACTTTCCTTTTGCTTAAAAATCTTTCAACTTACAAGCATTAATTCTAAAATGTGTTCACAGATTTTTAAATATAGATGCAGTGTCAGGATTTGCCTTGAGTACTATTAAAAGGCTCTGATATAAATTTTGTATTGATAGCTTGTGTGTTTTAGTTTGAAAGTAACAGATAACAGTATCAAATACATGATATGGCCTAGAGTTAGCTTTCCTGAATATCTAACTTTCAATTTTAATGAAGAGATACCTTATTTTTGCCTTCTTTTATCAAACATTTCAAGAGCTATAATTTTCTTGCTGCTCTCAGAGACAAAGCATGCCGATCTCATACAGCAAGTGTACTCTGAAGGCTATAAATATTTGCTATTCAGAAAACCTCAATGAGGGTTTAGTTATTTAAAACTAAAGAAAGAAAATTACTATTAATAATTGGTTTCAGCTAATGAAATGTTTTTATGCAAATAGGTGGACCCTAAATATGACCTGGAAACAAAAGGCTGCTTAACAGTTACTATTAAGCAATACATTAGTAGATCAATTAAACAGAACTTCTTTTTAATGAATGTGCTGTACCCTCGTTGCCATAGTAACCTGGAAAGAGAAAGCTTCAGAATGCTAATAACATGAGAAACACAACAAAATGTTTGTAAACATACACCTTGAAATTTGTATGATCAGTGAAGTAATAAAAGGGTGTTGCAAAGAATTTCCCAGCACAAGAGAAAGGACACAATTCAGAATTCAAAGTATTACATTATTTTTTTTCATTATGCAGATCAGCCAAGAAACTGCCAAACATTATGAGTCACACTCACATGCATTAGCTGATATAAGAAACATTCTGCTTTCAGGGTTTGGAAGTAATTATGTCTAAAATCATGTAGCATTAAGTATTAGTGAAAAATTCATGTAGGTTATTTTTTCAGAGTGAAGATGAAGCTAAGACAGTGTTAAAAACAAAAAAATTAAATTCATCACGTATGTAACATTTTCACCCAAAGACATAATCTGTATAAGCTTTTTTTCTCCTTTACTTTTTTCCCTCTAATTCTCTTATTTGAAACCTCTTTTACCCCTTTGTTTTGGTGCATGCATTAATAATATTTGATTTGGCTTAAACAATTCCTAACAAACTGAAATGTCTGGAGCTCTATAGACAAATACTGTTATTAATGCAAGTACAATTACTGAATTGAACAAGAAAAATAATTTGGGCCACTTTAGTTTCTTGACGTCCAATGATAATTACTCCATTTAGATTATACTTTAAAGAGAAACAAAGCAGTGAAATAGCAATTCTATTCATCAAAGAATTAATTTCTTTCCTGTTCACTATTATGACAGAGTATTGGATTCTTTTAGAATCTAATAAATCAGAATTCCTCAACCATTTTGTACTAAATTTCATTCATAATTAGTGAGATAGCAGTTGGGACAAAGACAACATTCCTGTGTCAGTGAAAGCAAAGATAAGATGAAGAGCTTGGCATTGTCCAAGGACATAAGGTTTGTATCCTGTCTCAGGAACCTACAAATCTGACAGAGTGTGAATCTCCCTGTACAGTAGGCCCGGCTGCTTCCTGATTGGCGAAGAGTGAAAAACCTTTCTGTATCCCTCCCAATTAGCTCAACTTGAGTTAATTAGTAGAGTATCGTTGCATATTGTTGATTTCATGTCAATAACATAAAGGTGGTCAGTGTGTTTGCTGCTTCAAATAATTACTATTAGAAATGTACTTTATAATGATACATTCCTTAAGGAAAATCATATTTCTCCAGAATCTTGTCCTAGGACATAGGAAGAAAATTACATGTCCCACATGCTACTGTTAAGAGGTCCATATTTTCTTCCTGCCCCTATATTTATTCAGGCTCCACTGTCTAAACATTTGATTGGAAACTGGCACTATTTTGATAATAATCATTAAATATGAATTACCTCATCCTTCTAGGTATTAAAAATTGGGAATTAATTTTTCAAAATTCTGAAGGAAATAAATTTTTTGACACAGTTCACGTTAAGTACATTTTACTGAACAAAAACAGCAGCACAGATTACTGCAAGTGTTATTACTCTTTTAATATGAGAAAAATTTATTACATGAAAATAGCCATCTCCCAAATAACCATAATAAATAAATGTTAACTTTTGTCATATTTGCTTTAGATCTTTCCTTTCATATGAGAAATAAACAAACCATCACATACTTAAACTCCTTTTATCATTCGGAAGCTTAATCATTCTTCTGTGCCAGCAGGTAGCTGTGATCTTGAATTTGGCTTGTAACAATTCAAAACAAAAGTTCCACAGAAAAGAACTCATAAGTAACACAGGGAATGTTTCGATTGCCATATGTGTTATGCTATATCTGGATGTCATACTATGTTTTATTGTTTTAAACTCTTTTTATGTTTAAACAATGAAATTGAACAAGGTCATTCTAACATAGTATTTCTGAACTCGACACATTTTACTTATCCATAAACCTGTTGATATTTAGGTAATTTCAGATTTTACTTTATACAAAAATGCTGCGCTATTTAACAAAGCCCTACTATTGGCATTTCCTGGGAGTAAATTAACCCATTTGTTGGACTGTTTGCTTACATTATTTTTTTCTTTTGGTTTTCAGGTTTGTATTGATTAATATTTGTTTCTGGTTTTCAACAACTTTTTCTTCTCTTACCTGAACTTGTCCTCCTGGACACAGCAATTACCTGTTGTCTCTATCTGTCCTCCTCAGGTACCTATTTGAGACTAGGTAATAAATTGGTAATTGGGGTCTGTGCTTCTTTGTGTATACTGCAAATCCATTAGATATTTTGTCCCAAGTTAACGTTTTTAGGCTATTTCTCCTTCCTTCTTTTTCCCAAGTCAAGTACCTGTAGTCAGTTGCACACCAGAGTGCCAGATATTGACCACAGGCTGTATTGGGTGTCAATTACAATGGGAGGCTTTTTCTGAGTGTCTAGTTTTGCTGCATCAAGCCTGGCTTGTTATTGGAGGACATAAAAGTACTTTTGATCTCTAATAGGAATTTAACTTCATCTTCTGGAATAAAGGGCTTGAGGAATGTGGGTAGTAAGCTCCAGTCAGCTATTTACATTTGTAATAAGCCTAGGCTGTTTGACAAGACATGTGGGCCAGAGGTAATCCCAATAAGATGTTAAATAGAATAGATGATCTTCCTTATTGTAAGAGTAGGTTATAGCTAGATGAACAAGGCATTCATTCATTCATTCACTAGATAATTATTTATTCACTTTATTAATCAAAGTCAAAATATGACTTCATTAATAAAGTCATAATAATTTATTGACTAATTATTTATGGGCTTTAAGCCAGACCCTTCGATAAAACTAGGTCTAGTAAGATGACAAGATGAGGTCTCAATCTTCTTGGTACTTATGAAATTTACCTACTGATAATTTGTGAGACTATATTGTAGCCACATGATAGTTTTAAAAGGAAATACAAAGGGAAATACGTCATTTCTAGTCTCTATACATATATAGGCATATACCTATACCTTCCAATTCAGGAGATTTGTAGATATATACCTATACCTTCCAGTCCAGGAGATTAATTAAAGGCTTACTTCTGGTGTGGGTCTGAGGAGTTTCATTCCTGGATGAAATAATTCAGGCATCCAAACTTCCTTAGTTTGTATTGCTACCATCTTAAAAACATGGTCACCACAGATGTCACCACAGAAGAAGAAAACGTATCAGAGGTTTGAACTAGATATATTTCCAAGGCCGCATATGGGTATGAGTTACATCATTCCTATGCATAATATATTGCCAAGAACTTAGTCATGTGGCCCCCAACCTGGCCGCAGGAAAATGTAGCCTTCTAGGTGCCCAGGAATTGGAATTACATTTGTAAGCTCCTAAGTAATGTTTGTTATTTTGTGATTATCAGATTACTTCTGTAAATAATCACAAAATAAATATTAGTAAGAAGAAAAAGATGTGTGATGATATAAATATGAATCACTATTTTTAAGATAGGAAGAACTCAGTTTGTCATTTTCATTAACTTTACTCCATCCTAAGACAATATTTTAAGTACTTCATTGGTGTGAAGTTTCAGAGGACATTCGAAGATGCATTCATCAAGTGTAGTTCAATCAACCTGGATTTTTTTTAAAGTTATGATAATTTTGTTTCAAAGTGCAACCGTTATGTTTAAAGACTTGTTGAGGGTCTCAATGATTGAATAAACCACTTTACTCTCCAAAAACTGAATAAAAGCAGTGATACTGTGTTAGTTTTCTGTTGCTGCATAAAGACTGTATAAGTCCATTCTGACACTGCTAATATAGACACACCAAAGACTGGGTAATTTACAAAGAAAAAGAGGTTTAATGCACTCATAGTTTCACATGACTGGGGAGGCCTCACAATCATGGTGGAAGGCAAAGGAGGAGCAAAGTCACATTCTACGTGGAGGCAGGCAAGAGAGAAAGGATGTGCAGGAGAACACCCCTTTATAAAACTGTCAGATCTCATGAGACTTATTCACTAACACAAGAACAGCATGGGAAAGACCAACCCTCATTATTCAATTACCTCCCACTAGATCCCTTCCACAACACATGGGAATTATGAGAGCTACAGTTTAAGATTTGGGTGGGGACACAGACAACCATATCACATGATAGCTGTTACCACAAATTTTGCAGCTTAAAAAAACCTCCATTTATTAGGCCACAGTTCTGTAGGTTACAAGTCTAGGTACAAGTGGCTGGATTTCTTTAAGGATATCACAGAAATCAAGGTGTTGGCCAGGCCAGGCTCATATCTGGAGGCTGTGGAAAAGAACTCACTTCCAGGCTTATTAAGTTTTTTGGAAAAATCCAGTTCCTTGTGATTTTTAAGTCCTAGGTCATGGTTTCCTTTACTGCTGTTTGGGAAGGCCATTCTTTTCCCTAGGAGGATGCTCACATTTCTTGCCATTTGGCCAGCAACAGCATATTGAGTCCTTCTCACGCTTAAAGTCTTTCTTTCCTGCCTTCCTCTTCTGTTTTTATGGGCCTAGTGATTAGGTCAAGCCTGCACAGAGAATCTTCCTATCTTAAGTTCAACTAGGCCAAATAGCATAACAATACCTCATCAAACTCACCAGTTCCAGGGATTAGGGTGGCACGTCTTTTGGGGTGGGGGTAGAAGTGGGGGCATTTTAAAAATTATGCCTACCACAAATATATTTAAGGAAAGTAATTTTTTAAATCCTTGAAGAAGAAGGTAATGATTCAATAATTGTATTGGAGTACTATTTTCAGAAGAATATGGATATAGTTCTTTTCTAGAAAATCGTTAAAAACCCAGTGTCTTTATTTGCTTCTATTCCCTGCACTGCATTTTATTTATATAGAAACCTCACTTTATTTCTTGATTAACCACTCTCATCACAAGGAGTGTAATATAGTATTTTCTCAGTAGGAGATAAATGTAACACTTGAGAATACTTGGATGTTTCCTCCTGTGCAGTAAGGGCTTGGAATAAGCGATAGAAAGACATATTGGCAAATGCACAGATACAAAGCCTATATGTTGTCATTTATATACCAGGACCACGGTACAGGAAAGTCTCTGAGTGTATAGGTCCCCTATTAATGCCATTTTACATGTTGGATGTTAACAATAAAAAAGTATTATCTCCTTAAAACTTTGAACACGGAACTATGAAGATCGAGAACTATGTGGATTGAATTGTCACTGCCAAGCACACAACTGAGGTTTATATACAGGAAAAAATATGTAATAGTGGTACCCAAGCATATTTTGTAAAAGCCAAAGCTACCTGGTGTAATTTCAGCTAGAACAACTTCAAAAGCTAACAAAAAATGTCAGCAAATATAAATAAATCATGTTTCTTAAAATTTTTACACAGAAAATTACAAAAACTTTCGTAACTTGTATTCATAGCTGGCACACATAGGAAACAAAAATTAACTCTATGTAAGTTATATGTAAGTTTCAATCACTAGGCATGATAATTTCTCTACCCACACAGCATCTATGTTCGGTAAAGCCATTTTCTGTGGCTTTTTTTTTCTTAATGTTTCATGTCTCTTTTATTTTTATTTATTTATTTTTTATTATTATTATACTTTAAGTTTTAGGGTACATGTGCACAATGTGCAGGTTAGTCACATATGTATACGTGTGCCATGCTGGTGTGCTGCACCCATTAACTCGTCATTTAGCATTAGGTATATCTCCTAAAGCTGTACCTCCCCCCTCTCTCCACCCCAAAACAGTCCCCAGAGTGTGATGTTCCCCTTCCTGTATTCTCATTGTTCAATTCCCACTTATGAGTGAGAATATGCAGAGTTTGGTTTTTTATTCTTGTGAGAGTTTACTGAGAATGATGATTTCCAATTGCATCCATGTCCCTGCAAAGGACATGAACTCATCATTTTTTATGGCTGCGTAGTATTCCATGTGTATATGTGCCACATTTTCTTAATCCAGTCTATCATTGGTGGACATTTGGGTTGGTTCCAAGTCTTTGCTATTGTGAATAGTGCCACAATAAACATACGTGTGCATGTGTCTTTATAGCAGCATGATTTATAGTCCTTTGGGTATATAGCCAGTAATGGGATGGCTGGGTCAAATGGTATTTCCAGTTCTAGATCCCTGAGGAATCGCCACACTGACTTCCAGGTGGTTGAACTAGTTTACAGTCCCACCAACAGTGTAAAAGTGTTCCTATTTCTCCACATCCTCTCCAGCACTTGTTGTTTCCTGACTTTTTAATGATTGCCATTCTAACTGGTGTGCGATGGTATCTTATTGTGGTTTTGATTTGCATTTCTCTGATGGCCAGTGATGGTGAGCATTTTTTCATGTGTTTTTCGGCTGCATAAGTGTCTTCTTTTGAGAAGTATCTGTTCATGTCCTTTGCCCACTTTTTGATGGGGTTGTTTGTTTTTTTCTGGTAAATTTGCTTGAGTTCATTGTAGATTCTGGATATTAGCCCTTTGTCAGATGAGTAGGTTGCAAAAATTTTCTCCCATTTTGTAGGTTGCCTGTTCACTCTGATGGTAGTTTTCTTTTGCTGTGCAGAAGCTCT
This sequence comes from Homo sapiens, assembly GCF_000001405.40. Lineage (NCBI taxonomy): Eukaryota > Metazoa > Chordata > Mammalia > Primates > Hominidae > Homo > Homo sapiens. Next base: position 51,738,124 of record NC_000005.10, read on the forward strand.
TTAGTTTAATTAGATCCCATTTGTCAATTTTGGCTTTTGTTGCCATTGCTTTTGGTGTTTTAGACATGAAGTCCTTGCCCATGCCTATGTCCTGAATGGTAATGCCTAGGTTTTCCTCTAGGGTTTTTATGGTTTTAGGTCTAATGTTTAAGTCTTTAATCCATCTTGAATTAATTTTTGTATAAGGTGTAAGGAAGGGATCCAGTTTCAGCTTTCTACATATGGCTAGCCAGTTTTCCCAGCACCATTTATTAAATAGGGAATCCTTTCCCCATTGCTTGTTTTTCTCAGGTTTGTCAAAGATCAGATAGTTGTAGGTATGCAGCATTATTTCTGAGGGTTCTGTTCTGTTCCATTGATCTATATCTCTGTTTTGGTACCAGTACCATGCTGTTTTGGTTACTGTAGCCTTGTAGTATAGTTTGAAGTCAGGTAGCGTGATGACTCCAGCTTTGTTCTTTTAGCTCAGGATTGACTTGGCGATGCAGCCTCTTTTTTGGTTCCATATGAACTTTAAAGTAGTTTTTTCCAATTCTGTGAAGAAAGTCATTGGTAGCTTGATGGGGATGGCATTAAATCTATAAATTACCTTGGGCAGTATGGCCATTTTCATGATATTGATTCTTCCTACCCATGAGCATGGAATGTTCTTCCATTTGTATGTATCCTCTTTTATTTCATTGAGCAGTGGTTTCTAGTTCTCCTTGAAGAGGTCCTTCACGTCCCTTGTAAGTTGGATTCCTAGGTATTTTATTCTCTTTGAAGCAATTGTGAATGGGAGTTCACTCATGATTTGGCTCTCTGTTTGTCTGTTATTGGTGTATAAGAATGTTTGTGATTTTTGTACATTGATTTTGTATCCTGAGACTTTGCTGAAGTTGCCTATCAGCTTAAGGAGATTTTGGGCTGAGACAAGGGAGTTTTCTAGATATACAATCATGTCATCTGCAAACAGGGACAATTTGACTTCCTCTTTTCCTAATTTAATTGAATGCCCTTTATTTCCTTCTCCTGCCTAATTGCCCTGGCCAGAACTTCCAACATTATGTTGAATAGGAGTGGTGAGAGAGGGCATCCCCATGTGGTGCCAGTTTTCAAAGGGAATGCTTCCAGTTTTTGCCCATTCAGTATGATATTGGCTGTGGGTTTGTCATAGATAGCTCTTATTATTTTGAGATACGTCTCATCAATACCTAATTTATTGAGAGTTTTTAGCATGAAGCGTTGTTGAATTTTTGTCAAAGGCCTTTTCTGCATCTATTGAGATAATCATGTGGTTTTTGTCTTTGGTTCTGTTTATATGCTGGATTACATTTATTGATTTGCGTGTATTGAACCAGCCTTGCATCCCAGGGATGAAGCCCACTTGATCATGGTGGATAAGCTTTTTGATGTGCTGCTGGATTTGGTTTGCCAGTATTTTATAGAGGATTTTTCCATTGATGTTCATCAAGGATACTGGTCTAAAATTCTCTTTTTTGGTTGTGACTCTGCCTGACTTTGGTATCTGGATGATGCTGGCCTCATAAAATGAGTTAGGGAGGATTCCTTCTTTTTCTATTGATTGGAATAGTTTCAGAAGGAATTGTACCAGTTCCTCCTTGTACCTCTGGTAGAATTCAGCTGTGAATCCATCTGGTCCTGGACTGTTTTTGGTTGGTAAGCTATTGATTATTGCCACAATTTCAGAACCTGTTATTGGTCTATTCAGAGAGTCAACTTCTTCCTGGTTTAGTCTTGGGAGAGTGTATGTGTCCAGGAATTTATCCATTTGTTCTAGATTTTCTAGTTTATTTGGGTAGACGTGTTTGTAGTATTCTCTGATGGTAGTTTGTATTTCTGTGGGATCGGTGGTGATATCCCGTTTGTCATTTTTTATTGCATCTATTTGATTCTTCTCTCTTTTCTTCTTTATTAGTCTTACTAGCGGTCTATCAATTTTGTTGATCCTTTCAAAAAACCAGCTCCTGGATTCATTAATTTTTTGAAGGGTTTTTTGTGTCTCTATTTCCTTCAGTTCTGCTCTGATTTTAGTTATTTCTTGCCTTTGCCAGCTTTTGAATGGGTTTGCTCTTGCTTTTCTAGTTCTTTTAATTGTGATGTTAGGGTGTCAATTTTGGGTCTTTCCTGCTTTCTCTTGTGGGCATTTAGTGCTATAAATTTCCCTCTACACACTGCTTTCAATGTGTCCCAGAGATTCTGGTATGTTGTTCTTTGTTCTCGTTGGTTTCAAAGAACATCTTTATTTCTGCCTTCATTTCATTATGTACCCAGTAGTCATTCAGGAGCAGGTTGTTCAGTTTCCGTGTAGTTGAGTGGTTTTGAGTGAGTTTCTTAATCCTGAGTTCTAGTTTGATTGCACTGTGGTCTGACAGACAGTTTGTTATAATTTCTGATCTTTTACATTTGCTGAGGAGTGCTTTACTTCCAACTATGTGGTCAATTTTGGAATAGGTGTGGTGTGGTGCTGAAAAGAATGTATATTCTGTTGATTTGGGGTGGAGAGTTCTGTAGATGTCTATTAGGTCCGCTTGGTACAGAGCTGAGTTCAATTCCTGGGTATCCTTGTTAACTTTCTGTCTCGTTGATCTGTCTAATGTTGACAGTGGGGTGTTATAGTCTCCCACTATTATTGTATGGGAGTCTAAGTTTCTTTCTAGGTCTCTAAGGACTTGCTTTATGAATCTGGATGCTCTTGTATTGGGTGCATATATATTTAGGACAGTTAGCTCTTCTTGTTGAATTGATCCCTTTACCATTATTTAATGGCCTTCTTTGTCTCTTTTGATCTTTGTTGGTTTGAAGTCTGTTTTATCAGAGACTAGGATTGCAACCCCTGCCTTTTTTTGTTTTCCATTTGCTTGGTAGATCTTCCTCCATCCTTTTATTTTGAGCCTATGTGTGTCTCTGCACGTGAGATGGGTTTCCTGAATACAGCACACTGATGGGTCTTGACTCTTTATCCAATTTGCCAGTCTGTGTCTTTTAATTGGTTCTGCGGCTTTTTTCCTTCTCACATTTAGCTGTAGTTTGCACAAGAAATACAAAATTCCTTCAATAACAGTCTAAAATATATTAAATGGCACTGAAATTATTCAACATTACGAAAAAGTATAAGGTCTATATACATAAAATCAGTGAATTTGTTGTAAACAAATTAGGATTTTTGTGTTCAAGTGAATCTTCTTCAAAAAGTTATCTAGGATGTCTAAAGAGTTACCTTTACTAACATTGCCATTAAGCAATGGATTTTTGTAGAGTTATAATTCAGCAAAGCATTTTTGTAACATATCCATTGAATGAATATTTGTCCCAATTACATTGTGCTTTTTATTTTTATTTTTTCCTGTTGGAGTGTGTAGCTGTTGCCCTTAAAACCCACAGGGCATTTGTGTTAAATGTTCTCATCAGTAGTGACTATTTTTCTTTTGATGATTTATTTGATTTATTAAACATTTACAGTTTAACTTGTTGTTAAGTCTAATTTCTAAGGTAGATGAAAAAGACATTCTTGAGGCCGAGCATGGTGGCTCACTCCTGTAATCCCAGCACTTTGAGGGCTGAGGCAGGTGTATCACCTGAGGTCGGGAGTTCAAGACCAGCCTGACCAACATGGAGAAACCCCGTCTCTATTAAAAATACAAAATTAATTGGGCATGGTGGCACACGCCTGCATGCCTGTAATCCCAGCTACTTAGGAGACTGAGGCAAGAGAATCACTTGAACTCGGGAGGCAGAAGTTGTGGTGAGCTGAGTTCATGCCATTGCACTCCAGCCTGGGCAACAAGAGCGAAACTATATCTCAAACAAAGAAAAAAAGAAAAGAAAGAAATAAAAAGACATTCTTGCTCCCAATATAGTGTATTAACATTCTTCACTTGTCCAAAGCAACTTCTAGATTTCAGACTCTTTATTTTCCAGTTTCATATAAAACCCATATTTTCCTTTGTAACTTATGCTCCTTTACTCAACCAACCACATTATTCCTCCTTCTTCCTTTATACACTAAAAACCTTACTAGTTTTGTGATGTTGGACAAGTTAACATTTCTATGCTTCGTTGCACTAATTGTACCCACCACATATAATTACTGTTTCCTGGACCATGGGTCTTCTTCTTTCCAGGATCCAAAACTATGATGAATATTACTAATCTATTTTCAGTTTCATATGGGGTCCCTTCATATGCTAATGTGCCCCTAAGACATACAGGTGTACCTCGGTGATTTGGTGGGTTGGCTTTAGATCACAGCAGTAAAGTTAAGATTGCTATAAAGTTAGTTACACAAACTTTTTGGTTTCCTGGTGCATAAAAAAGCTATGTTTACCCTGTACCATAGCCTCTTAAGCATGCAATAGCATTATCTCTAAAAAAAGTACATACCTTAATTAGAAATATTTTATTGCTAAAAATGCTTTAAATCATCCAAACCTTTAGCAAGTCATAATCTTTCTGATTGAAAATCTTGTCTTAATGTTGATGGCTGCTGACTGAACAGGGTAGTGGTTGCTGAAGGCTGCATTGACTGTGGCAATTTCTTAAGACAGTACAATGATGCTTGCCACATCAATTGACTCTTTCATTTATAGCCAAAGATTTATCTATAGCATACAATGCTGTTTGGCAGCATTTTATTCACCGTAGAACTTCTTTTAAAATTGGAGTTAATCCTCTCAAACCCTGCTGCTGCTTTATAAACTAACTTCTAAATCGTTTGTTGTCATTTCAGCAATGTTCACAGCATCTTCACCAGGAATAAATTTCATCTCAAGAAATTAATTTATTTGCTCACCCATAAGAAGAAACTCTTAAACTGTTGAAGTTATATCATGAGATTGGGGCAATTCAGTTACATCTTCAGGTACCACTTCTAATTTTAGTTATCTTGCTATTTCTATCCATCTGCTGTGATATCCCCTAGTGAAATCTTGAAACTTTTAAAGTCATGTATAAGGGATGAAACCGACTTCTTCCGAACTCCAGTTAATGTTGATATCTTGACCTTCTCCCATGAATCATTAATGTTCTTAATGGCATTTAGAACGGTGATTTCTTTTCAGAAGGCTTTTAATTTACTTTGCCCAGATCCATCAGAGGACTCACTATCTACGGCAGCTGTATCCTTGCAAAATGCAATTCTGAATAACTGAATTTGATAGTCAAAATTACTCATTAATTCATGTGCTACAAAATGGACGTTCTGTTAGCAGGTATACAAACAACATTCATCTTCCTGTCCGTCTCTATCAGAGTTCTTGGGTGCATTGTCAATGAGCAGTAATATTTTGAAAAGAATCTTTTTATCTGAGCAGTAGGTCTCAACAGAAGGCATAAAATAGTAAAACTTGCTCTAAACAGATGTGCTGTTATCTAGGCTTTGATGGATCATTTTAGAACATAGGCAGAGTAAATATTGTGACATTTTTAAGGCTTCTAGAATTTCTGAATCGTAAATAAACATTAGCTTCAACTTAAAGTCACCTGATACTTCAGCCTCTAACAAAAGAGTCAGCCTGTTCTTCGAAGCCAGGCATTGACTTCTCCTTTCTAGTTATGAGTCCTAGATGGCATCTTCTTCCAATATAAGGGTGTTTCATCCACATTGAAAATCTGTTTACTGTAGCCACCTTCATCAATTATATTAGCTTGATCTTCTAGGTAACTTGCCGCAGCTTGCACATTTGCATTTGCTGCTTCACCTGGTACTTTTTTATTATGGAGATGGATTCTTTCCTAAACCTCATAAACCAACAAACTCTCCTAGCTTCTCTTTGGCAGTTTCATCACCTCTCTAAGCCTTCGTAGAATTGAAAAGAGCCTTGTTCTGGATTAGGATTTGGCTGAAGGGAGTGCTGTGGCTGGTATGATCACCTATCCAGACCACTCAGACTTTCTCGGTATTAGCAATAAGGCCGTTACCCTGTCTTATCATTCATGTGTTCACTGGAGTAGCGCTTTTAATTTTCTTTAAGAAATATTTCTTTGCATTCACAACTTGGGTAACTGTTTGTTGCAAGAGGGCTAGCTTTTGGCCTAACATTCAACATGCTTTCCTCAGCAAGCTTCATCATTTCTAGCATTCTGAATGAAAATGAAAGAAGTGCAACTCTTCCTTTCACTCAAATACTTGGAAGCCATGGTAGAGATATTAATTAGTCTTATTTCAATATTATTGTGTCTCAATGAATAAGGAGGTCCAAGGAAAGGAAGAGAGGTGGACAGACAGTGGATCAGCAGAGCACTCAGAACACTCACATTTATCAATTAAGTTCCTCATGTCATATAGGTGTGGTTTGTGGTGCCCCAAACCAATACAATACATTTATCAATTAAGGTCCTCATGGCATATGGGAGTGGTTTGTGGTGCCCCAAACCAGTACAATAGTGACATCACAGATCACTGATCACAGATCACCATAACAGATATAATCATAATGAAAAAAGTTTTAAATATTATGGGAATTGTCAAAATGTGACACAGAGACATGAAGTGAGCACATGATGTTAGAAAAATGGTGCCAAGAGACTTGCTTGATTCAAGGTTACCACAAACCTTCAATTTGTAACAAATTCAAAATCAGTGAAGCACAATAAAGGGAAGTGCAATACAATGAGGTATGCTTTTACTTATGTTTGTATTATTTGCAGGAAGTGTGTTTAGAGTTTTAAACAACAGATTTACAAATAATGTTTGCTCTATGATATTTTAATAGGTAAAGAATTTTCTTTACTAGTCCTATATCAGATGAAATAACCAATGTCTTTTGAAAGTATACTTTGATAAAGTTAAGGAACTTCCATTATTTATCTAAAATTATTACTTTAGCTTTAAGGTTCTATGTGCACAGCCAGAAAGTCAATTAGCTTCACAAAGAAACCACTACCGTATCCTTATTAAAGAATAAGTAGCCTTTGCAAAAAGAAAAAAAGAGCTATAGTGTTTCTCCATTTAACATGAATAGGAAACCATGGAGCTGAGATGAAACAGTGAAAAAGGTAAGTCCTCAGGGAACATAATAACCTCAGTCTATGAAAAAAAATTAAAGTCCAGGTTATTTTTTGATAATAACAAATGATTTTCTCATTCTTTTGTTTATCAAGCTTTTACTATAAAACTTTCTGTGTCCTTTGGATTATTAAGTTTTAACTTGACCTAAGTAGAGAAAAATAGTTTCAGATTTTCAAAGAACATCTCCGTCATTACAAATTTTATTCAACCTCTAAAAAAAAAAAAAAAAAACCACAAATGCAGGAAACACTTTTCCAATTCACCCTACATATATTTAACCCTCTTAGCCTTTAAATAATACATTTTAAGTGAGTCACTTTAATAGTCCAGCTATGGTACTATGAACATTGGCAGCCTGAGATAGAGAAATTGTGTTTTGCTAAAATGCAACAGTATATCTGCTCCTCTTCTCAAGAATCTAATATGACCAGCTACACATTGCAGAAAAGAAATACTGCCACCGCCATGATAGCTGTGATAGTTTCCTGAAGTTTTCTGCATAGCAGAGTTTCCTTCAACACTCTTCTGTTATATGTGTTCATTTAGATACAAATAAGGAATAAGTAGAAAGCGTCATATAGTTGGGTATATCAAAAGGCTTTAGCGCCTTCAGAGAGACCAATTTCTTAATACTAAAACCTACAAGGTAGGGTCTAGAATTTCCTCTTATGTCTCAGTGTTATGCCAGTGTTTAATATCCTCTTAGTAATATATTTCACCAAATATTTTTATTCACTTGCCTCTCTTTAAATAGACAACAATAAGAGGAGCAAAAAATCTTCTGTTTATAATTAAGCAAGAAAATATTCATAACACCAAATATTAAACTGGCAAAGCAGGGTGGCCAAAACAATGAGGTTTAAAGTTGAATCAGTAAAAATGACAAGGTCACAAGACAGATGTTCTTAATAGTGAAAGCACTTGTTCTGAAAAGCTTACCCAGTGATATTTGCACTAAAGTAATAAAATATATGGGTGTGACAGGACTACAAAAGAAGCTGTGAATGTTCATTTATTTTAATATCCAGCTGCACATTTCAGAATAAGCAGGTGGATCTGCAGAAGAAACTAATTTGTCTTGTGATTTGTGCAGTCCCAAAGCCAACATGGTACTAATGGAGACCATTAGAGGTGAATAGAGTGAAGGAGAGAAGGGAGAAAAGAGCCTACTATGATGATGTAATACACATAGACCATCAACTCTATATAACTGTTTCTAAGAACTATATTCCAGCATTGACTTCTATGTCAAACAGTCCTGAATCCTTTATTTTCTAGTGAAGAGTTCAGTATGAATCAACCCAAATTTGTATTCTTTACCAGCTTGCTCTAACTATATTCTCCTGTAGGGCTTAATGTCATCATACTTCCTAGTTGTCAAAGCCTGAAGTCTCTGCATTATTTTAGACTCCTTTTTCTCTTGCTCCTAGAAAACGGTTCTAACATGTTTCTCTCCCTCTCAAGAAGTTCTCTTAGGTGACATTAAACAAACAAAACCAAACATTTAATTTACTATGAAAACATCTATCTTATGAAACTTCCAAACCATTCACTCCAATCTGTTTGGACTTTTGCCTAGGAGAGACCTTTCTATGGAGCAACTTTCAAGTTTTCTTGCTCTTTTTATTTCCTGTTTAAGGTCTGTAATATTGTCTTCCTCCTCTGAATTTCTTTTTTTTTTTTTTGAGACAGAGTCTCGCTCTGTCGCCCAGGCTGGAGTGCAGTGCTCACAGCAACCTCCACCTCCTGGGTTCAAGCAATTCTCCTGCCTCAGCTTCCTGAATAGCTGAGATCACAGATGTGCACCATCACGCCCGGCTAATTTTTGTATTTTTAGTAGAGACGGGGTTTCACCATGTTGGTCAGGCTGGTCTCGAACTCCTGGCCTCATGTGATCTGCCCACCTCGGCCTCCTAAAGTGTTGGGATTACAGGCATGAGCCACCATGCCGGGCCCCTCCTTTGAATTTCAATAGACTATTTAGTTCATACTACTCATACAATACCTATAATATAATTTATTTTTAAACAAACAATCTTTGTGTATTAGTCTGTTTTGCATGGCTCTAAAGAAATACCTGAGGCTTCGTAATTTATAAAGAAAAGAGGTTTATTTGGCTTATGGTTCTTCAGGCTATACAAAAAGCATAGTCCTGGCATCTGCTTAGCTTCTGGTGATGACCTCAGGAAGTTTTTACTCATGGCAGAATGCAAGGGGAGCAGTGTGTTGCATGGCAAGATGAGGAGCAAAATAGAGACGCGGTGTGGGGGGGTGCCAGGCTCTTTCCCACAACCAGCTCTCCCAGTTCTCCTGTAAACTAATAGAATGAGAAGTCACTCATTACTACAGGACAGCACCAACTCATTCATGAGGGATCTGCCCCCATGACCCAAACACTTCCCACTAGGCCTACTTTCAACACATTTTAACATGAAATTTGGAAGGGACAAATATCCAAACTATATCACTTTATTAGGGGGTTAATAAAACCTACATTATACAAAGAATAAATGTGAATAACACACCATGTCTGCCCTTTAGGAAATTACTAGTTGATGTGCAAAGAAGAGTGGCATAGGCAAGTAATCTAGTTGTTATTATTTATTGTGCCACGTTTTTTGTGTACTATATCTACTTTGTGTATCTGTGTAAATGTATATCAAAATATGCTCTAAGTTCATTCAAGGTTGGGGCTACACATAATAACATTGATTGTGGTAGATAACAATGATATGTTTTTTACTAATTGAAATGATAAATATTTATCATCTATGAAGTTCTGTGCTTTCTGGCTTTACTGTGCTTAAACAAAAGGACATGGTGTCTTGTGTGTGTTTTGCTTTTGAGATACTAATATACAACATTTCTATTTGGACCTTCCTTTTAGTTTACTTTAAAATGAACAATACAAGGGCTGAGGAAGAGAGTGATGAGAGGGAGAGGGAACGAGAGGATAGAGGAGAAGAGGGGAGAGAGAGAGAGCAATAACTAAGCATTCCATTATGTAGACTGCAGACTGGGGAACTCCTCCAGACAAACCTGGAGGAAGAAGCTGTCTAAGGTGTCAGGCTACTGCTGCGTGTTCCTTTATCTCTGTCAAATACATCCCTAGTCATCCATTTCAAAGTCTACTTTGTGAGCCAGAGATTTCCCCTAGGAAGTGGCTAGAAAGCCCAGTTGGTGAAGAAGGAAGCGAAGGCTGTCACTGAGATGGTGCCTATCAGCTACATCAGGTCAGACACGCACTTGACCTTTCTTGAGTAGTTTCCTAATTCATGTTCCTAGTGTAGATCTGTATTAATTTACTTTTCCCTTATTTCACTGGCCTCTCATTTAGTCTTAGGGTCATTGCTCCAGATTTAGAAAGGTGAGGAATATCAGGCCGCTATGGGGATTAAACAATTCTAGCCACACATTAATTATTGGAAAAGAAACTGTGCAACCAGCAAATCCTCAGAAAGAAAACATATTCATTCATTTCCAAGGAGCTGTAGCAGCCTTTCTAATAATGATATTCGATTTCCCTTACTCACACATCACTTAGTCAGCAAACTGACTTTTGCTACTCTCCTCCCTTCTGTGCTGCAATGTGTTTAACTACATTTCTTCAGTATGGAGGATGGAGACAGAAAATATAATTTAATGCAGCCTTGTGCATATTACCTCAGGAAGGAAAAGCAGTATATGGAAGTCCCTCAGGAGATGCAAGTGCTGCCATGTCAAACTTCATCAGAGCCCTAGTTTTCCTCATGTCATGGCAAAGTGCCAGTTTACCTTTAACTCAATTCTCTTGGGTTTAGAAGCAATTGGCAAGGGATGCATTTCAAAATCCAGAAACACATTTCTTTTGTGCTTTCGCTTTTTTAACTTTTATATGTGCTTTAAGTTCACCTGTCAAATCTTTTTTTATACATGTATATATCTCATGCAAGTGTTGTCTATTTCCATATAGTGCCAAATCAATAAAAAGAGACTATTGGTCTACACATGCACACACGCACACACACACACACACACAGAAACACAAACACATGAGTGATTCACTAAATGAAAACTTAACACTTTTAACAGACTTGATTTTGTGAAGTATTTTACTTTCCAGCTACATTAACCCATACGTACATGTTTTTCTGTTTGCTTTAAATAAGTTTGTCAGGTACTTGACAACCAACCTATATGTCTACAGTGTTTTGTATAAGTTTTCCTGAGGTGAAGTATCACATTTGCAATTACTTTTTAAATTGCTCACCAAGATAGACAAGCAGATGGATAGATAGATGATAGATGATTGATTGATGATAGAAAGACGATTGATAGACAGAAAGATGATAGATATAGATAGATAAAAGATAGATAGATTAGATAGATAGATAGATAGATAGATAGATAGATGATAGATAGATAGATAACTTACACAGTGAGAGAGAACGAACATGATAGCAAACAAATATGCAAGATGTTGACAAATGGTGAAGTGAAGTGAAGGTTATACAGTACTCATTTTACTCTTTTTTTCACCTTGTAGATTTAATTTTTTCCAGTAAAAGACTGGGAAAAACAGTGCTTCCTATAAACGTAACTTTGGATCTTCTTAAACTTTTAAAGGACAGGTACTGCACTGTCTAGAGCTGAGCTTTTGTGCTTGCTTTGGATTGAGTTCAAAGACTTCTGGAGATTCACCTGGGTTCTAGGGTGCCTTTGTCTAACTGGAAATCTACAGGCCCTAAATCAAATAAAATGTATGGGTCAGAACATCACTAGGGTTTGGAATAAAACAAAGGCATTGCAAAGAATAGGTTTTCTTTTAAGTCAGAAAGAGCTGAATTGGCTATTATTTACAGAGCAACAGAAAAGAATTTTTAAAAAGCCTGGCCAGCAGTGAAGCACAGAAGAAATGAAATAAAAATTGACTTCCACTCAAACTGGCATATGATTAAACTATCCCCTTTCCAAATCTGTCAACTATTTGGAGGATGGAAGGAGGGATACATGGGGGTGGGTGAAATGAAGAGTGGGTAAAATACAGTCAAATTGTAAAGGGTCCTTGGTAAGAATAAAATGAAAGTGGGGGCCATTGTGCTCTCTAAATAAAATTGACAATCAATCAATGCTGTCAAATTCACCCTAATAACAGCCACTGTTCCCCCAGGAGAATGTCAAGAAAATGAAAGTTCTTGTCACTTTTGTGTTTGAAATTTGGGGCTTTACTTTGATGCCTAGATTCTGAGCTGCTCTCAGAATAAGTAAAGGGAGTAAGAATAATAGCACAATGCTATGTTCTGGGAATCACTTTGCTCCCCAGTGGGAATCATGAGGTATCCTAGCACATGAACCAGCGAACTTACACTGGGTTGACTATGCCGATAAAATCCAAAAGCACCAAGATTCCATAGCTGAATTGCTGTAAAAAGAACTTCTCTAAAAATGACTGCATAGCTGCACTGAGAGTAAAGGTTTGATTTAGAGAATAGATGAATAATTAAATTTATTTATAAAACAATTCAACAAACATATATTGAGATTTAATATGTTCCAGGAGCTCTGCTAGATGCTGAGGATATCAAAACATAGTGGGCAGATTCTGCTCACAGGGAAGGTAGTAAGACCGTTACTTGAGCAGAGTCAGTATTTAACAGGAAGCTTTTCCTGAGTCGTGGCCTCTCCCATGAGGTTCTCACAGGTCTGTAAAGCACTCTAGTTACACCTAAATGTCCAGTTGACTTGTATGTAAATAGAGGATACGATTGATAATATCTTTGAGAAGCTCTAGAAAACCTGAATTTAATCTAAACCCTCTAGAAACTTCCTGGAAGCCTCCAGATAAGATCAAATAAAAAACACAAAGATCAAGACCTCCTTTCAATTAGAAATGCAGCTAGGCTCAGAGAAGCAATTTATGTGGATATTACCAAGTCCCTAATTCCTTTAGAGATCCATCTAGCCCCAAGGTAATAAGCAAAGTTCTCTCAATTTATGGTATCCTGGGGAGGGTGGTGGGTTGTTGCAAGAGTGGTAGGTTATCGTAATTGAAATACTAACTTGGTTTATGTTTCCCAATGTTCTCTTTCCTTCCCCCGATTTTCTTTCCACCTCTATTCATGCACCAAGTAGCACTGTCTATTCTTTGGGGAAAAGATGTGGTTCAAAAAGTAGTAGAAAAGAGAATATCTCTTCCTGCCCTTTGAATTTGAAAATTTTAATGATTTTAATCTGAAATTTTAAGAAGATCATGAATAATAGAAGCCTATCCACCTATAGACCAGAAAACTAGTCTCTACACTGTAGGGAAAAAAGAACATTTATTTGCGTCTTTAATTTGTTTTCTCAATGTTTCAAAGCTTTCAGTTTATAAATATTACACTTATTGGGCTGTTTGTTCCTAGGTATTTAATACATACTGTGTTCATAGACTAGAACAATTAATTTGTTAAAATATCTGTATTGCCCAAATCAATATGCAGATTCATTGGTATCCCCATTAAAATCTCAAAGGCATTTTTTATAGAAATAGAAACAACAATCTTAAAATTCATATGGAACCAGAAAATACCCAAATTAGTCAATGTGATATTGAGAAAAAAGAACAAAGCTGGAGGCATTACACTTCCTCATTTCAAAATATATTATTGAAATTATAGTAATCAAAACATTATGGTACTAACATAAAGGAAAACATAACAACCAATGGAACAGAATAGAGAGCTCAGAAATAAACCCTCACATACATGATCAACTGATCTTTGACAAAGATTCCAAGTATACAAAATGGAGTAAGGATATGCTCTTCAACAACTAGTATTAAGAAAACTGGACATCCACAGGCAAAATAATAGAAGTGAACCTCTATTTTACATTACACACAAAAAGTCAACTCAAAATGGATTAATGAATATGGAAAATGTAGAAGAAAAGCTTCTTGTCACTGGTCTTGGCAATGATTTCTTGGATATGACACCAAAAGCACAGGCAATACAAATAGGTGAGTGGGACTACAACAAACTAAAAAGCTTCAGCAAAGTAAAGGATCCAATCAACAGAGTAAAAAAGCAACCAAGGGAATGAGAGAAAATCGTTGTAAACCATTTACCTGATGAGGGCTTAAGATCCAAAATATATAAGAAACTCCTACAACTAAATAGCAAAAACAAGCAAAACACCCCAAAACTAAATAATCCAATTTAAAAATGGGCAAGGATTTGAATACATATCCCTTCAAAGAGGGCATACCTATGGCCACCAGTTGTGTGAGAAGGTATACATCATAATCAATTATCGGAGAAATGCAAATGAAAACCACAATGAGTTTTATGGATAACTTTTAAAGATAACTTACTTTTGAGGATAACTATTATCAAAAAGGACAGAGATAACAATTGTTTGTGATGATGTGGAGGAATTGGAACCCTTGTGCATTGGTGAGAATGTAAAATGGTGCAGCCACTATGGAAAACAGTATAGTGGTTCTTCAGAAAATTAAAAATAAAACTACCATATGATCCATCAGTCCCATTTATGGGCAACTATCCAAAAAAATTGAAATCAGGATCTCAAAGAGACAACTGCACCCCGATGTTCATTGCAACTTTATTCACAATAGCCAAGATATAGAAAAAATCCAAATGTCCCATTAATAGATGAATGAATAAGAAGAATGTGATACACATGCACACACACACACACATGCGCGCACACACACACACACAGGAATATTACCTATTACCCAATCTTAAAAATAAAGGGGAAATCCTACCATTTGCAACACCATGGATGAGGTTGGAGGACATTATGCTATTTGAAGTAAGTCAGTCACAGATGAGCAAACACTGCACGATTCCACTTATATGAAGTACCTGAAATAGTCAAACTCATAGAAGCAGAGAATAAAATGTTGGTTACCAGAGGTTTGGGGAAGGGGAAATAACGGGAAGTTGTTGTTCAGTAGGTACAAAGTTTCAGTTATGCGAGATGATTAAGAATACAACATAGTGCCCATAGTTGACAATATAGTATTATGCGCTTTTATTTGTTAAGAAAATAATGGCCAGGAGAGGTGGCTTGCACTTGTAATACCAGAACTTTTTGCAGGCTGAGGTAGGAAAACAGCTTGAGGCCAGGGGTTTTAGAATAGCCTGGAGCACATAGTAAGACCTTGTCTCTTCAAAAAATGAAAAAAGTTAGCTGGGCATGGTGGCCTGTGCCTGTAGTCCCAGCTACTGAGGCTGAAGCAGGAGGATTGCTTGAGCCCAGTAGCTTGAAGTTACAGTAAGCTACTATTGTGCCACCACTCTCCAGCCTGGGTGACAGAGTGAGACCCTGTCCCTCAAAAAAAAAAAAAAAAGTAGATCTCATAAGTATTCTTAACACAATAACACACACACACAACACATTGGATCACAAGAAAACTTATAGAGATGATGGATGTGTTTATTACTTTGCAGTAACGGTGTCTTGAGAAGATACATATATCCAAACTAATCAAATTCTACATACAATTGTGTACAGTACATAATACTTGATAATGATAAATGACTATGTTACTGGTTTATGTATCTACTATGCTATAATGTTTACCTTTATTTTAGACTGTACTCCTACATATTTTAAAATATAGTTCACTGTAAAAAACAACAGTGGGAGGTATTCCATAAGAAGACATAGTTATCATGGGAGATGACAGCTCCATGCATGCTATTGCCTATGAAAATTTACCAGTGAGACAAGATATGAAGGTGGAAGACAGTGATATTGATGATCCTGACCCTGTGTAGGCTTAGGCTAGTGTATGTGTTCATGTGTTAGTTTTTAACAAAAACGTTTGAAAAGTTAAAAAAAATTATAGAAAAAAGCTTACAGAATAAAAATATTAAAAAATATATTTTGGTACAGCTATAAAATGTGCTTGTATTTTAAGCTAATGTTATTACAAAAGAATCAAAAGTTTAAAAAATTAAGATATTTATATGGTAAAAAGTTACAGTACACTAATTTATTATTGACAAAAATGTATTTTTATAAATTTAATGTATATACAATGTTAATAAAGACCACAGTAGAGTACAGTAATGTTCTAGGTCTTCACATTAATTCACCATTCACTAACTTATCCAGAGAAACTTCAAGTTCTACAAACTCCATTTATGTAAGTGCCCTATACTGATGTACCATATTCAATATTTTACATCATATTTTTATAGTACCTTTTCCATGTTTACTTGTGTTTTGATATACAAGTACCTATAAGTCTATTACAATGATCTGTAGTATTCAGTTCAGTAATGTGCTGTACAGGTTCGTAGCCTAGGAGCAATAGACTACACCATATAGAGTCCCAAGGGTAAATGGGGCCATAAATGCACATTTAAATGAGACTGTTAATAAAAGAGACTGTTATTGCACATCTTAAAATTACGTTATTGGAAAACATGTTTCTGAGAATTATAAAATGATTCTCATCTATAAAATTCTTATACGTGACAGTTTCAAACTGCTTCCTAAAAATCTAGATTACCAAGTGTTAAAACTAGCACTAATATATATAATTCTATATATAAAGTGTACCCCAATAGATATATTTTGATTTGAAAGGTATAGAAATGATACTAAAATGTTTTCTTATTTTTATAAATTTTGTTTAAATTCAAAGGTTATTAAAGCTGTTTCAAAAAGTAAATTTGGAAGAGCAATAGAAACAAAGTAAAAAAGAAACCAGTAGGTAAAGAGAGAGAGAGAAATGTAAAAAATAGTTACAGGTCTAAAGTTGTATTTTTGGTATAAAAAAAAGTTTGAAAATTTTTTTTATATAAAAATAACCTTGTGTGGTAAATTTTGACCTAATGTGCAATGACTAGTTATTTAAGAAATAAAAAGTATAGGACAAAGCAAAACGTTTAACTATGTTGTCAAAGTTCTAGCTTCATGAAGGCTTAAATGAAGGAATTTGTGTAAACAAGTTGGCTATCATTAGAAAAAAAGTATAAGTGTTTCTAAAGATTGAGCTTTAATATTAAAAATACACTAATACAAAACTAAAAAATTTGCCCCCACTGTTAAAACAGCAATGTTTCCTTAAAATAATAATCCATTCTTATTAAAAATTACAAGAGGCTTTTGGTTTACAGTTTTCATTTAATTTCATTAATTTCAGGTTACAAATGCTATGTTTTTTACCCAAAATAATGATTTTGTTTCTTGAGGTAGTTTTCATCTTAAAGCTACTCAGATTTATATCTCAAAAGTTCAATTGTTTTTGTATGTTGCAACACATGATTTTTAGGTCATGCATCATTGCCTCAGCTCTTTCTTCCCTTGAGAAGGTATGATAACTCGCTCTTTCAACTTTTCTTTTTTTCAAGGTTTAAGGTTATAAAAAAAATTTTTTTATTATACTTTAAGTTTTAGGGTACATGTGCACAATGTGCAGGTTTGTTACATATATATACATGTGCCATATTGGTGTGCTGCACCCATTAACTCGTCATTTAACATTAGGTATATCTCCTAATGCTATCCCTCCCCCCTCCCCCCATCCCACAACAGGCCCTGGTGTGTGATGTTCCCCTTCCTGTGTCCATGTGTTCTCATTGTTCAATTCCCACTTATGAGTAAAAACATGCAGTGTTTGGTTTTTTGGCCTTGCAATAGTTTGCTGAGAATGATGGTTTCCAGCTTCATCCACATCCCTACAAAGGACATGAACTCATCATTTTTTATGACTGCATAGTATTCCATGGTGTATATGTGCCACATTTTCTTGATCCAATCTATCATTGTTGGACATTTGGGTTGGTTCCAAGTCTTTGCTATTGTGAATAGTGCCACAATAAACATACGTGTGCATGTGTCTTTATAGCAGCATGATTTATTATCCTTTGGGTATATACCCAGTAATGGGATGGCTGGGTCAAATGGTATTTCTAGTTCTAGATCCTTGAGGAATCGCCACACTGACTTCCACAATGGTTGAACTAGTTTACAGTCCCAACAACAGTGTAAAAGTGTTCCTATTTCTCCACATCCTCTCCAGCACCTGTTGTTTCCTGACTTTTTAATGATCACCATTCTAACTGGATGGTATCTCATTGTGGTTTTGATCTGCATTTCTCTGATGGCCAGTGATGATGAGCATTTTTTCATATTTCTTTTGGCTGCATAAATATCTTCTTTTGAGAAGTGTCTGTTCATGTCCTTCACCTACTTTTTGATGGGGTTGTTTGTTTTTTTCTTGTAAATTTGTTTGAGTTCATTGCAGATTCTGGATATTAGCCCTTTGTCAGATGAGTAGATTGCAAAAATGTTCTCCCATTGTGTAGGTTGCCTGTTCACTCTGATGGTAGTTTCTTTTGCTGTGCAGAAAATCTTTAGTTTAATTAGATCCCACTTGTCAATTTTGGCTTTTGTTGCCATTGCTTTTGGTGTTTTAGACATGAAGTCCTTGCCCATGCCTATGTCCTGAATGGTATTGCCTAGGTTTTCTTCTGGAGTTTTTATGGTTTTAGGTCTAACATTTAAGTCTTTTATCCATCTTGAATTAATTTTTGTATAAGGTGTAAGGAAGGGATCCAGTTTCAGCTTTCTACCTATGGCTAGCCAGTTTTCCCAGCACCATTGATTAAATAGGGAATCCTTTCCCCATTGCTTGTTTTTGTCAGGTTTGTCAAAGATCAGATGGTTGTAGATATATGGCATTATTTCTGAGGGCTCTGTTCTGTTCCATTGGTCTATGTCTCTGTTTTGGTACCAGTACCATGCTGTTTTGGTTACTGTAGCCTTGTAGTATAGTTTGAAGTCAGGTAGCGTGATGCCTCCAGCTTTGTTCTTTTGGCTTAGGATTGACTTGGCAATGCGGGCTCTTTTTTGGTTCCATATGAACTTTAAAGTAGTTTTTTCCAATTCTGTGAAGAAAGTCATTGGTAGCTTGAAGGGGATGGCATTGAATCTATAAATTACCTTGGGCAGTATGGCCATTTTCATGATATTGATTCTTCCTACCCATGAGCATGGAATATTCTTCCATTTGTTTGTATCCTCTTTTATTTCATTAAGCAGTGGTTTGTAGTTCTCCTTGAAGAGGTCCTTCACATCCATTGTAAGTTGGATTCCTAGGTATTTTATTCTCTTTGAAGCAATTGTGAATGGGAGTTCACTCATGATTTGGCTCTCTGTTTGTCTGTTATTGGTGTATAAGAATGCTTGTGATTTTTGCACATTGATTTTGTATCCTGAGACTTTGCTGAAGTTGCCTATCAGCTTAAGGAGATTTTGGGCTGAGACAAGGGGGTTTTCTAGATATACAATCATGTCATCTGCAAACAGGGACAATTTGACTTCCTCTTTTCCTAATTGAATACCCTTTATTTCCTTCTCCTGCCTGATTGCCCTGGCCAGAACCTCCAACACTATGTTGAATAGGAGTGGTGAGAGAGGGCCTCCTTGTCTTGTGCCAGTTTTCAAAGGGAATGCTTCCAGTTTTTGCCCATTCAGTATGATATTGGCTGTGGGTTTGTCATAGATAGCTCTTATTATTTTGAGGTACGTCCCATCAATCCTAACTTATTGAGAGTTTTTAGCATGAAGGGTTGTTGAATTTCATCAAAGGCCTTTTCTGCATCTATTGAGATAATCATATGGTTTTTGTCATTGGTTCTGTTTATATGCTGGATTACATTTATTGATTTGTGTATGTTGAACCAGCCTTGCATCCCAGGGATGAAGCCCACATGCTCATGGTGGATAAGCTTTTTGATGTGCTGCTGGTTTCTGTTTGCCAGTATTTTATTGAGGATTTTTGCATCAACGTTCATCAGGGATTTTGGTCTAAAATTCTCTTTTTATGTTGTGTCTCTGCCAGGCTTTGCTATCAGGATTATCGTGGCCTCATAAAATGAGTTAGGGAGGATTCCCTCTTTTTCTATTGATTGGAGTAGTTTCAGAAGGAATGGTACCAGCTCCTCCTTGTACCTCTGGTAGAATTCAGCTGTGAATCCGTCTGGTCCTGGACTTTTTTTGGTTGGTAAGCTATTAATTATTGTCTCAATTTCAGAGCCTATTATTGGTCTATTCAGAGACTCAACTTCTCCCTGGTTTACTCTCAGGAGGGTGTATGTGTCAAGGAATTTATCCATTTCTTCTAGATTTTCTAGTTTATTTGCGTAGAGGTATTTATAGTATTCTCTGATGGTAGTTTGTATTTCTGTGGGATCGGTGGTGATATCCCCTTTATCATTGTTTATTGCATCTATTTGATTCTTCTCTCTTTTCTTCTTTATTAGTTTTGCTAGCAGTCTATCAATTTTGCTGATCTTTTCAAAAAACCAGCTCATGGATTCATGGATTTTTTGAAGGATTTTTTGTGTCTCTATTTCCTTCAGTTCTGCTCTGATCTTAGTTTTTTCTTGCTTTCTGCTAGCTTTTGAATATGTTTGCTCTTGCTTCTCTAGTTCTTTTAATTGTGATGTTAGGGTGTCAATTTTGGATCTTTCCTGCTTTCTCTTGTGGGCCTTTAGTGCTATAAATTTTTCAATCAGTTCCTGGAACTTTTTTCTAACTCTACTGTTGTGACCAGATGTGGGAATGCTTATCATGGTTTATACACTACGATTGGTTTCTCTAGTATAACTTGACTGTGTACTCTTGACTTTTCTTGGTATGTCAGAATTGTTCCGTATAACTCAAACTTTCTCATGTGTACTAGAAGGCATGCATTTTCCTACACAGGGTACTAGTTTTCTCATTTACATGCCTCTGTAATGTAGTGTATACTCATTACCTAGGACACATATTCTTCTTGTGTCAGGTTAAAGGACCCTTTTCAACAGGTTCAACTTCCAGATTATCTAAATGAACTTCCCACAGGCAGAAGCAATCACACTACAGGAGGTTTTCCTTTACCTTTTTAGTAACTAGCCTAAAAACAAAGGTTTTATCTTTTATCAAGATAATTTCCTGTGTGGTTGTTTTTAGGTTTTTGATTACTCAGGAAAACTGAGCTTTAAATGTGTTAAGGGTTTTTTTTTTAATTCACATAACTTTCTGTATTTCTTATAATGTCTTTTAATTATCACACTGATTAAATGAATGACTACTGTTTCACTGTTACCTGGAATCCTGTTTTGATCAAATGTTTTGAAGCTTTTGACTTCTTTGGCAGGCCTCTCGGTACCAAAGTTCTATATTACGTCTTTTTGACTAAAATTAACTTTGAGATTTATCAGTTGGGACATTTGACAGTCTCAAAGATGTATCTCTCATATAATCTTATATATGTATTAAATCATTAGACTTGTTTTGTAAATTGCATAAGAAACATTGTCAAAAGATAAGTGATAGTATATCTTCTTTTATATACATTTATGAGTATAGTATTAATAGGAATGTTCCAAAATTGTACAAAACTCTCAGAAATCTTTCATTAGTTGGAATTCTGGATAATATGTTATACGCCACAAAATAACTAACGTTCCTTGTCTATTGCTAATTATAATGAACTTTAATCAGATGTTAACCTTGGCTATTCTAAGTTTTTGTCATCTACAGTCATTGTTTTGATTTTTCTTTAAAAACATCTGCAATCAGTTACAGTTCAAAATGTTTTTTTTAATGGAAAAGACTCTAACAAATACCCTTGAGCACAGATTTCTAATAACTTTAAAGTCAATGAACTAAATAATTTTTTTCAAAACTCTAATGAAGAAACTGATGGATTCATGAAGCTATTAATCAAGATAAAGCAAAACAAAAACCAATTACATGAGATTGAATAGTGATGAAGATAGTGCTTTTGTGATTTGTATTTAAAACACTGTTCATTCTTTACTTAAATGTTTTATTTTCCAGATATAACAAAATTTCTCTTTAGCTTTCTACAGTTTACAACAATTTGATAAAGTATACTTTGTTAACAAAAATGAAAGCATTTACTTTTTATCCCTACTTCATTCCTTGAAAATTCAAAAACTATTCATGAGTATTCTTATGACAATATGGTTATTCACATAAGTCCAATAAAACTCTGCTCTCTCCTTACGATAAAATATAACACTGATTATATTACCAAAGCTTTCACTAAAATAGCATTTTGAAAATGTATAGAATGCTTGGCTTCAAGATTTCTCTGCCTTGTAGTGAGTAGATAAAAACTGTCACTTGCTGACAGGCTGAGGAACCTTGACTCTAGGTATAATCTAGAGCCTACATGAGTTTGGCTTCCTAGCCTCAAGAAATTTTATATCTGAGAATCATATGTGGTCAATGAAGAGGGGAAAAGTTATGTTTCTAAAGAAAGCTATAAAACATGCTATTAAATTGCAGCTCTGTACATTGTTTTCAAGTTTTGTTATCTGCATATAGACAAAACTAGATACTGAATTCTTCTAGATTTCTACAATCCAAATTTTTTCCATGAAATTACTAAAATTAGGAACTGCACTGTTCCTAAAATATTATGTGCTACAACTAGATACGTTGTAAGAAACATGTCTTGTGCCTGATATATGGGCCACACGGAAAGTTTACCAAGATGCCCATGACCATAACCATAGACGTTCAAACTGCAAACCGGGATGAAAAATTGATGTTTTTACATGTAGATAGGTTTCCCCAAGATATCAGAACAAGACTTCATATCACAGAGAGACTCACCCCTCTAAATGCGTGTACCTTTTTCACTTGACAGGATAACAGTTATTTGATTTATTCAATTGGTTGCCTTTAAACTGAAGTTCATGGTTCAAAATCATTTGTAAACTGGGATTGTTATACTACTACTAGTTTTACTTTATACTTTCTTTTTTAAACCTTATATCTGTTACTTGTTAATTTTTTATAGAAATACAACTCCTAACAGTTTAATGCTGGTCCAGCACTTAAAGATGATAGCAAAACACTAGGAAACAGAAAAAATTAACCTTAATGATGGACTCTGGTTAGATTAAGCTTTAGAGTCATTCTCTTCAAACTTCCCTTGTTGCTCAAATGTGGCTAAAAGGGTTTTGACACTACTAGTGCCCTTTACTCCCTCCAACATGGAACCAGACCAGTAACCGTGGACAAGTTCATCTTGGCACTGAGGAACATCAAAACCTATCTACAGGATGATTTATCAGTGATGCTTTTGAAGAAATATCTTGATCAAAAGGGAAAAATGTGAAAAGTGTCAGAGTCAAAATGGAGTCACTTGTATTGAAAACAAAACAAAACAAAACACTTGATAAATAGAACTAGGGAAGGCTATGAAAAGAGAGTTTTTATGCATAAATGCCTAATAACAAGAGCTTACACCAAAGACTGCGCAACCCACAGATTTGCACAAGGTCATCACAACCTCACACACAAAATATTTTTCTAAGGCAACTGTATCTAACCTCAAACTACCATCACCCTTGTTACTGATCTTTGTAGCCAAAGATAATATTCTCAGAACAATTATGTAATCCTCTTCATTTTTCCTTTAAAAACTTTTGTCTTTCTTAACCTTCCTGAATATGCACATAGTTTACTATGGCTTGCATATTCTCATTGCCATGCCCTATCCCCAAATAAATATATTTTTTAGTGATTCTCTCTGTTTTTGTTATGTAGCTTGACAATGCAAACGAGAAGACCTAGGTTTTCTTCCTCCTCTAATATCTCAATATACAAAATAGAATGGAAAGAAAAGAAGGAAATGGAGAGCTGCTGATTCTGAATGTAACAGAGTGAAGCACAGTCATCCTCTCAACTTTACATATACAAGTCTACTTATGAAGTTGAGAAGACCTGAGGGGCTGGTTAGATTCACACACACATACACACATGCACACACACTCATACACAACACACACACACAAAGAGAGAGAGAGAAATTTTTTCATATGCAAAAAAGAAAGATTGGGGAAAATGCAACAAAGGCTACTCATTCCTGAAATAATTAATGTAAATTCCCTATATAAACTAAATCTGTGAGCCGACACATAGTAGCACTCAACTGGGACTTATGTACCTCTTAATTGGACTTTTACAGCTTACAGAGCTAAATGTGATATAATCTATGATTTTTGCTGTCTACAAACATACTTACAATGAATATGCTGTGATTAAGAGGGTGTTGCTAATTTTTGATACTTTGATACTTTTTATGCCTTTAACATTATTCTTTCTTGGCTACTTATCCTTTTTCTACTACTATTCTTCATATTTATTGCTTCAATCTATACTCAAATTTAATTCAATAGATAAATTAATAATTCTCATATTTCTAGCCAGTATTTTTGAAGACTTATTTTAAAATATATACATTTTAGATTGAAATAATATATGCTCATTGTACAAAATTTGAAAAATACAGAAAAATATAAAGAGTAAAGAAAAAAATCCCCAATAATACCTTACTCAAAGATCATTTTGGTGTATTTCATTTGTTTATTTTCTATGAGTTCATATATATATCTTTCCCCTCAAAATTCTGTATTAAAGAATATACATAATTTAGCACTTTACTCTTT
Organism: Homo sapiens; assembly: GCF_000001405.40. Classification (NCBI taxonomy): domain Eukaryota; kingdom Metazoa; phylum Chordata; class Mammalia; order Primates; family Hominidae; genus Homo; species Homo sapiens. Next base: position 51,762,610 of record NC_000005.10, read on the forward strand.
AAGATATATTTTCATCCATATTAAAATTCCTCAAAATTACAGGTTTGAAATGGGATATTATTTTATTTAATTTTTCTTTTGTTTTTGGACATTTAATTTTTTATTAATTATAACATAAGTAATATTGTAAATATTCTTGTACATAAGTCTTTTTCTCAATCTTTGATGGGTTATGTATGGTGAGTTCCTAGGAGTGGAATTACTGGAATAATAGATCTGCATACCAAGCCCTCCTCCCATAAGCCATACTTGAGAATGTCTTTCTTACAAGTTGTAGAAGTCATCTATTTTTAAATGTAAGTTTTAATTTGGACATTTTGATTACTGTGGAGGTGAAAAATTTTCAATCTTGCTGGTTATATGTATTTTATTTTTAAATTGTCTGCCATGTCCTCTACTTACTTGTCTGAGTGGGCTTGTTTATTGACTTATGAAGCATTAACACTCTCTTCTGTCATCATTGTTGTGGCTGCTCGTTCATGTAGATGATCCATCCCCACTCATCACCCTAGACCCTCAGCAACTTTTCTTCTCAAACCACTTTTATTTCCTCATTCTGAATTCAGCCAACCGTTTTTATGATCAGCATTGTAGCTTGCCATGCCCAATAGAGCTGCCACTTCAGGAAAACTGATTTTGATAATTATTTTCTGTGGACTTCTCTTCTTTTTCCTCCTCTAGACTCAAGCTGACATTCTTCACATTTTGTGTCATCTGTTCTCTGAATATGTGATCTTTGAACGTTTCTGAACTATGTTATGACTCAGTATCTTCATCTGTAAAATGAGATCAATACCAGTCCTTTGTTATGACATTGTTATGAGCCCAGTTGACACATAGTAGGTGCTCAGTAATTGTTACCTATTATGATCACAGTAATAGTACCTATGTGATAATTTTTCTCCTTCATTAAGAAATACAGTGTAAGTCTACATCTTATATCTTCCCCACTTCTAAACTTAGATCCTGTAGTCCAACCTCATTAAAAATAGCCTTACTCCTTTATGTTTGCCACCCTTTTTGTTATACCCAATCCTAGTTAAATTCCGCTATTTATTTATTTTATTGTAGGCTGAATTTGTTCCTCCTCAAAAGCCACCTGTTGAATTTCTTTCTTTCTTTCTTTCTTTTTTTTTGAGACGGCGTCTCGCTCTGTCACCCAGGCTGGAGTGCAGTGGCATGATCTCAGCTCCCTGCAACCTCCGCCTCCCGGGTTCAAGCAATTCTCTGCCTCAGCCTCCTGAGCAGCTGGGATTACAGACACCCGCCGCCACACCCGGCTTTTTTTTTTTTTTTTTTTTTTTTTTTTTAGTAGAGACGGGGTTTCACCAAGTTGGCCAGGCTGGTCTTGAATTCCTGACCTCGTGATCCACCCACCTCGGCCTCCCACAGTGTTGGGATTACAGGCGTGAGCCATCGCGTCAGGCCCATCTGTTGAATTTCTAACCCCCAGTGCGACTAAATTTGGAAGCAGGGCCTTTAAGGAGGCAATTAAAGTTAAATAAAGTTACAAGGGTGGGGCCCTTTATTATGACTGGTATCCTTATAAAAAGAAAGAGAGAGAGGGAGACAGAGAGAGAGAGAGAGAGAGACAGAGAGAGAGAGAGAGACCATACAGAAAAGGCTATGTAAGGACCTAGCAAGAAGGTAGTCCTCTACTAGCCTAAAAGAGAGGCCTCGGGAGAAACCAAACTTGCCATCAGCTTGACCTTGAATTTCTACTTTAAGAACTGTGTGAAATACATTTCTGTTGTTTAAGCCACACAGTCTGTAGCATTTTGTTATGGCAGTCCTGGCAAACTAATACATGTGGCTTCACTGAAGCAGGGGAAAAATAGGTAGAGAATATTAATTGTATATTATATATCTGTAGGAAATTATATAATTAGGTCAACTAGTATCACTTCAATTTATAATTACGTGTGCCTACTGTGTATTTATCATTAGCCAAACAGTCATATTGCATTTCTTTTTATGTTCTTTGTTTTCATGAAACTGTCTTGTCAATTTCACCATTGGTTTCCATTTTGCTAAATCTGACGGTCGGTTCTTTGCCTCAGTAATCTACCTTAAACTCTCAGGAATGCTTGACACAGTAAAGCTTCGTCTATGAAGGCACTCCATGTTTGTATGTTTGTTGATGCTTCCCTCTTTTAATATTTTCTTCAATTTCTGTAGTTATGTCTTTTCAGGTTGTTTTTGTTGTTAGCTCTTCCTCCTCCTCCTCTTCCTCTATCTAAGCATTAAATATTAAAGAAGCGAGCTCAATTCTGGCAGTTGTCATTCTCCCTATTTTCATTTTCTCTCTCTAGAGTCTAACCTTATTCTATAAAAACAGTAACATCTACCTATTGTCGCTTCTCAAACTTAAATCTGTACCTGTAACTTCTTCCTCTTAACTAGAGACTCTTACAGTAAGCTGCCGAATTGGTGTCACCATTTGTTTAAGGTATTGGGAGATTATTTCTTTTTCATAATTTTTAAAGTTTTAAAGCATGTCTATTTTATTATTTTGGTATGTTTAGAATGGGGATGTTTCTGGATATGTTCAATCTGTTTTCCTGGAAATCAGGTGATTTGGTAAGAAAGAAACAACTGTAAGAATGGAATCCCCAAAATAAATTTTCTACAGACTTGCCCAAGTGCTAGGCCATACATTTAAATTGTTTAAGGACATGCTTATACAAGCTTTCCATAGAAAAAGTGTGAAGTATTCTTTCCATAGAAAAGCCTGTGAAGTATTATTTAACTCTCTCTTATTTTATATCATCTTTGAGGAAAAAAAAGATAGAAAATCTTACATGGTATTAATAAAAACACAGTGATTATTCAAAAAAGTGTTCATTTAATACAAATTAATACTAGCGCATTATCTCTGCATATTTTGACCAGTGTATTCAGACAAATTGGTGGATTAGTTTTAGGTTGTCTTATTCTTTCTTATAATGTTTCAATAATAAATTGTTTTAGGAATCTACCAAATTCTTTAAACCCAACTCTGTTAATGTGTGAATCTGTACACGTTAAAAATGTGACACATGAATCACTTTTTAGAAATGAATTAAACAGCATATGTTAAATTAGTGTGTACATTTTCCTATAAAAGTATAAGCAAAAAGCCGATTAACACTCATAGAGTTACACGCGTTGATCAAGACAGGATATACCCTCCTGTATTTATTTATTTGATCATTCTTACAAGTAAATTGTACATATTTTCATAGCTACTTTATATAATAATATCACGTAACTATTATTTATACTACTGAAATAAATTTAACTGACAGATGAAACAGCAGCAAAAAGCTCTTGAGGTTTCCAGATAATTTTTAAAATGACTATATATTTACTCCATGGACTTTAATGGTATTTCTACCACTTAAAATATACACAATAAATATGTGCAGTTATTTTGTCCAAATGTGTACATGAAAATGAGAACAATATTTTTAAAATATAACCAGAAAATCACCCAGTATATACTTATCAAATCTCACGTAGCTGTATTCAAACTCTTCTCTCTTTTAAGTTTCTTACTGGAATAATGTAAAGTGTAAAGCTCTCCAAAATTCATTTTTGCATAATCAAATAATTTAGCTAATTCAATCTGCATTATGAAAATAAAATGTTACTATTATACCAGAAACCATAAAACTGGAGATTTTTGAAAATTTCTCCTACCTGCCAAAATGTCTGTCCCCAGAGCTAGTTCAAGCACATTTATAACTGAACAGCATCTCAGTCATTCTGGGGGTACTGTTATAGACTTAAATATATCTAAGTAACAGAACCATAAAAAGGATAAGGCATGTTATCTAATTTAGCACCTATACTTCAACTTAAATGTTTAGATTAGTCAATTATTTTCTTGTTAGACATTTCCCAATGTCCCAAATATTTCAATATTTTGTTATTCTGATGATCAAGAAGTTCTCATTCATTTCCAACAAAACTCTCTCCTAAGTTTATTCTTTTTGAAAAGCTATACTTGAAAATAGAAATGGAGTAAGTACATATAGTTAGGGTCAGTTTTCTATATGGAAGGGAAAGAAATGCATAAAGATATAAAAAAGGTATCCTGAGGATGGTGCATACAGATGTGCAGTTCTGCACCACACAAAGGTCTCTGTCAGAACAAATGAAAGAAGCCTGATACCTAACGAACCTTTCACTTGCCAAGCTATGTGGCCTTGTACAGGACTGCCTCAGCCTGGTGGAAGGGAGGCCTTTTTGTTTGTTTGCTTTCGCTGTTTGGTCATGAAGCAACCAAATGATAAACAAATGAACAGCCTGAAGACTATGTCTGCCTAGAAAAGGTGATTTTTTTAAATACCATAATTTAGGATCTCCACTTGCAAAATATTGGGTAGCAATGGTGCTCACTTGACCTTTCTATTTTTATGCATTTAGGAAAGGAAGGAGTGAGTAAAATGAAAGCAGATCCAAAAAGCTTTGTAAAAGACTCACCTTAATCTATTTTGAACATGATTTATTTAGCCCAGAAGAATTGTCAGTTGATTAACTCACACAAGTGCTGAACATAGACAATGCAAAGTTTTCTGTGGGACAAAACAAAACAAAACAAACAGACAAAAGAAATCAGCATTAAAATCTCTCTTCCAAAAATTCACTTTTGGGAGGAAGAGAGGACTGGCTTGGTTTGATAATATTCCCACTCTAGTAACAGTAGAATTTCATACTTAGGATGGACTTTTGAGATAAGTGAAGACAGAATTTCTATTTTACGATGAAGAAAATCAGTTGGAGGAAAAAACAAAATAAAACTCAGGGATATTATGAGATTTTTAGGCTAGTTAATGGGAAACAACTCAGATATTATTTTTTTCAGATTTGAAAAATTCATTCCATTGTTCCTTCCTGTATACCCTTATAAAAATTGCTGCATTTATCAACAATTTATATGTATTAACTCTCAAAATACTGATATTTTCCTTATCATCATTTTATAGATGAGGGCACTAATGCACATATAATTTGTTGGCTAAAATCACACAGCTTGACCAAACTTCTTTGGTCCAAAAGACATTGACCAAAGAAGCATTCAAGGTCAAACAGTGTGATGCCAGTACCTGTGAACTTAACTTTCACAACCTATTGATTCCCTTAAAACTTGGGTTGACAAGTTAGGAGATTATACATAAAATAAGGAATCATTCAATTAATGCCATTTCAGACTGACATTTTTGATATCTGTATAGGAGTCCTAAGAATAAAGGAATCCTTCAATGAAAGTGAACTGAAAAGTCATCCTGCAAGTGACTCAAGTTGGATCTTGACAGATGGGAAGGGTTTGAATTGGGTAAAAAGTATATATTGGTAGGTGAAGAGGCCATTCTAATCAAGGAAATGACCTGTTTAAAAAAAGTTGGGAGTTATCAAGCTATATTCAAGAAAGAATTAGGTCATATTATAGAGGTTTTAAAAATCAAATTAGAGATGCTTCCCCCTTCTCTCTCTTTCTTTCTTTCTCTTCCTTCCTTTCTTTCCCTTCCTTCCTTCCTTGCTTCTTTCCTTCCTTCCTTCCTTTTCCCTCCCTCCCTCCCTTCCTTCCTTCCATCCTTCCTTCCATTCTTCCTTTCTTTCCTTTCTATTATTTTTCTTTTTTTGCTGCAATGGATGAAATGAAAAGCAAATGGTTAATAAACGTAATGAGTCATGGTCTTCATTGGGCCATACTATTGTACTTGGTTTCGATTTAAATATAAATATATAGAGAAGACACAGCAAAATGTTTACAGTTGTTCAGCAGAAACAACTTATAAGTGGTATTTGTTAATGTCTTGCTGTGTATTATGCTTCTCATAATGATGTTTTCACTATATATTTCAACTTTCAATGCAATAAACTCAAAAATAATTTTTTAAAAAGTGGTGACATTATTCAAAACTGTCACTGTGAATTGGCAGAAGCCATTGGCCAAACAGAAAACATGCACATAGGCAAGAAAATATTAATTTCAGTCAAATGGGCTTTTAAAATGAAAACAGAATCAGACAGTGGGAGTTTCAATTTGATTGAGTATAGTGAAAATCATAGCAATTGGTTATTTCAGGGTGATTGGTTATTTTCTCTACTCTGATATGGTATGCTTCAACCAGTTTTTAAATTCAATTTAACTTGATTATTTTACAAAAACACAAAATATATGTTTTATAAATAATCTTGGATCTGATATTTTTAACATAAGTCTTGTCTTATGGAAAGAGTTAAAAAAAGTGTTATTTTGAATTCTTACAAATATTACAAATTATAAATTACATAGTAGCATATGTACATGCTACAAACTATTAAAATATGTGTGTTAGTGCTTATGACAATATTTATATAAATCAGAAAACTTGATTATGCATAATATACAAAAAAATGTTTGGCTCAGTAATTTCTACTGTATTTTTGAGTATAATTGTGTTAAATTTTGATTAAACTATTATTCAAAAACAATTCACAATTTAAAATTCTCTTGTCATTTCGAAATGTTATTTTTACTATAACATTACTAAAAAGTGCTAATAGTTTTTATTGTCAATTACATTTTTTGAAATGTGGAAACAATAATTTTAGAATATAAAAATGCTTAACATAAAATGCAAATAATTCAAAAGTGTTAGCTAGGCACGGAGCCTGCTGGATATTCCTACCAGGTTAATTACAGCTGTGCGAGTCTTTATTATTTTATGAAGAATCATCATTTTAAAGCATTCTTTAAAATATAGTATTATTTTAATTTGCTCCAATAAACATAAAAACAATTTTTGAAATTGCAAGACATTGGAATTTTTTTACTTTAATGGTAAAATAAGTAAAATATCATAATTATAATGTGCTCTACTTTTAAGATAGAAAAACTGATTATAATGAGCAATATCTCTTTCAAAAATTTTACAGGGATTTATATAATAAAACCATTTTAATGATGCGAGATGCACATATTCAGTTTAATCAACCTTATCTGTGACATCTTGAATAAGACATTATGAAGGATGTGAATCACTCATGGAAGGTTCCAGAGCAATAATTCTCAAACTTTAGCATGCATCAGAATTACTTGGAGGGCGTGTTAAAACATAGATTTCAGAGCCCCATCACCAGAGTTTCTGATTTGTCAGATTTGGGACGGGGCTTAAGAATTTGCATTTCTAACAATTTCTCCATTGATGGCAACACTAATGTTCTTAAACTTTGAAAACTCCTGTTCTAGAGCATGTAAAATCTTTATGTGTACTCTGAATCAAAGAAAAAATATTTATAACGCTTTTTCTTTAACTTTCCCTTTCATCAAACCGGCATGCATTATGTTATGAACCAGTTGTATGACCAACAGTTCATCTCTAGTGTAATGAAAAAAAAAAAAAAGTCCTAAACTAGGAAGAAGACTTAGTCACGTCAGATTGGTCATGGACTACATCACTGGCTTTGGGTTAGACAAGGTCTTTGATTGTTAATTGTTTTTTTGTAAAATAAATATAACAATTCTCAAATTGCAGACTATATGTATGAGTGTTAAATAAATGTGGGTTTTTTTTTTTTTGGTAAATTCTATGTCCATGCAAATGGAAGATACCAAATTATTTGTTTGAAGCTCAAAATTTCTTATAGGAATGGGTTATGTATGTTGGTGAAGTACTCAATTTAGTCTGTCAAAATCTGCTTGAACAACACAGAGCACTTTTTAAAAAATTTACTGAATATATATAGATATCAAAACCCTTGGCCAGGCATGATGGTTCATGCCTGTAATCCCAGCACTTTGGGAGGCCCAGGCAGGTGGATCACTTGAGGTCAGGAGTTGGAGACCACCCTGGCCAACATGGGGAAACCCCATCTCTACCAAAAAATACAAGAATTAGCCAAATTACCCATGCATGGTGGCACGTGCCTGTAGTACCAGCTACTCGGGAGGCTGAGGCATGAGAATCACTTGAACCTGGGAAGTGGAGTTTGCAGTGAGCCCAGATCGTGCCACTGCACTCCAGCCTGGGCAAAGGAATGAGACCCTGTTTCAAAAAACAAACAAACAAACAAACAAACCCACTCTTTCAAATTCATCTATAGTACTTTTCCCAAAGGCAGCAATTCTTCAATATGTTCCTTTTGGGGAGTTATTGAGTCTGTCCAGCTTCCACAGAATCTGTCACAGTTTCTCAGAGTAAAAATGTTTGTTGCATTGAATGCATATATGCCTTTTGAAAAATACAATTGTGTATGTTGAACACTTGTTTTTAATTTATCGTTAATATTAGTATTTGACAGGTAAAAAACTGTTGTTAGGTTGGAAGGAAGTAGATAACAACTCATTTGAGTGTAAGGGCTTCTGTGTACTTTGAAAGGCTTCAGAGGTTAATACAAATATTACCTTATTGTGTCTAATTTCACTGCAAAATGTCAGATCTCAGTTTTTCTGAAAATATGGTGAGTTGCCAGTACCAATCTGTACCTTTCAGACATGATCAGATGCTGATTGGGTCTACAAATTGGCCATACTCACATTACTTTCACTCTAAATGCTCAATAATTTCCTCAATATTCAGAGTAGTTACCTTTTAAATTATTTTTTTAGATTCTTCTTTTTTGAAGTTTTATTTTGTGTTTAATTGACATATAATAATTTTACATATTATGGAGTACACAGTTTGATATTTTTATTCATGTACACATTGGATAATTAACATACCCATCACCTCAAACACTTGTCATTTCTTTGTGGTGAGAATAATTCAAAATCCTCTCTTTTAGCTATTTTGAAATATACAGTACATTACTGACTATAGTCACCCTACTGGGTGATAGAACACTGGAACTTGTTCCCCCTACTTAACTATAACTTTGTACCTACTGAACAGCCTCTCCCAATTCCCCATTCTCCTTGCTTTCTCCAACCACTGGTAACCACTGTTCTCCTCTTTATTTCTATGAGATCAATATTTTTAGATTTCACATGAGATAATGTGGTATTTGTCTTTCTTTGCTTGACTTATTTCACTTAACATAACGTCCTCTAGATTCAATGATGTTGCAAATTAAAGGATTTTATTCTTTTTATGGATTAATAGTATTCCACTGTTTATGTATCCCACATTTTCGTTTAGCCATTCATCTGCTGATGAACACTTAGGTTGATTACATATCTTGGCAATTGTGAGTTGCGCTGCAAGAAACATGGAGGTGTAGACATCTCTTTGATGTATTGATCTCATTTATTTTGGTTACAAACTCAGTGATGGGATTGCTAGATCATATGGTAGCTATGTTCATAATTTTTTGAAGAACTTTCAGGTTGTTGTCCATATGGCTATACTAATTTACATTTCCACCAACAGTGTGACTTTCTTTTCCTCTACATCCTTGCCATAATTTTTAAAATTTGTTGTCTTTTTGATAGTAGCCATCTATTTGGGGTGAGATAGCTCATAGTTTTAATTTGCATTTCTCTGGAGATTGGTGATGTTGAACATTTTTTCATATACTCATTGGCCATTTGTATATCTTCTTTTGATAAATGTTTATTTACATGCACAAAAATAAAACTAGACCCCTTACCACTTAAAAAAAACTCAAAATGGATTAAATATTTAAACGTAAGACTCAAAACTGAACCTACTAGAAAAAAACACAAGAGAAATGCTTCATGACATTAGTCTGGGCAATGATTTTTTAAATAAGACCCCCAAAGCATAGGCAAGCAAAGTACAATGGGATTATATCCAACTAAAAAGCTTTTGCACAGCATAGAAAATAATCAGCAGAGTAAAGAGACAACCTACACAATGGGAGATAGTGTTTGTGAACTGTGTATCTGACAATGGGCTAATATTAAGAATATATAAGGAACTCAACTCAAAAGCAAAATAACAAATAATCCAATTAAAAATGGGAAGTTTTTATTCTTCCTTTTAATTCTACTTTTTTAGACTTAAGTGCTCTGTTTTTTGTTTTTATGATGATTTTATTAGTGGTGGATATTGTTGCCTCTAACTGGAGAAAGTGGCCAGGTACTAGTGAGATGCCTGCACTTTGAGATCTGGATACTTCATCTGTCAGGACTAGTAAAAAGAGGATTTTGCAGTCTTTGGGGCCTATGCTTCACCAGAATTATGCTCCAGGCAGTACTAACAGCATTGTGCTGGGTGCAGGAGTGAAGATGGCCTGGTCCTCTAAACCCTTGTCACAGATTGGACAGGAATTCTCTGACTTATGTTACTGCCATAACTTTCTAAGCCACAAGAGAAAAGTTGCTTAGCTTTGGTGGGTCACTAGGCTCTAATTGTTTCTAATTTTAGGAGCTTCACAGTAAATCTCTTTCATTTGGGGAATGAGGGGCTCAAATTAGTAAACTTCAAGAAGGTGGCCAGCTAAATTTGAAGGGCTGATCTTCCAATGAAGTCAAAAAAAAAAAAAAAAAAAGTAGAGCCTGTGTAAGATGGAAAAAAAGAGATGATGGTTGTGATAGAGGTGTTAGAGAGGGAAACATTCATTACCAGAGTAGTTCCAAAAATTTCTAAATTTGTAAATCATTAATATATGAAATTGCCTAAGGTTGGTTCACTACTATCAGATTTCCTAAACACTAGTAATTGTTGTATGTGTTTAATATAATAGAGTTAACACAGCAGAGATGTGTTTGCACAACATACTTAGCTCTGACATATCTGTTGACACCCAAGATACCTGAGCATGAAGGGAAGACTCACCTGGACTGCAATTAGCACTTGAATAAGTACAGTGTGAGGAGTTGTACTGTCTCATTTACTAAGGGACTGGGGAATCCAGTGGTATGTGAGGAGGTTTCCAGCCCTTGCAATGAACATGTAAGGGCTATCAAACCACACTTGGGTGAGAATATTGTCACACATATAATAGTTGCAAAATGTACTTAGTTCATATAGACAAGAGCAAGATGGATCAAAAAGAATGTCCAGCTGACCAACTCATTCATTTGAATTTCACAAGTCATTGCTTGCCATTGGCTTGCTGAAGTGGATCTCATCAAATATATAGACCCTATTAAGTTTGAGAGGCTGCCTACCTATTCCTAAGTTGCCTTATATTTCCTTTGCTAGTTTATAACTCACTTTAAGTGTGTCTTTCTAATTTAACAGAACACATCTGTATATAACATACAAACCCAACAGGGCACATCTAAACAGAGCACATTTATGCAACTTATTTTTACTTCTTTGGGTAGGTGAATACCTTGGGTGTTGATAGTCCTGTATGTCTTCCATATGAGTATTTCCTACTCACCCATTCTCAATTTTTACTATAAATTTTTTTATATTTTTAATATGGTGTTTTTTACTTAAGGCTATATTACAAATATTCATTATATAATTCATTACATTTCTGAAATTATTTTTGTAGACATAGAATATTTCTTTTTACATATATATTATAATTAATCTTTGGCAAATATTTAGGTTGTTTCTCTGCTTTTATTGTTACATAAGACTGATGTCAATGGTGTTACGAATATTTTTTATGGGTCTTATGGTTGCCTTACAATATATTTCTGTTACAGAATTACTTTTAATATAAATTCTTAGATATTGTCTTCTGGGAGACTGCATCAATAGATACATCCCCACAGGTGTGAGGATGTTTCCTGCCCTGGATTTTGACCAATATTAGATGCTGACTATTTTAAATTGCCATATTGATATATAAAATTAATACATCATTTGGTTGATTTTTGCTTTTTATTTCTTTAAGTAATATTAAATATAGTGAGAATGTTTAGGTGATTGAATTTTTCTTTGGAACAACGTAACATTATTTCTACTTTGTGTATACATGTGTGTCAAAGTATACACATATACATTGTATATATATGCAAAGTATCTATATATACAATGTATATATACACAAAGTATATATACATACAAAGTATATATACAATGTGTATATATATATACACAAAGTATATATACTATATATATATAATGAATATATATACAAACTATATATATACACGTGTTTTAATGATTTTAATGATTAAAACTGTTCTCTATATGGGGAAGGTAACTGCTGTGGTTTAGATATAATTTGTTTGTCTTCACCGCAATTCATGTTGAAATTTGATCTCCAATGTGGCAGTGTTGGGAGGTTGAGCCTAGTTGGAGGTATTTGGATCATGTGGATGGATCCTTCATGAATTGTTTTGTGTTATTCTTGCAGTTGTGAGGTAGTTTTCACTCTGGTGAGACTGAATTAGTTCTCACAGAAATGAGTTAACAAAGGGTTGTTATAAAACCACAACGCTCTTAGGGTTTTGTCTCTTCACAAGTGTCCACTTCCCCTTTGACCTTCTCCACCATGTTATGATGCAACAGGAAAGCCCTTACCAAAATCCCGAGCTGTTCCATTGAACTTGCCAACCTGCACGACAGTGAGCTAAATAAAACCTTCTTCCTGTAATCCCAGCTACTCGGGAGGCTGAGGCAGGACAATGGCTTGAACCCAGGAGGCAGAGATTGCGGTGAGCCGAGATCGTGCCATTGCACTGCAGCCTGGGCAACAAGAGCGAAACTCTGTCTCAAAAAAAAGAAAAAAAGAAAAAAAAAAACACTCTTTATCAGTTACTCAGTCTCAGGTATAGCAACACAAAATGAACTGAAACTGTAACTTTGCTACGTACAATGCAAATTATTTTCTTATTGTATTTTGTGCCTTTTATTGTAGTATTTAATATTTTGTAATTTTGGTCTTCTTGACCCATTATTTTTATCTTCATAGTAATCTCATATTCTTTAAAATGTGTTTAATTATCTGAGAAAATATCATGTGTCTATATTCTTATTAGATATTTATGTTTTTGCTTTCTCTTTTAACATTTAACTGCTTGAGCCAATTGCTGCTTATTTTATATGGTGTGTGTGTGTGTCTGTGTCTCTGTGTGTGTTTTTTTCTAAGGCGCTTAAGGAGTTTCTCTTCCCAGGAAGAAAATTTTTCTTTTGCATTGATATTTGCCCCTTCATTGTACCAATTTTTCCAAATGTCTATTTGTAAATGTTCTATTTCTCCCTATCAAAAAAGCCTACCTCTCCCATTTTTCATCTTCTGATTAGACTCTTTATTATTTTATACCTGAAACACATGGTTTTCAAGTTTGTTCACCATTTGGGATTGATAACCACATTGTTGACCAAAATTTCTTTAAGCAATTACATGATTTATATTGGCCAATATATGGCATTTTGGTTCACAGTATGGGAAATTCATGTGTGTATTTCAAAAAGCTTTTATTACATTGTACCTGACCTTTCACTTCTAAAATAACCACTCACAACTCCTTTGAGCAACTCAACCTGTTTCAACTGATTGCAAAAGAAAAGCTTCTTTTTTAAGCCACTTTTTTTTGTTTGTTTTGTTTTTTGTTTTTTAATTTTTTTTGAGATGGAGTCTTGCTCTGTTGCCCAGGCTGAGTGCAGTGGCATGATCTTGACTCACTGCAACCTCCACCTCCTGGGTTCAAGCAATTCTCTGCCTCAGCCTCCTGAGTATCTGGGATGACAGGCTTGGCTAATTTTTGTATTTTTAGTAGAGACAGGGTTTCACAATCTTGACCAGACTGGTCTTGATCTCCTGACCTTGTGATCCACCCGTCTCGGCCTCCAAAAGTGCTGGGATTACAGGCATGAGCCACCACGCCCAGCTAATCTACTGTTTTCTATTCTTTCCTTCTTTTTATCCCCAACCTTTATACTTCATATGTTCAATTGTAATGAGCTATCTCCAAATTTAGAATTTTCTATGTTTTTTCTCTTTTTCTTAATGCTTTGACAGAGATGTCTCAAAATTGACTCTAAAAAGTGGAAATCCCAATAACCCTTTTTATCACGGATACTTTTTAAGTGAAAGCAAGTTTATTAAAAAGTAAAGGAATTAAAAATAAAGGAATAAAGAATGGCTACTCTATAGCCAGAGCAGCTGCTTGAGCTGCTTGACTAAGGATACTTATTGCTATTTCTCGATTATATGCTAAACAAGGTGTGGATTATTCATGAGTTTTCCAGGAAAAGGGTGGGCAATTCGTGGAACTGAGGGTTCCTCCCCTTTTAATACCATATAGGGTAACTTCCTCAAATTGACATGGCATTTGTGAACTGTCATGGAGCTGCTGGGAGTGTCATTTAGCATTCAAATGTATTATAACTAGCATACAATGAGCCAAGAGGACAACTAGAGGTCACTCTTTTTGCCATCTTGGTTTTCATGGGTTTTGGCTGGCTTCTTTACTGCAACCTGTTTTATTAGCAAGGTCTTTATGGCCTGTATCTTGTGTTGACCTCCTATCTCACCCTGTGACTTAGAATGCTTAACCTCCTGGGCATGCAGCCCAATAGGTCTCAGCCTTATTTCATCCAGCCCTTATTCAAGATGGAGTGGCTCTGGCTCAAACACCTCTGAGCTATTTTCCCCCTCTCTTTTATAAGAGAACCCTTAATCCTAAGGTTTGTAGAGGGATGAAGATTCATCTTCTATAACTTCCTTGGGATGAATAGGGGTGATGATATTCCTGCCTAACTATTAGGGTGTCTGGTATTTGGGGCAGAAAGGAGCTCAGTCAGAAAGTGTTGGTATGCTCTGGACATGGTGGCTCACACCCGTAATCCCAGCACTTTGGGAGGCCAAGGTGGACTGATCATTTGTGGTAAGGAGTTTGAGACCAGCCTGGCCAACATGGTGAAACACCATCTGTACTAAAAATACAAAATTAGTGAGGCATGGTGGCAGGTGGCTATAATCCCAGCTACTTAAGTACTTGGGAGGCTGAGGCAAGAGAATCTCTTGAACCTAGGAGGTGGAGGTTGCACTGAGCCAAGATCCTGCCATTGCACTCCATCCTGGGTGAAAGAGCAAAACTCTGTCTCAAAAAAAAAAAAGAAAGAAAAGAAAAAGAAAAAACAAAGCATCAGTATGTCAATGGCCATTCATAACTCTGAGTTCTGACAAAAGATTATATATGGAATGTTAATAAGTATTGAATATAAGAAAATGTTGAGTAAGCTTATGCTGCATTCATACAAAAGAGTATAACAGCAATATATTCCACAACAGTAAAGCGAAATTATCTCCAAAAGTAACTAAATTAGAAGGCTTTCCATGAACTGGGCAATGGTTGGAACCAAGCTGGTACAAGGTTGCTAGCCAATCCCAATATGTGCCCAGAATTAGAATATTGATTTCTTTTTTTTTTTTTTTTTACATTACCAATCCCTCTTGTTTCTTCTGAGCAGCAGGCAGAGGTCACCGGCTGGCTCACAAGAATAAGCAAGGTTAGTCTAAATTGCAGGAAAAATCTCAAAAACAATTAATGAGACTAGAATCTAATAACAGGTTTACCATAGTTCTTGAAACAATTTTTTTTCTCCCTCTAGTGTCCCATTTTTACTAAAGACAAATCATGGTAAGATTGATTAGCTTTATTTATTTGGCCTGATTATTTATACATATATATAAAGTACAGCAAAAATAATTATTTTTCCCATGGGCTTTTAAAATTGGCTTTGATGGAAGTTTATTCCATAAGGAATCTCAGACAAGACTTTTTTAAAGCCGAGTCCAGCCATGGGTTTATACCCTCAAGTACCTGTATGAGTTGGGTCAATTCCTCTCCTCTTGAGGTCCTGAGATAAAATGGGGCTCCTGGACCTATCAGAAATGACATTCTTTATTTAGCACAGCTCAGGAACCCTGTACAGGGACTATGTAGACAAGATATGAGGCCAGTTGTCCCAGGGGGCTTTTATTGGCTCTACAAGTCAAGTTTGATGCCTTAAAGGAAAGCATGATGTGTGAAGCACCAATCCAGTCGAAGTCTTGGTAAAATAATCAGTTTCTCCAATTGTGTCCTGTTGTAAAACAAAATACTTTTATTGCACTTATGCAAATAACTATATTGAAATAAGAATAGTCACAAATAATTTCCAAATTCTGGGGAAAGCATGTAGAGAGAAACAAATATGCTCCAAATTTTGATCATGAGAGTATAATTTACTCAAATGTTAAAAGCTGTAAATAGCTCAACAGTTTTCTTGTTTCTGAAAAACAAAACAAAGGATCAATAATGTTTTAAGCAAAAAAAAGTCAAAAAAGGTTACTTCAGTCTTCTATTAGTTCAGTTAATGCAGTTAACTCCTGTTATATTGATATTCATATTTCAGTTCTCCATGAGTACTGAAAGTTTATTCCTCTAATCTAATGTCACACTCTCCAAAGTTATCAGAAACCTGCATTCAAGAGCACCTGTCAAAGTCCTATAGCTTATTATAAACCACCTTTTGAAGAGAATCAAAGCAAGACAATTATTAATGAATTTAAAAAATCCGAGTTACGACAGCCACTATTAAAGCCACAATTGACAAAGAAATTTTGATTACTTCTGTGAGATGCAATAATTTTATATAGCAATTATAACTATTAATAACATACACTAAGTCATATCAGGATTACAGGAGTTTCTCATAATTTCAGAACATATACCAATAACATATTTTTGCAAATACAGCCCAAAGAAAGCCAAATACCATTTCGTATTTGACAGTGCTTCCTGTATGTTGTTTACACCAAATAATCCAAATATGTCATTTTTGGACTTTATGGGATCTAATATCTAAAATATTAATTAGGTCAGCAAAGATATAATTTATAATTTGATTTTGCAAAGTTTAAAACACTTGATATTATAAAATCAAATCCCAGGTCACCATATATCATTTACTTAGCCAAAATGACAACTCAAAAATTTTTAAAAGGCAGAAACCTTTACTCATAGATAAAGGGAAGAATTAGCTTTCCAAATAATCTGTCTTTTTTCTTTCCCTTTGTTTTCTATAGTTTATTCAAAAGGCAAACAAAAATCTTTTTCTTAACATAACATGAAAATCATGTTCGAGAAAGATAGCCAATCTCACCCTTTGCTTTAGTGCATTATTAATGTCAAACCTAATTCTTAGTAATACCTTATAGACAAATCTATCTAATTTTAATGTCTGACTATAAGGTAAGATTTTCACAAACATTTTATAATCCTTTACAATGTTTGTTAAAGAGTGGATCATTGCTCTCAGGAAACCCTGTTGTGCTTTTATTCCAATGCTCAAATTACAAATAAACTGAATAATACCCCTTTAATTTTAGGCAATATGTTCACACATAGAATTTCTTTTACAAGATTAATTTTTCATGAACCTTCTGCAACTTGTTCAAACCTTCAGCTTTATCTTCTCTAATGTAAAATGATCATTTAACCCTTTAATCTAGATAGAAAAAATTCACATTACCATGACTTCTTATAATCTTTTAACAAAAACACATTTCACGTTCCTTACAAAACTTGCATGTAAAACAGTTTCTATGTCATAGAGATTACTTAATTAACGTGAACCAAAAAGCATTGCAATTATTTTTTCTGGTAAAATATTTGAGTTAATCGCTTATTTTAAGCTAATTAATCCAATTAATCAATGCTCTTTCATATCACACACACAACACATATAAATACACAGACACACAGAAGAAGATCCTGTAGTTGTAAGATTTTTTCATTTGCCAGTTTCTTAATTGGATTACTGGCTTCAGGGTGGATCCCTTGGAGGAACAGGGACAGGAAAGCATGCGATTTCTACAGCCTAATAAGCAGGCACAGCTAGAGGGCAAAACAGATCTCCAAAAGTTAAGGGTCCCATTTTTGTACCAGATCATGGATGTCAAAAAGAGAAATGCTATGTAACAAGACAGTACAATGATTTTACTGTACAATTCATTGCAAAGCAACCTAAAGCCAATCAGCCTCCTCAGTGATCAGCCCATCCCCCATGGGAGTGATAACTCAGTGTGGGGTGGGGACACCTCCATACCTTCCAGGTGACCAAGAGCATGCTTCTCTGATCCTAACGGGCAAAGAGCTGAGTATCCCTCCATAACTGCCATTATCTATGCCCAAAAGTATATTTCTGACCTAGGTATTACCCACCAAAGCTCTCTCATAATGCAAAATAATTTCTGATACCTCCGAAAGTCAAAAACATCAGATAATCAATGCAAAACAGAATAGGACCTTAGAGTTTGAGAAGGATCTATCCACTTCCAATTGCTGGATTTTATGAGGAAAACAGATTTTTCCCAAAACAAGATCTGTGGAAAAACTCCTTGTTTTTCCAAAGAAGTCCCAGGCAGTTAGAGCTTGAATATCAGCTTTTAATTAAGCTGACTTTTAACCATAGCACTCTTTTAAAAAGTTCTTTAAATTTCTTACTACCTGATGTTAGCCAGGCTACATGGCTGATATTTCTGACATTTGAACTCTATCAAAAGCAACCTCACCAATGAGCCTTGACTAAGTTTATGACTTAATCACAAGTATATGAGATATTTTCAAAGAGGTGGTAAGCAGTGTTTACAAGACCTAAAGGTAGGTCAGAGAAAGGAAAATTGAAGATGGTTCATGCAGTGGAGGAGAATCAACAAATGGTTCACACAGATATCAACGAGAAAATACTTATTCCCTAAGCCTGGATTGAACCCTGGGCTGCCATTTTAAAAAGGCAAAGCCTTAGCTGCTGAGCTACAGCATTGGGCAGTTTCCAGTGCCATTTTCAGAAGAAGCCTAGATCAGCCAATTTTGAGCTTGTGAAGGCTTTCAAATGCTCAAGATAATTTTTAGGGCTAACTAAGACATGAACCCCCAAATTCTTGTCCACTGGATAGTGGAAACCAAGAGAAAGTACCGCCACATGATTACAAGATCAATCTCCCACAGGCGTTTTTCAACATGTGGTCTCTGGACAAGACAATCACCCTGAGTAACAGACAAGATAGGAAAGGTAAAGTAGAGAAAGAAAGAAAAGCATTGCCTCAGCAGGGTGGGAAAGGTGAGGAGCTCAGGCAGGCCAGAGAATGACCCACCCATTTTAGAGACACTGAATCGAAAGTTCAGGTGGCTGCTTGTTAGCTGTGAAGGGACATTTGCAAGCAGTCCTGTCAGCTCTCAAATTTCCCCTTTTAGGGAGGAAAAAGCTCCCCATGTCCCACAATCCTGTAAATACCTAATTCTGTCACGCACAGTCATCAGCAAAGAGTGCAAGACAGATTAATCCAAAGAGAATAGCAATTAACATCCCATAGTGTCAAACCTGTTCTTAGGAGCAGGGACTTTCCTCATGGCAGGTGGGTTCTAACCCCCTCAATCTTAGGAAGGACTCTAACCTTCCTAATTTGAGCCTCAAACCCACCTTTTTTCAAGAGGGGCCTTTAAAACTCTCTGTCTTAGGAGAGACTCTTAACTCCTCTTAAGTTGGGCCTCTAATGAAATCCCATCACCGCTTACCCAAAGTCAGCCAATTTGTACTGCAGTCTATTTCCTTTGGGTCAGGGGTCTCCTCATATCATCTCTTCAGGATTCACCAGGAAGATGTTACTGGAAAGGAAAGGGGTCCTGATCCAGACCTAGAAAGAGGGTTCTTAGATCTCATCCAAGAAAGGATTTGAGGTGAAACCATAGGGTAAAGTGAAAGCAAGTTTATTAACAAAGTAAAGGAATAAAGAATGGCTATTCCATAGGCAGAGTGTCCTGATCACTGTCCCTTTTTAATGGCATGTGTAAATAGAAAGGGGAAAGTAAATCAATATATCATTTTACATAAAATACTACAAATGAAATTATCATGCTATAACTAAGTAATAATAAATATTAGAAAGACAGATACATTTAGGTACTAGCTAAAGTCCTTCATTAATTTTTCTATTTTGAAACTCATTTAAATCTATTATCTTTCTATTTATGGTTTTCCATCTACTATTGCCAATTGTGTGTGTGTGTGTGTGTGTGCTCATGTGAATTTAATATGCTTTTACTAATTGATCAACCTCAATTGGCCCTAAGTCTCTGTTACCTTGGTGTTGCATCATCTTAATTTCTGTAGATTTATCAAGGTTTTAGGATATACAAATTAATATTGTTAGTTGTCAAAGAAATATGAAGATTATAATTTGAGAACTGTCTTTTAGATAAAGAACTTAGAAAAAATTGGTATCAGTCTATGTAATTTGTTTCATTTTGCCTAAACTGTAGTGCATAAAAATCTATTCACCAAGTGCAAATTCAAAGTCAGATAATAACATATTTATATTACATTTTCCTAGCACATTAACCCTGTGGGTACCATTGTCAGCAATTTCCAGATTGATTAGAAACATCCTCACAAAAACTTGAAAATTGAAAAATAATTTGTGATGCCATTATGCTATTGTTTGTCTCATACATTGTATTGTACTGATATTTAGTAACTCATTGATTTCTGAAACATCTAACTTACTAAATTCAATACTTTTTTAAAAAATTAGTTTTGATAATTTCTTATCTGGGTTTTTTTTTGGATAGATAATCAGTCTATAATGCTTCTTACCTTTCAATGGTTATATTATCTTTTGTTTACAAAAATTAATATCTCCCCATCCCACAAGCCTATCAGAGCTAGCATAAGCAAAATGAGACCTAGGGTATATTGTAATAAGTCCCCAACTACTTTTCTCTCTTTCTTCTTTTTTTTTTCTTTTTTTGAGACAGAGTTTCACTCCTGTTACCAAGGCAGGAGTGCAATGGCATGATCTCGGCTCACTGGTTCACCTTGGCTCACTCTGCCTCCCAGATTCAAAAGATTTTCTTGCCTTGGCCGCCCAAGTAGCTGGGATTACAGGAGCCTGCCACCACACCTGGCTAATTTTTTCTTTTTTAGTAGAGATGGGGTTTCACCATGTGGGTCAGGCTGGTCTCGAACTCCTGGCCTAAGATGATCCACCTGCCTTGACCTTCCAAAGTGCTGGGATTACAGATGTGAGCCATGACAGCCAGTCTATTTATTTATTTAGCCTCATGATACATTATTGCTCATTGTCATTTTTTAACATTTATGTCATTTTATTTCTAATGTGTTTTCTATAAATAGCATATAGGTGTATTTAGGGTTTTGAGTGAAGTTGAAATTTTTAATTTATAATGTATGTGTTAATCCTTTAATATTTATTTTCACAACCAATATGTTGCATGTAATGCATATCATAAATTATACACAATTCTATTTGGCATAATTTATTTTCAGAAATCATAATCGAGCTCAAATATTTCTTTCTTTATTTGTTATACTGATTTGATTGAAATAGATCCTGACTCGTTCTCTTAGTGATTAACCTTTCATTAAAATTTTCAAACAATAGAAACTACAAAGCCACCAGCTAACAATTTCATGATAAGATTAAAACCGCATATGTCAATATTAACCTTGAATGTAAATGGTTGAAATGTCTCACTTAAAAGGCACAGAGTGGTAAGTTGGATAAAAAAAACAAGAACTTCCAGGTGCAGTGGCTCATGCCTGTACTCCTAGCACTTTGGGAGGCTGAGGTGGGTGGATTGCCTGAGCTCAGGAGTTCGAGACCAGCCTGGGCAATATAGTGAAACCCTGTCAATACCAAAATACAAAACATTAGCTGGGTGTGGCGGCCTGCACCTGCAGTCCCAGCTACTCAGGAGGCTGAGGCAGGAGTACTGCTTGAACCTGGGAAACTGAGGTTGTAGTGAGCTGAGATCACACCACTGCACTCCAGCCCGGGTGACAGAGTGAGACTCTATCTCAAAAAAAAAAAAAAAAAAAAAAAAAAAAAAACAAACAAAGAAAGAAAGAGAAAACAAGATCTGTTTGCTGTTTACAAGAGACCCATCTCAATCTCACACATAATGAAACACATAGACTCAAAGTAAATGATTGAAGTAAGATCTGCCACACAAATCGAAAACAAAAATATTCTGACATCAAACAGACTTTCAGCCAACAGTAAAAAAGGATAATGAAAGGCATTACAAAATGATAAAGGATTCAGTCCAACAAGAAGATTTAATTATCCTAAATAAATACACACCCAACACTGAAGTACCCACATTCATAAGACAAGTATTCTAGACCTAATAGACCCTTGACCAATTGGACCTAATAGACTTCTACAGAATATTCTTCCCATCCACTGGGCATGGTGGCTCATGCCTATAATCCCAGCATTTTGGAGGCCGAGGCGAGCAGATCACTAGGTCAGGGGTTAGAGACTAGCCTGACCTATATAGTGAAACCTCATCTCTACCAAAAATAGCTGGGCATGGTGGTGCGGGGCTGTAATCACAGGTACTGAGGAGATGGAAGCAGAAGAATCGCTTGAACCCGGGAGGCAGAGGTTGCAATGAGCTGAGGTCGCACCACTGCACTATAGCCTGGGCAACAAGAGCGAAACTCCATCAACAACAACAAAAAAAGAATACTCTGCTAATCAATCAGAATATGCATTCTTCTCAGCTTCATGCAGAACATGCTCTAAGATCAACCACATGCTCAACCATAAAGCAAGTCTCAAAAAAAAATTTAAAAATGTAAGTAATAACAACCACACTCCTATAACACAGTGGAATAAAAATAGAAATCAATACCAAGAAGATCTCTAAAAAATATACAAATACATGGAAACTAAAAGACTTACTCTTTTTTTTTAATATACTTTAAGTTTTAGGGTACATGTGCACAATGTGCAGGTTTGTTACATATGTATACATGTGCCATATTTGTGTGGTGCACCCATTAACTCATCATTTAGCATTAGGTATATCTTCTAATGCTATCTCTCCCCACTTCCCCCACCCCACGACACCCTGGTGTGTGATGTTCCCCCTTCCTGTGTCCATGTGTTCTCATTGTTCAATTCCCACCTATGAGTGAGAACACGCAGTGTTTGGTTTTTTGTCCTTGCGATAGTTTGCTGAGAATGATGCTTTCCAGCTTCATCCATGTCCGTATAATGGACACGAACTCATCCTTTTTTATGGCTGTATAGTATTCCATGGTGTGTATGTGCCACATTTTCTTGATCCAGTCTATCATTGTTGGACATTTGGGTTGGTTCCAAGTCTTTGCTATTGTGAATAGTGCTGCAATAAACATACGTGTGCATGTGTCTTTATGGCAACATGATTTATAATCCTTTGGGTATATACCCAGTAATGGGATGGCTGGGTCAAATGGTATTTCTAGTTCTAGATCCTTGAGGAATCGCCACACTGACTTCCACAATGGTTGAACTAGTTTACAGTCCCACCAACAGTGTAAAAGTGTTCCTATTTCTCCACATCCTCTCCAGCACCTGTTTTTTCCTGACTTTTTAATGATCGCCATTCTAACTGGTGTGAGATGGTATCTCATTGTGGTTTTGATTTGCATTTTCTGATGGCCAGTGATGATGAGCATTTTTTCATGTGTTTTTCGGCTGCATAAATGTCTTCTTTTGAGAAGTGTCTGTTCATACCCTTCACCCACTTTTTGATGGGGTTGTTTGTTTTTTCTTGTAAATTTGTTTGAGTTCATTGTAGATTATGGATATTAGCCCTTTGTCAGATGAGTAGGTTGCAAAATTTTTCTCCCATTCTGTAGGTTGCTTGTTCACTCTGATGGTAGATTCTTTTGCTGTGCAGAAGCTCTTTAGTTTAATTAGATCCCATTTGTCAATTTTGGCTTTTGTTGCCATTGCTTTTGGTGTTTTAGACATGAAGTCCTTGCCCATGCCTATGTCCTGAATGGTATTGCCTAGGTTTTATTCTGGGGTTTTTATGGTTTTAGGTCTAACATTTAAGTCTTTTATTCATCCTGAATTAATTTTTGTATAAGGTGTAAGGAAGGGATCCAGTTTCAGCTTTCTACATATGTCTAGCCAGTTTTCCCAGCACCATTTATTAAATAGGGAATCCTTTCCCCATTGCTTGTTTTTCTCAGGTTTGTCAAAGATCAGATAGTTGTAGATATACAGCATTATTTCTGAGGGCTCTGTTCTGTTCCATTGGTCTATACATCTGTTTTGGTACCAGTACCATGCTGTTTTGGTTACTGTAGCCTTGTAGTATAGTTTAAAGTCAGGTAGTGTGATGCCTCCAGCTTTGTTCTTTTGGCTTAGTATTGACTTGGCAATGTGGGCTCTTGTTGGTTCCATATGAACTTTAAAGTAGTTTTTTCCAATTCTGTGAAGAAAGTCATTAGTAGCTTGAAGGGGATGGCATTGAATCTATAAATTACCTTGGGCAGTATGGCCATTTTCATGATATTGATTCTTCCTAGCGATGAGCATGGAATGTTCTTCCATTTGTTTGTATCCTCTTTTATTTCATTGAGCAGTGGTTTGTAGTTCTCCTTGAAGAGGTTCTTCATGTCCCTTGTGAATTGGATTCCTAGGTATTTTATTCTCTTTGAAGCAATTGTGAATGGGAGTTCACTCATGATTTGGCTCTCTGTTTGTCTGTTATTGGTGTATAAGAATGCTTGTGATTTTTGTACATTGATTTTGTATCCTGAGACTTTGCTGAAGTTGCTTATCAGCTTAAGGAGATTTTGGACTGAGACAATGGGGTTTTCTAGATATATAATTATGTCATCCGCAAACAGGGACAATTTGACTTCCTCTTTTCCTAATTGAATGCCCTTTATTTCCTTCTCCTGCCTGATTGCCCTGGCCAGAACCTCCGACACTATGTTGAATAGGAGTGGTGAGAGAGGGCATCCCTGTCTTGTGCCAGTTTTCAAAGGGAATGCTTCCAGTTTTTCTCCATTCAGTATGATATTGGCTGTGGGTTTCTCATAGATAGCTCTTATTATTTTGAGATATGTCCCATCAATACCTAATTTATTGAGTGTTTTTTGCGTGAAGGGTTGTTGAATTTTGTCAAAGGCCTTTTCTTCATCTATTGAGATAATCATGTGGTTTTTGTCTTTGGTTCTGTTTATATGCTGGATTATATTTATTGATTTGCATATGTTGAACCAGCCTTGCATCCCAGGGATGAAGCCCATTTGATCATGGTGGGTAAGCTTTTTGATGTGCTGCTGGATTCGGTTTGCCAGTATTTTACTGAGGATTTTTGCATCGATGTTCATCAAGGATATTGGTCTAAAATTCTCTTTTTTGTTGTGTCTCTGCCAGGCTTTGGTATCTGGATGATGCTGGCCTCATAAAATGAGTTAGGGAGGATTCCCTCTTTTTCTATTGATTGGAATAGTTTCAGA
This sequence comes from Homo sapiens, assembly GCF_000001405.40. NCBI lineage: Eukaryota > Metazoa > Chordata > Mammalia > Primates > Hominidae > Homo > Homo sapiens. Next base: position 51,787,713 of record NC_000005.10, read on the forward strand.
AGGAATGGTACCAGCTCCTCCTTGTACCTCTGGTAGAATTCGGCTGTAAATCCACCTGGTCCTGGACTTTTTTGATTGGTAAGCTATTAATTATTGCCTCAATTTCAGAGTCTGTTATTGGTCTATTCAGAGATTCAACTTCTTCCTGGTTTAGTCTCGGGAGAGTGTATGTGTCAAGGAATTTATCCATTTCTTCCAGATTTTGTAGTTTATTTGCATAGAGGTGTTTATAGTATTCTCTGATGGTAGTTTGTATTTCTGTGGGATCGGTGGTGATATCCCCTTCATCATTTCTTATTGCGTCTATGTGATTCTTCTCTCTTTTCTTCTTTATTAGTCTTGCTAGCAGTCTATCAATTTTGTTTTTCTTTTCAAAAAACCAGCTCCTGGATTCATTGATTTTTTGAAGGTTTTTTTTTTGTGTCTATTTCCTTCAGTTGTGCTCTGATCTTAGTTATTTCTTGCCTTCTGCTAGCTTTTGAATGTGTTTGCTCTTGCTTCTCTAGTTCTTTTAATTGTGATGATGTTAGGGTGTCAGTTTTAGATCTTTCCTGCTTTCTCTTGTGGACATTTAGTGCTGTCAATTTCCCTGTACACACTGCTTTTAATGTGACCCAGAGATTCTGGTATGTTGTGTCTTTGTTCTCGTTGATTTCAAAGAACATCTTTATTTCTGCCTTCATTTCATTATTTACCCAGTAGTCATTCAGGAGCAGGTTGTTCATTTTCCTTGTAATTGAGTGGTTTTGAGTGAGTTTCTTAATCCTGAGTTCTAGTTTGATTGCACTGTGGTCTGACAGACAGTTTGTTACAATTTCTGTTCTTTTGCATTTGCTGAGGAGTGCTTTACTTCCAACTATGTCGTCAATTTTGGAATAGGTGTGGTGTGGTGCTGAAAAGAGTGTATACTCTATTAATTTGGGGTGGAGAGTTCTGTAGATGTCTATTAGATCCGCTTGGTGCAGAGCTGAGTTCAATTCCTGGATATCCTTGTTCACTTTCTGTCTCGCTGATCTGTCTAATGTTGAGAGTGGGGTGTTAACGTCTCCCATTATTATTGTGTAGGAGTCTAAGTCTCTTTGTAGGTCTCTAAGGACTTGCTTTATGAATCTGGGTGCTCCTGTATTGGATGCATATATATTTAGGATAGTTAGTTCTTCTTGTTGAATTGATCCTTTTACCGTTACGTAATGGCCTTCTTTGTCTCTTTTGATCTTTGTTGGTTTAAAGTCTGTTTTATCTGAGACTAGGATTGCAACCCCTGCCTTTTTTTGTTTTCCATTTGTGTGGTAGATCTTCCTCCATCCCTTCATTTTGAGTCTATGTGTGTCTCTGCATGTGAGATAGGCTTCCTGAATACAACACACTGATGGGTCTTGACTCTTTATCCAATTTGCCAGTCTGTGCCTTTTAACTGGAGCATTTAGCCCATTTACATTTAAGGTCAGTATTGTTATGTGTGAATTTGATCCTGTCATTATGATGTTAGCTGGTGATTTTGCTCGTTAGTTGATGCAGTTTCTTCCTGGCCTCGATGGTCTTTCCAATTTGGCATGTTTTTGATGTGGCTGGTACTGGTTGTTCCTTTCCATGTTTAGTGCTTCCTTAAGGAGCTCTTCTAGGGCAGGCCTGGTGGTGACAAAATCTCTCAGCATTTGCTTTTCTCTAAAGCATTTTATTTCTCCTTCACTTATGAAGCTTAGTTTGGCTGGATATGAAATTCTGGGTTGAAAATTCTTTTCTTTAAGAATGTTGAATTTTGGCCCACACTCTCTTCTGGCTTGTAGAGTTTCTGCCGAGAGATCAGCTGTTAGTCTGATGGGCTTCCCTTTGTGGGTAACCCGACCTTTCTCTCTGGCTGCCCTTAACATTTTTTCCTTCATTTCAACTTTGCTGAATCTGACAATTATGTGTCTTTGAGTTGCTCTTCTCGAGGAGTATCTTTGTGGCGTTCTCTGTATTTCCTGAATTTGAATGTTGGCCTGCCTTGCTAGATTGGGGAAGTTCTCCTGGATAATATCCTGCCGAGTATTTTCCAACTAGGTTCCATTCTCCCCATCAGTTTCAGGTACACCAATTAGACATAGATTTGGTCTTTTCCCATAGTCCCATATTTCTTGGAGGCTTTGTTTGTTTCTTTTTATTCTTTTTTCTCTAAACTTCTCTTCACACTTCTTTTCATTCATTTCATCTTCCATCGCTGATACCCTTTCTTCCAGTTAATCGCATTGGTTACTGAGGCTTGTGCATTCATCACATAGTTCTCGTGCTGTGGTTTTCAGCTCCATCAGGTCCTTTAAGGACTTCTCTGCATTGGTTCTTCTAGTTATCCATTTGTCTAATTTTTTTTTCAAAGTTTTTAACTTCTTTGCGATGGGTTCAAACTTCCTCCTTTAGCTCGGAATAGTTTGATCGTCTGAAGCCTTCTTCTCTCACCTCATCAAAGTCATTCTCCTTCCAGCTTTGTTCCATTGCCAGTGAGGAGCTGTGTTCCTTTGGAGGAGGAGAGGTGCTCTTATTTTTAGAGTTTCCAGTTTTTCTGCTCTGTTTTTTCCCCATCTTTGTGGTTTTATCTACCTTTGGTCTTTGATGATGGTGACGTACAGATGGGGTTTTGGTGTGGATGTCCTTTCTGTTTGTTAGTTTTCCTTCTAACAGTCAGGACCCTCAGCTGCAGGTCTGTTGGAGTTTGCTGGAGGTCCACTCCAGACCCTATTTTCCTGGCTATCAGCAGTGGAGGCTGCAGAACAGCAGATATTGGTGAACAGCAAATGTTGCTCCCTGATCTTTCCTCTGGAATTTTTGTCTCAGAGGAGTACCCGGCCATGTGAGGTGTCAGTCTGCCCCTACTTGGGGGTGCCTCTCAGTTAGGCTACTCGGGGTCAGGGACCCACTTGAGGAGGCAGTCTGTTCATTCTCAGATCTCCAGCTGCGTGCTGGGAGAACCACTACTCTCTTCAAAGCTGTCAGACAGGGAAATTTAAGTCTGCAGAGGTTTCTGCTGCCTGTTGTTTGGCTATGCCCTGCCCCAAGAGGTGGAGTCTATAGAGGCAGGCAGGCCTCCTTGAGCTCCTGTGGGCTCCACCCAGTTCGAGCTTCCCGGCCGCTTTGTTTACCTACTCAAGCCTCAGAAATGGCGGATGCCCCTCCCCCAGCCTCGCTGCTGCTTTGCAGTTTGATCTTAGACTGCTGTGCTAGCAATGAGCAAGGCTCCGTGGGTGTAGGACCCTCCAAGCTAGGTGCGGGATATAATCTCCTGGTATGCCATTTGCTAAGACTGTTGGAAAAGCGCAGTATTAGGGTGAGAGTGACCTGATTTTCCAGGTGCCATCTGTCACCCCTTTCTTTGACTAGGAAGTGGAATTCCCTGACCCCTTGCCCTTCCCAGGTGAGGTGATGCCTTGCCCTGCTTCGGCTCACGCTCGGTGCACTGCACCCCCTGTCCTGCACCCACTGTCCAACACTCCCCAGTGAGATGAACCCAGTACCTCAGTTTGAAATGCAGAGATCACCCATCTTCTGCGTCTCTCACACTGGGAGCTGTAGACTGGAGCTGTTCCTATTTGGCCATCTTAGCTCCCCCCTCTCTAAATGACTTACTCTTGAATGACTTTTGGGTAAACAATAAAATCAAGGTAGAAATTTTAAAAATTCTTTGACATAAGTGAAAATGGAGACACAACATCCCAAAGTATCTTCAATGCAGCAAAATCAGTTTTAAGAGGAAAGTTTATAGGACTAAATGCCTACCTCAAAAATTAAGATGATCTAACATCACACCTAGAGGAACTAGAAAAATAAAAACAAACTAATCCAAAACTAACAGAAGAAAAGAAGTAACTAAAATCAGAGAGAAACTGAACAAAATTGAGACCCAAAAATCCATATAAAGAATTAACTAAATCAAAAGTTGATTATTTGAAAGAATAAAAACAAGATTGATAGACCACCAGCTCTACTGACAAAGAAAAAAAGAGAGAAGATCCAAAGAAGCACAATTAGAAATGACAAAGGTGACATTACAACCGATCACACAAAATACAAAAAAAGAAATAGAGACAATTCTAAATGTTTGTACACACACAAGCTAGAAAACCTAGAGAAATCTGATAAATTCCTAGAAACACACCACTTCCCAATATTGAGTTAAGAAGAAATTGAAACACTAAACAGACCAATATTGAGTTCCAAAATTGAAACAGTAATAAAAGAACCTACCAACCCTTGGGACGCTGAGGTGAGAGAATCACTTGAATCCGGGAGGCAGAGGTTGAGGTAAGCCGAGATCATGCCATTGCACTCCAGCCTGGGCAACAAGGGTAAAACTCCATCTCAAAAAAAAAAAAAAAAAAAAAAGGACCTACACCAACCAGAAAAAGCCCTGGACCAGAAAGATTTACAGCCAAATTCTACCAGAAGTACAAAGAAGAGCTAGTACCAATTCTACTGAAACTATTCCAAAAAATTGAGGTAGAGAGACTCCTTGCTAACTCATTTTATGAAGCCAGGATCAATCTAACACCAAAACCTGGCAAAGACACAGTGAGAATGGAAAACTACAGGCCAACATCCCTGATAAACTTAGATGCAAAAATTCTCAAGAAAATACTAGAAAACTGAATTTAACAGCACATAAATGAGTTAATTCATCATGATCAAGTATGCTTCATTCCTGGGATGAAGGGTTGTTTCAGCATACACAAATCAATAATTATGATTCACCACATAAACAGAATTAAAAACAATAACTATATGATCATTTCAATAGACACAGAAAAATCTTTGAATAAAATCCAGCATTTCTTTATGATAAAAACTCTCAGGAATCTAGGCATCAAAGGAACATATCTCATAATAATAAGCGCCATCTATGACAAACCCATAGTTGACATCATACTTAATGGGCAAAAACTGGAAGGAAGCATTCTCCTTGATAACTGGAAAAGGACAAATATGCACCTTCTCACCACTTGTATTCAACGTAGTACTGGAAGTGATAGCCAGAGCAATCAGGCAAGATAAATGAATAAAAGGCATCAAATAGGACAAGATAAAGTCAAACTGTCTTTGTAGATGATATGATTTTACACTTAGAAAACCCTAAAGACTCCACCTAAAGCTTCCTAAAGCTGATAAACAGCAAACAACTTCATGACAGTGGAGTTTCAGAACACAAAAGTAAATTTCAGTATAGTTTCAGAATACAAAATCAGTGTACAAATATCAGTAGTATTGCTACATAACAATAAAGTACAAGCTGAGAATCAAATCAAGAGTGAAATCCCATTTACAATAGACACACACACAAAAAAAACCTAGGAAAACATCTAACCAAGGAGGTAAAAGATCTCTACAAGGGGAATGATAAAACACCACTGAAATAAATCACATGAAACAAACAAATGGAAAAACATTTCATGGTCATGGACAGGAAGAATCAATGTAATTAAAATGGCCATACAGTCCAAAGAAATCTACAGATTCAGTGTTATCCCTATTACACTACCAATGTCAATTTTCACAGAATTGGAAAAAAAACTATTCTAAGATTCATATGGAACTAAAAAAGAGCCTGAATAGTTAAAGCAATTCCAAGCAAAAATAACAAAACTGGAGGTTTCACATTACCTGACTTCAAACTAAACTGTAAGGCTACAGTAATCAAAACAGCATGGTACCAGTACAAAAACAGATACATAGACCAATGGTACAGGATAAATAACCCAGAAATAAAGCTGCACACCTACAGCCATATTATCTTTGACAACGTTGACAAAAATAAACAATGGAGAAAGAGCTCTCTAATAAATAGTGCTGGGATAGCTGTATAGCCAAATGCAGAAGAATAAAACTGGACCCAACTTTTCACCATATACAAAAATTAATTAACTCAAGATAAATTAAAGACTTAAGTGTAATACCTTAAGCTGTAGGAAACCTAGAAGAAGACCTAGGAAATACTATTCTTGTATTTCAGTATTGGGAAGGCATTTATAACTAAGTCATCAAAAGCAATTACAACAAAAACCAAAATTGACAAGTGGGACCTAGTTAAGCTAAAGAACTTATGCACAGCAGAAGAAACTATCAACAGAGTAAACAAAAATTTACAGAATGGGAGAAAATATTTGCAAACTGTGCATCTGTCAAAGGCCTAATATCTGGAATTTATAAAGAAATTAAACAATTAAGCAAAAAAAAATCCCATTAAAAATGGGCAAAGAACATGAACAGACACTTCTCAAAAGAAGACATACAAGGGGCCAATAAACATATTTTAAAAATGTTCCACATCACTAATCATTAGAGAAATGCAAATCAAGACCACAATGAGATACCATCTCACATCTGCCAGAATGGTTATTATTAAAAGTCTAGAAACAACAGATGTTGGCAAGGTTGCATAGAAAAAGGAACACTTCCACCCTGTTGGTGGGAATGTAAATCAGTTCAACCACTCTAGAAAGTAGTTTGACCATTTCTTAAAGAACTTAAAACACAACTACCATTCAACCTGGCAATTCCATTATTGGGTATGTATCCAAAAGAAAACAAATTTTTTTACCAAAATACTCATGCACTCACATTTCATCACAGCATTACTCACAATAGCAAAGACATGGAATCAATCTAAGTTCCCATCAATGGTGGACTGGATAAATAAAATATGGTACATACACACCATGAATACTATGCAGTCATAAAAATGATTACATTATTTCCTTTGCTGCAATCTAGATGCAGCTGGAGGCCATTATCCCCAGTGAATTAACACAGGGACAGAAGAAAAAAATATACTGCATGTTCTCATTTGTAAGTGGAAACTAAACATTGTGCACTCATGGACGTAACGATGGTAACAGTAAATGCTGAGAACTATTAGAGGGGGGAAGAGAGAGGGAGTCAAGGGTTGAAAAACTGTTGAACACTATGCTTGGTGCTTGGGTGATAAGATGATTTGTACACCAAACTTCAACATCACACAATATACTCAGGCAACAAACCTGCACATGTACCCCCTGACTGTAAAATAAAAACTGAAAAAAAAAATGTAAACAGTAGTTCTCTAATTAGTAAGTTATTAATGAAATATTGCCTTTTGGAATACTTTTTATGAGAGCTGGTTTAATTTTTCTCATCTTTTTGCTGATACGGTTTGTTTCACTTAGAAATTTAAGACCCAGAAGAATATTTTGTTTTACTTCTATATTGTTCAAGTTTTTCTATTTTAGTATCAAAATTTTGTTCTAAAATTACGTATACAAAACTAATCTTAAGTGAAAATACGGCTTTTTCCACATTCACTGGTAGTCCTTTTACAATATAGTTTTCCTGCTTTTAACTTATTTGATTCCTTACCCAGTCAGTTGCACTGAATCTTTGAGACTTTACTCAGGAAAGGCATTTAGGTGGAATACTTTCTGAATCCTTATAGAATTCAAGGTACCTTTCAATTGCTTTATCCTGTAACAAAAATAATGCAGAATATTAAAAACTGAGTGATATAATTTTATCTTTTAATTAATCCATTGTCTTCTGATATTTAATATAATAAAAGATAAGTCTCAAGCAAGTTTAATTTTTATTATTTTAAAGATAACTTTTTGCTTCCTTATAAATTTTTAATTATTAAATTTCAAAAAATATAACTGGTATATATATGTATGATTTAATTGTGTTTGAATAAATTGAAGACTTGGGTATTAACTAATGTTAGTAAAACTTTTTTGTCTCATGGCTTTATTCCTTTTTTTATCTCTAATTTAAGAACATCAACTTTATTAATGTTTAGACTAATTAATGTCTTCTGTATTATTATTTTTGTTATTGTTTAAATTTTTTTCTTATACACTATTTTGAAATTCTTTTTTTTACTATATTCCCTGATTTTCTTTATTTTTTTGTTATTAATGTTCTGTTTCCATTTATTGTAGTTTTGTTTATTATTAATGTGTTAATTTTAAATTCAGTTATGAAAAGTTTTATAAATGGGAAAAAATGTATAGAAAACTATGAAAATAACAAAGATCCCAGTTACCATATGTAATTAAAAACCGTTACTAAGCTATCACTTTTTTTCAGAATATAAGCAATACAAAGGTCTCTATAAAGGAGAGCATTTATTTTCAGTAGACTGTGGAGTGAAGATTAAATTTCAAAAACGTACAGGAAGAAAGGCCAGAAGGTAAAATAGGCTTTCATTGATAAACCTGGAGAGCTGGTGTCATGGGCAGAAGGCTGAGAATTTTATGGTAAGTCAGGTACAAATGCTGGTAGAGGTAGGATATTGGGGTCAGAATCAAGCAAAGTTTTTGAAAGAGATCTGGGGTGGGGGAACAAGCCCACCGCAAGTTTTTCTCTTCAGCCATTTGCCAAACACAAAGATGGGGCAGGTGGGGGATTAAAAACCAAAGCAGGAAGTTTTTGAAAAGCTGAGCAATTTATTTTGGCAGTTGTGATTCAGTGAATTTGGGTCTTACTGGTAGGAACTGTCTCAAATAAACAGCAGAAAACTCTGCAGGTTCAGTAGCAAACCAGAACTAGAATAAGCCTTACTAGCATTAAAACTTAACACAGCCTTAGCACATATTTCAGCACAGAACCTTACTTGGTTAAAATGTTCAGAGACAATATTGGCTTCCTGCGAGAATAGAAGGAGGAACTCTTACTATTTAGAGAAGCCATCATTTGGATACTACAAAATTTTTAATATACAACTCCTAGCATTTATTTACAAAAATATTATGCCACGGAAATATATAACAAAACAACTTAAAAACAAGAGAAAAAAATAGGAACATATCCAAATATGGTCAGGATATTTGGATTAGCCAGAAAAAGCCTTATAGTAACTGTGTAATTTGTTCAAGATAATGAATGTAGAAAATAGTCAAAAATAAACAAAAATAAGAAGTTTTACCAGAGAATGGAAACTATTTAAGGAAAGAAAAGAATCAAGTAATCATTCTAAAGATGAAAAACAAAGAATGAAAATTAACTAAACAGGATTAACTTAACAATAGATTTGACACAGCAGGAGATAAGATTAATGTTCTAGGGCCGGGCACCGTGGCTCACACCTGTAATCCCAGCACTTTGGGAGACCAAGGCGGGAGGATCATGAAGTCAAGGAGTTCGAGACCATCCTGGCTAACATGGTGAAACCCCATCTCTACTAAAATACAAAAAATTAGCCAGGTGTGGTGGCGCGCACCTGTAGTCCCAGCTACTCAGGAGGCTGAGGTGAGAGAATTGCTTGAACCCAGGAGACGGAGGTTGCAGTGAGCCCAGATTGCGCCATTGCACTCCAGCCTGGGTGACAGAGTGAGACTCTGTCTCAAACAAAAAAAAAAAAGATTAATGTTCTAGAAGGTAGGTCAACAATAAAATACTCAAACACAGAAAGAGAATAAAAGAAAATACAGGAAATATATTACATATGTGTAGGTGTTAATGAAAAGGTCTAATATGTGCATGATGTAATACCAAAAAAGGAAAAGAAGAAATGGAGTAGAAGCTAATAGATTTTGCAAACATGTCAAATACATGAAGCCACAAAGAGGAGAAAGACTATGAATCCCAAACGAAATACACAAAAACAAAACTACACTAAGATATTTTATGAAACACCACTAATTACTGAAGACATGGAAAAAAGCTTAAAAGTAGCCAGAAGATAAAAGTAAGTTTGTCATCCAATGAGCAACAATTCTTACAGATGACCTTTCAACAGAAACAGTGGAAGTCATATTAGAAATAACATTTTCAAATCGCTAAAAGGAAATAATTGTAACTCATAATTCTCTTTGCAGTCAAAAATATCTTTTAAAAGTAAAGTGGAAAAAGACTTTAACAGAAAAGCAGAAATGGAGAAAATAACCAGATCTGAACAGCAAAAAAAACCTATAAGACACAATTTATAGTCAACAAAGCCATCAAATATCTAGGAGAAATCTTTTTATTTGTTTAAATTTGCTGGGTACAAGTAGTACATTTTGTTCCATGCATAGATTGGGTAGTGGTCATGTCAGGATTTCTGGGTATCCATCACCCAAATAATATATATATATATTACCCATTAACTAATTTCTCATCATCCAAGCGCCCTCAACCCATCACCCTTCTGAATATTCATTGTATATCATTCTACTCTCTATATCCGTGTATATGCATTTTTTAGCACCCACTTCTAAGTGACAACATGTAATATTTGACTTTCTGTGTCTGGCTTGTTTCAATTAAGATGATAACCTCTAGCTCCATCCATGTTACTTTAAAAGACACTATTTTATTCTTTTTCGTGGCTGAACCACTGTGTATATATACACCATATTTTCCTTATCCAGTTATCCACTGATGGAAACTTAGGTTGATTCCATATCTTTGCTTTTGTGAATAGCACTGTGATAAACATAAGAGTGTAGGTATAATTTTAATATGTTGATTTATTATTCTTTGAGTAGATACCCAGCATTGGGACTGTTGGATCAAATGGTAGTTCTATTTTTAATTCCTTGATAAATCTCCATACCGTTTTCCATAGGGGTTGTACTAATTTACATTCTCATCAACAGTGTGTAAGAGTTAGTTCCCTTTGCTTCATATCCTTGCTAACATCTGTTCCTATTTTTTTGTCTTCTTATTTTTAGCCATTCTAACTGGTATAAGATGATATCACATTGTGGTTTCAATTTGCATTATTTGATGCTTAGTGATGTTGAGCATTTTTCATATACCTGTTGGCCATTTGCATGCCTCTTTTAAAAAATGTCTATTCGTGTCCTCTGCCCACTTTTTAATGGAATTTTGTATTTTGTTGTTGTTTTTGAGTTGGCTTCTTTGTATATTCTGGATGTTAGTGTCCTGTTGGATGCCTAGTTTGCCAAAATTTTCTCTGAATCTGCAGGTTGCCTGTTCATTCTGTTGATTATTTCTTTTGCCTAGAAGGAAATTCAGTGGAAGCTATATAAGACCTTTATACTAAATAACATAAAATGCATAGAATTCTACTGAGAGTTATTTAAAATATTTAGATAAACAAATGTATGAAGTTCATGGATTATAAAACTATATTTTAAATCTGTCAATTGTTTTTAGTCAATTGATAAGTTCAATACAATTTTATTTATAATCACATCTGTGTGTGTGTGTGTGTATGTGTGTGTGTACAAAGTGAACTGATTCAAAAATTCTCACTGAAATGGAAAAGGCCAAGTAGATGAACAAATCTACAGAAGTTATATTACCAGTTATAAAGACAAAAAGCTACAGCAGTATGATGATATTAGGTCAGTGCAGAAGTATTGGCCTTTTAATGGCAAAACTGCAATTACTTTTGCACCATCTCTCAAGGATAGCCAAATAGATCAATATAGCAGGTAGATTCTAGAAACGGATCCATATATGTTTCCCAATTTATGAGAATAGTGATACTGGATTGTAGTAGGGAAAAGAGTAAACTTTTCAATAAATTGTGCTGGTTAAATGGGTATCTACATGTATACCATGTATGTGTGCATATGTGTGTATGTATAATACCTCTAACTCATACAACACACTAAAATAAAAACTAAACAGATTATAGATCTAAAATTGAATGGTAAAACAATAGTGTTGGTAAAAAATAGTTTTTGGTCTTGGGGGTAGACAAAGGTTTCTTAAGATGTAAAAAGCAATTATCCATACATTTAAAAAAATGCTAAATTGGACTACATTGGACTATTTCAGTTTTAAAATTTCAGTTCATCAAAAAGCAATATCAGGAAGTAAAAAGTCAAGCCTCTAGATGGGAGAATAGGTATGCAATACATTTATATATTGAAGTACTTATGACCGGAATATAAACAGTATGTCTACCAATTAACAGGAAACAAAGCAGACAACCCATTGGAAAAAATGGACAAATTCATTTTTCAGGCCATTCACAAAAGCATATATCTAAACGGTAAAAAAATAAAGTCATTAGAGAGAGCATTTTTAATCTGAGATCATTACTGACACACCAGCAGCTAAAAGGAAAAAAGACAATACCAAGTATTGGTGAGAATCTGGAGCAGTTAGAACTTCTATACTCTTCTGGTGGAAGTTAATTAGCATAGCTATTACAGAAAAATATAGAGTAACATCTAATAAAGCTAAATATGTGCATATCTTATAACTCAGCAATTCATAGCAACAGTATAACTAATGGCTAAAACTATTCATAAAATGAAATAATACATAGTATTGAAAATCTTTAAATACATTCTAGAGAAAATAAAAAAGATAAAGATAAGTAAGCTTATTCCAATCAAGATCAGTAACAGAGCAAACTCAAAAAGGAAAGAAATACTTAAACTAAATGAAGAAACAAAACAGATCAAAAACTCAAAATATAGAGAATACTAAAACTACCAAAAGCTATTTGAAAAGATTAATATAATACACATTATGCTTGAATTACTTTAAAATTACCCCCAACTTTGAAAATATTTGTTAAATAAAGAAGGAGATGAAGCTACTGGTTTTATAAATATAGTGTGCCTTAGCTTTCCTCTGAATGCCAATCATGTATTTTTAAATTTATTATTAAATTTGTATGTTTTATTATCTTAGTTATTTTTGTTTATATTCATTTAGGTTTATTGTCTGAATTTACTAGTACTTTTTTCTCATTGTTGCCTGTTGCCTCACATTTCCTTCTATCTACTTTCATTTTTTTTTCTCACTTCATGTTAATACAGGAAAAGGAGTATTCAGAAAACTTAACCCACTACAGTGTTCAGAAAATAGTACCCACTACATTACCTCCCTAGATTATCAAATCACGATTTGGCTGAATTAAAATTCTCAGTTTATGGGTTTTATGTTCCCATAATGTTTGAAAGCTATCACTCTACTGTATTCTGGTATTCTAGTTGCTGATGACAAGTTGGCTGTTGGTTTTCTACCATTCTTTGTAAGTTGTCTAATTTTCTTTTCTTGCGGCTTTAGGATTTATTTTATCTCTGATGTCCTGCAATTTTATTATGTGACCAGATGTGGATTAAACATAATTATCCTATTTCTGGGCTTTCTCAATACAACTAATATTTCAATATGGACAATTCTTAGCCATAAACCCCTTGAATATTGTCTATTCAACATTATCCCCATTTTATTCTTCTGGAATATTAGCTATAAAATGGAGTTTCTTAATTAATCTTACATATATCTTAATTTTTCTTTCAGATTTTCCATCTCCTTGAGATACATTATTGCACATTTTCTATGTTCTGTCTTTTAATTCAGTCACTAGTTCTTTAGTTGCTTTCTGGTGACTTTAAGCTCATCTTTTAATTTTTGATATTTGGATTATACTTTTTATTTACATATTTCAAATAGGTCATTTTTCATAGAGGATTATATGTTTTAAATAATATATTCTCAATCCTAATGGCTTATGTTAAAATCATTTTAAAATAGTTTAATGGGAAAAAACTCTTGTTTCATGGGGGCTATTCCCTCTATTATAGCTTAGAAATTTTAAACATTCAATATTAAAGTCATTTCCAAATTGTTTCATTATTTTTTTTTTGGATATAAACTTTTTAAGATTGTTTGGTCTATAATCTCTCTTTTTTGCTAATGGATTTCCTCATGTGGTAATTCATTTTGGTAATTTCACTTTCCCAGGGAGATTCCTCCAAATTGTTCCTCATCTACAAGGTTTTTAAGTCATCTAGAGCTTACACCTATCACCTGTGCAGATCAGGCTCCACACTGGGGACAGCCTGGCATGAATTTTCATTTCCTTTAGGTGATACTACCTCTTCCCCAGCCTTAGTAGGAGGTATTCTGGGTTGATTTATGAACAAACAGACTGAGACCATAGGGTATAGGCGGGGGTCTGTAGTTCTGACCATCAGCATATCAAATGTATTTTTAGTCTCATCTTCATATAGGCTTTGGGACCAGAACTGAGATGGCTTGTTTCAAGCCCTGGCTCCAATTAACAGAGAAGCTAGAGTTTTTATTTCTTCCATGAATTCCCTCTCCATTTCTGGTACACGGAGATTTCCCTTTATAGTACAGTATAACCTATCTATGTATTAAATAATTTTATATTCTGTCCATTATTCCTATTTTTTTGGAGTAGGAATATGCTATCATACTGTCATTTGACTTATAATTGCTATCTCTTTGAATTTTTAGTAAAGAAAACATATTTATTCATCTCATTTAAAAATATACAATAGTTGTACATTTTGGGGGGTACGTGTGATATTTTGATACATGTATACAATATAAAATGATTAAATAAGGGTAGTTAGGATAGCCATCATTTCAAACATTTATCTCTTTTTATGTTAAAAGCATTACATTTCAAACTAGCTAGAAGAGAAGAAGTACTCATCTCATTTTATTCTCTTTTTTTCTGCTTTCAATCTAAACAATTCTACCTGGGGCTTTTCCACTATGGAAAATATGTCAGTATAAAATCATCTCACCCCAAAACCCTTTGAATAACTATTACTATATTATTTTATAAGCTTGTTTAATACAGAAAAAAACTCTAAAATTTCCCTAGAAATCTTGTTAAAGAATATGTTTTCTTACATAGTTATGCTATCTCATTTATTTTTCTAAATATGTATAGATTTTCTATGATTTTTAAATTTGTTTAGTTAACATCTCCTTATGTGAAGTTTCAAATAAAGGATCATGTTTAAGATATACAAAAGTTTTGGATGCAATTGTTTAGCATGCGGGCACTGGTGAATCAGTTTAGTTGACTCAGGATGGCAATGCGACTGAATCTGCAATGGTACTAACAGATGCTACAGTAAGTTCATACCTATTGGCAACACTGATACTACAATTAAGTCACGTGAAAACTTCAAAACAGTAGTAGATTACTCATGACAAAAACATTTAATTTAAAAATACAATATGTCATGGTTCTAAAAATGGAAAATTATATTTCAAGTCATAAAAATCTAAAGTTAAATTACCAAAATAGCTGAAAAGCTTAAACTGGATAGCAGTGACTATGCTATTCATGTGTTACATATGCACAGAAGTGCTATGACAAATACATTTAAATAAGCTTGATGTTCCAAAACCTGCAAAGGCAATTAGTGGCAATAAAATTTGTATTGAATTTGGATAAATTTTAGACAATTAGCCATCTTCTAAATGTGATTTTAGCCAAGTAATCCAATGGGACACATGACTTATCCACATTTATTACTCATTAGAGGAGAGTAATTCCTGTCATAGCCAAACATCAAGGGATTTATTGTCATAAATTCAGATCAGCTAATGGACTCTGTAACCCTTTTTGCCAACGTACAAATCCCTGGGCAAGATATATGAAATATAAATTGATCACAGATATGTGCTCTAATACGGACTGAATATACACAAATACCTGAGATTTTCCAGCCTACATTTCTAATAGTTTATAGTGTTTATAGCTGTATATTATGTGAATTACTTCAATTCACATAGCACGTATTCATCACACATAGACACACACAGAGGAAGGAAAGTTACAATATTTCTTTTCATGAAATATACCCCAATTGTTTCTGACTAGAATAC
The DNA here is from genome assembly GCF_000001405.40 of Homo sapiens. Classification (NCBI taxonomy): domain Eukaryota; kingdom Metazoa; phylum Chordata; class Mammalia; order Primates; family Hominidae; genus Homo; species Homo sapiens. The sequence goes on from NC_000005.10 coordinate 51,803,277, forward strand.
TCTTAAGTGTTTTATATATATATAGTATGTAAATGTTTATTTGCATATCATACACACATTTTTTTCAAGAGTATTTCAATATCACAAACTGTACAAAAATGTCTCATGGCTACTCTTTAACTGCCCATGAATTTGAAAATGATCACCCCAGAACTCAAACAGCATACTCCCTTGACCATTTTTCCTTCCCTTATAATTTTTTCCCCTTATTACTGCTTATTTTCTAATAATCTGCTTCACAGTCTTTAGGAGCAGAATACTTTCCCCTAAGATTCTTTCAATTCCCTTCTAGCCAAAAATGACACAAACAATCTCCGGGAAGTCACACATATTCATCCAGGGCACAGGTCACTCTTGTTTACACATGAGACCCTTCTCCTCATCTGTCTCTGAGGTGCTGATACTTTGGAGACGGCAGCTAACTGCCTTATTTCCTAGCAATGACATTTCCTGTCAGCAGCAGAAATGGCAAACCAGATTTGATTTTATGAGAACTGGCTTGTGGTTTTCCACCAAATTTAAACCATACTATGCTCTAGTGTGTGGAAGGAACTTACAGAACTTTTTATTTTACATTTTCAACTCAATTATACTGTCTGACACCGCTGGATGTCATCAACAAATAAGAACAAATAATTGAATTACCTGTTTTACTGTGGAATTTCTATTCTATTACACCTGCAAGAAGCTGTTTTCATTTTGCTTGATGTTTTATTCAACTTGAATAAAATTTTTATTTAGTAACTTCATGAAATATTTGTAATTTTTATAAAATATTTGTGGGAGATTGTCACTAAGAAATTTTTTTCAATGCTAATAAATTCAAGGTATATCTTTGTGTGTGTATGAAAACCACCAGAAATTTCAAGCCACTAAAGCTACTTCTCTTTCAAAAATAAATTTAATACCCATGGAATAATACTAATCAAATGTAAAAGCATTTGTTCCCTGCACAGGTTGGGGAAAGTTACAGATATCTGACAAAGAATAGGAATGTTCTGTTTGAAGGCCAGCACAATAGTTACCCTGATTTCTTGGTACTCTTCTATAATCATAGGACAATTTAGCTTTTCTCTGAAAAAGAATGAGATATTCTTATTATTTCTCAGAATGGGAAAACAGGCTACATGAATTAGTCTAAGCCTATCCAAATATTGCAACAAACCTATCAGGATATCCACATGATTCAAAGAAGACTTCTCAGTCTACCCTCCCTGAGAAGGCAACTTCCTTTCGTCCTTATCTAGGGCCTCACTCAGCTTTTCATTCGTTCATTTTATTGGTTTTCATTAAGTTTATTATGACATGGCATGTTTTATTTAGTTATATAGTGTTTGGTGTCTCCAACAGAATGCAAAAATTCATGTTCCCAGGGATTTCACTCCAACTCTACAGCATCTAAAATAGAACCCACACATGCTAAGGCATTTACAAATATATAATGAATGAATGAAGGAAGGAATGAATGAATAAGTAAATAAATCACATTTCTATAGCTCCTTTCAGCTTAAAAATTCTTGTATCCATTCTACCTTTTAAATTAAATTTCCTATATATATATATTTTGTTTATTTTGTTGTTAATTTTTCTTCCTATTTTTAGTTCTTCCCAAGCAAAGTAATCATAGAAAGAATATTCAAGTAATACCTACGTGTTATCCACAAGAATAAAAAATTATACATGGAAGAGAATTATTTATTATAAAATAAATAAGTTATACAGATATTAATTATAGCTTGGAGAATAGTGACATAAATTTAGGAAAGTGAAATCTGGACAGATTTTGGAAAAAAAGTAAGAGGTGAACTGGGTTTGGAAAATTGGATAACATTTAGGTAGGGGTTAAGATGTTAGAAGGGGACTAAGTACATGCATAATTTCACAAGCAAGAAAGCTCAGAGATAGGAAGGAGCAATTAGGAGACCAAGTAAGAGAGTCGTTTGCCTAAATTAAACATTATAAAGACAGGAAATGGTAAAAGGTAAATTGGGGAAGACTTGTTAAAAACTAATCAAAAAAGAAAACTTCTCAGCAGAGACCATTCTCTTAGAGAATTGGATGTGACACAGGCATATTTTGGATTGAAGATGAAGAAAAATCTTTAGTACTGGGCATGTCCAGGGTGTAAGTAAGCTTCTTTGTGGTGCTTCCTGAGCAGCATGAGAGCCATAGAATTGAGGTACAGGAATGGGAAGTGCTAACAGTGTAGAAGACATTGTTGAACAGATTATCCGCTTTCTGTGGTTTCTACTTAAGCTAGTCTTGAATATCTTATTTTACAAATGAGAATGACCTCAGCGATCATCTCATTCAGCAATCTTCAATGCTGGCTGCACATTAAGAATCACCTGGGGAGCCTTAAATAACTACCAAAGCCTGGCCCACCCCCAAAGACACTGATTTCATATTGGTCTGCAGTAGGTACCAGGCATTGGTAGTTTTAAAATCTCCCCAGGTAATTCTAATGTGTAGCCAAGGTTGAGAACCACTGACCTAACCTAACACTCAACTCTTTGCAAATGAGGAAATTGAGACCTAGAGAAATTAAATGTGGCTCAGGACCACGCAGATTTTAAGTGTTTTTTTTCTCATCAATTCAGATTTAGTTCTCTGATTGTCTTTTCTAAAAAATACTTCTCCAGCACGTCAAAGGCAGATATACTTCCCATGATATCCTGTACTGTCTTGCCAGATGCTGCCTCTACTCTATTTTCTTCCTCACTATTGGGATAGTTCTTTAAGGGTGGAGGCACAACACTTTTTAAGTCTTGTTTTTCCCAAATAAACAGTACAGTGCTCAGTAAACATGTATGAAATAAAAAAGTAATAGGCTGGGCACAGTGGCTCATGCCTGTAATCCCAGAAATTTGGGAGGCCGAGGTAGGTGGATCACTTGAGGTCAGGAGTTTGAGACCAACATGGAGAAACCCTGACTCTACTAAAAATACAAAATTAGCCAAGTGTGGTGGTGCATGCCTGTAATCCCAGCTACTCAGGAGGCTGAGGCAGGAGAATCACTTGAACCCGGGAGGCGGAGGTTGCAGTGAGCTGAGATTGCATTCTTGCTCTCCAGCCTGGGCAGCAGAGCGAGACTCCATCTCAAAAATAAATAAATAAAAAATTTAAAAAAAGGAATAAATGCAAACTAGCCCTGTTCCTGAAGGTTTATTTTAGTGTTTTTCCCATGGTCTCCTTCTATATCCCTATTCTCCAGATGATGACTTCAAATTTGAAGGGCAGGGAGAAACTCTCAGTTCAAATCTTCTTTAGAATCACTCAAGGCCACTGTTGACTGGCTAGCTCCTTTGACCCACTCTTCTCACTTTCTAGAGAATAAAATCTCAAATTCCATACCTGGGATCTAATGTTCTTAACAATAAAGTCACTATCTTTCTAAACTTATTCTCTGGAATACATCTTCAGATGATTTCATATTTCTTTCAAAAAAGGCTTATGCTCTTAAGTCAGTCGCTTTTCCCTCTCCCTGGAATTCTCTTCCCCCTGGCCCTTTTTTATCCAGCTAAGACCCATCCATCCTTTAAATTGCAGCTCAGATATCATTTCCTCCGTGTAACCTTTCCCTGACCTCTCAGACAGAACAGATCACTTCCTATTTCATGCTCTCTTAGCACTTGGGACATTGTGCTGCAGTGGATGGGAGGCAGTCAGTGGGTGCCCCTCCTCCATACAGCCCTGTGTATTACCTCTGGGAGGAGAAGACTCCATAGTTTTATTTATTTTATATCCCCAGAAGTTGGAACAATGATAATATACTTGGTACTTAATAAATGTTTGTTGGTTGAAGCAGGTGAAAGCTTGTGAATTTTTTCTTAGGTGTTCTTTGGGTTTAAATATAACTATATAAAGAACCAAACTCAAATGATAAATTAGCAACAAACCAAAGAACTATAGTTTGAAACTCAAGCTTGATACTATTAACTGAAATTTAAGACATTCAATATAGTGGCAAAATTCTGGGTCTCCAGTTTTAATGAATTTCTAAACAGGTTAACAGTGGTTCCTAGTTTATAAAGGTGTGAAACTGATGCATTCTTTGATGTTAGATGTTTTTTCCTTTTTCCTTATTTTCTTTTTCTTTTCTTTTTTTTTTTGAGACAGAGTCTTGCTCTGTCACTGGGACGTGCAGTGGTGTGGTCTCTGCTCACTGCAACCTCTGCCTCCTAATTTCAAGCGATTCTGTCTCAACCTCCCAAGTAGCTGCGACTATAGGCATGTGCCATGCCTGGCTAAATTTTTTTTTTTTTTTGTATTTTTAGTAGAGACGGGGGTTTCACCATGTTGGCCAAGCTGGTCTTGAACTCCTGACCTCAGATGATCCACCTGCCTCGGCCTCCCAAAGTGGTGGGATTACAGGCGTGAGCCACCGCGCCTGGCCTGATGTTAGATTTTAATGTCCATCCAGGATCTAACTTCAAATTCTGGCCACTATGGTCTTCCCTCATTTTAATGACAGAAACATTGAGGTTTCTAATCAATTTGTGTGTGTGTGTGTGTGTGTGTGTGTGTGTGTGTGTGTGTGTGTAGTTTCACTGGCAGAGGAAATTAATCCATGCATATTTGAGAACAAATATGTCAAATCTATCAAATTTTGAACTTAAGGAATAAGTAGAAAATGAATTATTCTCAGGTGCCCACCTTCTTTCATAAATATAGATTAAAATGCCACTAAAGCAGCAAATTACTTATTAGAGTTATTTCGAAGTTAGAGTAATCTGACTTAAAATGATGGTTATTTATTTAGTTGAGAAATAATTAATTGAAAAGCAAATGCAGCATTGCCCCGATTTTGTGCAAAAGAGCTCCATTCAATAAAAATGTCAACACCACCACCACAGATGTAGAAATTGAGAGAGATGGGCAGGATCTTGGAGATACTTCTATAAATAGGGAAACTAAGTCGTAGGACCATCAACCGAGTTGCCCAAGATCTCACAGCTAGTTCTCAGTATAGTGGGTGCTTTGTGTAAGTGTAAAGCTTTATCCTGCAATTCTATTTTCATTGCAGATCAACCACTTGAGTTCATTGTTATAGTTCCATTAAGTCCAATATGAAGAATTATCTAATAATATTTCTTTGAATATGTACTTTAGCACATACCTTTGCCTGTTTCAGAAATGATAAAATCTCATCAAATTCACAATAAAATGGTTTTGTTCCCACAAGAGCAAACTGTCTCACTACCATGTCATCTTTCATGTTTGTGAAACACTGGCCCCTCTTGGTTGTGCTTCCCACTTCCCTGGGTAAAAGTTACCCATTCTTGAATCTCTATCTCAGACCAAAACTTCTCCAGGAAAATGTTCAAGACCCCCAAAGCTCATGTGCTGTCATTATGCACATCATAAGCACTATACATGCTGTCTCTGTATTTTCAGGTATCTGGTGGGCATCCACATGGTTATGTGCCCATCCCCCAGTCTCCCTGAAATCTCTTAAACTGGATAATGCGTACCTATTCACATGGCAACCTAGGAAATTGCCATATTCCTTATGTGACCTTGTCATCAATTAGTTTTGTGTGGATACCTGATTCCTGCTGAAACTATTATAATATAATATTCCACCTTTTAATAGTTGATCTATTGATCTATTGATGTGCTCTTGACCCATGCTGATACTGTTTTCTCCCCTCCGTATTTTAGCTAAATGGGCTGTATTCATGTTATGGGCAGTAAATTGCTAAATATTGAAGTAGATCATGTTGTTTTCCAGAATGAGACTATGGTGGGAGGAGTGCAGCATGTTTGGTTGCAAGATACATTTTCAGCTCTAATTTGGAGTACTGGCTGGTTCTGTGCATATGGTGGTTGAAGCCATGATGGTACAACACATCTTATGTCTCATCATGTGACTTAGTAGATATTAGGCTGTGTAATAAATTTATCACTCAAACGTTCACTAGTGAGCTACACCTGTGGTTTTGCAGCAGGATGTTCCTGGCATTCTGGAAATTAATTTTTAAAAAAATGTTTAGCTGAAGCCTCTTGGCTTATGGAACTTTTCCATTTTGGTGAAAGACTCAATCCTTGTAGCAAGGACTGAAACAAGTTTAACAAGACACAAAGCTCAACTGTCAATTCCCTGGGGCCATGTAGTCAACATATGTTCTTATTAAAAATTAATTTTTGTCTATTTAAATTTAGTTCTTAGTCATTCTGATTGTCTATTTCTTCCTATTCTTTGTCCTTCAATCCACTGACCTGAAGGTCCTGTGTCAAAAGATTGGACGCAAATACATCTTCTAGGGTTGGGGGATGTGGCATTTACCAAGGGCTGAAAAATGAGAAATGGAACAGAAGAGGGGAATAGAAGCTTTGTATGTCATTTATTGTCAGTATTTGTTGCTTTGAGTACTCACTGTGAAAGTGCAGGGGCCGACTGATCCCCACACAGCCATATAAGACTGGGTGGAGAGTTTTGTACTCTTTCTAGCAGCAATGACCCATCATCTATAAATGCCTGAAGAGAAGTCTAAAATTCTGGGAGCTTTTAAGACTTGCTTTGTGTAGGTAGCTTGGACCAAGAGCAGGAAGTCAGAATAGATTCCTTCTTATGACTTTCACCTGTAAATTATTCACTTATCCACAGATGTGTTTACTTTTTGATTTGAGTAAATGTGAAAAAAATCCTTTCTCTGGCCTTTCTGATTTGTCCAAATATGTGCACCTTTGGGGAAAGACAGAACTGGATTTAAGGCTTTTCATAATGATTCTGCTTAACCTGTCTCAGCCTCAGTTTTTTTCATCTGTAAAAAAGGCATAATAATATATTCTGGGGGAGGTCACGATGAATAAATGAAATAATATGTATTGACCTCCTGACATAGTGCCTGGCATTTCATAAATGCTTTATAAATTGTTGCAATTATTAAGCGATATATTGGCGTTTGCCCTAGTACACTGTAAAAGAAGGAGCTTCACATCAATGTAATTTGGAGAGTGAGCAAAGAGGTCTTCCTTTCTGCTGCTTCATGGTCACAGAAAAACAGCCAGTAGTCCCCAGTCCATTTTCAAGGAAAGGAGAGAATGAAAGAAAGCAAGAGCAAGTTGCAACTTCCAGACTCAAGAAGAAAAGTTGCTGTTTAGTGCTTCCTGGGAAGCTATAAAATTACTGAATTTCTAAATGCCTTCAAAATTTAATGGTATTATTTGATTATGTTGAATATTTTTAATTCAATTCATTCCTTACTTTATCAGCAACAAAAACAGTTTATAATTCAGAACTCTATAATTTTCAAAACCCTATCAAGCAGAATTACCCTCTTTATCACAATTCTGTGGGAACAGCAAGGGCTGCCTTCTGTCCTCATTCTCCTGAGAAAGAATTTAGGAGGCTGCAAGAAGGGAAGGCCTCCCTCTTACTCAGATCAGTATTAGGACCAGGAAAAGCACCCAAATTGTTTGGCTTCCTGGCCCCTGTAGTAGGCTGAATCATCACTTGCCAATATTGTTATGGCCTCTGAGGCAATAGAATGTAATAAAGTATAACCAGAATTACTCGTCCGTAATACAAATAAATTCCTGTTTGGATATGCCTCATGGCATGATTTCAAGCAGCTCACAGACATCCTGTGCCACCTCATTCACTCTCACATGCCTCTGAGGTGAGGGGGATAACAGCACTAGTATCATTTGATACTGATACAAATCGGCTCTAAATATTGTGGGGATGCTGGTGGTGTTATTGCTGGACTCCATTACACAAGTTTCATGAGCCAGTGAAAATCACTGAAGAATAACATTGTCATTTAAATTTTGAGTAAACTTTTAATTTAAAATTAAGTTTGATGACTACCCTCTGTTGAATGGAATATTTCGCTTAAATGAAATATTTATATCTTAACTCATGATCAGGGCAAAGATGTCATGTGCTGTTATTTATTTTTCTCATGTTATAAATTTTTAGAATATGTTTTTAGAAAGTTATTTCCTTTTTTTGTCTTTTCATTTTAGGATCCTGGCTGTAAATCAGCAATGCAATGCAACATGTATTTGGATGAAATATCACAAGAACTTTTCATTTTAGTTAAAGTTAATATTAGTTTAGTTATAACTTATAAAAATTGTGTTAACGTCAGTGTTTATTTGTCTTTCAAAGAGTTATAACTTTATTGATAGCAAAACATAATGCTTAAACAGATAATAACATTATAAAAAATGTCCTGGAACTAGAATATTCTAGCATAAAATAGTAGCAATCTTTTGAAAAGACTCTTTATAGTAACAAATATTTTAAAATAGATTATTCACTTTCAGCATTGAAAATCATAGTTAGTCCTTCGGGACAAATACATATATTTTTAAAATGCCTGTAAAGATTTTCTTTCATTCATTTGATCCTATTAACTTGAAATTTGAAAGTAACACTTTGTTTCCTGTGTGATAAGACACAAAGAGAAACAACAACCGTGTTTCTACTAATATCCTCTCCAACACAGTGCCAGTAATTCCCTATCTTCTGTAATACCTCCAGTGACTGGAATCATTAATCCCATGTTTTGAAAATTATTTAAGATTGAAGGTGCCACAGTTGTACATATTGGTTCAGTCTCTAGAGCCCTAAGAAAAGATTTAGTGCATTTTCAAAAGAATTTTGCAGGTAGGAGCCCAAATGGATTTTCAACTAGGCCTCAACCTTTTTGAAACCTACTGATGTTGAATAGTCTTTTACTGGTTGCCATGCCAACTGATACCAGAGGAACACTCTGCAGTGCGTTCATCCCCTAGAAAGCTTCACCAGATGTCTTCAACAAATTGCTATGAAAAGACTTTGGTCTGTCAGCCTTGTTAGGAGATAAAAATCAGGCTAAGAGACGTCCCTGCCTCCACTTCTGATAAAACCAACCCATAAAATATGTAGACTTGTTCCACTCTCACAATAAACCAGTAAAATCTCTCACCCCCACCCCAACCCTCCTTACTTCCTGTAGCAGGATTTTTAAAATATTTATGCTCTTATTTCTACATGAAGCAGAGGCCATTATGTGTTGCAGCTGACATTGTCTGGCCGAGCAAAGCGAGAAGCATCTGGCTAGCAGCAAGGAAAGACAGCAAGTTGATAAATTATTGATTTACATAAATCAACACCCTTTAAATATTGGTCTTTTGAAGAAAAAAGCTTTTATGTTATTTCAGGTTGAAAAGTGTTAAGATGATAAACACAAAGTCAGCTGTGTCATAATTTTATATTTCTAATCAAACATATACAGGCATCGCATGAATAAATACAGTATATCCTATAAATTTGGGACCAAATGAATAAACTTTGCTTTCATGAATATCAAATAGGCAAACAGGAGTATTTTTTCAAATATATTTAAAATTTTAAAATATTTTTCCTGCCTAAATATTAATACATTTTCTGTACTGAAAATGAAAAAAGGAAAACTATTTAAAGGGTCATTTTCTTTAGGAAAAGAAAAAAGAAACCTGGCAAATAGGGTCCACATGGAATATTATTTACATGCACCAATTGGCATCTGTATGTTTAAATTGTGGGTTTGCACGTGCAAATGAATCATTAACTGTCAAATTACCTGTTTGCATATGCAGTTATTCCAAGCAGTATGAAAATGTGTGGAATTTGCATATACAATTGAGGCTTAGGCATTTACAAAGCCCGATTTTTAAACAGGAATTTTAAATCTTACTGTTAATTAGCAAGACAAGGAATTACCAAATTGAATCCAACATGTATTTTAGGCTACATTGTTGTACTGCAGTTCAAATTCAAAGCCCATACAAATCACCTAAATTTAGGATTAATCAGCGATAAAATGCTATTTATTTGTATTTCCAGGATGATATGACCCTTTGTCATTCTGTGTGTGTGTGTGTGTGTGTGTATGTTTCATGTGAATGTGAGTATCTATTTGGTATGTTTGCATTTTTGACATGTACAGGAGGAACAGTTTTGGAAATATAGGAGACAACTCATTTTCATATTTTTTTAATCTTTCCTGGAATTCAATTATTTTAGTAGCAAATTATCTGAGTAATCTGATTAAAAATTCCATTTCACTTCAATGTTTTGTTTTGACAGGTCTACAGAGTCAGATCTGTTGAGTTTCTTCCCAGATATCAGAGTGAACTAGAACCATGGACATTCATGACATGGCTCCTTATCAAAGAACAATAAAATAGGAGTTTAACAAAATATCTATAAACTTAAAAAAAAGTTTTTCAACATGGAGAAGGAAATTTGCTCAAAAATTTAGTTGATTAAAGACATTGCTTTACACAGAGAGAAGATAACTTATCACTGTCTGTCTCTGGATGACTGATTAGAAAGAAATTAATAGAAAATACTACAGCATATATATGTAAAATGTAAGAAGCATTTTTACAAATTAAATTAAACTTTTGTATTGTCTATGGATTCCATTTATATAGATGTTTATGCCTTGGATGTTTTAAGAGAAGTCCTGCAAGTCGTTTGTTTGGGAGTTAAAGAAATTTTAGAACTGAGGGAGAAAGGAACAGGGAGAATACAGGTTGGGTTATCAAGCTAGCCACCACTTTAGAGAGCTGGAAAAAGTCTGTGGGCTGGTGTAAAAAGTGTGTCTCAAAGTTATCTAAGGCAACCTGAGTGATGCATCACACTCATCAGTTATTGGCAGTTGGAAGTCAGGTCACCATGCACTAAAGTGGAAACGAGAGGGTGTGGACTTGTTGCTGCAATTATGAATATATTAATACATTAGTCCCTCTAATTTTTCTCTCTATTCTATGCAAACATTTTAGTAACTTCATTAAGATACTCATACTCACTAAAGCAATTTTGCTTTGCCTATATTAATGTGTCTATAATCCATCATATGAATTGATTTTACTCTTAGTAACACTAAATAAATCGATTTCTACAATAGCTACCCAACTTAAGTGTGTGCATTAAAATCACCCTAGGGCACTTGATAACAACTTGGCTTACCAAACCCATTTCCAGGGATCTTTATGCAGGTGGTTCATATGGATCATATACTGAGAAAATTATTCTACAGAACACTCAGTTAAAATTCTATTCCAAAGAATATTACCACATATAAGGTTCACAGTCAATATTTTTTCTCACTTATGGCTGATAGACCACCATGCTCTTTTAAGGTAACAGGATGGCACAATGAAAGAACTCTCATCTAGTTTTTGAAAGACTGGATTAAACCCCTGGCAATACCATGTATTAGCTGTGTGAGGTACAAAACAACACTTAACTTCTCTAAGCTCCAGTTTCAACACCTGCAAATAATACAATACTATTATTACTAGTATAGTAATATAGTATTAATACTAGTATAGTAATATACTAGTATTAATACTAGTATTATTACTAGTATATTATTACTAGTAATATACTAGTAATAATACTAGCATAGTAATATACTAGTACTAATACTAGTATTATTACTAGCATAGTAATAATACTAGTATTATTACTAGTATATTACTCAGAAATTCAAGTGTTTCTACAATTAAACTCGAATTTTTTGGTTGTCTTTCACCTTCCTTCAAACTATGTGTACACCAAAACCCATATTTAGGAATTAATTTAAATTATTGACCTGCTTGAGATGGAATACTAATTCAACTTAAAGTTTCTGTCACTTAGGACAGTTCACCTGGCCTCTTCAGATCTTTTTTGTTTTGTATTAAATGAAAACAATGGGTTAGGATTATTTCTTAAATTCCTTATAGCTATGACATTCTATGAGTCATTTGATTTTTTTTTTTTTTTTTTTTTTTTGAGACAGAATCTAGCTCTGTTGCCCGGGCTAGTGTGCAGTGGTGTGATCTCAGCTCACTGCAACCTCTGCCTCCCGATTCAAGTGATTCTCCTGCCTCAGGCTCCTGGGTAGCTGGGACTACAGGTGCGTGCCACCAGGCCTGGCTAATTTTTTGTATTTTTAATAGAGACAGGGTTTCACCATGTTAGCCAGGATGGTCTCCATCTCCTGGCCTGTTGATCCACCCACCTCGGCCTCCCGAAGTGCTGGGATTACAGGCGTGAGCCACCATGCCAGGCCTGATTTTGTTTTTTTAAAAATATTAAATTGCACACAATTAGCCCCCCATTTCCTTGTATAGTTTGTATTCTCTAGAGCAGATGCTGATACAGAGTTTGGGGTAGAAGACATTTATTAGAAATTAACAACTATGGAAGGAGAAGGATAAAAACCATCTGGTGGCCAGGTGCTGTAGTTCATGCCTGTAATCCCAGCACTTTGGGAGGCCGAGGCAGGAGGATTCATGAGGTCAAGAGTTCAAGACCAGCCTGGCCAAGATGTTGAAATCCCATCTACTGAAACCTACAAAAATTAGCCGGATGTGGTGGCAGGTGCCTGTAATCCCAGCTACTCAGAAGGCTGAGGCAGGAGAATTGCTTGAACCTGGGCGGCAGAGATTGCAGTGAGCCAAGATCACACTACTGCACTCCAGCCTGGGCGACAGAGTGCGACTCCGTCTCAAAACAAACAAACAAACAAACAAACCAATCTGGGGCAGAAGAAGTCAAACTGCTCTCAGGCTCAACAAATTCAGCAGCCTGGACTGAGTTTTGCCTGTCAGTGTTTTCCCATGGGGACTGAACTGACTGAGCCTTCACACACCACTCCTCCCCACTTTGCTAAGTCACATAATGCAGGCTATCCTGATAGGAGCTTGATCCCAAACAAGGTGGCTCTCTATAGCAGAAACAATCTCCCTCCTCCTCTTGAAGGAGGTGACAGCTGGGAGTTGTCCACCAGCTACACACAGGGTGATGCTTTGCAAGTCCTTTCTTGAAGAGAAATCTGGCCAGTGCATCTCTATTTCAACCTTCACCACACTTCCCAAAGACTAAGATATATGGCCAGTAACTTCCCTACAAGAGAAAAATGACTGTTTGCCAAGATTGCTTCATAGCCAGTCCAACTTATTTGCAAACTCTTTCTGGTATTGATGTTTGTATGAGTGATTTTTAAGTTGATAGTGTTTGTGGCCAAAAACGTGGACGTACAGAGCATAAACTGTTGCTTCTCAAGGTGGGCCAGCACATTTACCTCTTCTGGAATCATTAATACTTGGGTGCTGAAGCAAATGTGTGTTAAACAAACATGAAACATTTAAATTATTCATAGAGGTATTATGAAGCAGTGTGTCTGCATGTGCTACACCTGACAGTGAGGGTGGAGGATGGTAAATTCATGCCCTGCTTCAACACTACACAACATCTGGATTACTCTCTCTTCCCTGAGTCCCCATTACATTTTGCTATAAACCTCTTATTTGAGTGTATCAGTTCCAAAAAGGCAAAGCTCATGTTTAAACACGTTCGTGTTATTCATCACCATAGAAGATATTGCTGATGGCCTGCCTCATATCTCCTCTGCCCACCTCTGAGTTCATCTACAGCTGTGTAGAGTTTCCTGGAAGGCTGACATCTTCCCACTTCAAGTGCCTGTTTTTCTCTACCTCCCTGCCAGAGAGCAACTAAAAACAGCTGGAAGAGGACACTTCCTCCCCTCCAGCAATCCTTCTCCCATGGCAGATAAGAGGTGGTGTTCATATGGTCCCCCGCTACCCACCATCTCCAAGCTTCAAGGGTTCCTCAGTGTGTCTCCAACAGAATTAAGCCCCATTTGCCCCCTTATAGATATTCTAATGTTTCCTGTCTCACTTTCTGTACTTTTTCACTTGTGCTTCCTGTGGTCACCTTCTAAATAAATTACCTGCAACCAATTCCTTGTCTCTGGATCTCCTTTTCGGAGAGTCCAAACTAAAACAACAACTGTATGTCCAGTAACTTTGTGTCTGGCAGTTAATTGTTCAACAAATGAGTGCTCCATTCTCAGATTATAGGCTCTTGATCAGGTGTCCAGTTTTAGCTGAAAGTCTTGGGCCCAAAGCCAGATGACCCAGTCTCTAGTTCTCACACTACTATTTACTGTTCCTCTGACTTGGGGCTCTGGGCTTCACCTTCCTCCTTTGCAAAGTCTCCTTCCTCACAGGGTTCATATGAGATCAGAGAATGTGATGCACACGTATGAAGGGATCTCAGATCATAAAGTGTCCCACTTGGCATTTATGTAACTTATTTAAGTTAAATAAGTTTCCTTTAGTAGATTCTAAACTCCTGTGGTAGGGATCATGCTTCCATAAGCTATATATTCCTAGACGGTCAAAGTGTACAACCTGAAAATTGGAACATAATTAATAATTGATGAATGTATTTTAAATAGCCAGTGTTATCCCCAGGGCTGTAAAGGGTGATGAGCAATAAACGTCTTCTCTGTCAAGTGCATTATTGTCCAGCTGGGAGGAAAGAATTAGCACAGGAACAAGAATCAGAGAGCTGCGCTCTGTGGTAAGCTTCTGACTAAGTGCTGAGGGGGAAAGAGAAGGGAGACATCACATTTGCTAGATTCGTTTTGGCAGATTATGGAAGAAATGAGACCTGGTGAGCATTGAAGCCTGGGCAGGAAGAATCCTGTCTAAAGAATCTGCAAAGAAGTGAGAACAGCATGTGGATATGCTAAAGGAGTGAGCAACTTCATGTGTCCTGGAGATAGGGTATAAAGTCACTAGATCATAGAGTGCAGAAAAGCAGCGCAGGATGTGGCCAAAAACACAAGCTCAGAGTCTTTATGTCTGCCTTGGAATATCACTGGGCCCTGGCTACTGTACATAAACCTCCATTTCCAAATCTGTATTAATTAGGGATGATAAAATCAACCCCCAATTTTGTATGACGCTTAAATTGTATCATATATGTGACACATTTATCATGTATTACACATTGCTGCTACCTGGCAGCATCTTACTATATAATCTATAATTATTATATTCTTAATACTTTTATCATTATTCTATTGGTTAGTAGTAAATATAGGCATCCTATATGATTCAGGTATGAAGACTCTATTGATGTATTTGAATTTTGACTCTCCTCCTCAATTCCAAATTCAACCACTAACTAGGAAAAAAGCTAATAAAAATAACAACCTAAGAAGTCTACTGAATTTTCAGTGCACCTACTGTCACCATATATATTTTTCCAGAATTTAAAGGAAAAAGTGTGCTGGTAAAAGAGGATGTTGTGTTTCCTAGAAAGTGAATACTATTTAATTTTCTAGGTTTATAACATGGCTTTCACTTGCAAATTACATCACTCCATTCTGGAAAGTTTCAAGAAGAAAAATTTTGGCTGAGCAAGCAAGTGCTTCCGAGCAATGTACTTGTAGCATTAGTTTTATTGTCACTAAATGCACTTATTTTGGGAAGAAATGGAATCAATGCACTTATTTTGGGAAGAAACAGAATCAGTGCTATATTTGAATTCACACAAATAAAGTGCCAAGCAATCAGGCAGAAGCTTGCTCGGCCTTTCAGTTACCTTTATCATCATCTTATTATGTTGGAAATTTTGGTCAATTGTTTCTAATCAGACACTATTAAAAACATTGACCTAATTTCTTATAATGTGAGGTCTTTGATGTGAGACTTAACCAAAACAGCTTACTGTATTCAGAAATTCTTTTCTAGTCATCTCAAATACATTTGGAAAACAAATACTATTATCATTAGAAACAGTCATTGGTGGGAAAGAAGAAATAGCACATATTTAAGTATTCATTCTACACTTCTAATATACAGAATATTCTGCGTGTATTTATATTTTTATGGGACTAGTGATATTCTTTGAGTTTTATTGGAAGGCTATGAAATTTTTGTAGGTAGACTCTGTTTTATTGTTGAAAAATTAGAAAAAGTTATTTTTAAAAAAATATCAATCAGTATAAGAATGCATTGTGTTATTTTCATTTAGTTGCATGCTACTACATGTCAGTGGTAATAAATAAACTATAGCTATTGGAAACAAGAATATTTTAAAAAACAAAGTTTAGGCCGGGCACGGTGGCTCCCGCCAGTAATCCCAGCACTTTGGGAGGCCGAAGTGGGTGGACCATGAGGTCAGGAGTGTGATACCAGCCTGACCAACATGATGAAACCCCGTCTCTACTAAAAATACAAAAAATTAGCTGGGCGTGGTGGCGGGTGCCTGTAATCCCAGCCACTCAGGAGGCTGAGGCAGGAGAATTGCTTGAATCCGGGAGGCGGAGGTTGCAGTGAGCCGAGACCACACCTCTGCACTCCAGCCTGGGCGACAGAGGGAGACTCCGTCTCAAAATAATAATAATAATAATAATAATAAAATTAAAAACCAAAATTTAATGTTAGTTTAAGGAAGCAAAAAATACCATATAATCCTTTTTATATAAATGTCAGAAACAGGGAAAACTAAATTATCCTGTTGAAGGGTCCATGGGTGATACCACTATAAAGAAAAGCAAGGAAATGATTACTAAAAATGAAAAGGTAAATATCACCTTTAGGGAGAAAAAAGAGAAAATGTTATCAGGGACACATGACATTGTCTCCTGAAAATAATTATTCTCTTGCATATGTCGCTTACTCCTTTGACCCTCTCTACTTCTGACTGATTATCAGAATAATTCATTCCTGATTAATTCTTACTCAGTCGGTTCTATACCTGTATGGGAGTAGCAGAAACTACCCAAGGAAAACTTTAACCATCCATTGTCTTTTTTTATATTTATGACCATAAACCCAAGTGATTCCCCAGGGCTGTCCAGTAATCCTTCCACATTTCCACATTCAATTCACCCTCCCTTAGTCTTTGGTGGGTATTTTATACTTTCCCCTATCTTCTCACACCTCAACATTCTTTTTCTCTACCCTTTTAGCTGAGGACCTGATTTCCCTGGAAAAACCAAGACAAGTAGATGAGAAAGTCCTCATTTTCTCATCTCTGAATCTATCAATCTGTATTGGTGCCCATATATCATGCCTTTCTTGCTGCAAGAAAAGAAACTGTTCTGCCTTTCTCTAAAGCCAAGCCTTCCATAAATATTGATTTTAATTCCTGCTTATCGTTTGAAGATTATTACTTTGGTCTTTTCTGTTTTCTCAGCTACCCTATCAATTTTTCTGTGCTGGATCACTCCCATCATGATAGAAACATACTGAAAATCTCTCTTTTATTAAAACAAAAAAGAAAACCTCAACCTCTGCCTTCATCCTATAACTCTCTTTGATTCTGTTTCATTCTAATCCAAAATTTATTCTGTCTCCATTTTCCAACTCTTCTCTCTTTTCTCCTCCACTCAATCTAATCAAGCTATCATTTCCTTTATTCTACTGAAAACGTACTTACAAAGGTAGTGAAAACCCCCATAAAGCCCATTCCAAAAGTCTACTCTCAGTTTTTGTTTTATTTTATGCTTTAAGCAGTATTTGCCATTTCTGATGAAGCTTTCAGAGTACTGCCTCCGTTGTTGTTTTTCCTTCCTGACTATAGCTCTATGAGTTTTACTTTCACACATTGGGTCTTTCATTTATATCTGGACCTCTACATTCTGGGGTCCCCCGTATTTTAGTCCTCTGACTTTTTACTTGTCTCTATGCTCTCTCTAGTGATGCATATATCCAGGTATATAACTTTAAATATCATCTATATACTGAAAACTGAACATTTATGTAACTAACCAAGACCTTGCCCCTAAATGCCAGACTGCATTTTCCAAATACTGATTGGACATCTCTATTTTAATTTCTAATAATTATTTCAAATGTATTAAATAACTAGGTCAAAACACAATTCTTAATTCCTGCATCCCTCCCCACTTTCTGATTCTTCCCAGGTTCTTCCCACCTTGAATAATGGTATCACAACTTACACAAACGCTCAAGTCAGAAGCCAAAGAATCATTGTTTATTCTTATTTTCTCCTTATATTCTTCACATACATATTACAGTATAATCTATCACCAAATACTATTGATTCTATCTTCAAAATATAACTTGAATTCAAGCACTCCTTTCTTCCCTGATCATTTTTTTTTTCTTTTTTGGAATCTAAGCAATTTTGTCCATTCACATTGCTAATCACTCTCTGGTCCAAACCCTGTCTCTTGCCTCGAGTTCTGCAATAACATATCAACTGGTCTTCTGCATATACTCTTCACCCATCTTTTTGAGAAGTATTCTCCACATAGATTGAGCAATCTTTGAAAAGAAGCCAATGGTAAAATTTTAGTGTTGCTGTGAAAGAAAGGTGAAAGACAAATTGTTCACCACTGCTACTCCTATTGAACATTGTAATTGAGTCATAACCAATTGATAAAACCAGTAAAGGGAAGACACATATAAGGACTGGACAGGAAGATGCCACCTGTACTTATTTTCAAAGAGTATGATTTTCTACATAGCAGAATCACATAAAGTAATGAAAAAACAGCAGTTAATCATTTACAAATACCTATGGCAGAAATTGGTAGTTTTCCTCCAATAATTGTTCTCTGTCTTTTGCATAATAACAAAATGATTACATTAGGTGCATGGTCACTCACGTAAAGACATTTTCCAGTATCTTTTATGGCTAGGGTAATCATGAGCCTAAGTTCTGGCAAGTAAGATACAAGAGGGGAGGTGTGTTTTTTCTAGGTTGTGCTTTTAATAAGAATAAACATTCCCTCAGTTTTCCTTTCTTCCTCCTGCTGGTTGGAATTCAAATATGATGTGGAAACTGAAGTATTTATCTTGGCTCAAGATGGCATCCGAGAATGGCAGAGAAGTTAAATAGAAAGAGCTTCACCCTCTTGACACTGTGTAAAGCCACTCTGCCAGCCCAGAGATTGAATATGACCCTCTCATTTTTATATGCCTCTTATGGTAGCCAAATGTATAGAACATACGAATACATCAACAAATAAATTAGATAAATAGTAGCATTATTTTGTAATTGCTTTGACACATTTTGAATACATAAAATCTTAAAGATAAAATTGATATGTCCCATGCATCCTTACCAGTATCTTTCCCTCATTTCTCTCAAAAGGTTATTATTATTATAAAATGTGTTTGTCAAAAATATAACATATATTTATTAAATATTAATATATCCACAAACCATATAGGGTTCCATATTGGTTGTGTTTGCCTTTAAATGTTCCTTTAATATTTCAAATAATATGTAACATTCTGTAACTTACTTTTTCACTCAACATTGTTTTCAAAATTCTAATTACTTTGTTATGTATTAATCTAGTTCATGCATAAAAATATTTTATAGCATGATAGTCTACGAATGTACCACCCAATGTATTTATTGAAATTGTGAATTTTTGCATGTAGTTCAGTGGTTTATGAATGTCTATTACAGAGTTTGGCAAATAGTAGACATTCAAATTTTTTCTAATAAGTGAGTTAATTTATGTCCCTGATTATGATCATTTGAGTTGCTCCAAATTTTTATTGTTACACATAAGGCTACAGTGAATACATTTGGCCCAGTCCTTGTGTTCAAAATAGCTGTGAGATGAACTACTGAAATACAATTGACAATTTGCAGGCTACAAGTAACTTCAACTTTAATGTCAAGCTAATCTTTAAAGTTTATAAGAACTTCCTTGTCAACACCTTTTCACCAACACTTGATATTGACAATCATGTCTTTTTTGTTTAACCAATTGGATGGGGATGAAAATGCATTTTTCATTCATATCAATTCAAAATCATTTACAACTTTAGTAAAATTTAAGTATAAAACAAGAAGGCCGGGTGCGGTGGCTCACGCCAGTAATCCTAGCACTTTGGGAGGCCGAGGCGGGCGGGTGGATCATGAGGTCAGGAAATCGAGACCATCCTGGCTAACACAGTGAAACCCCGTCTCTACTAAAAATACAAAAAAATTAGCCGGGCGTGGTGGCGGGCGTCTGTAGTCCCAGCTCCTGGGGAGGCTGAGGCAGGAGAATGGCGTGAAACCCAGGAGGCGGAGCTTGCAGTGAGCTGAGATGGCGCCACTGCACTCCAGCCTGGGCTACAGAGCCAGACTCCGTCTAAAAAAAAAAAAGGAAAAAGACAAGAACATGCTTGGATCTTTTTCCAAGTATGTTGGCCATTTGGGGTTTTTCTTTTGTGAATTCTGTTTATATCCTTTGTCTAACTTTTATCTGGCTTTCTGTCTTATTCTTATTGATGTGAAGTATTCTCAGATTAATTAGATGCTAACACTTTACCTATTATATATATTTTTTCCTTTAAGCATTTTTTCCAGACACTTAAAATTCTGATGTAGTCACATTTATTGATCTTTGTCTTAGTCATTTATGAAATTAGTATTTAGCTAAGAAATTCTTGTTAAATCCTATTTTATTCTAATAATATTATGTTGTGTTTATTACTTACAGATTTTTAATCCATCTAAACTCAAGTAATCCACATTTTACATGAATTTCTTACATGCTTTTACTATTATATACTGAGATTTTACATGTATTTGGATATCTGTTAGCTCTTTATTCCGCCCCAACAGCATATATTTCACTTTATTTATAAATGTAACATTATGTTAATTACTGTAACTTTATAAAATAACTTTCATTTTTACTATGGCAGGTACCCTTCATTATCACCATTTTTCAGGGTTGTCTTAGATATTGTCAGACATGTACTCTGCCATATACTTTTCAAATAAATGTGTTGAGTTTTAGGAATAAAACAGTGGAGATTTTGAGTAGAATTCTACTGAATTTATAGCTTGCTCTGAGGATAACTGACACCTTTCAAAGCATATATTATGATCCCATTTTTATATATTTATACCTATCCAGCAATCTATTGACATACAAAAATATTAATGATTACATTTTGAGAAGTGATATTAGATGCTTTCTTACTTCTTATTTGTACTTTTCTCTATTGCATAATATGTAGTATTGTTACAAAAAATAAGCCATCATTCTAAAAATTCAAAAAAGTATCATAACCTTCCAGAATGTATACATTTTAAATTAATCTTAAGATGACTAGGCAAATAGTAAATGATACTTTCCTTGTAACTGCCTACATGACATGTTAGAGTAGACATAGTCGATGTCTTGTTCAGAACTCTGGGACCCTATTTTACTTAATTCACTTTGTGTTTATTGCTTCTAATGCCTCACACCTGAAACTGTCTGGAGAACTGTGTAAGTGGTGATGAGGTCAGCTTTGACTGCATATGCAGAAGCTAAGAGATATATGAGGCTTTAGGCATCATCACCTTTTTAAAGGCCAGTGGCTGGTGGTGCAAGAAAGCACAGTAGCCACAGTTTTCTTTCTTGAGTTGGAATAAACTTGAGTCATATTTCACACTCCTGAGCTCGCAGCATGATCAGGCTGGGGATGAGGTTGGTCCTGATCTGCGTCCTTTCTTGGCATCCCCTCATTCCTCTCCTGTTCCCCCCAATCCCTTACAAGTGTGTTTTAGAAGCACTTTGTTAGTAAGTAACTTGCAATAAATCCTCATCTGATGTTCTGTAAGTGTCTTGTCTTTATGCCTTTAAAAATACCATAGTATTATTTCAAAAACACAAAACAAACCAAAACCTGGTTACAGACCAATCCATCTTTTGAATCACATACCATCCTAGTGGGAAAGTAAGTATGAAATATGACCATGGATTATCTTTAAAGTTTAGTAGATTTTACCTTTGTCCCTAAAATAAAGAACTGCAAACATTTTAAAATATTATGACATATATAATATTTATAATAGAAATTCTGATTTGTAACTACATGAGTCCCATGAATTGTGTTGTTTCCATCCAGATTTCAGTTTTCTTTATTATGGAAGCACTAGACATTTAATTTAAAATATAGAGGATGTGGCAGGAATGTAGCTATAAAATAGCTTAAATGTCTCTCACAAAAAGCAATGTTAATCTTAAAAGCAAAATCATATACAAAGTGTGTGATTATGGAATGCTTAAACAAATGTTCTTTTATCCCACATAGACTTCTCAAAGTTTTAATTTTAAAATTGGGGTATAAAGATACCATTCAACCATTTTCTCAGTGTCACGGTTGAGACAGTGGTCCTCATAATCCACCACTTTGCTTGATTCTGGGATAGAAGAATGGAGCAATGAGCAAAGATAACTGGGCAAGGTGCTATTCACTTCTATAGTGTAATCTGTCTCCTGCTGCTTTTGCTTATCACTGCCCTCGCTTACTCTTTATTTCCCTTAAGAACCTGCATGCAGCTTGGCCAGGGTAGTAGAATTATCACTAAAATCAGCCCCATTACTGCTTGACCAATGAATAAGACCCTGATGATTCCTTGATCCCTGTTTGGATTTATACATTTGATCAATTGCTAATGTCGCTTCTGCCTGGTGTCTCCCATCCCCCACCTTCATACCTTCTTAGAAAAAAGCACATACTTCAAGTTCTAATATAGAATGGAAATGTTCCATCATTCTTTCTCTCCTGATTCTCATTTCTCTCTTCTCAAATCCACCATAATGAAAGCTATAATTTAGAAACAATCATTTGGATATTATGCTATTTTAAGTGAATGAATTAAATTTGTTTGCTTGATAGACTTTGACTTATCTTGTTCTACCTTCTACCTGAGCTAAATTCTTATTTTAATATTATAGAGATTATAATTTCTGATAGTGCCTTATAAAATCTTTAGGGGAATGGTTGTTGACAAGGTATTGGTTTCTGCTCTACGTGGCAAAAATTTGTAAAACAAGGGATCTGGAGACAGAAAATCTGGGTTTGAATTTCTGTTACTACATGATTTCATTTAAATTAGTTCACATCTCTGTAGCTCTGTTTTCTCGTTGGTAAAATGAGAATAATAGTATGTATAGAAAATGTTTTCATAAAGTTGTGAGAATTCAATGAGATGAGCACAATGTACAGCACATAGTGAGCAGTCAATATATGTTAACTATTACTTTTGTTATTGATACTAAGGGCTTTTACTGATTCACTAATCTTTTTTTTTTTTCTTTTTTTTTTTTGAGATGGAGCCTCACCTTGTTGCCCAGGCTGGAGTGCAGTGATGTGATCTCAGCTCACTGCAACCTCCATCTCCCAGATTCAAGCGATTCTGCCTCAGCCTCCCGAAGAGCTGGGACTGCATACAGGTGCATGCCACCACACCTGGCTAATTTTTTGTATTTTTAGTAGAGACGGGGTTTCACCTTATTAGCCAGGATGGTCTACGATCTCTTGACCTTGTGATCCACCCGCTTCAGCCTTCCAAAGTGCTGGGATTACAGGCGTGAGCCACCATGCCCTATCCTGATTCACTAATCTTTTATTGAAACATTGTATGCTAGGCATTAGGCTTGGTGCTGAAAGTGTCTGCGTGAATAAGACACAGGACATTTCCTGGGAAAATAATTTGTCTAAAAGAGGAGTCAGATAATGCTAAAATAATTACAGTACACCATATATCTATGACAGTGGTTAATGTGAAGAACTTAGGAGGTGACCTCTCAATATGATACTCCCTATATAGCTTCCTTGTTTATTTCTCTTCATAACATCATTATTAACATGTTACACATTTTTGTTGTGTATTTGTTTATTACCTGCATATTCTTACTAGAATGTAAGCTCACAGAAAAAAAGGGACTTCTGTCATTTGCTTTACCGCTTCTGCACCAATACCTAGAGCACTGCTTAGTACATAGTAAGTCCTCAATAAATATTTGTTGAAAGAATGAATTATCAAAGTTCCCCAGTTATACACCACTCTTGCCAAATGGCCAAAGTGTTTACTCCTTCAGGCTCTTCTGTTGTCCTAGAGGATAGGACTTAAGATGTACCTTCTCAATTTAAAGCACTGCTAAAGTTCAGAAGAATAAATAATAAAGGGCATGCATAACAGTTTTTCAGGTGTTACAAAAATGAAGAGAAATACCTCAATCAAGTGGGAAACCACAAGCCAGGAATAGTAAGATGGAATTTAAAGGTGGTAAGTTTAAATTCCTACACTCATGGTCAAACTTATATATATACATACACACACACACACACACACACACACACACACATACATAATTTATAAATATATATAAATGTATATATATAAATTTATATATATATATATATATGACAGGGAAGACTTTGCTTAATAGCAATTAATGGAAAACAAGATGTAGGATAGTTCATTTATGCAAATATATAATAGGCCAATGGCTTGTCAAAATAAGTGACGATGTTGTCTTCTTAGCACAGAACTAGGACTTACCATTCCTATTATAGTATGTACTGGCAGACAATATTTGAGTAACTGTGCTGACTTCTCATGTCAAAAGTTGGCAGCAGCTCTGAATGGTCTGGAAAAAAAGTCATATAGATACTGAACAAACTAAGTGTGCTTGGTCTAAAAAGGAAAAGAAGTAGGGGAAAATATATTTGCTGCTTTCAAATATTTGTATGATCATTTCGCTTGAAGGCTTACACTGTTCCAACATAGTAGTGGCTGGCATAATGGAGAGAACACATGCATTCTAGTCAAACAGAGCTGACTTCAGTTCTAGTGCAGACATGGACCACCTGTGTGGTTTTGGTCCCTGAACCCCTAGTTTCTCAATATCAAAAATAAAAATAGTTAAGCTTACATTATATGGTTGTTGTGATGATTGAAAGTACCACTGGTTAATCATGTGGCACATTTTAAGTTTTCTATAAATTATCATTTTTTGGCATGGCTCACAATAGTAGAAGTAGCACTAACAGAATTACAGCAACGCTCAAAACAAAGGGGTTGTTCAAACATGGAATCAGTAACCTTCTTAGTGAGTTCATTATTACTGGAAGATTTCAATGGCTAAATAAGCACCAACAATTTTTAAGGTCCTTTTATTCAAGATTTAAATACCTAATGTGGTCTCTACCACTGCAATGGAATCTATTCTAGAAAAAATGTCATGATTTAGAATGTTTCCAAGTAAATATAATTATTGTACCTATAGATATTATTGAGTAGAGAAAAAATGGACTTTTATGCATCAGTATATCTTCACAGAGTAGTAGAAAGTTCTTGAGAGACAGGACAGGCTTTGAATCCCAGCTGTGTCACTTAGCACCGTTGAACTCTTAGATAATTCTTAATCTCTCTTAACCTCAAGAAACAGAGTAAATTATAAGTGATCTCACCTCATGGAGTCATGGAGAGTTAATGTCCTGCGTGTGGTACGGAATCTAGCACACTGTAGTCACTCAATACATACAGTCACTCAGTAAATAATTATTTCTGTCTTGCTACTGCCCAGAAAATAACAAATTATGACATTTTCTTGTCTTTCATTCTATTTCCTATAATAGTAACTGGAATGCAGTGCTGATATTGTAGCAAAATGAGATTTGAGAAGAAATGCTCGTAATTGGTTGAGACTAACAGCAATCAATCTATAGATGGGCTATAAAAAACAACCAAAAGCCAGGCAATAAGGATTTGGTAAAATAAGGACTGCCACTATTTCTGTCACCTTGAGCAAGTCTTTAAACTCTTACCTCTCCATACAGGACAAATGAGGCAAGTGTTCTTAACCAAGTAGGAGAAAACCACAAGATAAATATGAATGGTATGATGAACTGTTAGTTTCACTCAATAAATTTTACATTTTATTTCAAGGTGGCCAAGTATCCTATTTCTATAGAATTACCAGAAAGACAATGACAATCAATAGAAAATAGTTGTCTACAAAATACTTTATTTATCCCAAGCAATAATAACACAATCATCAAAGTCATTGCTTTTATAGGAAAAAATAAACAAGCACATTAAAATTTTAGGTAAGTTCTCAAAATGGTGCTATACATTTAGTAATAATGTCCTTAGTTTTAGAGTCTTTCTTCCTGGATGGTAAATAATACAATGGGTAAGGAGGGTAGGGGAATACCTCTCTTGTTTGCCTCTGTATCTCTAGTCCTATGTGAACCCATGCTCAATGATTATATGTTGGACAAATGAACACATGATTCAAGCAGGCCACCTAAAAGTTTGTCCAGAGAGGACTGAACACCCATTCCTACTTTCTCCCTCTCATCCCCACATCAATGTGCACTTCATATACTCTGCCCCTCACCATAAACTTTTTTTATGTAAATTGTATTTTATTTTTCTTGATTCAGCTTTTTGAAAAAAGACTCATTGTATTATTCTTGCATTCACAGTATTTGGGAAACAGCCATCAAGAAGTGTTCAATGAATGACAGGGCAACACCCCACAATTGCAGGAAAGAAAATTTTTCATGATGACACACAGGCTTCAGGCAATATTTCAACTCTGATTGTGAGATATCTCAGCTGCTTCAGCATTGAATCATCATGGCCATCTTTCCCATATTTCTATTTCTGTCACCTGTACCTAGAAACATACTTAGGTGCAAGAGTTATATTCGAAGTATTCAACTACTGCTAGAGATTGGGCACTAACCAATCAAACCAGAAAAAATTCGTATGCTAGCTAAGGCAAGCTCCTAAATGCCACTTCTGGTGCTACACGTTATTTTGTAGATGCAAAACAGTACATTGGGCTGGGGTGCTGGGGGAGGTGATTGACTATCAAACTGAGATAAGGAAGGAGATACTAGGAAGAACAGAATGGTGGCCATTTACCTACTGAAATGTTAATATTTCAAAATGTTAACAATCAATTTGGCTGTGCTGGAACACACTAACTGAATATGAGCTCTGCTTAGCAACATGTATTAATAAAGGAATTGGCAGAATGTCAACAAGTTCTACAAACTGGAATCCTGCCAATTCTTTTTGACTACCACAACTCTTTACAACCTCTGCTAACATCCCTTTTCTTGAAGAATGCAGACTGGAAAATAAATGGTGAATTTTAGTATCTGCAGAAATGTGGATGGTATAACAGTATTTTACAGAAGTCTGATTTATAGGAGGAGAATGGAAAATTATGTGTGAGATCTAAAATTGCATTCTCCTGGGATCTTTTCTACTTTTCAGAAGAGAGTTATATCAGGTCAGAATTCTATTATTTTTGGCTAAAGGCCAGTGAAAAGTCTTACAATGCGATCTTAACATGTTATAAAAAATCAAATCAGAACAAAGTTAGAGTGAAATTCTGAGCATAAAACTTGATAACGACAGTTGAGAGTTAATTTCATAAAATGAGACAACAACCTAATACTTCATTGTTTTTCCTTGCAATGTCCTAAGTTTTCATTAGCTGCTATAACTATCAGACATGAAGAGACACTACAAACTCTACCAGTAGAGCCTGAATAATTTCTTCTTTCCTAAATTTCTAAAATCAGAGCTGCATCCAAGAAGCTTCTTACATAATCAAAGATTCATTCTATAGAATCCATAGCTGTATAAAGGGACCTTAACTGAGGGAGTCAACCATTACCAACTTACTGGTTTTCATGAGTCCTGGGTACTTGCCTTTAATTAGGTAACTTGCCATCATGACATTTTGTAGCTGAAGAAAGTTAAAACTAGCCAAGTACAATTTTCTATTTCATATTATATCTAAATTCTTTAAACCACATACATTTGGATGATTAAATATTTTATGAGACTTTAAATAACAATTATTCATAGTGGTAATTGGAGCATATGCAAATCCTTCATAATAAATTGCTAACATATAGACAGTGTGTCTTATTTAAATCATATGTGTTATACAACCATAGACCATAATTGAAAAGTATTTATAACATATGCAAGCCCTTTTTATGTTAATTAATTTCCTCCCTATTCAGTAAAAACAAGCAAATAAAGCAAAACTTTGACAAAATGAGAATAATTTGACAAAATAAGAATAAGATAATTTGTATGAATTTGAACATCCTAAAGAATTAGGAACATATATAAGCTGGTTTTAATGGCAATTTTAAAAACTTTATGACAAAATAAGTTCCTATCTCCCCCCAGATACACACAAATAATGGTAAATGATGGGCTCTTAGTTTATTTTCTAACATAGAAATAGAATCTTTGGGCCAGGTGCTGTGGCTCATGCCTATAATCCCAGCACTTTGGGAGGCCGAGGCAGGCAGATCACCTGAGGTCATGAGTTCGAGACCAGCCACACAGGGCAACATGGTGAAACCCCATCTCTACTAAAAATACAAAAAAAAAAAAAAAAAAATTAGCCAGCTGTGGTGGTGTGTACCCGTAGTCTCAGCTACTTGAGAGGCTGATGCAGGAGAATGGCTTGAGCCCTAGAGGCGGAGGCTGCAGTGAGCCGAGATCACACCAGTGCAGTTCAGCTTGTGCTACAGAGTGAGACTCCATCTCAAAAAGAAAAAGAAAAAGAAATAGAGTCTTTGAATATAACATTTTCATTATTTATACCTTGAATTTTCTCAATTGATTAAGTAGTCTCTAAATAAGCAAATTTTGACCACATTATCCCCTTATATTAGGAATAATAATGGCTACTTGCCACTCAGATATTACAAATCATATTCCAAATATGTATTCCTTGTAACTATGAACATAGATCCAATAATAAATGTAGGGGGCGTTCATTTCCCTAACTTACTGCTTCAGCACGTTATAAAAGAATTCACTATTTCATTCTGTAACAATGACAGGATAGTGAATTTGTAAATTATGGCAGAAAATGGGCAGTGATATGGAAACGGAGCCTGTTTAGAAATGACCTGAATTTACTCCCACTTCCGCAGAAGGAGCCATGTTCATTTGAGATGTAAGTAGGAAGAGGGCTTTCTCCCATAGCATTTTACTCCTGATAACACTGGGGCTATAAAATCACTGCGTAGAATTGAAGTTTAGGGAGGAACATTGATGTAATGCCCAGTTTTTATTACTCATTTCATATTTAGGGAATACGGCCTCATATTAACAATATCTCTCATGTTAAATTATATATACCTGTAATAATTTTCTTTCATACTTTCTAGATTTATGGAGCCCACAATTCTTAGCATAGTTTTGTGTTTTATTGGCTGCCCCTCAATCTTTTTTTCTTTTCTTCGTTTTTTTTTTTGGGGTGGGGGGAGGATGGCGTCTCGCTCTGTCGCCCAGCCGGAGTGCAGTGGGCGATCTCAGCTTACTGCAAGCTCCGCCTCCCGGGTTCATGCCATTCTCCTGCCTCAGCCTCCTGAGTATCTGGGACTACAGGCGCCTGCCACCACTCATGGCTATTTTTTGTATTTTTGGTAGAGACGGGGTTTCACCATGTTAGCCAGGATGGTCTCGATTTCCTGACCTTGTGATCCGCCCGTCTCGACCTCCCAAAGTGCTGGGATTACAGGCCTGAGCCACTGTGCCCGGCCCAGCTGCCCCTCAATCTTTCTAAATTTGTTTGTCATTAATAGATTTTCTGAGTCCTCCATCTCACGCAAACAGTTCTACTTGCACCATTCCCCTCCCTTAGAATAAGCCTCATCATTTCTAACTTTTTTTTTTTTTAACCAAAAATACCCTCAGAAAATAATGGACCGGGATCTGTGGTGTTAATCAAGTCTTATATTAAAAAACAAACAAACAAACAAACAAACAAACAAACAAAAAAACATTTCTTTTCTAGCGAGACTTCCCAGCCTTCCTTAAGTTTGTTGCATTTATGTTATGCTCTTCCATCACCAGTTTTGCCACCTGGAGTAAGAGCCACCCGAGAAAGATTCCATGTCATGTATTTTGCATCATAGAACTTTCCTAAACAAAGTGTAAGAATATAGGTGGTGCTTAATGAAGCCTGGTTTTCCCTATGTGTTTCTACCTCCCTTTTCTGTGTATAATTAAAGCGACAGTGATAAAGAGGAGGAGATGATGAGAGTAGAATTGCCTCTAATTTGTAAGTATTTGAAGTATCTTCTACGTTTTTAAGAAAAAAACACAAGCAATACCAAAAAGAATGAAGAACATACTAGCAATTGCTCTCTACCTATGGTAGTCATTAGTGCTGGTCACCATTATTTCTGGCTCTACACTTTTTAAGAATGTGACAGGGTTGCATTTGCTGGCTTTTTTGTGGTTGGAAAAAGTGACAGCACTGGCCTGTGGGTTGTGAGTAAATGTGTTACACCCTGGCCACAGTATTTAATTGTCGGTAAGAGTACAACTTGTCTTTTTGTCTGCCTCAGAAACTGGCAGCATATGAGATGGTGTATGCTCCATCATTATGCTCCATTATCCTGCCTGTCATCATGAGCAGAACTCTTCTGTAATCCTCCATAGAAGAGTAGCAGGAGTGAGAAATGTCTTTATTGTTTTTAAACGTTGAGCTTCGGGGGCCACTCGTCACCTGAGTATAATTTAACCTACCTGATGCATCACTTTACCTCCATTTTGAGTTCTCATAGAATTAGTTTGATGTGTGTCTTTCCACATCTTGGTTCACACACAGGAAAAAAAATGCAAACATATACATACAAATATAGAACACTTTTACAATCAAAATGGAATTACACTGTTCTCCTTGATTGGTAGATTTTTATAATAATAAGATTGTATTGTATATATTATATTTTGATTGTATATAAAATATTTCATAGAAAATAATTGATGCACTTCTTTATTTAATAATATGGAGAAATTGTCACTTCATAATTTGAGTAAAATGTTCATATAAAAAGGAAAGAAACTTTCAGGTAAATATATGTCCTTTGTAAAAATTGTTCTCAATTTAGATAAATGATTCTATTCGTAATCAAGTTTAATTGGCATAGCATTTCTCTTTTTCTCTTATTGTATTCTTTTCTGTATTCTGAATTATTATATTTTGAATTCCTTATATTTTGAACTATATCAAAAACAAACAAATAAGTGTAATATTCAAGAAACGTTTTATACATATTTTCAGAATCGCCTCTAGTAAACGAAATACTTTACAATAAAACACTACTTAACTTTCTCATAGTCTGAGGCTATAATTTTACTTTGCTAAATAATTTTAATCTATTGAAGTTTCATATAAGTGCTAGATTACTTTATAAATAGTTGATTTTACTTTCACAGGTTCATTAAGTTCTTTATGTAAACTATTATGAAATTATGGTCACACCAAACACTGTTTTAGTTCTAGGAACTGAGCAAGTTTCTTATGTACATTAGATTGATATATGAGCGGTGGCTTGAAAAGCCCCTGTTTCCAATGAATTTACAATGATTTCAGGAAGATAAGACCTATATTTCAAGTAATTTAAGAGTAGAAGATTATATAATTAAATGCTAATCAACTATTATTCAGCATATTTTAAAATAAAGTTATCTCACATTTTAGACAAAACTTCGGGTTGTATCAGTCATCTTCCAAAAAAATGCAAACATGATGTAGCTTTTATAAAAAACAAAACAAAATAAAAAAACTTTCAAGACGACTGATTTTCTGAGAGTTTAGATGTTTGTAATATGATTTCTTCAAATAGGCAGTATCTCAGTACGTATTATATAATGACAGAGTAAAATCAATCTTTATTAATCTTTTTTTGTGATTAAGGTGATCCAAAAATAACTGGAAACTTCAAGTCACAAGTTTATCATTTCTTATTACCTATAGAAATAATTAAAATGTACAAATATATAATTTTACTTATTAATAAAGTTAAATGGTTACATATATATATAAACAAGTTATATTTTTAACTATATCTCAATGTTCATTATGCATGTACTTCATTATGTTCTAACATTGAGATATCGTTATACGTATAGCTTATTTTTATATTATACAAATAGATATTCAATTAACAGGATATTTTATTTTATAACACTACATGTTTATTATCCATGAGAAACCCAGAAAGAGAGAAGGCATAAAGGCCTTTATTTTCTTATATGTTAATCATTTAAAAAGTTGTTTATAGGACAAAGAATGGTTTTATAAGAATATAATTCTTTATTCTAACATAATATTTTTAGCTTCACATGGAGCAATGTACAATAAGAAGAGAAAACTTGTTGGTTATTTCTGAAAGTTGATCAAATTCATTTATGACAAGCACTGCCTAATTCCAGAAGGCACAGAAACCTAGTGAGTGAAACCTATTTAAATTCTTCTTTTGAATAATGAAGCGTAATTTCTGGGTTAGAATGACATTCATTCATCCCAGCTAATGAAAGGTCTAAGCTCTGATTCCTGTACAGAAAGAGAAAAAGAGAAAGGGAGAAAGGAAGAGAGGGAGCACACAATTCAAAAAGGATGCTTTTAATATTTTCATATTATAAATTGTCTCTTGCATAAAATCGCCACCAACGAAATAGCTTTAATAGTACCCAACAAAATACTTGATCACTTTTCCCAAAAATGTTTTCCTCTGTAATAAAGTTCAGTACTTACCAATAAAGTGAAAGTAGACTTGAAAAATGATTA
This sequence comes from Homo sapiens, assembly GCF_000001405.40. Taxonomy (NCBI): domain Eukaryota; kingdom Metazoa; phylum Chordata; class Mammalia; order Primates; family Hominidae; genus Homo; species Homo sapiens. The sequence goes on from NC_000005.10 coordinate 51,835,460, forward strand.
TTTTCATTGCCGGGACTTTCTCTAAAGAAATCATCTGCTATGACAAAACTCACATGTCAAGAAAAGTTTTCCTGAAGGAACTAGTGGAAAAGCAAGTCAGGAGCAGGTAAGGGATTTAGGGTAAGAGAAAAAGTATGTGCCAATAAGATAAATATCTCTACCTACAACATTGTTTACCCCTTTTAGGAGCTGAGTAAACTTACTATAAGTGCATTCCCTTGTTGATATTAAGTAATGAAATTCTTTCAAGACAGTTGAATTATATTTGAATTGTGGGACAAAAATTTTTGTAAGTTACCACACTTAATGTACAACATAAAATCCATAGTCTTTTTTATTTATATAATCATTTAGTTATTAATGAAAATAATGAAATTATGAGGCTGTTTTGCACACTTACCATATGCCAGGAAGCAAGTACTGAAAATTTTACATTATCTTACTTAATCCTTTTAAGCAACTTATGTGATTAATTTTTCTCAATATACCCATAGTGAACTTTTGGTCCAGACATGTTAAATAAATTGCCCAATGTCAGACAGCTAGTAAATGGCAGAGCTAGTATTGATAGCAAGGTTGTATGATTTGCAAATCTGTATTTATTCCAGTGTGTCACACTGAAATTAATTCAACATCAAGGTAAATATGCAGCAATATTAGGAAGGTAATATTGTATTATAATAACTGATATTTGTTGTATATATATTATGTGCCAGAGACAGTGAAAATATTTTTCAAATGTATTATTCGATCATCCCAACAGCCCAGTATTATTTTCACCATTTTAAGATGAAAAAAAAAAAAAAAACCCTGAGGCATAGAATGGTTAGATCACTTGCCATAATTTCGTATTGTTAGATCTTGCTAGAGCTGTGATTAAACTCAAGGAAGACATAAGTGAGGGCCTGCAGAATGTTTGTAAGTGAAATTAAGATTTGGGGCATGAACACATAGGAAGGAAGGCTTAAGCAGTTGGTTAGTACGTTTTCTTCTACTAGTATGAGTACCAATGATACAGGCAGTTATCTCAATATTCCATTACACTTTCTGTGACCAGATGGTAACAAAACCGTAGTGTAATATCTGCTGAAATGTTGTTTTTCCTTTATAATCAGTAAAATTATGTGTAACTCAAGTTAGAAACAATCTTTTGGCCCACATGATGGTGTTCTGTTTTTGTGTAACCACTACTATGAAAGATTTACTTAAGAAAATACTCTGGATTCATAGAAAGAAAAATAACGGGAGAGGGAGAGATTCTAAAAAGACTCAACACAGGTTCTCTAGGGTACTAATTCTTAGAGATGAGGGGAGATAGAGACAGCAAACATAAATAAGGAGATGTTCATGGACCCAAAAGCTCTGCAGCAGGGGACATAAGCATCAAAGTAAAATAATGTTGTAATGGTTAATTTTATATATCAACTTGGCTAGGCTATAGTGCCTAGTTATTTAATCAAAGATAAATCTAGGTGTTTTGAAGGTATTTTATCAAGTGGTTAACATCTGTGATCAGTTGACTTGAAGTAAAGGAGATTACCCTTGAATATGTGGGTGAACCTCATAGAAGCAGTTGAAGGCCTTTAACAGAAAAAATTTAGGTGTCCTGAATAACAAAAAATTCATTCTTAGAATTCCAACATCAACTCCCGTATACTTCCAACGTGATGGATTTCCCTACATGTTTTTGATATGCCAGATCCCACAATGTGAGCCAATGCCTTAAAATAAATCATTCAAATAGATAGATGATGATAGATAGATAGATAGATAGATAGATAGATAGATAGATAGATGACAACCCACATTGTATCCATACCTCCTAATATACATATATTAGTACCTGACTGCAAGAAGTGTTTATTTCAATCATTCTAAACTGTAATGGCCTTGATGTTCATCAAAAACTGCATATGCCAAGGACACAGCCAAGAGCAGATAAGTCTATCTCACAGCACCTGCCATTATCTGTGAATCTTATCCAATGGTTAGATTCAAAAGATTCTGTCTAAAACTTGAGCTTATGTTAGATCTCAGAGCACTGATTCCCTTTTGACCAATAGCACATTTTGATTTGGCCATTGGTCAATGAGATTCAGCATTGTGATTTATAGTGTTTGGGAAAACAAAGTTTCTCTTATCAAAGATGCATTTCTGGAATGTTTTTATTTTTCTGTTACACTGAGAAAGACTATAAATAAATTTTTCTTATGGTAAATACTTTTAAATATAAGTGGATCAAAATAAAATAAAAAATTAAGATTAAAAAACTGGCTATATAATAACTTTATTGTTTAGGATTATTTTGACCATTAGTTAAGTTAAAATGCTATTCAGTTATATTGATATAATTGACATGTAAATATAAGGTATTGTATAAACACTACTTTTTAGAGTTATTATTCAGATTTGAACCTGATAAGGTTTATATTAAAATGTTTTGTTATGAAACCCTTGTGTAATGCAAAAAAACTCTGTATAAATTAGTATAAAATTATTATAGTAATTTTAATAAAATGATACAATATTTGTATATATTAATTTCATATATAAGTTATGTTTAAAAAAACTAAAATGTAACCCAGATTCTCACTTAGGAAATAAAAATTTAAGTGACCTATTTCTTCAGAAGATCCCACTAATGTCTATAGATTAATGTTACCATTAAAAATCAATGTGAACAAATCATTTCACATCCAGGAAAGTGCTAGTATTTTAATGTCAAAACAACATAATAATTAGCAAAATAATTATTTTCTATATTTCAAGGCGGGTTTCATTGAAGATGAATTTCTTATTGAAAAGGGGCAAGCAACACCATCATAAAAAAAGGTTTAGCAGTAGAGTAGTTATCAAAGAATGGTGAATTGATTACGCATTTACAAAATTTCCTTACAAGTAAGTGCCATGCAGTAAAGAAAAAGAAGTCTCAATACATAAAGTTATAAACAGTCACTGTCCAGTTCTTGGTCTGAATTCAGTTTTTCTTCAGTTTATTTAAGATGAACCCCCAGATTAGGATGCCCTAACAACAAAGTCAAAGTTAATTAGTCTTAACTAACAGACAAGTAGTAAACTTCTTGAGGTCAGCTCCACCCTCAAGAAAGTGGACATTAGGGAGAGATTTTAAAGCGGTGTCTGTTTTTATAGGCAGTGCAGGGAAAGGCTAAGCCAATAAAATGTAATGGTTCTATTCTATATTTCAATAGCAACTTCCGAAGGACAGAACACTTCCCTATGATTTGAAGGCAAAGCCTTGTACCAGGTTAGAAATGATATGTGAGCAAAGAAAATTACTGTCATTTTACTTTCCTTCTGAGTGCTGAATGTAACAAGTGAATAGCAATCAAACACATATCAATCATTGGCTTTTTGGGTGCAGGATCACTCATGCCTTAGGCCATGTAGGGACCCCAGGGACCACCGTAAGGATTCCTCAGTTTACCCAGTTGATAGATCACAGGAGGTTCACATTGGTCTGTGTTTGGGAGGGAAGAAGAAACACCAATCTAAGAATCTTGGGATGCTGTTGGGAAATGTTAGGCGTGAGCAGCTGTAGTCAATTAGAGCTTCATTTTCTCTCGAGTCGTCTTTGGTTGCATGCCACAACTGCACAGGGCATGGAGGTTTATGACTCTAAAATAGCCTTGTCATTTGTGAAGCCTAACAGAGCAAAGAGGTTTGATAAATAGTTTTTTAAAATGTTACTTAGAAAGCCACTTCAATCAGATTAGTTTTCTGTTGTTTGTTTTCAGAATCCCAGTAGCCCACCAGCATCTAGTAGGTAAACATGAATGGCACCAAGTTGGTGACTAAAATAAAAGCTTTAAAAAATACATGTCTTTATTTGTTTACAAGGCATTTATGTGGCATACTATGCTAAATTAATTCAATCAATGGTGTATTTAGTTTCTTTTACTCTTAGAAAGAGCACTTACATGGAACATGGTGCAAAGATGTTATAAATTGGTCACAAAGAAAATATGGGTTTCAACTCTCAACAGTTCAAAGTTTTTATTTTACTCCTAGGAAGAGACACTAATGATTTGCTTTCCTGCCATATTTTTCATTTATGTCATCACTTAATACAGGAGAAAAAAAGTTATAAAATATTACACAGTTTGTGTATTTCAGTGTCAGTAGGCCCATCTGCTGTTACACACTATTGAATGCTTGCAATTGAAAAGAGAGATGGAGATGCCTATTTTAAAACAGAGTGCTTTCTAAACTCAATCATTTAATTTACTATTAAGTATATGTATGTAAATACATATCAATTTATTGAAAAATAAATCATCTGGAATTCTGGAAGCCAGTGGCCTAGAAAAGTCTACTACTTTGCAGCAGACTGCAGAAGCAACAGGGCATTTTCCCACTGGTGTTCAATGTAATTGTAACAGTGATGGGATTCAGACTCTCCTCCATGTGAGATTTGTCTTTCATTCAATCAACGCAAACAACTAATGCACTGCAAGGCATATTACATTCCATCCACTTCCCAATAAAGTCAGGGGTATCCAATCAGGCACCTATTGTTAGCAGAGAATCTGAAATTGATACAATCATCACATTGATCCAAAGTTGTCAATCATCTTACATCTTTACTTCCTTCTTTCTCTTCTCTCAGAATTTATAAATTGCAATGAAAATTGTCATATTTATACCAAATTTTAGAAAGTAATTGTTGAAATCATAGGTTTTTCAAAGTATTTGCAAAGGTAATTTTTTAAAAAGTGCTCCATATTTTTTTTCTACGTGGTGCTTAATACTTTGACAAATGTTAAACACTTTTGACTGAAAACTAGTTTTACTTTAATCTGTTGTATTTGTTCTATTCTCTTTTAAAGAACTATAGAAAGCCTATACTGCATCATAAAACTTGTGACTTATAAAGAGCTCTTGATGTTCAACTTCAGTTTTATTATTTTCTTTATGTTTATATGTAATAAAAGCTATTACGTATGCAGTTTGTATAAAAACATTTATTGCCTATTATATACTCGTTATGCTTTGTGAATGAGCAGATTGTAAGCTTCTTAAAGGCAGGAACCTGAATTATATATTTTTTGCAATCACAACCCGAAATATTCCAGATATTTTGGCATTATGCTGCATAGTGGAAGAATAAAACTTCTACAGTAGGTAAGCATCTCCTTTATTGCCATTTATTTCTGAAGATATCTGAATTTATTATCCATAATGTTTGCATTTAATTTCTCACAGTTTAGTAGTGTCAGTTCCTTAAATGTCAGAGGATGTGAGGGCACTGGTTGGAGCAAATGAAGAGATTACACATGAAAGACCTCTGGTCCTAAAATAGTAGTAGAAGCATTAAAATACAGTATTCTCTTTCTCTGTGTGAATGAATTATTACTTTCACTAATATTTCAGCCTCTGTTTGATTATTCTATATTATTTGTAATACTAAATTCTGTTCTTGTGACATAAGTTTGTCATAAGGCAGTACTTTCTTAGACTTGCTAATGCCAAATCGAAATAATACCTAAAGATCTAAGAACCCATAAACAAATAAGTAGAACATAATTCCAAATAATATATTTAATGAAATAGATCAAGTTCACAATAACATTAAGATTGAAATAAACATTTAAAAAATTTTGTGATGAACTTTAAACATAAAAGTGGAAAGCAAGAAATGCAGGTCAGGAATGTCAAATTTGTACATTCAAACACTTGGAATATTTATACTATTCTTATTGAGAGCAAAATGCATGAAATATATGAACTTTCATCTCATCTATGAGTCAGTTCACTCAACATTTCAAGAAAAGTATCACCAATCCTGTTTATAATAAACAATTAATTAAAAAGAGAAAATTAAACCAATGTATAATATTGGTATAAATACAAATGCATTTTTATTATACTCATATATATGTCACAAATAAATAATTACCATTTCTCAGATTCTGAATTCCCCACCCTCAACTACAGTTGCTGTTTGTTACAAAAATGGTTGCTAAGAATATATACATATGTACACACAAACGCACACACACACATAACAATGACATGGGGAGCAGATGCCACCCATAGGATAAATGATGTCACTGCCATTTGAGCTATTAGATAGTAAACAGTAATAAAATTAGGTCATTACTGACCAGGACTATGCATATGTGACAAAATTGTTTCACGAAGAGAATTGTAGCACCTGTTTACAGAGTTGCTATTAATATTCATATATCCATCCAGAAAATCATATGTAAGCAGATGGGTGAAATTTGAAACCTGTCAAAGCACAATTTCTTAATTGCTTTAAATAAAACATTGCTACAGTTGGTGGAGAAGCAATTAGATGTATGCTATATTCATTACCATTTCCCAGTGTTACTTTTTTTTTTTTTTTTTTGAGACGGAGTCTTGCTCCCTCAGCGCAGGCTGGAGTGCAGTGGTGCAATGGATCTTGGCTCACTGTGACTTCCACCACCTGGGTTCAAGCAATTCCGCTGTCTCAGCCTCCCAAGTAGCTGGGACTACAGGCACCTTCCAGCATGCCCGGCTAATTTTTGTATTTTTAGTAGAGATGGGGTTTCACCTTGTTGGTCAGGCTGGTCTCAAACTCCTGACCTCAGGTGATCCACCCGCTGTGGCCTCCTAAAACTCAGGGATTACAGGCATGAGCCACCACACCCAGTCCAGCGTTACTGTTTTTATAATTAGGAAAACTAATATGGATGATATTTATCACAGCATCAGTGATTGGTACAAAATTCGACTTCTAAATTTTCAGTGATACTTGTAGAGAATAAATATCAGTAGGAATAATAATCCACCTTACAAAGTTACTAAAATTCATGTGTCAAAACATGTAACGAAAAAACAAAAAAGAGAACGGAAGATTAGTTGTATTTGTAAATGTAGATACAAAACCTAAAGTACATCATTGACAAATCAAGTGCTCTTCAAGGAATTCAAAGCTAGTTTGATTTTGGGAAACACATCACTAAAACATAATAGTTTAAGTGGTCAAAGAGAGTAGAAAAGCAAAATCACTTAAAGCTACCTGAAAGGCATTCAATAAATGTACTATCATTACTGAATTTTAAAAGCAAAATGAAACAAAATTCTTACGTATCATGTATATGGTAAATGTACCTTTCTAAACTGTCAAGGGCATTTTAATTTTTGTTAACTTTGGCTAGTTACATTAAAATATTAAAGTAAAGAACAAGTCTGGGATAGTACTGTAGTAGTTCATTTTCGTGCTGCTGATAAAGACCTACCCAGGACTGAGAAGAAAAAGAGGTTCGATTGGACTTACAGTTCCACAGAGAGGCCTCAGAATCATGGCGGGAGGGGAAAGGCACTGCTTACATGGTGGCAGCAAGAGAAAATGAGGAAGAAGGAAAAGTGGAAACCCCTGATAAACCCATCAGATCTTGGGAGACTTATTCACTATCACAAGAATAACACAGGAAAGACAGGTCCCCATGATTCAATTACCCCCCCCCCCCCCCCCCCGCAGGGTTCCTCCCACAACCCGGGAATTCTGGGAGATACAATTCAAGCTGAGGTTTGGGTGGGGACACAGCCAAATCACATCTTTGCACCCCTGGCCCTTCCCAAATCTCATGTGCTCACATTTCAAAAGCAATCATGCCTTCCCAATAGTCCCCCAAAGTCTTAATTCATTTCAGCATTAACCCAAAAGTCCACAGTCCAAAGTCTCATCTGAGACAAGGCAAGTCCCTTCTGCCTATAAGCCTGTAAAATCAAAAGCAAGCTAGTTATTTCATAGATACAATGAGAGTACAGGTATTGGATAAATACAGCCATTCCAAATGCTACAGCTGGCGGAGAAGCAATTAGATGCATGCTATATTCATTACCATTTCCCAGAGCTACTTTTTTTTTGTTTGTTTGTTTGTTTTTGAGACGGAGTCTCGCTCCCTGGCGCAGGCTGGAGTGCAGTGGTGCAATCGATCTTGGCTCATTACAACCTTCGCCACGCGGGTTGAAGCAATTCCCCTGTCTCAGCCTCCCGAGTAGCTGGGACCACAGGCGCCCATGCAAGTTCAAAATCCAATGAGGCAGTCAAATCTTAAAGCTCCAAAATGACACTCCGTTGACTCCAGGTCACGGTGATGCAAGAGGTGGGTTCCCATGTTCTTGGGCAGCTCCGCCCCTGTGACTTTGCAGGGTACAGCCTCCCTCCTGGCTGCTTTCACGGGCTGGCATTGAGTGTCTGTGGCTTTTCCAGACACACAGTGCAAGCTGTCAATGAACCTACCATTCTGGGGCCTGGAGGACGGTGGCCCTCTTCTCACAGCTTCACTAGGCAATGCGCCAGTAGGGACTCTCTGTGAGGGGTCTGACCCCACATTTCCCTTCCACACTGCCCTAGCAGAGGTTCTCCACGAGGGTCCCGCCCCTGCAGTAAACTTTTGCCTAAGCTTCTAGGCATTTCCATACATCCGAAATCTAGGTAGAGGTTCCCAAACATCACTTCTTGACTTCTGTGCAACCACAGGCTCGATACCAAGTGGAAGCTGCCAAGGTTGGGGGTTCCACCCTCGGAAGCCACAGCCTGAGCTGTATGTTGGCCCCTTTCAGCCACGGCTAGAGTGGCTAGGACACAGGGACCATGTCCCAAGGCTGCACACAGCACAGGGACCCTGGGCCGGGCCCACGAAACCACTGTTCCTCTTGGGCCTCCAGGTCTGTGATGGGAGGGGCTGCTGTGAAGGTCTTTGACATGCTCTAGAGATATTGTCCCCATAGTCTGGGGGATTAACATTAGGCTCCTTGCTACTTACACAAATTTCCTCAGCCGGCTTGAATTTCTCCCCAGAAAATGGATTTTTCTTTTTTATCCCATTGTCAGGTTGCAAATTTTTCAAACTTTTATGCGCTGCTCTCCTTATAAAAGTGAATATCTTTAAAAGAACCCAAGTAAGCTCTTGCATGCTTTGTTGCCTAGAAATTCCTTCTGCCAGATACCCTAAATCATCTCTCTCAAGTTCAAAGTTGCACAAATCTCTAGGGCAGGGGCAAAACGCTGCCAGTTTCTTGGCTAAAACATAACAATAGTCACCTTTACTCCAGTTCCCAGCAAGTTCCTCTTCTCCATCTGAGACCACCTCAGTCTGGACTTTATTGCCTATATCCCTATTGGCATTTTGGGCAAAGCCATTCAACAAGTCTGTAGGGAGTTTCAAACTTTCCCACAATTTCCTGTCTTCTTCTGAGCCCTCCAAACTTTTCCAACCTCTGCCTATTACCCAGTTCCAAAGTCGCTTCCACATTTTCGAGTATCTTTTCGGCAGCGCCCCACTCTACTGGTACCAATTTATTAGTCCATTTTCGTGCTGCTGATAAAGACATACCTGAGACTTACAGTTCCACGTGGTTGGAGAGGCCTCACAATCAGATTGAAAGTGTAAGGCACGTCTCACATGGCAGCAGACAAGAGAAGAGAGCTTATGCAGGGAAACTCCCCATTTCACAACCATCAGATCTCATCAGACGTATTCACTATCATAAGAACAGCACAAGAAAGACCTCCCACCATGATTCAGTTACCTCCCACTGGGTCCCTCCTGCAACACGTGGGAATTCAGGATGAGATTTCGTTGGAGACACAGACAAACCATATCAGTTTCATTAGGCGATTTTGTCACTGGGTGAACATCAGAGTGTGTACACAAAATAAGATGATATAGCCTACTACACACCTAGACCATATTGTGTAGCCTGTTTGCACCTAGGTTACAAACCTGTACAGAATGTTACTATATTGAATATTGTAGGCAATTGTAACACAACAGTATTTGCATATCTAAATATATCTCTACATAGAAAAGGTAGAGCTAAACTATGGTATGAAAGATAAAAAATGGTATGTCTATAGGGCACTTACTATGAATGTTGTTTCCAGGACTGGAAGTTGCTCTGGATGGAACAGTGAGTGAGTGGCACATGAATGTGATGTCCTAGGACACTACTGTACACTAGTATTCTAGTCTTTATAAACACTGTACATTTAAGCTACACTAAATTTATTTAAAAATACTTTTATTTCTTAAAAAATAAATGATCCTTAGCTTACTGTACTTTTTTAGCTTTATAAACATTTTAATTTTTCAAAGTTTTTGGCTCTTTCATAATATTTAGGTTAAAACATACATTGCACAGTTGTACAAAAATATTTTCTTTCTTTATATCCTTTTTTATAAGCTTCTTCTATTTTTAATTTTTATATTTATTTTTTTACTTTTTAAACTTCTTTGTTAAAAACTAAGACAGTGAGGCACAGTGGTCTGCACCTATGATCAATTCAAGCTTCTCAGGAAACAGAGGTAGGAGGACCTCTTGAGCTCAGGAGCTCATGAGCAGCCTGAGCAACATAAGAAGACCCCATCTACAAAACAAACAAACAGAAATCCAAGACAAAAGTGCACACCTTTGTCTAGGATCATCAATATTAGTCTTCACCTCCACAGCTTGTCCCACTTGAAGGTGTCCCACTGGAAGGCAATAACACGCATGGAGCTGTCACCTCCTGTGATAACAATGCCTTCTGGAATACCTCCTGCAGGACCTGCCTGAGACTGTTTTACAGTTCACTCATTTAAAAAAAAAAAAAAAGCAGAAGCAGTACACTCTAAAATAACAATAAAAAACATAGTACAGTCAATACATAAGCCAGTAACATAGTTTATTATCAATGTCAAGTATTATGTACTGTACATATTTGTATGTAGTATACTTTTATAGGAGTGGCAGCACAGTAGGTTCGTTTACACCACCATCACCACAAACACATGAGTAATGTGTTATGCAATAATGTTATGACAGCTACATCACTAGAGAGATGATAGGAATTTTTTGGCTCCACTGTAGTCTTACGGGACCACCATCATATATGAGCTCTGCTTGTAGATCACAATGTCATTATGCCATGCATGACTGTATATTAAAAAATTTCAGGAAACCTATCAAAAGACCCTTAGAATTTACAAAAATTATTAAATATAAGATGAATCCAATTTGATAGGGTTTCCTATGTGCTGGAAACAATCAGTTTATACATTTTATAAGAAAAATATAATACATTGAAAGCAGCAAAGTGAACAAAAATACCAGCAATCATTCAAATGGAAATATGTGGAACCTATATGTAAAAAATACAAAATTAAAATGTGAGTTATAAATGTGCATTAGACTAGGTGTAGAAATACCTTGAAGTGATAGTACAAGTATTCTGGAGAGCATGAACAGCAAATGCAAATGTGCCTTATCTTCAGAAACAGCATACTCAGGGGCAGAATAGAAAAATGAGGCAATATTTCTTAATCCTTAGTCATGAAGAGTGGCTTAAAATAATGCTGGAGAGGTAGGTGGTGACTATGATGAAAATTTTCTATATTCCATGAGCCATAATTCTCATGGAGGAATTTAAAGCAGTGGTGACACAGATCAAGAGTTAGTTTTGAAAATGATTACTCTTCTTGTATAAATGTATTGAGAAGTAACACAAATGGAGGCAGAGTGATCAATTAGGATGTTCTTTTAATTGTTAAAGAAAAATGATGAAGATTTGGGCTAGGTGTTTGACTATGGATGCTGAGAAAAAAGTGTCTATAAAATATTTAGAGAGTAGAATCTACAGGAATTTGGCCATTGCTTGGTGTGGAGAGGGGCTTTATAATAATTACTTCCATTATTCTGGCCGAAGTATTTGCGAGTGTCTCCATTCATAAAATAAGAAACTTTGGGGGCAAAATTTAAGGAAAGAAAAAAACTAAATTAAGTTTTGGATATACTGGGCTTGGGTATTTGTGAAATATCCCATTGGAGAGTTGAGTGTGCAGTTAGAGTTTGTTTTAGTAGTCCAGCCAGAAATATAAATTTCAGAATTAAGAATTGGCTGGGCATGGTGGCTCATGCCTGTAAACCCAGCACTATGGGAGAACGAGGTGGGAGAATTACTTAAGCCCAGGAATTCAAGCCCAGGAGTTCGAGCCCAGCTTGAGCCCAGGAGTTGTAGACTTGTCTCCAGAAAATAAACCAATTAGCTGGGTGTAGTGGCAGGCACCTGTAGTCACAGCTACTTGAAAGGGTAAGGTGGGAGGATTGCTTGAGCCTAGGAGGCTGAACCTTCAGTGAGCCCTGATCACACCACTGCACTCCAGCTTGTGTGACAAAGCGAGACCTTGTTTCTACTCCCCCGACCCCCCGCTGCAATGCTCCCTTCCACCAAACACAAACAACAACAAAAAAAGATAATATTTGAATTCGTGAAAGTATTTTTGATCACCTATTTGTATAATGCAATTAGGGAGAAAAGTGCCCCAATTAATCAAATCCTGAGCAACCCTATGAAGGAGAGGAAGAAAAATTGGAAGAAGAGCCCAAAATTGGAGAACCAATGAGGTCAGAGGAAAACCATAAACACATGTCCTTGCAGATGCTCAGAGTTGAGAATGTTTCAGAAGAAAGAGAGAAAACCAAATTCTGAGGATTATTGCTAAATTAAGGCTGGAAATTAAAACAGTTCATTATACATTGTAGCCTACAGGTCATTGATAGGTTGATTAAGAAAGTTCGCTTCTGTCCAGGAGTAGTGGCTCACGCCTGTAATCCCAGCCCTTTGGGAGGGCGAGGTGGAGGAATCACGAGGTCAAAAGTTCGAGACCAGTCTGGCCAAAATAGTGAAACCCTGTCTCTACTAAAAATACAAAAAATTAGCCGTGTGTGGTGGTATGCACCTGTAATCCTAGCTACTCGGGAGGCTGAGGCAGGAGAATCATGTGAACCTGGGAGGTGGAGTTTGCAGTGAGCTGAGATAGGCCATCGTACTCCAGCCCTGGCGACAGTGCGAGTCTCTGTCTCAAAAAAAAAAAAAAACAACAACAACAACAAAAAAAGAAAGTTCGCTTTTGGTAGAATGCTAGGGATACAAGTAAAATTTAAAATTTAAGTGATTTTAGCAGTAAGTAGATAGTAAGAAAATGAGTAGACAGCTCAAGCAAATTGATAGGGGAGAATAATTTTTAAATAATAGAATTTAAAAGATGTAGTGAGCCCATGATTTTAAAGAGAGAAGAAATAATAGAGAGCTTGTGGTTCCAACAGAAGCATGGGAGTCCCAGACAAGAAAAGCCTTAGTTGTTGTAAGCACCATGAAGGACATCAGAGAGGACTTGCAATAATGAAATATATTAGAAAAATTGCAATTAAAATTGTGTGGCACAGACCCAAGATATTAATTTTCCTTGAAATATATCTTAATTACATAAAAGGATTTAAAATACTCTAGAAGAAACAAGAAATAACGGTGAGAAAGCCTATTTGTCATACTTTCAAGAAAGACTGATTTAGCACTCACTACGTGCTAAGCACCATTATGGTCTTAATAATGGTCTCACCATTAAGAGCTGAGACCCAGTAGTGAACTAAGCTGAAAATGTCCTCATTTAACCTACATTTCAATGGGGGGAGGGGAGAACTTCATTTCCATAAATGAAATTAATAAGTAAAAGATACCATGTGTTATGGTATAGAGGAAAAAAAAAGCAGGAAAAAAATGAAGATTGTTAGAGGAGGGGATATTGCAAATAAATGGCCGGAGAAATCCTTAAAAATGGTGAAACTTGAGAAATGTCTAAAGGTGTCTAGAAAGTTAGCCATGAGAATATTTGAGAATGGCAAGTTAAAAAACCCAAGATGTAAGCATTTCTGGAGTATCTGAAGAAAATAAGGAAGCCAGTGTAGCTAGAATAGAGCGAGCAAGGAGAGATGTTTCAAAAGAGGTCAGAGGAAATGAGAATGAGTGGGTTAGGTATATGGACAATATGCAGTGCCATTTTAGACTGCTGTAAAAATGTGGATATCTACCCTGACAATGAAGCTATTGCAAAGGTCCAAGCAAAGGAGTATTAATATCTGTAGCAGAAGGGTGACAGAAGAAGCAGGAAGACCAAATGGGGGCTCTTTCAGTAATTCAGAGCAGACATGATTGTAGCTGGGAAAAAGGTGGTTTCGGGAGAAGTGTTGAGAAAACAAAGATTCTGACTATATCCAGACATTTCAAATTAGAGCTAGCAGGATTTGCTGAAGAATTTTACATAAATGGTCAGGATGAGTAAAGGAGAATTCCCAGGTTTGGAAGCCAGAAAACACAGGAGGTGGCACAGTGTGGTGATTAAGCTCATAATCTCTGGAGCCAGACTCATTGGCTTTGCAATTCTTACTCAGTCACTTGTGTGGCCTTGGGCAAGTTAGTTATCTCTTAATGCCTCCATTTCTTTATCCATAAAGTTGAGGCATAATCTTGCTTATTTTATAGAGCTGTTAGGAAGTTTAAATTGGTTAAAGTTTCAAAGTACTTAGGAAGGATGCTGAAATGAGTATTTGGGGGGATGGTTGGAAGATAAATTCTGGGTTCTTTAAGTTTGAATTATTTTTAGATACATATGTGGAGATGTCTTGAAGGCAGTTAAATACACAGGTATTCAGATTTGGAATACAAAGGGGAAAATCCAGTTTTGACTTAGTTTGTAATCCATCAGTGTATGGATGGTATTTAAAACTAGATTTAGGGGAAGAAAAAGAAAGCATCAGTAGACTAAGCCCTGAGAATATCTTAATGTTTACAGGACTGGAAGATCAGGTGGAAATGGCAAGAAAGCTTATAAGGCACAAAAGATCAACCAGGATTGTATAGTGTGTCAGTTGAATCGAGGGCTGCCAATGGATCAAATAAATTAAGAACAAAGGATTGACCACTAGATTTAACATTTAACATTGTTTTGATCATTGGCAATCTAGGTGAAAGCTGCTGAAATATTGTGGTAGAGACAAAAACATGACTGGAGTGGGTATAAGAGTTCACAGGGCTAGAAAAATTGAAGATAGTGAATATGGACCTTTGTAATAGAAGGTTTGTTCTAAAAGGAAGGCAAGAATAGTTAGTAACTGGAGAAAAAAGTAGGGTGATGAGATGTTGTTTTAATCAGAGATAAATAACAGTAACTTTGCAGGGTTTTGGGGAAAATTCTAATAAAAAGGAAAAAATAATGATGATGGAAAGGAGTCTTTCTAGAGCAATGTCCTTGAGAAGTAAGAGGGGATAAGATACAATGGCAGGATTGGCTTTTGCTAGGCTCTTGGATGATTAGTCTTTAATAAGTAAGAAGATACAGTTGCAGGAGAGTGGGTAGATAGTCATGACAGTATGTACAATTGGCTTCCAATTGATTTAATTTTCTAAGTGAGTTGAGATGCAAGGTAAAGAGTTAAGCATGACTTTGTGGAGAAGATATTTGAGGTCTGAAGAGAGAAGACCAAGTAGAAAAAATTGCCTTAAGCAATTAAAGGGAGTGACCCAGAATTCTGTAGGTAACTGCAAAAGAAAGGATTGTGGGTGAAGTAATTTTATGACATAAGATGTGAGCTGGATGCCTTTAAGGAGATAAGAAGAATGATCTAAAAGTAATATTAAGGATCAAGGACATCTAAACCACATGAGACATTTGGGAAGAAAACATCCATTATTTAATAGGTCTTCAGGAGAAATGTCCTCAGGAAATAGCCACATTTCCTTTGAGTAAAAAGGTGAAAGGATGTTTATGAAAGAGACAGAATAGTTGAAGTTTGAAAACTTTGACTACTGAAAAGAAATCTAGTCAGGTGTCTGTCTTACTACACAGACAAATCAATTCCGCAGAAATAAAACGATTAAATATAAAAATTCCATAGCATATAAATATGGGTTACTATTTAAGCAATTTTCAAATGGTTAAGAATTTTTCATGGCTGGGCACAGTGGCTCATGCCTGTAATCCCAGCACTTTGGGAGGCCAAGGTGGGCAGATCACCTGAGGTCAGGAGTTCACGAGCAGCCTGACCAACATGGAGAAACCCCATCTCTACTAAAAATACAAAATTAGCCAGGGGTGGTGGCGCATGCCTGTAATCCGAGCTACTCAGGAGGGTGAGGCGGGAGAATTGCATGAACCCGGGAGGCGGAGTTGCGAAGGGCCAAGATCGTGCCACTGCACGCCAACCTGAGCAACTGGGCAACACGAGCAAAACTAATAATTTTCCTAGCACAAAAGCAATGGAAATAACTACTCTGAAAAGATTAATATGACTAATACCAGGCACAGTGGCTCACACCTGTAATCTCAACTACTCAGGAGGCTGAGACAAGAAGATCTGTTGAGGTCAGGAGTTCGAGACCAGCCTTTGCAACATAGCAAGCCTCCTGTCTCTAATAGAATAAAATAAAATAAAATAAAATGAGCCAGATGTGGTGGTGCAAGCCTGTGTCCCAGCTATTCCGGAGGCTGAGGTAGGAGGATCGCTCGAGCCTAGGAGTTTGAGGCCATAGTGAGCTATGATTGCACCAGTGCCTCCCAGCCTGAGTGACAGAGCAAGATCCCATCTCTAAAATAGTAAAAATAATATAATAATAATAATATGAAGAAGAAGGAAATGAAGAAGAAGAAGAAGAAGAAGAAGAAGACTGAAAAACCTGGAACTAATATTTACCACAGATAGGGCAATGGCTTAATAACCATAAAGTGTATAATACTTTTATAAATCAAGGAAAATAAAAGTCCTCCTAGAAAAAATCATTTATAAAAAATTCAACAAAAATTCCAAAAATGGTTAAGTTTTTTAAGTGTAGTCATGATGGTATGGTGGTTAAGAACTTGGTTTTGTCCAGCCTGGGTGACAGAACAAGACTCCGTCTAAAATAAAAAAAAGAAAAGAAGAACTTGGTTTTGAAATTGAAACTGTTGTAGGCATAAGCACCAACCTGCTACTTATCTACTGAGTAATATTGGGCAACTTTTATAACTTCTTTAAGCTTCAATTAATTCATCATTGCAAAAGGATGAAAATTATACTTTTCTACTTACCTCATATGGATATGTTATGTTTAAATAAGATAAAATCTCAGTGCCCGGCAAAAATAAAACCTTTGCTGGTGTTAGCTATGGTTCTTATGATAGTAGTTGTTGAGGTTGTTATCATTACTATTATTAATAGTATTTCTATTAATATCTAAGTATAGCATCTTATTCATCTATTGTCCTTATTAAATGCTTTACAACTGTAGTCAGTCAATACGGTTTTGTTATTTGAATAAATTGTTGCACCATCTAATTGTTAAGTACAGCACATTGAACATTATCATTATCAAACTCTTCATTGCTTACTCAGAGATTGATAGCCCCTAACCTAAGTACTATATAATTGTGGCTCAAGTGCTATAGAATGAGGGCCTCTTATAGGTTCTACCTAAAGTTGACCATATAAACCACACAAAATTAAAACAGTAGAGGCAATTATGCACTAATCATGCACTAGCCATACACGAATAAAAATTAATTAGAAACATAACATCTTGGATGTCTATTATTTACAGTTTCCACAGAAAACCCTGAGAGAGGACTATCTTTTTTTTTTTTGAGACGAAGTCTCACACTGTTGCCCAGTCTGGTATGCAGCAGGGTGATCTCAGCTCGCTGCAGCCTCCACCTCCCGGTTTCAAGCGATTCTCCTGCCTCAGCCTCTGGAGTGGCTGGGACTACAGGCATGCACCACCACACTGGCCTAATTTTTGTATTTTTAGTAGAGACAGGGTTTCACCATGTTGGCCAGGCTGGTCTTGAACTCCTGACCTCATGATATGCCCACCTTGGCCTCCCAAAGTGCTGGGATTACAGGCATGAGCCACCATGCCTGGCCAAGAGGACTATTTCTAAAGTGACAAGATTGAGGGAACAAGGAAGAGATGACGAGACACTCCCAAATTGGCAGCAGAAGAAAAGCTGTCTCCACTCTCAAGGTTCAGGAGGACATAGGAAGAAAGTGGTGTTCCCAGAGCTCAGAGAGAGCTGAGCCACAGAGGAGTGTCACCCAACAGGAGAAGTGGTCATGGAGAGACAGAGACAGAGTCACAGTGTTGAAGCAGGAAGTAGTGGGGAAGAAAGATTCCAATCGCTTTCTCCTTCTGCCCCTCATTTTTTTTTCCAGTCTTTTCCATTAGCTTAACCTAATGGGGAGTCAACCAGCAAGGTTATTCTCCTAGGGCATAGGACAGAACTGCTAAGGCTGAGGATGGTTCCGACAGTGTAAAGGGGTGGAGATGGGGCATGAAGTGGGAAAGAAGCAGAACAGTTGCACAAGCACGATGCTTAAAATCTACTGTGTTTCCACTGCAGTTTTCAACTTTTCCTCATAATTTTCATTTATATGACTCTGCCTCAGGGCATGATGTGCTCTGTTATTTTGGAACTATGAAAAATGGAGAGTTAAGATGTCAGTAAACAGTGACACTGGCCACACTGAGAGGTACTAATAAAAAGTTCATGTTTATTTTGAATTTGAAGACATCAAAATAATACTGACCTTGTTTTTCAGGCTCTCGAATAATAATATTGAATCCAGTCATGGTCAGTAATAATGTATTCACATCTGACATGCAAAATCCTTTCTGTCAGTCATATCACTTCTGTTTCTAATCTCCTTGAATACATCTAAAGCGTTAGCATTCATAGAAGGCAAACATCAGACTCAATAACCTTTATACTCGGACATATTCTAAGCAAATTATGGGGAAATTTTGCAGCCTCTGACTTTCCAGGGTAAACAATAAAAAGAACAGACATCAAATCTGGGTATTTATACCAGCACTTCATCCTCTTGGAATATATGTGGGCCAATCAACTGAGAATGATAAAGATGCTAGACCTGTCTAAATGTGAGAGAGAGACAGAGAGACAGAAGAGAGAAAGAGCTGTGTGTGCGTTTTAAAATGTTTACTGTAGATATTCTATAATCTTGACTAAAGTGGGTAATGACTATACAATCCACACATCACTGTCTAATACATGTTTAATTAATATTGCATAAAAGGCTTGCTGTGGTTTTTTATGCAAATAGGACCATAAGTATATCTGTAGGTTTTCTTTTCTTTCCTACCTCTCTCTTTTGGGGTTTTGCTCTCCTGAGGTACAAAACTGAGCAACAAAATTACCTTAAAGAGGGTTTATGAATCACAAAGGAGAATTCTTTATGTACCTTGTTTCCATATGAAAGTAGCAACATTTGTGCATAAATGCCTTGAATCATTTTTTTATGAATTGGGCCTTAAGTGCTCATGATTGTCCTTGGTATTCAGTTTTTGTCATTAAGTAGCGTTGAAACAACAGGAGGAGAAAAAAGGAAACATTTTGTACCTGTGGTACACACTTGGACAACACAGCTTTAGGAAAATAGCTACACTCTTATCCTTTTATATGTATAAATTATGCAGGGACAAAGACAAGTGTGAATTGATGAAAAGGCAAATAATATATTTCTGGAACATTAATAGTCAAAGCCATACTCAGGATTTAAAAGAAATGCATTGATTTTCTTATTTGGTTCACGTGCACTCTCATATTTTGCCAATCTATATGGCTCCGTTGACAGAATTAGGTTTGCTCTGGATGAAGAAAGGGATAATTCTCTTTCTAACTGCAGGGTAATATGTCACCTCTCTTAGCATATTACCTAATAATCATCCTCAATGACTGAGGGAGAGGGGCATGGCATACAGATTTTTTAAACGTTGGTGTTTAGTGTTTTATTGTCATATATTACACACAAAGGTGAAATGCTTGAGACGAGGAATATTTCTTTAAGACTTTTGAAAAAAAATACAAGAGAAAAATCTAGACATTCTCTGTTTCTATGCCTATTTCTATTATAGACTCAATTGTGTTCCCCAAAATTCATTTGTTGAAGTCTTAACCCTTAGTATCTCAGAATGTAACTGTATTTGAAGATAGGACCTTTGAAGTGGTAAATAAGGTAAAATGAAGTCAGTCTTATGGGTGGGCCCTAATCCAAATGATTGCTGTCTTTATAAGAAGAGGGATTAGGACACAGAGACACACAGAAGCAAGACAATTTGAAGATACAGGGAAAAGATGGCCATCTGCAGAACTATGATTTCAACTAGATTATTTAGTTCCATGTTTAATACATTTTCTCATTTTATAGCACAGGACAATGGAAAAAATTGTGAAATAACATAGCACGTTGCAAAACTCGTAACATATAAAATTAGTGAAATAAATAAATCATAACATTGATAATAATAGCAGTGAATTAATCCAAATGCTCTGTGTAGCTGATGAAGATTGAGGGCCTATGCCAAATTTCCCAAACCCTATGTTGCTATCAAATTCAGTTCCATCTTGTTCCTTCAAGTTGACAATGAAAGACTTCTAACAGTAATTGTTTTAGGAAGAGCCCTTTTTGTAGATAATTTTAATTGATATGCTTTCTATTAAAATGTCAACTAACCTTGATTTTCATTCTTTATTATTTAAAATAGGTACTGAATAAATTTGTTGCAGATATAAAACTGCAAACCTTTAATGAGGCAAATTGCTTATGGAGTTCCTGCTTAATCATTCAGTCACTTGCTGTCACTCCTAATTAGATAACTAAATTTCTACATTTGTAAAATATCACATTTGGGATGAATTTAATGCTGAAAGATATTGGTTTAACATCCCAAGGCTATATCTGTGAATTCAGTTATCAAAACTTAGCTTTGTAAACATTTATGTTTCATTCACATTTTTATTTCAATATGTAACATATTATTATTTTTCTTCAGTTTTCTGTGCCAATTTAGAGTTTATTCAAAATTATCTTTATGAAATATTATTTCATTACTGTAAAGTGGTCTTGATCTAAACCCCAAGAGAGGGTTCTTGGATCTCTCACAAGAGAGAATTCATGGCAAGTCCATAAAGTGAAAACAAGTTTATTAAGAAAGCAAAGGAATAAAAAGATGGTTACTCCATAGGCAGAACAGCCCCAACGGCTGCTGGTTGCTCATTTTAAATATTATTTCTTGATTGTATGCTAAACAAGGGGTGGATTATTCATGCCTCCCCATTTTAGACCATATAGGGTGGCTTCCTGATGTTGCCATGGCATTTGTAAACTGTCATGGCGCTGGTGGAAGTGTAATAGTGAAGAAGACCTGAGGACACTCTCATCGCCATCTTGGTTTTGGTGGGTTTTGGCCGGCTTCTTTACTGCAACCTATTTTATCAGCAAGATCTTTATGACCTGTATCTTGTGCTGACCTATCTCATCCTGTGACTTAGAATGCCTAACCGTCTGGGAATGCAGCCCAGTAGGTCTCAGCCTTACTTTATCCAGCCCCTATTCAAGGTGGAGTTGTTCTGGTTCAAACACCTCCGAAAATTTTTGTTTAAATTAAATGCAATTGATTGTTAGTTATTGGATTTGTTATCGAGATCTTTATCACGCAATCACAAATTTTATAAAAATTTCTTATAGTTTTTTCAAGAAATCCCCTGGGATATTCACAATATACTTGCTAAGCACAAGTTTCTGTGTACCTCCTTTGATCTTCTAATTTCTGTCCTTTGTGTGTGTGCTAGATTCGAATCTCACCCTACCAACTCCTCTCGGACTCTTATTCATTTCTCTCATTCAATTTAGCTTTAATTGTCTAATGTAGCTATATCTCACATTCTAGGTCTAAATTGTAGAAGAGCTACATTAGGTTAAATGCAACTCATAAAGGGAATGTAGACATTGCTCTTTCATAGTTTTCAGTTTTGGGATTTCATCATCGGCATAAAGAATAAAGAGATTACTTTTCAAATTTGAAGCTGAGTTTTGTTTCTTATGAAAAGACAGAGAAGAACTTACGAGTAATATCTTTCTAAGGACCCAGCTTATTCTCTCTAGCCACCATTGGTCTTGTGTGCTGGAAACACTATTCCTTTTCTCTCTAAATTTTTCAAATCAACCATTTAATTACTTAGGTTTTTGAGCTTCGAGTCTGTATTATTTATCTATCTACAAAAACAAAAATATTCTTATCACTGCTTTACAAATTCTCACCCCTCATATTGGTAGAGAAGCAAAATTGAGGATGGACAGGATTCTTCAATAGTGTGTCAAACATAGTTTATAAATTAGATGGTAAATTTTATTTAATGATCTTAAATATTAATTCTTCACTTTTAGATTACATAGTATCCTTATCTAATCTGTTTAAAGAGAAACAGTAGGAAAAAGCTATCTTTCAGACTTAGCAATAAAAGTTTCCAGATAAAGAAGTTTCATGTATATATTTTTATTCCATATTTTATAACCTCAGAATAACTAAAATATGGCATATTAATTTTTAATTAAATATTTAAATACCTCTAATACAGTGTAGATTGATGTCATTTATGTTTTTCAATCCAATTTCAAATAGAAGGGCAATTTCAAAATTACTTGGTATGGATTGTTTGTAACAAAAATGCAGAAATCAAAATTTAACTTTAATTATCCGTACAAAACAAAGTATCTGGAAACTTTTGCATATTGGATTTGTTCCTGACCTCTTCATACTTAAAAATTCAATCCTTTTGTGAAACCATCTCCTTTCTGCAATCATATCAGGATGACTACCCACTACTACCACTTTGAAAGCCTTTAGATTTAGAATGATAGATTGTTCCCAGGAAATGTATTCATTATGTCCATGTCAATCATTAGTAAACAGAAGGAATAACATTTCTAACTTAGAAAGTAAAACTTTTTATCACAAAAAATACATGTACATACTTATGTATAGTTATTTTTACCAAAATACTAAAAGAAAATCAGGGTTGTTAGTAAGCAGACAAGGTGGAAAATGAAATATTATCAAACTAACTATTTTTATGGACAATCATGAGACCTGGTTATAGTGATGAAAAAAAGAACAAAATATTTAAATGTAATTGAGAAAAAAAGGATTTTGATTATATCAATTAAGCGTTTGCCTTATGAAAAGAGTTTAAGAGTTAAAAGAAATAATGAAAACATAACTGACAATTCTTAGAATTTCATATCCCATCTCCGTGGCAGGATTTACTCTAAAAGGTATGTGTGAAACAACCATAATTTGGCATCATGATCACTGCCTGTCAGATTCAATTCCAACATCAGCTACTTACACTCAGTTTACATAAGAGAAAAAAGATTCATCCTGGGTGTTTCTTTCTTTGGTATTGTGTTTCCTTTTTCTAAAAATGGATCTTCTCAGTAAATACATTGACTTTATTGAAACAATGGATATTTAGTGAACCTCAGATTTTAATGCAAGTCTGAGAAACTCAAAATACAGTCACAGATAACAAATGCCATCTGATCATAATTTGTAAAACGAAATTTTTTTAAGAGAAAACTAAAAACCTAAGTCTCTTTTATTTTTAATAATTATCACATAACAATTTCCTCACATTTCTGCATGACCATTTTTCCCAAGAAATCACCCAGATTTATGAAACCTATGTGCAAGAAGCAACAACACAAGTCCAATTCTGTGCTTACAGAAAATATCTACATATTTCACATAAAAATACAAAAGGTACTTTTAAAAAGTTAATGGTAGTGCAAACAACTGACAATTGTGTTAAAAAATAAAAATAAATGTAATCACTGGTATCAGAATTTTGATTATGTTCTCTATTGAATGAATGTTATTAACATTCTATCATATTTTCCACCTACAAAGACCACAAAGCATTAATGTGCTACAAAGCAGTCAGCTCGTTGCAATTTAAAATTTCAGTTTTTTTAAAAAAAATTTCAAAACGTTGGCATTCTCATTTTTTTCTTAAAGTAAAGCATCATTAAAGTTTTCTCATTTTAAAAAGATAGTTATTTTCTTTATTAATAATAATCATTTAACTGTAATATGCTTTTAAATATGTTTGGACACAATTTGGCAATTTTTGTAAAAAGAAAGTCTTTCTGGTGAGTAATAAATATATGTGGGAATTTAGTATGTTTTACAAACTTTTCCAGAAATAACAGTGTATATTTAACAATGTTAAAATACCTGTGTATGTTTAAAATGTGTAAACAACTTTACAAATACATACATATGCATGCTATAAATATAGGCAATGTTAATTATCTTGCCATTTTTGTCAAATTAGAGACGATGTGTAATGTGATTAAAAAGGAAGATATGTACAAAAAGAAAAACACCGAAATGTTAAGCATCATTATTGTGGGTCTTTGTGATTATGGGTAATATTTTTTGTCATTTTTTCTTCTTTGTATTTCAATATTAATGTTTCTTACATTTTGGAGGCAAATTTTCTTGGAGAGACATTGGAAGGCACAGCAGATCAGGATGTTAAATTAGCGTTTAAAGGTGGTGGAGAACTTGACAATGAATGAATGAGGGAAAGGTGATCTTTCTGGGGCAACTGGGCCTCGTTTTGCCATGAACTGCAGCATTTACATTGCACCACAATGATGAAACAAAGACAGAATCAAGGGACGCTTAAAAGAAGAAAGTGAGGTGGCGAATGGCCTCCCATGAGAAAAGCTTTGAGGTTTTACTTGAATGAGCATACATAGCAGGGTTGAATTTAAGGCCCTATGAATATACTGGGGGAAAAAGTGCTTAAGACCATTGCACTTTCACATTGGGAGGTGATAATTTGAGGATTTTGTTGCTGTGGTTGTTGTGTTTTTTTTCCTCCTGTTTTAATTTGTTTTCCTCCTAATGTGGTAAAAAGCTTATGAATGAATACATTATACTTGTACCTATGCATATTCTTAATGGGGCTTAAACATGGTGAGGAGAGAATGGCAAGGTAAAACACAATTTTTCATTTCTTATGTTATTTAAACAATTGTGTGTTTGATACCAATTTGACAAGATCATAGTTGTGAAATACAGGCCAAGTTTTCTTATTTCAACAATTCTGTGTACATTTACTATAAATTAAAAATTAGAAGATAATAATAATTTTAATGACTTGTGTTTCTATACCATGTTATTTTGCTTTCAGTGAAAAAAATCTAACTTTACAAATTTAATATTAATAAGTTATTTATAAAACGAACTTTTGGTGCTTTTGAGAACACCCTTTCCTTCCATCTTTTGTTTTAGAGGAATAATTCAGAAATTCAATACAAAAAGCCTTTTTAAAATATGCATACATTATGTATATTTAAAATGTCAGCCATTTGTAAACTACTTCAACATAAAATGATCACGACAAGACTGAAGGTAAATTGTTGGTATAGAGTGAAGGCTATTTTGAGTTCTGCAAATATGTACCGTGTGTCTGAGCTCAACTTTTGATCTAGCTTCTCTACACAAGTTGTATTTAACATCTTTGATCTCTGAGTTAGTGATCTAATCTGCTGTATAACTTAGCTTTTATTGATCTGTTCTCATGCTAAGCAAATCAAGTCTCACTTTTATGGGGTAGATTGAAAAAGATAGTAAAACTGCCTCTGAGACAGCAGTTTAAATCTGTGCAATAACAGTGAAAGCAAGAGATAAGACATTTATTACACTGCCAAACTTCACATGAACTCAAAGTGTCATTAAATAGGTATGTGTCATTTGCCACAGATATTTATTTTACTAGAGATCATGGTTACCACCCATTTGGAAGCAATGTAGTATATTTTCTACTGTCATAGAATATATTGCTTGTCCAGGTACCCATATTTATACAGGCTTTTGTTGCATACCATAGCATTCTTTTTGAATGAATTATTTATTCTGATTGAACAATGCCTGCATGTACTTTTTTTTCCTTTCAGTGTTGTGTCAAGAACAACAGAGAAGAGGTTTATGTTGGGTTGCCTTTGTAATATTGATTTTTAAAAGCCATGTTCAAGAGAATAAAAGACTAATAATATGCATTGACTACTTTTATTTACCCCCTATGATATTATTCCTTCTGTTCCAATTGATATTTTATCACAAAGATGGAAGGAAGTGATGTAAAAATTGAGACTCAACTAACCAATATTGACAGATTATCACTTGCCCTGTAAAAGACACTTTTTCTATTGGAGCTGGAACTAAAAATTCAAAAGATGCAGACGAAGAAATGATGGTAGTTCAAAGATACAATGGACTTTAAAAATAGCAACAGACATATTTGAATGGCATTTTATGACTTTATTAATGCACTCTAAAAATTATAATTCTACATTAACAAATTATAAAAACATGATTATAAAACAGTAGCTATTATTGCATGGTGTATAATAAAAAGAAAATATTTACAAATGAGGAAATGCAACCAACAACAAAAACTATGCGAGTTAGAACTTTATTCATTAGCAACTGAAGGAAGGTAATAAAAGTAATCATGAGGTTTCACTCATCCAAGCCACCTAAAAAGGGAGGAAAAAACAGAGAGGATACAGTGTAATTTTATTGTGATTGTAAAATTCAGAAAAAAACTACCATTAGAAATTTAACAGTTGAATTTCTGTTAATTTCCTATGAAATTTAAAAATTAAAACAATTAAATATTAAATATTTATTTTAATTTTCAGTTTACATTTACTTCTTTAAACATACAGATTCTTAGAAGCTCTATATTATTCTATCATATGGACACTAGAATTTACTTTATCATTAACCTTATGTTGGACACAATGATTATTTCCAGTTAAATACTGCTACAATAAACTTTGTCATGTCAAAATCTTTATTTAACTACATTTCAAGTTTTTACCTTGGCATAGATTTTTAGAAATGAAATTACTGAACTAAAGAGTATACATTTTGATGTATATTCCCAAATTTTTTCCAAGAAAAGTTATATCAGTTGTTAATATCTTCAGCCTTTTGTGAATGCCCATTTTGCCCTACCTTTCCCTGTGTCATACATTATCATTTAAGCTTTCCTAATTTGAAAAACAAAGGGAAGTGTTTTATTTTCAAGTTAACATTTCTTTCACTAATATTAAGCTCAATATTTTTATATTTTCATAATTTCATTAGATTATTTTTTCTCCTTTATGTGAATTACTTTAGTTATCTACTGGAATCTCATATGTAGTTATAAATTTCTTGTTACTCTTATTTTAAGAATTTTAATTTTATTCTGTTTCAAATATTTTTCATTTTAATTTATTATTAATTTTAGTTATCTTTTTGTTTGACAATTAGAAGTTTAAATATCAATATATTTATGACAATATATTTTCCTTTAACACTTTAAAGCTAAGTGAGTATTTTTTCATCCAAAACCCAATTGATATGGTGCCATATTTTTCTAGTTTTTATGCTCTATTTTTTTCCCCAATTACACTATATGATGTCATTTCAGTTACTTTTTTGTATTATATGAGGTATGGAATCAATCTTCTTTGGATATTCAAAGAGCTAACCAATTTCCTAGAGCTAATTTTAAATAAAAATATTACAGCTAGCTTTGTTCTAACATAGCGATGTCCATAGTTTGCACATCATATGTATACACTTTTTCATTTCCTATTATTTCAAAACCATCACTTTTAATGTCTATAAGGTGTTCGTTATAGCTATAAAGGATATAACACAATTTAATAGACTCATATGTCTGGCCATTTACATTGCTTTCAGTTTTCCGACATTATAAAAATTGTTGAAATTAACAAATTTCTACTTGTACTTTTTTCTCAGTTTGTATCAGATTTATATTCTAGCTTTCCAGAGGTGGTATAATAAAAATAAAGTATACAAACTTTTCTTAGGATTTGAAAGATATTCACAAAACGTCCCTGTAAAATGTTATGTTAAATATATATTGAAAATGCCATCAACAGTGTAACAAAATATCAATTTCACTGTATTTTCTCTGTTTTTTTCCTCCCTTTTCAGGTTGATTGGATAGGTAAAACCTCATGATTATTTTTATTGCCTTCCTTCATTTACTAATGATGGTTATAATTTTTTGCTTAGTTTATGTTGTTGGTTGCATTTCTTCCTTTGTAAAATATATATGGCATTCATTTACTCACCTATGATTCAGTAGTTTTATTTTAGGTCTTTTATGTATTTATGTTATGTATTTTATTTAGTTATTTATATAATCAAGCTATTAACTGTTACATTATAATAATTATTCATATTTTCTACAATGTCTTCCTTTTTATTTTACATAGATGCGTTTGTTTTTGCATTTACAAATATGTTCCCCATTCTTTTAAACAAGCTATGTTATATCTGCCAAAAAATGTGATAAGTATGGAATTCCATTTTTCATTTGTGTTTCCTCAATCAGGTATTTATTTTAATTTTTTACTATCAGTAAAAATAAAAATGAGTTTTTAAACAAACTCTTGAATTGGCTAAAATTCTACAGCTTTCAAATTTCTTTGATATAAAAATAATCTTGTATTTAATCTTTGTTATTAATGTGATGGCAAGCAAAGAACCCAAATTCAGAATAAAATCAATAGTTTTAGTTCTAATGTAGTTTGTAATCAACTCAGTGTTGCTTAAAATTTTTAACAATTAATTTTAGCTCATATACTTAGAAGGTCTAAAGGGATTAATGAATTAATGACTGAATCCAACATTTTAAACAGGTTAAACTCCAGCTCTTGTATAACCTCTGGGGTGTAATCTCTTGTTTTATTTCTAAGCCACAGAGGCCACCCTGCAGTGATGATTTTGTCTTATAGGAAAGTAACCCCCCTGGGCAGCCTGACTGAAAGTGCCTATCCCTGTAAGGCAGATCATCCTATCCTTAGATTTGGGACAGGTCTAATAAGGAACCGATGCAGGACCCACAACATAAAGGATGTCTACTTCCAGTCAACACCTTATGTTAAGAATCACTGCATTTCTCTGAGACTCTTGAGTTAAATTCATATATTTAGTTTTTCAGTCTCAGATTGATAAGTAGTTATTGGTAAGTTCCACCACACTGGCAAGTCATAGGAAATAAAATTCAAATTCAAAGTTCAATTTTAGGTTGTCTAAGCTGAAGTAATCTTCAAAATAATTTTGTGGTGTTAGTACTTACATGACATTTTTGCTTGTCAATAAATGGATAGGGTGTACTACTTCAGAAATTCTTTATTCTGCATTGAAAGTTGAAGAGAAGAAGCTTTGCCAAATAACTTGTAGTTTATAAGCAATGTCCATAATGCCACTTATGAGGTCCTGAAATTGTTCTCATCTGTGTAGTCAAAAATATCTGCCAAGTAAGCCAACTTGAATAAATTTCTCCCTATCAATGAATTCATTCTCAATTTTAAAACAAATGCTTCAACTGTAATCTAAGTAATTTTAGGATATTTTGGAAAGAAAATAATCTTCTGTTAATATAAAATAGTTGTAAAAAATTGAAATTATCATTCACTTGACTTAACATATATGTACAACCAAAATAAATGAGGAGCTGGCCAAACTGAGGAATTGATGAAAAACTGAATAATTATCAATTACTCCATAAAGTTCTTGCTTCAAAATATTAAAGGGTGTCAGAAATGCTAGAGTAGATGGTGTTATTTGACAGAGGCTTTGCTTTGGTGTTTTTTCCAATTACATTAAAAATATCTATAATTCCCCCCACCTCTCATTTAAAAAAATACCTGTTTCCTCATCCCTTGAATCTGAGTTAGCCATGCGACTTGTTTTGACTAAGGGATTTAGCCAAGTAAAGAGAGGTTTGAAAAGACTTACCCATTGGGAATTTCCTTTCTGCTCTTCAAACCCTACCACTGCTATGTGAGTGAGCTAGGTAGAGCCTACTAGACGGAGAGTTAATGCGAGATAATTGGCCCAGTTACCCCTGTTGCTCCAGTCAACAGCTGGACTACTGTCAGACATTTAAGTAAGGCCATTTTACAATATCCAAGTCCCAGCTGAGCCACCAGAGGACTGCAGACACATGAAAAAGCCAACTGATTTGAGCTGAGTCCAGTCCAGTTGAGAGAATCACTCAATTGTCCTGTAGATTGATGAGTAGTGATAAATACCAGAGATTTAAAGCCACTAAATTTTGGTTGGTTTGTTGTATGTTTTCAGATGACTGATAGAATTCAGCCTCTGCACTAAGAAGTAAAACACAGAGACCATTTCAAGTGGACCTGGAAAGACTTTTCAATCACAAGAGACTTTTTTTGCTCAATTAGTGAATAAACAACCTTTCACAAAACTCTAGGACAAGATTCTTTTAATGGGATAAATCTCATCTCATCCTCTTTAGTAAGATCTTCTCTATCATAAAAATAACCTACACTTTCTCATGGACACAGTTAGGTTGTTCTTCCCATTGAATTTTCTATTTATTATTTATTTATTTAGAGACAGAGTCTTTGTCACCCAGGCTGAAGTGAATTGGCATGATCATACCTCACGGCAGCCTCAAACTCCTGTTTTCAAGCAATTTTCCCACTTCAACCTACTGAGTAGTTAGGACTACAGGCGTGTGCCACCATGCCTGGCTATTTTTGTTCTTTTTTTCCCAGACATGGGTCTTGGTGTGTTGCCCAGGCTGGTCTCAAACTCCTGGCCTCAGTGATCCTCCTGCCTTGGCATCCCAAAATGCTGGGATTACAAGCATAAGCCACTGTGCCTGGCCCCTATGGAATTTTGTAATGTTACTTGCTTATAAGCAGTATTGATAATTCTGTGTTCGTTTGTGTTTTGTAATGCAAGTAAAGGACATACAAATGTAAATCTTACCTTTACTTTGACATTTGCCAACTAAGTTAGGCTACTTTAAACAAATACTAGAGGTCAATAATTATTGGCAGAATACGTTGTCTTTTATTCTTATAGTAGGAAAGTATTCTAAACATCAAAGAAAAGAGATTGTGATAGGTAGTTACCTGGCTATGTATAATTGAGTCTCACACCATCTCTAATTTTTTCGAAAAGAAATAGTAATACCTTATTTGCATAATGTGATATGAATTATTTTTAAAAGATAATTTTCTAAGTAACAAAAAGTATATTTGAGGGAAAAATACTTTTATTTTTTACATGCAGTTCTCAGATGCTATGACATTCAGTCATAGACCACAGGTAAAAAACTTATACTCAATATTTACCATTAAATAAAATGTTGAAAGTAAGTTTGAAATATGTTCCATCAGAGAAGAGTAGGAAGATTAACTTAATATAAATTATCTTTGTAATCTAAGGTGGTAATATGGTATATTAATTTCATTTTTAAAGATTTAATATTTCCAAATAGCAAGATACCCTTAAAAATATAGACAAGGTATTCCCAACTCATGATAATTCATGCTTTTGATATAGTTCATATCATATTTGTTAGTATTTTAATTATTATTTTCCATTTATTACTTTTTCTCTATGAATTTACCATCTTAGAACTTTTATATGCTCAAGGCAATATTTGCTCTGTGAAATGAATTAGTTAGTTTTCATTAATTTTACATTGACTGGAATGATTTTTAAGCATAATTATCTGTTCTTAGGCTGCACAAGTGAATCCATTTAGAAATAACTTGCAAATATATTTGTCCATGTTTTTATTTTTACTTTCATTGCTATAATGGAATTCATTTATTTTTATAAGATCAGTGAAGTTTTCAGATTTATCAGTATATAATTTTGCCAGTTGTACAGGGTTCTTTAATTTTAATGATTGCATTATAAACCATACATTTTCTTTCATATACAATTGCATTTTAAATCTGTTAGTTGCAGTTCTCTATCTGTACTTCTGTGTGTGTGTGTTTCTTTCTACTTACCTGTATTTTTATCTGTTATGCATCAGTCTTCCAATGTATTTATTGATTT
This sequence comes from Homo sapiens, assembly GCF_000001405.40. Classification (NCBI taxonomy): domain Eukaryota; kingdom Metazoa; phylum Chordata; class Mammalia; order Primates; family Hominidae; genus Homo; species Homo sapiens. The sequence goes on from NC_000005.10 coordinate 51,867,051, forward strand.
TGTTTCTATTAATTTATTTCACCAATTTCTCCCCCCCCACCTTCCTACTCTACTTTTATTTTGATGTACCTTTTATTCTTTAGAATTTTTTTCTTTATCTAATAAGTTCAACATTTTATTTTATTTTATTGAGCTTTTAGGAAGGTTATTCTCTATACATAAATATATTTTATTGATGCATAATAGATGTACATATTTTCAAGGTACACTGCTAATTTAATATATTTATATAATTTGCATAGATCAAATCAGTGTACTTGACATATCCATCACCTTAGAGAGTTCTACATTTTAGTTCATAAGTTTTTTTTATTTTCCAATAGTGAAATCACAGTTGTCTGTTAATTTAAAATTTTGGTGTAGAAAAGCTTTGTAAAAAGTTATATGTTAATCAACCCATCTGCTGTATCTAGCACATTTTCTTCTTCTTTCTTCCTAGGAATACTGTACTGCTGACTTTTATTTTTAAATGCAAATATTTGTTGTAGATTTTCAAACTTTAAAAATCTTTCCCCAACTTGCATACACTTTCAAGTATTTGTCATTCCTTTATGTTGGTGTACATTCTACATTGTTTTCTATTACAAATGATAGAAATGCAAGAGCAAGAAATGACGGCGACACCCTCCTGGACTATCATCTTGGTTCAGATTGGGTAATTTAATAACTACGGTCTCATATGGTGGATAGCAGAAAGAATGGGAAAGAGGAGAAGTTAAAAGGGTGAGAAGAACAATGTTTACACAACATGAGTGTGCAGTAAGGGCACATTTCATGTCTATGAAATATGCAGAGGAAAAAGATATTTATACCTAAGAGGAGAAAAAAGTAGAAAGGCAAGGTGGGTACCTAATGACTATGTTCACCCATTTTACGATTTTGCATAGTCCTACAAGCTAATATGCCTATATACGGTTTCCCTATATACAGGAAGCTGTGGTATGACAATAATATTTCAACTATAAAATACTCTACAGTAGCCTGTGCTATGAAAGGATAGATCAAAATGTTGTTACACTAATTAATAAATTAATGACGCATTTATTTTATACATTTATTTACTGATTTAGTCTCACATCGACATGAATGCATTAAAATAATTAACAAAGTTTTGTTTTCTTTCCCAAGTCTGAAAGTCACTTATCTGGGTGCCTAAAGTGTCAGGGAAAATATTTCCAACTGTTGAATGTATAAATTATTCTGTGTTCCTGCCTGCTGCTATTGGAGAGCCAATAAAAGTGTATGGCAACACTAAGTCTAGTTACTTTTGTTAATCAATTATAAAGCACTTTCAGTGCTTCTGTCACTTGACAAAGCAGTTGTAGGCTACAAACTTAATTGGCCTTCACACATTTTGAAGCAAATATTATACTGTGTATCTTAAGCCCCTATAAGCGTCCATCTCCTGCAATTACTAAAATAATGATCTATAGATATGGCATAATAGGCAGCACAGTTTAAGAGAACAAAATGAAAATAATTTATTTTAATAGTGAAATGGAGTTTCATTTCAGGTTTACAAAGTGTAATGAAAGTGGCAGATTTTAAAGTTTATAATAATGCTTTAGTCAGACTAATATAGCAATTTTAATTCTAAGTACACATTAGAGTTCTTAATGAGTTAATTTGCAAGTCATTCCTGTGAAGCATAGAAATATTACAAATCTCATTTCTATTTATAAGAGGGTTATAGGTTACAATTATTTCTGAATGAGATATAACTAGAATTTTCTCAAAATTCAGTACGTTTATTTATTTCTCTATAAAATTACCTAGTGACAATTTCTCACCATCTCTAGCAAAGAAGTATGTCAAGAGTGACGGGATTCAGAAAGGTCAATAATTCGTACAGGACACACTGATAAACCAGAGAGGAGAAGATTATCCTTTCATCTAACCACCTGTCCATTCATATAATAAGACCAGAATCTGAGTTTAAGATTAGCAGATTTTCACCAGTACTACATCCAGGTGGAAACTACAAATATCGAGGCAATTCTGAGCATATATCAAGGCACTCTTTTCAGTATTTGCCTGATGCATGGGTAAATTTCCAAAAATTTCCACTGAATGATTTCATTCTGATAACAGACAACCCATATTCTTCACGCCAATAGTCAGAGACCTTATTCACAAAATTTTGCAGCAATTCTGCTCTTCTTCATCTCTCCTTGGCAGTTAATTTCTCCATACTCTAGTACTTTGTAGTTCAAATGATCTTCCTAAAATATTACTTCCATGTCAATTTCCTGTTCAAACGTCACTATTCTAGGTGCCTTCATTTAGCTTTGAAATTATGAAAGTAACCTATCATCTAGCTGTATGTATTATAATCTAGTGTATCAGTAGTTCATTATTTTACATTGTTGAATAATATTCCATTTATTAATACACCAAAATTTGTCTATTCATTTTGCTATCACTGGCATTTGGCTTCTCCTACAGACACTTGAGTCCTTTCTATTTTTGGCTATTCATAATAAAACTGTTATAAATATTTTTGTACAAATGTTTTCATAAATATATGGATATATTTTAATTTTTCTTGGTATACAAATAGTAGAATTGCTTAGCAATTGAATAAATGTATGCTAAACTTTGTAAGAAACTGCCAAAGAACTTCTCCAAAATGGATGTATCATTTTACATGACCACAAGCAATGTATAAGACTTCCAGTTGTTCCACATACTTGTCACCATTTAATGTTGTCCATCTTTTTATTTTTAAATTTTAGCCATTTATTGCTGCATAGTGTTTTCCATTTTCATTTATCTGAAGACTGATAATATTGAATACCTTTACATGTGCTTATTGACCTATTCCTATATTTGTTTTAATTGTTTAGTACAGCTTTTTCCATAAAGGGAGAGATAGGAAATATTTTAGCCTTGGAAAGCCAAAGAGGATCTATGTAACATATCTTTTTAAAATTTTTTAAACACATTAAAAATTTGAAAATTATTCTTAGTTCTTCAATCATATAAAAACAGACTGCACATCATATTTGGCCTGTGGGTTGTAGTTTACCAACACTCGGTCTAGTCCCTCATCTATTTTTATTGGGTTGTGTGCTATTTTATTATTGATTTGAATTCTTTATATATTATAAGCATGAGTCTTTCTCTGGATATATGTATTATAGCCAAATATTTGAGGATTTTATAGACTTCTTATTGTTATTGATCAAAATTTTACTCATAGACATATTGAATAATATATTAAACACTCACAATTTACTGCAGATTCTTAAATGAGCTGTCATATGCTCTGTCTTAGTAATTACATTTGTACTTTAAAAGAAAGCATATTCTGCATTTAGAGGTGTAATTTTTTGAAACATTAATTATATTAGGTTAGTTGATATTGTAGTTCAAATTTTTTATATTCCTCTTGATTATTTTGTTAAAAAGGACCTATCTGTTTAATAACAGAAAGATGTAAAGATCTCTATCTATGGATATTAATTTCATTATTTCTTCCTTTAGTTCCTTCAACTTCTATTTTATTATTTTGAAGCTTTGTTAGTAGACACACACAAAAGATGTCTTTCAGAGAAATTATCATTTTTATTAAGAAATGTCCTTCCTTATGTTTACTAAGTCTTAGTCTATTAATGTCTATTTTGTCTGATATTAAAATAGCCATAGTAGCTTCTTTATACTTACTGCTTACATATGATAATGTTTATATTTGAATAGTTTTAAACTTTCAACCTGTGTCTTTATATTTAAAGTTTATCTCTTGTTAGTAGCATATACCTGGGTCTTGCTTTCATATTTAGTCTGACAATCTCTAACATTAATTAGAATACTTAACCATTTACATTTAATGCAATTTTTGATATAATTGAATATAAGTCTACCAACTTAATATTTGTTTTATTTTCCCCCCAACCTTTCTGTTTTGGTTTTAAATTCCTCCTTTTGGGGCTTTCTGTTTTCCTTTGTGTGTCCGTACGTGTGTGTGTGTATGTGTGTGTGTGTGTGTGTATACAGGGGTGATAGAGTTAATGTTATTTATTTTTAATTTCATTTCCTCTATTGGCATTTAGCCATACTACTTTGTAGTTTTATTGAGATTAAGGGATTACCAGATGAATCCTTAACATTACATATCAAGTGTAATTAGAGCTAAATTTAAAAAGTCTTCCATTTATGATTCCATCCATTGTGCCATCATTGTTATCTTTTACTTCAACATACATTAATGACCACATAACACATAGTTATTATTTGTTTTCTTACATATTCAGTTTGTCCCTTAAATAAATTAAGAAAAGATAAACTTTGGTTTTATGTTTACTGATATATTTACTATTTCAGTGCTCCTTTTTTTCTAATTTTTTGTGCTATTTATTTTCTTTAGCTTGTAAAACTTAAGCATTTTTTATAGTTCTATATCTTCTGTGGCTAGACTCCCACAGTTCTTGCTTATCAAAATATAATGTTAATTTTGAAAGATATTTTGTTTGATCTCCAATACCACACTGCCTTGATTACTATAGCTTTATAGTCAATCTCAATGGCAGATAGTGTCAATCTTCTGACTTTGTTTTTCCCTGTTGAATATTGTATTGACTATTTGAGATCTTTTGCCTCTTCATATAAACTTTAAAAACAATTTGTTAATACGCACAATGTAAATTGCTGGGATTACATTGAATCTATATATCAAGTTGGAAAGAACTGACATCATGACAATATTGAGTCATCCTATCTATGAACATGGAATTGCTTCATATAATTAATTCTGTGATTTACCAGAGTGCTGTAGTTTTCCTCATTTAGATGTTGTACTTATTTTGTTAGATTTATACTTCCCTTTTCATTTTTGGGATGCTAAAGTCAATGGTATGATATTTTAAATTTCAAATTCCACTTTCTCATAGCTGGTTGATATGGTTTGGCTGTGTGTCCCAACCAAAATCTCATACAGAATTGTAGCTCCCATAATTCCTACATGTTGTGGAAGGGACACAGTGGGAGATAATTGAACCATGGGGTCTATTTCCCTCAGACTGTTCTCGTGATAGTGAATAAGTCTCACAAGATATGATGCTTTTATAGAGGGTTTCAGCTTTCTCACTTCTCTCTCATTTGTTCTTGTCTACCACCATGTAAGATGTGACTTTTGCCTTCTGCCATGATTGTGTGGCTTCCCCAGCCATGTGGAACTGTGAGCTAATTAAAGCTCTTTTTCTATATAAATCACCCAGTCTCAGGTATGTCTGTATTAGCAGCATGAAAATGGACTAATACAGTCAATTGGTACCAGGAGTGGGGTGCTGCTGTAAAGATACCCAAAAATGTGGAAGCAACTTTAGATCTGGGTAACCAGCAAAGGTTGGAACAGTTTACGGGGGCTCAGAAGAGGACTCGAAGATGTGAGAAAGTTTGGACCTTCCTAGAGACTTGTTTAAAGGCTATGACCAAAATGCTGATAGTGATATGGACAATGAAATCTAGGTTGAGGTGGTGTAAGATGGAGATGAGGAACTTGTTGGGAACTGGAGTAAAGGTGACTCTTGCTATGTTTTAGCAAAGAGATTTGGTGGCATTTTGCCCTTGCCCTAGAGATTTGTGGAACTTTGAACTTGAAGGAGATGATTTAGGGTATGTGGCGGAATAAATGTCTAAGCAGCAAAGCAATCAAGAGATGACTTGGGTGCTGTTAAAAGCATTCAGTTGTAAAAGGGAAACAGAGCATAAAAGTTTGTAAAATTTGCAGCCTGATGATGCAATAGAAAAGAAAAACATATTTTCTCAGGAGAAATTCAAGCCAGCTGCAGAAACTTGCATAAGTAATGAGAAGTCAAATTAATTGCCAAGACAATGGGAAAAATATCTCCAGGGCATATCAGAGACCTTTGCAGCAGCCCCTCCCACCACAGTTCTGGAGGCCTAGGAGAAAGAAATGGTTTTGGGACTGGGCCCAGGGCCCCCCTTCTGTGTGCAGCCTAGGGACTAGGTGCCCTAAACACCTGTCACTCTAGCCATGGCTAAAAGGGACCAAGGCACAGTTTGGGCCATGGCTTCAAAGCTGTGATAGCTTCCATGTGGTGTTGAGTCTGCAGGTGCGCAGAAGTTAGCGATTGAAGTTTAGGAACCTCCATCTAGATTTCAGAGGATATATGGAAATGCCTGGATCCCCAGGCAGAAGTTTGCCACAGGGGCAAGGCCCTCATGGAGAACCTCTACTAGGGCAGTGCAGAAGGGAACTGTGGGGTTGAAGCCCCCACACAGAGTCCCAACTGGGACACTGCCTAGTAGATCTGTGAGAAGGGTGTTACCATCCTCCAGACCTCAGAATGGTAGATTCACTGACAGCTTGCACCATGCACCTGGAAAAGCTGCAGGCACTCAATGCCAGCCTGTGAAAGCAGCCAGGAAGGAGGCTGTATCCTGCAAAGTCACAGGGGCAGAGCTGTCCAAGAGCATGGGAACCCACCTCTTGCATCAGCATTACTTGGATGTGAGACATGGAGTCAAAGGAGATCACTTTGGAGCTTTGAGTTTTGACTGCCCGCTGGATTTCAGACTTGCATGGGACCTTTAGCCCCTTCATTTTGGCCAATTTCTGCCATTTGGAATGGGTGTATTTATCCAATGCCTGTACCCCCATAGTATCTAGGAAGTAACTACCTTGCTTTTTGTTTTACAGGCTCATAGGCAGAAAGGACTTGCCCTGTCTCGGATGAGACATTAGACTGTGGACTTTTAAGTTAATGCTGAAATGAGTTAAGAATGTAGAGGACTTTTGGGAAGGCATGATTGCTTTTGAAAAGTGAGGACATGAGATTTGGGAGGGGCCAAGGGCAGAATGCTATGGTTCAGCTATGTGTCTCCCTCAAAACCTCATCTCGAATTGTAGCTCCCGGAATTCCTACATGTTGTGAGAGGGACCTGGTGGGAGATAATTGAATCATGGGGATGGTTTCCCCCATACTGTTCTTGTAGTAGTGAATAAGTCTCACAAGAGCTAATGGTTTTATAAGTGGTTTCCACTTCTCTCTTCCCTCTCATTCTCTCTTGTCTGCTACCATGTAAGATGTGCCTTTTGCCTTCTGCTGTGATTGTGAGGCCTCCCAACAATGTGTGAGTTCATTAACCCTCTTATTCTTTATAAATTACCCAGTTTCAGGTATGTATTTATCAGCAGCATGAAAATGGACTAATACACTGGTATATAGAAAAGCAATGGAATTTTTAATATTAACCTTTTAACCTGTAATCTTGCTATTAATATAATTGCTTATTAGTTCCAGTTTGGAGAGTTTTTTTTTCTCAATTATTCAGGTATTTTATAATAATAATCATGTCATCCTAGAACAAAGATAGTTTTCTTTCTTTCTTTCCAGTCTATATACTTTTTATTTTCTTTGCTTGTCTGATTGCTTAATGCTAGGACCTCCAGGATGATGTTGTGGTAAGAGGGAACATCCTTGCCTTGTATTTGATCTTAGTGGGAAAATTTTTAGTTTCTCACAGTTATGTATGATGTTAGCTGTAGGTTTTTCCCTAAGTATTCTTTACCAAGATGGAGAAGTTACCTTTTTTTTTTTTTTTTTTTTTTTTTTTTTGAGACAGAGTCTCACTCTATTGCCAGGCTGCAGTGCAATGGCGCAATCTCGGCTCATGCAACCTCTGCCTCCCAGGTCCAAGTGATTCTCCTGCCCAAAGTAGCTGGGATTACATGCGCGTGCCACCATGCCCAGCTAATTTTTTGTGTGTGTTTATTTATTTATTTTTTTAGTAGAGACAGGGTTTCACCACGTTGGTCAGGCTGGTCTCGAACTCCTGACCTCATGATCTGCCTGCCTTGGCCTCCCAAAGTGCTGGGATTACAGGCATGAGCCACCGTGCCCAGCAGAAGTTCTCCTTCTATTTCTAGTTTACTGAAAAATTTTTTAAAAATCATGAATGGGTGTTAGATTTTTGTCAAATGCTTTTTTCTGTCTACTGACAATCAATGAACCATGCTTGCATATCTCGAATAAATCCCACTTAGCTGTGGTATATAATTCTTTTTTATACTATTGGATTTGATTTACTGATATTTTGTTGAGGATTTTTGCATCATTTTATGGGTGATATTGTTCTATAATTTTATTTCCTTGTAATGCCTTTGGTTTTGGTAGTAGGTTAATGCTGGCCTCAAAATAAGAAGTATTTCCTCTATTTCTATCTTCTAAAAGAAAATTGTAGAAACTATGAATAATTTCATACTTATATGCTTGGTAGAATTCACCAGGAAACCTCTCTGGGCCTAGTACTTTCTGGTTTGGAAGATTACTAAATACTGATTAAGTTTCTTTAATAGCTATAGGTCTGTTCAGATTATCTATTTATTCTTGTGTGAGTTTTGGTAGATTGTGTCTTTCAAGGGATTAGTTTATTTCATCTAAGTAATCACATTTGTGGATATAAAATTATTTATAATATCATCTCATTATCCTTTTAATGTCTATGGGATATGTAGTGATGTCCCCTCTTTCATTTCTAATATTAATAATGTTTGTCCTTTCTTCTTTTTTCTTAGCCTGGCTAGAGGCTGACCTATTTTAGTTATCTTTTCAAATAACTAGCTTTTGGTTTTATTGATTTTCTTTATTGATTTTTCTGTTTTCAATTTCATTTATTTCTATTCTAATTTTTATTATTTCTTTCCTTCTACTTTGAATTTGCTCTTCTTTTTATAGTTTCCTAAGAAGAAGCTTAGATGATTGAATTTAGATCTCCCTTCTTTTCTAATATAATGCATCTAATGCTATAAATTTCCCTCTAGCACTGCTTTCACTGCATCCCACAAATTTTAATAAGTTGTTCAATTTAATTTCATTTTTAATTAATACAAAATTTTTAAAAATTTCTCTTGAGTTTTCCTCTTTGACCTATGTATTATTTAGCATTGTCTGATTTCTAATTGTGGACTGAAGGTTTATTAATTTGTGTGTTTTTTTTTTCTATAAAGCACTTCAAAGAACTTGTAGCATTATTTTTAGGCTGTCATTTTTTCAGATGAGAAGTAAACACTCATTTGTGTTGTTGATCTTCTGCACATAAAATGTCCTTTTCTTCTAGTTGCTTTTGAGACATCTCTCTTTTTTTCTAGTTTTCATCCATTTGATTATGATATGCCTGGATTGTTTTTTAAAAAATTTATATTACTTTAAGTTTACTCAGTTTCTTGGACACGTAAGTTGGAGTCTTTCTTAACAATTATTTATACAAATATTGTTTTCTGTACCATTCTCTTTTTTCTTCTTAGACTCCAATTATACCCAGCTTATATCCCAATTAAGTATGTTGTAACTATTAGTATTGTACATTGGCTATAAGCCTCTGTTGATTTTTTTTCAATTTTACTGCCCTTTTATTAAATTTATCTTCAAGTTCACTGAGTCTTTTTTTGTGCTGTTTAATTTGCTATTAAGCCAACCCAGTGAATTTTTTATTTAAGATATTACATTTTTTAGTTTTAGAATATTATTTATTTTTGCCATTTCACTGTAGAGATTTCTTAACAAGCCACTCAATATATTTTTCTTGAACACCTTAAATACATTTACGTGGGTCACATTGAAGTCTTGTTTCAGTGAACTACTATTTGTTTCTTGATGTAGTCAGTTTTCATTTTTTCCAATGTCTAGTAATCTTTTGTTGTATGTGTGAAAATGTGGATTAAATAACATAGAAGCTTTGATTATGTTACTTTAAAATGTATGGAGTTTTGTTAAGGCTTTGTTTATTTTTTGTTAGACTAATATTATGCATTTCCCCTTTCGTCACCTTTATCGAGGTCTTGTTCCTTAATTTAGGACATGAGTTTTACCATTAAAGCAGTCCTTCTGTGGGGTCAACTGAGTGCCTGAGGTGCTGGAGGAGGAGGTGGGGTCTGCATATGCTAATGTCTCCTAGCCCTATACTATCTCTAGTCTATTTCTCAGTACACCTTCGCACATGTGCAGCTCAGCCCTAAGCCAAGACCAGAGCACTACACTCCACCCCCAATATTTGAATCCACTCTCTGTGTAAACTTTTCCTCTGTTTTTCAAATTCCATCTGCTTCAGAAGCATCAAGCTTAATATTTGCCTCTTCAGCACAGTGAGTCTGTCTATTCTGCTGGGTTCCATTGACCTGTACTGCATTTCAGAAAGAATCTTTAGACAGGAAATTGGAGCTAAGATGTAGCTTATGCCTTGTGTTTCCCTTCTGTCAGGCACCCAAGTTCTAAGATGATTGTTTTCCAATGTCTGAAAATAGTAACCATATATTTATTGTCTTCACATATTTTATAGTCGTATATACTCTGAGAGTGAGTCTAGCACCACTCACTATCTCACATCGAAAGCAGAATTATCTCCATTCATTCTTGCAAGAACATCTTCATCACTACTTCAGCAATAGACATACTCATTCTTTCAACTTCCTTTTGCTCGTAAGTAGTAATTCCTCTGGTTGTTAGTTTTAGTCACTGGTGTTGAATTAAATAAACCTGATTAATCATTACAGCTACTGATATTAGGCTGTCATTTTTTCAGATTAGAAGTCAACACTTATTTGTGGTGTTGATCTTCTGCACATAATATGTCCTTTTCTTCTACTTGCTTTTGAGACATCCCTCTGATGAAAACTGATGTAGTCAGTTTTCATATTTTCTAATGTCCAGTAATCTTTTGTGGTATGTGTGAAAATGTGGATTAAATAACATAGAAGCTTTGATTATGTTACTTTAAAATGTATGGAGTTTTGTTAAGGCTTGGTTTATTCTTTGTTAGACTAATTTTATGCATTTCCCCTTTCGTCACCTTTATCTAGGTCTTGTCCCTTAATTTAGGACACAAATTTTACCATTAAAGGAGTCTTTCTTTCTGTGGTGTCAACTGAGTGCCTGAGATGCTGGAGGAGGGGGTTTATTATAGTTGCAGTTCTAATATAACCTTGTTTCATTTTCATACACACTATTTCCTCACTTAATGTCATCAGTAGTTTCTTAGAAACTGTCTTTAAGAAAAATAACATACAGCTGGTCCTCGAATGAAATCATTTTCTTCAACACTGTTTTGTCATAACATTGACAAGAAAAAAAAAACTGGCTTCATTATAAATTACAGTATTCAAGAATCTATCAGTGATGTTACGTGAGAACTTATTGTATATGTCTATAGATACTCATGATACTTATAGGCATACAAATTTAAATGTATAGATATAGATTTTAAGAAAGAGACATATATAAAGAGAAATAGAGAGTGAAGAAGTAAAAGAAAGACAATCAAGTAGTTTCACATAATAAATTACATCAAATACCTTGTTTTATTCATCATAATGTCTTCCAAGAGATAGCATGATGTTTACATAATGTAAAAGACTAAACAATTATTTATTAAATTTTAACATATGCAAATACTCTACCTGAGCAATTCTCAAAAGGGGTGATTTTTCCCCCAGGAGACATTTGACAATGGTTGGAGATATTTTTAGTTGTTGCAACTGAGGAAGTTATACTGGTGTCTAATGGGTGGAGGCCAGGAAAGCTGTTAAATGTTGTATAGTATGGAACAGAGTCCCCTGCAAGAAAGAATTATCCAGTCCAAATTAATAATAGTGCCAAGGATGGGAATCCCTGTTCTATTTTAATATAAATATCTGCTCTATGTACAAATATATACTTAACACCCATATAAATATATATTGATTCAAATGACATCCTGACCTATCAATGTAAAATAATAATGTGGAGTACACTCTACACTCTTTCTCACACTTAATTTATTTTATATATACATAAAATTATGGATGTGTCTGTATAAAATGTTTTCAATATTTACGGTCTTTCTCCCCTCACTTAAAAGTAAATTTATAAAAATAGGGGCTTCATATGTTTAGTCAGCAGCTACATTCTTAGTACCTTTCCCAGTGCTTGGCACTTGGTAGGTATTCAATAATGAGTGAATGTGCAAATGCATTAATATATTTGTCAATTTTTATAGATATATTTTATCTGTTTTAATTTCTATTTCTGAAGGGTTTTATTAAAAAAATAAATTTTTGGCCAGGCGCGGTGGCTCACGCCTGTATTCCCAGCACTTTGGGAGGCTGAGGTGGGTGGATAACCTGAGGTCGAGAGTTCAAGACCAGCCTGACCAACATGTAGAAACCCCGTCTCTATTAAAAATACAAAATTAGCTGGGCGTGGTGGTGCATGCCTGTAATCCCAGCTACTCGGGAGGCTGAGGCAGGAGAATTGCTTGAACCTGGGAGGCTGAGGTTGCGGTGAGCCGAGATCACGTCATTGTACTCCAGCCTGGGCAACAAGAGCAAAACTCCATCTCAAAAAAAAAAAAAAAAAAAAAAAAAGAATAAATTTTTAAATCAAAAAATAAAAACTTAAATGGTTTGTGGAAACCTGAGTAAAAATTTTAAATATAGCAAATGTCATTCCAAACTACTTTTCATAACTTAAACCTAATAAGTTGGAAGCATGTTTTAATAACCTCTAAATCTGCTATTCCAGTCTAGATTAAATTAAACATTATTTCCGTGCTACTCTTTTTTTCTTTTTTTTTTTTTTGAGATGGAGTCTCACTCTGTCGCCCAGCCTGGAGTGCAGTGGCATGATCTCAGCTCACTGCAAGCTCTGCCTCCGGGTTCACGCCATTCTCCTGACTCAGCCTTCTGAGTAGCTGGGACTACAGGTGCCCGCCACGATGCCCAGCTAATTTTTTTGGATTTTTTATTAGAGACGGGGTTTCACCGTGTTAGCCAGGATGGTCTCGATCTCCTGACCTTGTGATCCGCCTGCCTCGGACTCCCAAAGTGCTGGGATTACCGGCGTGAGCCACCGCGCCCGGCCTGTGCTACTCTTCAGAAAGCAGAATTATTTCTTAACTGCATTTGGCTAACTTTAAGATCATGGGTTTATAGGTATATAAATACATACAATCTACAGATGCGTGTGTGTGTGTGTGTGTGTGTGTGTGTAAAAGTGCTCAGTGCCTTCATTAAAAGCTATTTCCAATTAAATAGGTCAGAGAAGGTTCATATTACACTACTGTTAAATTGAAGCTGATTTAACTGATTATTTTCTTGAAATACTATTTAAATATGAAATATTAAAGGAGAAAAAGCTAAAACAAAAAAAAAGGCCCTCAATGGGAGTAGCTATGTGAAAGAAAAATCATCATATTTAATATGCGGGTGTGCTGATTTCATAACTAAAAATATTGGCATTTACAAAAAGGGATTACATATTTTCAAAGTTATAAAAACCTGTCTCATATTAATCAAAGATAAATTAATATCAGAACATGATAAAGCACCCAAAAGCAGAATTGAAATTACTAAAGGCTACTTTGTGTTTCATCACCTTGGTCTCATTTTATGAATTCCATCTAGACCAAGAAAGTAAGAAGCCTTGAAAGGACTGTCGAGATTTCTTAGTTTTACCCCTTAAAATATGTTTTAAAATAAAGTGACTGAGGTGCAGAGTGTTTCATAACATGTTAAAAACTACACTGCTAGCTAGAATCTTCTGATTTCATTCAGCTCTTCTACTTTATTAACTTACACTTGTGGAATATATTCTAAAACACAAATTTTATTTAAAGAAAAACTGCAAAGCTAAATAGATGATAAAATATACAATATAGAAGGGATTTTTGTTCAGTGGAAAGTATAAATCAACACACGCTTTCAGAATATTTTTTCTTTTAATGTGACAAACACAAATAAAGTGACCTGAAACTATCTATTTATCAAAACAATTTGTTGACTCTTTCCACAGACCTTTTTATAACTGTTTGTTCTGTATTAGGGTAGAGAGAGAAAGACAGGGTCTAAAATAGAAAATGATCTGAGAAATGTCTTTTTGCTAAAACGAAGCAAAATAAAAGAGCCCAAGTCCTTTAAAGTAATGAAATTGATGATCTACTCATTTAAAATTACAATAGCTATAGGAATGATAAACCAACCATCAATGTCTATGTGAAAGAAATCTTTTTTTAAAGGATTTATTTTGTTTGCCTAGAAGCTAACCTCCCTTGGTGTGTGAGTGACAGCTTGGAAATTGAATTATAAATGTAGGGGTGAGGATTATTTGTGGTAGGAGGTTATACTTCCCGAGGAGCATAACTGAATGGCATACCCCAGTTGGATACTTTGAGGTGACATGTAAAAGCAAGTTTCAGGATTATAGAAATGTTGGTTATAGCCATATTTACTTCAGAGACATTATGAGCAGGTGGCTCAAATTTTGCTCAGTGTCTAGAAGAAGCATTCCATGAAATCCACCAACTTTGGATAAGTGAGATGCTGAAAGTCTTCTCAGAGAAATAACATATTCTTCCCAGAGAAATCTACCAAGTCTCACTTAAAAATTCTGATTCAATTGTAACCAACAACCAATTACTCCTGCTAGCTTGAATTCCTGATTTTCCTAAATCAGAACTCTTATAGTCTAGTAATACAACTTTTGAGGATGTCATTTGGAAACCTACTGATATTCTATTATAGCACTCAGATATTTGTTCTCTTCTAGATGGTGTAGTATTTGATTTAAAATGCCAACATGACAAGGAGCTTTTCAAGTGCCTCTAAATCATGCAGGTAGAATCTCTGACTTTAAGAATAAAGCTGTTTATTGAAAGTATCAGTTAAAAGAATAAATCTTATTAACTCATTAACTCATATATACCAAGTACCTAGAGAGTATATATATAGCATTACTATAGGTTTTGTGGGATGTTGCAAAACATCCAAGATAAATCTCTAAAGGCACTTATCTACTTTTGACAAGACAAAAGGACATGCAATCTCAGTAACCATGTATACACAACCGGCTCTAAAAATATCTTAACACAGGGTCTCCAGCTCAATGATTTGCTAGTGAAGCATGTGGAACTTCTGTCTGAGAGAAACAGGCTAGTGTTTTGGTTTTATTCTCCAATGTAGTCTGTACATTCATCAGTGACAACTCATCTCATGGGATATTTCAAGCCTTTATACACAAGAAACAGCCCTGCCTCCTGCTAAGTGTATTCAAATGCTACAAGCAGCTCTGCTTTGCCTGGGTAAAGGAGTTCCTTTTTTATGTTAACAAAGGTATGTGAGTTTCAGGGGTAATGTTAAAAAGGGAAAGGTCAGAGATGGATTGGAATTTAGGAGCCCCAGTCATTTAAAACAAAGCAAGAGGATCTTGATCTTCAGAAGCACTAACATACTTTGGAAAAGATGAGTGGAGGAAGAAGATGCAAGACATTAGGAATAACATCTTGAAAAGAAGATCTAAGCCTAGCACGATCTTTTTTCTAATATTCTAGAATTGATTTTAGGAAGCAAAATATTTGGGCTAGCAAAGACACACAGCTTATCAATTGAGAAATGTAAGACGTTAATGAGTTTCATTCAATCAAAGTTTGAGATAAATAAGAAAAGTAATATTTCCCAAAGGCTATTTTAGTCAATTCTGCTTGACCCTTTGTTTACAATCAGTCTATCATTGTTATTTGGAATGCTCATTTTCTTTTTTTCCCTCTGCCCGTAAGATCATATCTCTGTACTCCGAATCCGGTAAACAGTTCCTGAAGTACTAGTTAAAATACCCTTGATCCTACTCTGAGACAGTCCTGAAAACTTAAATGAATGGTGTTTGGCAATCTCAGCTCAGTCCCCAGTAAATGTCCACATCACAAAACCACAACCCTTAATTTTCAGTGATTGATTATCTCTGCTTAGCTTAAACTCAGGGTTGAGTCAGCCAAGGACTTTATTACCCTCCATTCCTGTGAGGGTGGTCCAGCCAGGTCAAAGTCGAGGTCAATAATAGGGCAGGAAGGTACTGCCATTGCCAGTAATCAGGACTATTCTTCACTAGAACAAAGAACTTCACTCCTCAGAGATGCTGTTTTGCACAAACAGATGTAGTCTTCACTAATGATAAAAGGCTATACTAAACTCAAACAGCATATCTGATCAAATAAAAATCTTTTCATGATCCAGGATTTGTTTATATCTTAATCTAGGAAGTAAAGTATTAAAAGTGAGTAATTTATTGGATGGTTTAAAAAACCATTGAAATTGCAAGAATTGATTTATCAGTTAAAATATCTGTATACTAAAATTGAAGATACAGTTTTAAAAGCAGCTTTTAATTTAAAAACATAGTTATCAATAATAAACTCAAATTTAAACTTAAATGCTAGTATCATACTGTGAAACACAAATAGGTTTATAGATTTTTATAAAAAGGAAAATTTGTATTTACAACTAAAATGCAAAATCAAAACATCTATACTGTTTAATTTTACAAGACACATTTTAAAGTAGAAATAAATACTACTCATTGTAGGAGATTTCAGATTTTAGAACTATAGCAAAATAAGATAACCCATTAGCGCTGAAGATATATAATTATTTCATGTGATTTTCATGGAAAATTATGACAAGAGAAATATTGATTTTCATAGTAACATTAAAACCAGACACTAAAATATGTATAGCAAGTTTGATTCAAAAAAGTAAATTTCGCTCTTATGTATTCTTAAATAAAAACTTTCACACGAATTACTCCACTAAATTA
This sequence comes from Homo sapiens, assembly GCF_000001405.40. Taxonomy (NCBI): domain Eukaryota; kingdom Metazoa; phylum Chordata; class Mammalia; order Primates; family Hominidae; genus Homo; species Homo sapiens. Next base: position 51,883,631 of record NC_000005.10, read on the forward strand.
TGAAGAGTGAATTCTTCAGTAGCTTTTTGAACCAAAAGTCATATTTTACACAAAGCATGAGTTAAATAGAATTGGATTAAAAATTTTAAAAATAATGTATCCATAGAGAAACATATAAGATAAGAGTTTAGTGGGCAGCCAAACACACCTTTATTTAAACACCACTGTTACCTTTCATGACACTGTGGCCTTGGAGAAGTTACATAATCTTTCTTAACATTCCCCACGAGTCGGTGAGCTAGGGTAGAGAAGGTATAGAAAATAATTTCTACCATATAGCATTGTTGTAAAGGATCAAATTATTTCACAGATATAAAACATATGATACATGTTTGTTCCACAAATATTAGTTTCCTTTTTCATGCAAAGCATTCATATAGATAGATGGCTTTACAAAAAAAGGAGTTAAAGACTTTAAGTCAAAATGTAGTGAATGTTTTCCAAGTTTATAATCTCATCTTTTTCAGTAGTTAATTTTCTAGGTAACATTGAATTGAGTGAACATAATTTTAATTTTGTATTATCCATCAATGTGAAGCTTAGTTGTAATTTAATTTATTATAACAATTTAATTTATTGGCTGGTAGGCCGTGAATATTTTTTCCTGTTGCTGTGATATGAGGTAGTGTGGCTGTATCCACAGTGATAGAATGAATGAACCCAGGATTGCCTTCACAGTTCATCTCACCATCTTAATCTGTGTAAACCACTGCAAACGCAGTTTAGGAGCAGCAGTGAAGGCATATACTTGTGACAACCAAAACGGATCAATAATTTTCTGATTCTCTTGAGAGACCTACAGAGAAGATTTTTAAAATTTTATTTGTTTTAAAGAAAAACAGTTACATCCTATCAAGGTTTTCCAAACTCCATTTGATAAATAACTTCATTAGATACCAAAAGTTCTTTTACTTTTTGTCTATTTTTGCATTTCCAACCTAAAAGTAGAGCACAGTTGTAATAAAAGTTTATAAAGACATTATAGAGGTGCAGAAAATAACAAGTGAGGGTCCTATAACTTCCAACCCTACTTTCCTCGGATAAGTATTATAAGATAGTATGTAATATTTATCTCTCAGTGTTTTAGGTGCACATAAAAATATATATTCTTAAGTATTTCATGCAAATTTATGATTACATATGTTTCTGTATGTATGTATATGCACATATGGGGGTGTGCGCATGTGTGTGTATACATACAGAACTATTATAGAACTTTACAGTATTACAAAATTTTGGTCATTTAATATAAATAAGGGGCTGGGTTGAAATCTGGGGTTCTCCTTGTGATTTCAGGTAAGTTACTCAACCTCTTTGTGTTTCGGTTTACACACGTTATAATGGTATGATAAGGAGAAATTTCCTAAGGTAATGTAAAGTTTCTAGCATATGTCTGCTTAGTAATATTAGCTATTATTATTATTTCATATTAGTATATATAGCTTTCTAAAAGAAGTTTGCTTTCAGATTTACCTTTTTAATGTATTTATTATATATATAATAGTTGTACATATTTATGCAACACGTGATATTTGGACACAAGCATACAGTGTACACAATTACACATTGTATTCTTGTATCAAAATGTCACATGTACCCTTATCCCAATCAGAGTAATTGGGATATCCATCATCTCAAGCACTAATAATTTCTTTGTGTTAGGAACAGTCCAATTTCACTCTTAGTTTTTGTTATTTTTATGCTGCATAGTACTGAATAGTTATACCATATTTATTTATCCATCCTTCTACTGATGGGCTTTTGTATTTGGTTCATTTTTTGTTATTATAAAGAAAGTAGGTCAGGCATGGTGGCTCACGCCTGTAATCCCAGCACGGTGGGATGCTGAGGCGGGCAGATCACGAGGTCAAGAGATTGAGACCATCCTGGCTAACACGGTGAAACCCTGTCTCTACTAAAAATACAAAAAATTAGCCAGGTCTAGTGGCACGTGCCTGTAGTCCCAGCTACTTGGGAGGCTGAGGCAGGAGAATCACTTGAACCCGGGAGACGGAGGTTTCAGTGAGCCGAGATAGCGCTACTACACTCCAGCCTGGGTGACAGAGCAAGACTTTGTCTCAAAAAAAAAAAAAAAAAAAAAAAAAGAAAGTAATAATGATGTAGGTAAGGCAAAATTTTACCTCCACTTTTTTGGCATTCATTTTCTGTCTAGGACTGGGAATTAAATTGATATAAGATGGATTGGCAGAAGAAAAACATATATTTATTTGATACAACTTTTATGTGGCATGGGAGCCTTCATAAGGAAATGACGATCCATAGAGACAGAGTTGAACACTTATACACTGAAGGGGACAAACAATAGTAAGTTATGAAAAAGCAACAAAATTATGTGGGGAAGTATATTAGCCAGGGTTCTCTAGGAGGACAGAACAAATAGGATATATGTATCTGTGAGAGGGAGTTTATTAAGGAGAATTGACTCGCATGATCACAAGTTAAAGTCCCACGATAGGCTGTCTGCAAGTTGAGGAGTAAGGAAGCTGGTGGTGGATCAGTCCTAGTTCCAAAACCTCAAAAGTAGGGAAGCCGACAGTGCAGCCTTCAGTCTGTGGCCAAAGGCCTGAGAGGCCTTGGCAAACAGCTGGTGTAAGTCCAAGAGTCCAAAAGCTGAAGAATTTGGAGTCTGATGTTCAAGGGCAGGAAGCACCCAGCATGGGAGAAAGATAAAGACCAGAATACACAGCAAGTCTAGTCCTTCCATGTTCTTCTGCCTGCTTTATTCTAGCCACGCTGGCAGCTGATTAGATGGTGCCCACCCAGACTAAGGGTGGGTCTGCCTCTCCTAGTCCACTGACTCAAATTTTAATCTCCTTTAGCAACCCCCTCATAGACACACCCAGTCTTCACATCTTCCAATGCTTCACATCCTCCAATCCAATCAAGTTGACACTCAATATTAACCATCACAGGAGGCTATAAGAAAAGATATATGCAAATTTTTTTAACCAGGTATATACAAACTTATCTCTGTCTCAGCTTCCTGCCCTTGATGATAAGAATGTTGCTTTCCTTCTGGTACAGAAAGGGCATCTTGTCTGTGACCATACCAGCGTTGCTGTGCCTGATCTCAGAAGCTAAGCAGAGTTGGGCCTGGTTAGTACTTGGATTACAGAGGGCATCTTTCACATGAAAGTCTCATCTCCTTCTCTCAAGAAACAGGAGAAAGGTCAGGAAGCTCTTCCTTCACCTGCTGTTTTTAAAGTGCCTTTAGTTCAAAATTATTCTTAGGCCAAAGTGGTGTATTTTGGGGCAGTGTGCTCTGAACTCCTTTAATTAACTAACTTGAAGATAATTATTTGCATGTTACAGTAAATGTGTCCATTTATAACAATTTACTAGAAGTAGAACTGCTAAATTAAACAACATGCACATTTACAATTTTGAAAGATATTGTTGAGTTATCCTCCCAAAACATACTGTATTAGAATACCAGAAACGGTATAGAATATCTATTTGCCCAAACTATCCACAACTCTAGCTAATGTCAATAATTTTAATATTTATAAATATATTAAATGAAATGAAAATAAGTTTATCTATTTTATTATCAGTTATATCAAATATCTGTTCATGAATGTATTAATAATAGCCACCTGCCTTTTTGTCTTTCATATTTTCCTGTTTTTCTAACCCATTCAAATCCTTTGCCTCTTTTTTCTCTTTAAGATTTTTATCTTTGAATTCTTAGTAATTAGTCAGAGCTCTTTATATACTATTTATCCTTTAATTAAAAAAAATAAACAATCTTGGCAGTATTCTCAGTCACTTCTTTCCGCTAACAATAGTTACAAATCAAGTTGAGGCTCCCAATTTTAAAATATCCCATATGGGCATGTATATATTTAATTAAAATCATATGACTGTTGTTTTACATATATATATACACATATATACTTTTTTAATTTGTTTGTTTTGTTTTTTTGTTTTGCCTAGAACTGATCCATTATTTCTTTGGTCACTTTTGTGAAATCAATATGGAAGACCTAAGGATTCCTAAGTTAATAGTTTTATTTAGGCTTATTTAATTTTTTCATTTGGGTTCCACAATAGGGATAATTTATTTTGTATTTGAGTAATTTGATTTTTCTCTGTTTTAGGAAAAAATTTTTATACTGTAGCCAGGGTGATCTTTCTAAACCACAAATATGATTTTTGTGTACAATCCTTTAGCCACTTTTATTTGCAAATGCTTAAGACAGCTTACAGCCGAGCTACTTAAAGTGCTATACGAGAAGGGGCAGCAACAACATCATCTGAGGCCTAATTAGAAATGCCAGTTGTAGAGCCCTAGCACAGGCCTACTGAATCAGAATTGACATTGAAGTTTCAGAAGCATTGAGCAGGATCTTGAACGAACTGAATGCCCAGTCTTTTTTTCTGGCTTCAATTCGGCTTGCTTTCTTGTTGATCACTGTTCTCCAATGATACTGGTTTTCTTACAGCTAAATATTCTCTTCTATTTCAAGTATTCACCATATTTTCCCTTTGCTGGAAATAATATTTTTCTCCTTTTGTTTTATTAAATTTTACTCCTAATTTAGCTTACAACATAAATGTTACTTCCTTATGGGAATCTTCCTCCGCCATGAATCCATACCCTTCTTTATTCTGTGTTCTAATATTTCCATGTACTTTTGATTAGGATTTGCTTTGGGGATTCTTAAATCTACCAACATCTGAACCCCTGCTAATTGCTAATCATAGGAGACTGTGCCTTGTTTTGGTTGATGCTTAAATCTTCAGATTCTATCAGAGTACTTGATGCATATTGAGCCTATAATAAATATTGCTTGAATGAATGAATGAATGAATGAATGAATGAATGAATGAATCCTCCTTAAAGTGTTTACTCACTATTTTGGGAGTCACCAAGCTCAAGGGTCACTTCCCAAATAAAGTCTTCTCTGGCTTCCTCCTTTTTCTCAGGATGTTGGATGTGTCTCATTGTCTGCCTTTTTGGCATTCCTTGTTCTGATATTTTCTTTTGCATCTTATTTTAACCAGTTGTTTAACCACTTTTTCTGTTTATCCTTGAAAGTAGAGAGACTCTCTCAGTCTCTTTCTCTCTCAACTCCTTTTTTTTTATTCTTAATAAAAGATTGGAGCATATCAGATCTTCAAATACAACATTATAAATTAAATACACTTTAAGCCAGACTCTGTCATAAGTCTGTTTTGACAGTTAACCCCTGCATTTTGATTTGCTCACTTTCAAAATGGAAGCAATTTGAGGGAACTTTCTGGAGGAAGATGTTCTATATTTCAGTTGTGGTGGTGGATAGCTAATGTTACAAGATGAACAAAACTCATCAAAGTGTACTTAAAATGGGTGAATTTTATGTAAGTAAGTTACAACTCAACGTAGTTAGAGGAGAAATAAAGACAAGAAACTAAATCTTGAAATAGTGACCCAATGATTATTTTTGGTTCGAGCTTAGGGTGGGTTTTAATTTTTTCTAATTTATTTTAAATGAACCTGAACACCTTTAAGCCTAGTGCTCAGTTCTATCTCCCACAGAACCCCCTCTATAACTATCTTACACCAGATTAGATTCTCATTCTTATTTAACTCGCAGACTCAAAGCTCTTTTTTCCAGTCCCCTGTATAAGCAAATTTTTATGATTTTGCTTCCACAAACATTAGATCACTATCAAGGGTCACTGCTGAATATTATACCCACCTGAGGACGATGTAAATCAATTTTCTAATTAAGTGACTTTACTAAGTTATATGCCCTCCCCTACACCCTGAGGACTTGTTTGTATTTAATCACTGTGGCCTAAGTGCAACTTTGAATAAATGAACTGTATTTTAAAATTTAGCTGCATGTTCACATTGTTTTTGTACATTATAGAAAGACCATCAATTTTTTTTTCCTATGATGATTAAAGCATAAATCTTGTCAGGCTGAGTGTACTATATACACAAACACATATCCTTTTATATATACATATTCATATTCATATATATACATATATAAGAATATACCTATATATGATACTCTTGTGTATACTTTTAATATATTATATACTCATTCTAACACAATCTATTTCCAGTTTATATTAATCTTTTATTATTAATGTAAGAAGTTTGTTTCACATTGAATGTGATATTAGAAACGTGCCATTATTTAGAACTCAAGAGACACCTGTCAGGTTTTGCAGGTGGGGTATTTTTAATTTTATTAAGCCAGGAAATTGTTTTTCCTTCCACATGTTTGTCTCCTTATCTGTCATCCCATCTTACACTTCCAAATCCATCCTGACTCTAATAGGCTGAGATGATTAATCATCATAGAAGCTGGCATGCAGAACACAGAGCAATCAAGAGAAAAGGAAACAAAGGGGCCGGGGTGTTATGCAGCCACCTTTGATAAATACAAGAAGAGGACACCTCACATTTCAAATTACAAAAGAAGAATTTTGTTGTAATCTTATAAAAAGATACTTTCACCCTTATTTGTTAATTATCTTCAGAAAATCATCTCCCCTGACACAATCTGGGTAACCTGGATAATAGCATATTACATGTATTATAAAAATTAAAATATAAATAACTTACAAATCAGTCTTATTTTCCTTCACAGAAAAGCCAAACAGTAATTTCTGTGGTTAATAATATAAAACATTCATTCTACATTAAAAAATAGATTATTTTTAATGTTACTAAGAAAAATATGTAAACTCAATTTATTCTATAAAACATCTTGAAACATTTTTCTATTAAAGATACTGGTGTTAATTTCAGCAAAAACAAGAGAGGCATTTCCTGCCTCTCTAAGATAATGAAGAAGTTATTCTAGTCAGTAACAAGTCATTTCACTTCTGAGTTTTAGGTTACTTATCTGAAGAATAAAAATACTGGTCCTATTTTCTCTGGGAGTATGTTATTAACTTCACACTCTCTCCAGGATTGGGTAGATTCAGACGTCTTAAAAGTGATTCCTGAACTTGGCTGCATGCCAGAATCAACTGGATAATTATGAAGAATGCAGATTCCTGGGTTCTCTCCAGCCTCACAGAATCAGCATTTGAACGAAATAATATTTTTACACAAGCCCGGCCATTGATAACGAAGTATTCTTGGCCTCAGACTAAAACTTATAAACCACTTTTATTTTGGAATGCTTAAGAAATGTAAAGACCTGATCTCAACGCTCAAATTTTGGAGTAGTAGCAGAGTGAAGAAGAGGAAAAAAACATGTATAACTGAAATAAGCCAGACACAGAAAGACAAATATCACATGTGGTCACTCATATGTGGGAGCTAAAAAAAAAAAAAATTGATCTCATGGAGATAGAGAGTAGAATGATGGTTACCAGAGACTGGGGAAGGTAGTGGGGAGGGGGATAAGGAGTAGATGGTTAATGGGCACAAATATACAGTTAGATGGAATAAGATCTAATGTTTTGTAGCACATTAGGTAACTATAGTTAAAAATAATATATTTCAAAAAAGTTAGAAGACTGAAATTGGAATATTCCTAACACAAATAAGTGATAAATGCTTGAGATGATGGATATCCCAATTACCCTGATTTGGTCATTGCACATTGTATACATGTATCAAGATATCAAATATAGCCCATAAATAGGCACAACTATTATATATTCATGAAATTTTTAAAAATGAAGCAAAAACATAAAGAATAAAAAAGTAGGAAAAATAAAGAAGAGTAGGCACTCAAAATTGAAATTATTAAAGACAGAGGTAACAAGGACATTTTATCAGCTATTTTTAAATGAGTACACTTGTCTCTGTTGGCTGCTTTGCATTCAGTGACAATCATCTGTAAAGGTAGGGGCACTCGTAAGACAATACTACCTACTTCATCTCTTCTCCCTGATGATTCGCAAATTTACCAGCAGATATTTTTTTTGAAATAATTTCCTAAAAAGGAGGGAAGGGGAAAAAGAAGATAATAAAGAAACAGCCCCATATGCTTAGGAAAAAAAGAGAAAAACAAAAACAGTTGAGATAAGTCAAATACTAAAAAAAACTCACCTTATTCATCAGTGAGTATGGAGCATTCTAATCGTTGACTTAAAAGAAAAAAGCCAAGCCAATAAGTGAGTGAGTGGGTGGAAGTATAAGGGGAGTATGTTATGTGAGGCATGGGTGAGTCAGTGTGTGTTCACTCAGTGAGTGTGTGAATGAACCAAGAAGCTGGAGAAGCTGGAGGAGAGAGAAGAGATGAGAAAATGAAAAGTCAAGTGTAGAAAGAAAGCAGGAAAGGGAAGAGATAAAAGAGCTACAGCACTTGTGAGAATGCATGGAAAAAGAGGCTTTGGTAGATAAAATGAGAAGGAAAAGTCCAGAGAGTGAGAGAAAACTAAAGGAAAGAGAAGGCTTCAATTTCTGTCTGGTGATGGTGGCAGAGGTGTGGTGAGCTCCCCACAACTCCCTGCCCTTGACTTAATTCATACCAATCTGTATCTTCTTGGGAGATGTACAACCCAGGCCTAACCCTGAATTTGTTGTGTCAGCAAAAACCAAATCTTTCTTTTTTCTTTCTTGTGTATGTAAGGGACACCTGGGCACCACCTTATGGACCATTATTAGAATATACAGTATGTGGCTGGGCGTGGTGGCTCATGCCTGTAATCCCAGCACTTTGGGAGGCCGAGGTGGGCGGATCACGAGGTCAAGAGATTGAGACCATACTGACCAACATGGTAAAACCCCATCTCTATTAAAAATACAAAAATTAGCCGGGCGTGGTGGCATGTGCCTGTAGTCCCAGCTACCCTGGAGGCTGAGGTAAGAGAATCGCTTGAACTCAGGAGATGGGGGCTGCAGTGAGCTGAGATCATGCCACTGCACTCCAGCCTGGCAACAGAGCAAGATTCCATCTCAAAAAAAAAAAAGAATAGACAGTATGTTTAATTAACTCATTCAACGAATGTTTATTGAGCACTTACTAGGTGTCAGGGACTCTGTGAAGCCATAGGGGTTGCTGTGAAGAGAGGACAAGTCCCTGCCCTGCTTTGAAGGTTAGCCCACCAGGACAAGCTTGCAATCTGGAAGGTCCTTGCTAAGCAGTTACTGTTCCTGAATTTTCATCTGGTTGTGGTATTTTTTTCACAATCTTGATTAATATTCCATGTCTTCCAGCCACAGTCAGAAATATATATACCATACTATTATGTTCCTAAAGCCTTTCAACTTAAAGAGAGTAACATAAAAAACAATGACTCAATATAGTATTTGTCTTGTGTGATACAAAGGCTCTAAGTGGGAAGTTTATGAAACCCACAGATTGAGTAATTTGTTGACAAGAAGTAAATCTATATAATTCTGTGACTTTACTAGAGCAATTGTGTAATATGTCATAATGCTTGTCTACGATAATGACAGCTCTTAATTATTGGGTCCTAATAAATGCCTAGTATTCTCCCAAACATGCTTCATTCTTTAAATTTTCTTAGCAATATAGCTATTATGGTCTCCTTTTTAAAAATGTGGAAACTGAAATTCAATGATACAGTAATTTGCCCAAGCGAGGTAGCTAGGAAGTAACAAAGTCAAAATTCAAACTAAAGTCTGACTTCATAGTCTGCGCTAATTCCATTATATTAAGCTTCCTGACCAAGATAGCTCAAAAAGCTAAGATATTTATTAACATACTCAGATAATGAAGGTTTGCTATTTGATGTTGACATAGCATCATATATGTACATATAGTTAGTGATTCACAGTTAACAAGATGTGTGCCTGTAAAATTGTTTTGTAACTTTAGCAGACAAATAATTTCTGTGCAAATCTGTCATCTAAAATAGTTTACTAAGTTACTATAACTAAATTTGAGGATAAGGATATGACTTTCCAATTTCCAGCCTGGCAGTTGATGATAAATCAAGTAATGCTAGGTTGAAGCAAGATCAGAGCATAACTTTTATTATTTGCTTATTATTATTATTATTTAGTGTGTGCTAATAGTGTGTGCTAATACCAGTGTCCCACACAAATTAAAACCAATTAGAAAATGTTAAAGACCAAAAGCTGGGCCAGGAGCGGTGGCTCACACCTATAATCCCAGCACTTTGGAAGGCTGAGGCGGGCGGATCACAAGGTCAGGATATCGAGACCATCCTGGCCAACATGGTGAAACCCCGTCTCTACTAAAAATACAAAAATTAGCTGGGCATGGTGGCGTGCACCTGTAATTCCAGCAACTCAGGAAGCTGAGGCAGGAGAATCACTTGAACCCAGGAGGCAGAGGTTGCAGTGAGCCGAGATCATGCCACTGCACTCCAGCCTGGGTGATAGAGTGAGAAAAAAATAGATAGAAAGATAGATAGATAGATAGATAGATAGATAGATAGATAGATAGATAGATAATCTTTGATCTTGGAGTAAAAACTTTCCTATTACTAGCCTAAAGGAACAACATTAAATTATAATTAATTTTTAATATTTTTATGTCAACTGTAATGGTTATCTTATTGAATCAACTCACAAAGTTATTAATCAAAATAAAAAATGTTATTGCAGAAGACATTTTATGAGACAGTTGATCCATAAGGAAGATCATCTGTGGTGCCTTCAGCCCTTGAAGTACTAACGATAAAATTTTCAACAGTGTTAATGCTGCAATCTGCTTTGAAATGGGGGTCCAGCAATACTCACGTCACAAAAGTTAATTTGTATCCAAGTCTTTAAGAATGTATTCCACCCATAATTTAAAAGTCTGTATATTAATGCCAGTATATTCCTTAGATTTGTTAACATAAATCATTAGTTGAGTTTCTTCAACATTGTTCTAATTATAGGTAATATAGCAAAATGCATAAACTTCCTTTTTATATTTCAAATTCAATATGAAATTTGGGTACAATTCCATGTTCAGCATTTTCTTTACTTGTTTTTTAAAATTGCATTTAAGGATGTGACTTTGATCCTAGTTTTCTTATAACGATTTAAATGCCCTAGATTTTAGCAGTGGGATTTAATTTAATAAATGCTGGATCTCTATGTTTGAAGACAAAAACAAATTCTCTCTTTGCTTTATTCAGTTTGAAAAGATAGATTTTAGTAATTTGTTGTAATGTGTATGAAACATATTTCAGAATGTAGATCAAGCTTCCTAAAGAAATGTTTTTAAAATAAAGATTTTAAGTAATACAGGTTCAAATTCATTTTGTCAGTACTAAATTCATTTCTCAGTACCAGTACTTACTGGTGTACTATCTAAAAGAAACTATGTGTGGAGAACAACAATACTGCATTCAGGTGGTTTGTATCAATGGTAGCCCAGTCTAAAGATGGAGCAGTGAGGAGGGACCAGTCTAAAATGTGGTGATCAGGGAAGGCCTTCTGAACAGGCGACACAGGAGTAACACCTGGCAGAAGGTAAGAGAGCAAACCACAGGTTGGAAGTAAGTTCTAATGCAATCAATTGTTTCAACAATTTTAACGTTTGATACACAGAAGGTTGTCAAAAGCAAAACACATGTTTTTTCTTTAAACGAATTACATATTTTCCTACTTTTTATAGTTTTACAAACATTTTCACATGTATACTTTCTATATTAAACACATTTTAGCAGTAATTGCCATATATGTAATATGTATACAATGTTTACTAAAAATTAAGTGAATAGAATTCCGTTTATGAAACAAATAAAATAATTGGAATATTTATTTTCAAATAGTTTGGTGGCAAAAAATGTTTATATTGACTATCATTTATTCTTGAAATATTTAACATACAGTACCGCATAAATGTTTATATAATGCTTCTAATATATATGAGGAAAATGTAGGGATACAAAATGTCTTTTTCATGACATCAACCTAGAGGTACAGACTATATAATTATTCAGACCTGGAACAGCATGCAAACATTTGTATATTTGTTCAACCTCAGAAATCTAGGCTTATGTGTCTGATGATTTAAGACTTCTTTTTAACCTCTGACTCTTAATAGCATCTGAAAGTACTCTGTAAGGCAAGAATCTACTATAAAATAGGATTACATGGGGCTTTCAAACAGCAAATGAAAGAAAGAAATGAGTGGTAAGATGCAAGGAAGATCAAATACTGTTTTCATTCTAAATTTTAGTCTCCGGTTGAACGTTTCTTTCCTGCTATTTGGTAATTCTAAACGTCTAGAAAGTCTGTTCAGTAGATCTTTGAATGAAAACCAAAGTGGATATCTGTATAATTTTATGTTCTTTGAAGAGGTTTTCAATGCATTCTCAAAGAAAACCTGAATTTCTAAGAATTGTAACAATTAGTGAAAATAGGAATTTGAAACATAGGAAGTCAAAACTATTATATTGCTATTTGTTTATGTTGTTTAGTTTTGACTTGATATCTTTTCCAAAGGCATGGCTAGATGAAATGAGAATCTGACCAGAGTCCACATGCTCACACTTCCTCTTTCTCTTGTGTTGGAGTAGGGCAAACTGAGCCTTTCTTCTGACAAATCACTCACATGGTTTGCAAAATAAGCTAAAAAGATGTTCAACAAGTATGGTAAGGTTATCATATTAAATATTAAAGTCACCATATTAAAACATTGGTTTGAACCTCTTTTAACTAAGATTTCAGAAATCATAAGTGTATTACCAAAAAATTTAGCCATGATTCTCAGTCTATAATATGGATGACTTTTGCCAGAAGACTTTTATGAACACTTTGAAATTCTTAAATACATAGACCTAAGGAAATCAAGGAATGCCTTTTTTAGCTTATTACAAACTTTCTAACAACACAAAAACAAATGTACATGGGAATACCATAAAAGGAGTAAAGCCCTCATTACCACTGAGCTCTAGGTAATTTCGCTATTCTTGTTTCATGCTTTCTGGCAACATGGTGAGGTAAGAGTCAGTATTCCCTTTTTATAGATGAGAAAACTGACAGGGAAAAGTCAGTAACTTGCTGCATTAGTTTTCTAGGGCTGCTGTAACAAAGCACTACAAACTGGGTGGATTAAACAACAGAAATTTACTGTCTCACAGTTCTGAAGGCTGGAAGCCCAAAATCAAGGCGTCTTAGTTCATGCTGCTATAACAAAGTGCCATAGACCAGATGGCTTTTCAGCAATAGGATTGATTTATCCCCATTCCAGAAGCTGAAAATCTGATGTGAAGGTGCCAGCGTGATTGGGTTTTGGTGAGACCTCACTTCCAGGTTGCAAACTGCTGACTTCTCCTTATATCCTCACATGGCCCAAATGAGCTAGCTCTCTGTCTTCTTTTAATAAGGGTGCTAGTCCTATTCATGAGGGTTCCACCCTCATTACCTAATTACCTCCCAAAAGTCCCACTTCCCCAAATACTATGTAATTTGTGGTTATATTTCAACATTTGAAGTTTGGAAGGACACAAGCATTCAGTCTGTAATGCAAGGTATCTGCAAGATTGGCTCCTTCCAAGGGCTGTGAGGAAGGATGTGTTCTAGGCCTTCTCCTTGTCTTGTAAATAGCCATCTCTTCCCTGGGTCCTCATATCTCCCCTCTGTTCATGTTTGTGTCCAAACCTCCTCTTCTTATAAAGACATCAGTCATATTAGACAAACAAATGACCTCATTTTAATTTGATTACCCCTGTGGAGACCCTATCTTCAAATAAGGTCACATTCTGAGATACTAGAAGTTAGAAGGTCAACATAGGAATGGGGGATGGGGGCCACAGTTCAACCCATAATGCTTGCCAGAGTTGCTTTAGTAAATGGGCAAAGAAGTTGGAAGTTCAAACACAGGTACGACTAATTCCAAAGCCTACGGCCTTCACATAACAGGGCACTTCTTCTTATGTGAAGTATGATACATGCAGTAGATAGTTATGCATTCGGTAGATAATTATTTGGTAGATAAATAATAGTCATTTATTAGTCCTAGAGCCAGGGAACTTATTTCTCTGCCAAGGAAGGCAGTTGCATAAGTGACCTGTGATAAGACTTAAGAGGACCAGGAATGCCAATTTCTTAGATAGGTCAGCCCAAATGCTAGCTTCACTTGCATGGACTTTCCTAAATCCTTTATTATAACACATAAATATTTTTTGTGTCTTATTCAACTTATAGCATGAATAATACTTTCTGTCTGATATACCAACAAATTATGAGCTTTTTGAAGGCTTGTGTTCCCATAAAACTGAAAAAAAATGAAAACCCAAGAGAATGAAAAATGAAATATAAGGAAATGTACATTAAATCCACCATAGGTTACTATGACTCAACTACTGGGATGATTAAGATTTTAAAATACTGACAATCCCAATTGAAAGTCTCACACATTGCAGATGAGAATGAGAAATTTTATAGCCACTCTGGGAAATAGTTTGGCTGTTTCTGATAACATTAAATATACACTTACCATATGAGCTAGAACTCTAACTCCTGGGTATTTACCTCAGAAGAAACAACACTCATGTTCACACAAATATCTGTACAAAAATGTTCACAGTAGTTTTATCTATAATAATAAAAAACTGGAAACAACCCAAATGTTCTTCAATAGGTGAATGAATAAGCAAACTATGATTCTTCCATACAATGTAATAATACTCATTAGTTTTTTAAAAAGAACTACTGTCACGCCTGTAATCCCAGCACTTTGGGAGGCCAAGGCAGGTGGATCACGAGGTCAGGAGTTCGAGACCAGCCTGGCCAAGATGGTGAAACCCCATCTCTACTAAAAAAAAAAATAAATAAATAAAATAAAATTAGCCAGGTGTGGTGGTGGGTGCCTGTAATCCCAGCTACTCAGGAGGCTGAGGCAGGAGAATTGCTTGAAACCAGGAGGCAGAGGTTCGAGTGAGCGGAGATTGTGCCACTGCACTCCAGCCTGGGTGACAGAGTGAGACTCCGTTTCAAAAAAAAAAGAACTACTGATACATGCAACAATTTGAACAAATCTGAGTAAAATAAGCTAATAACAAAAGTTTATATAGTTGACCCTTGAACAATGTGCAACCCTCCACAAAGTCAAAAATCAGTGGATAACTTTGGACTTCCCCAGAACTTAACTTCTAATAGTCTACTGTTGACTGGAAGGTTTACCTATAACATAAACAGCCAATTAACACATATTTTATATGTTATCGATATTATGTACTGTATTTTCATAACAAAGTAAGCTAAAGAAAGAAATGTTACTGAGAAAATCATAAGGAAGAGAAAATATATTTACTATTAACATTAAGTGGAAGTGGATCCTCATAAACGTCATCATTTTTGTCAACTTCATGTTGAGTAGACTGAGAAAGAGGAGGAAGAGGAGGGATTGGTCTTGCTGTCTCAGGAGTGGCAGAGGTGGAAGAGGTGGAGAAGGTGGAAGGGGAAGTGAGTGAGGCCAGCACACGTGGTGTGTAACCGAAATACAGGTTCAGTAGGTCACTGCTTGCAGAATCCAATTAACGAGAGCGAGGTCTGGTATAAAGAATGTGTTATTTTATTCCAAAGCCGGCTTAGGGAAAGTGAGATGGGAGAGTTCCCTTGACCCCTTCGTGGGGCTTGCGACAGGTGTGTATGCTTAAAACCTTTGTGGGTGGGGGAACATACAGGTGAGCAGGTACAGGAGCTGCAGCAAGTGCCTATGGGTGCCAGCAGGAATGAACCCTGTACCAGCTTGCAGCAGTGTCTAGGGGTTGCCCATGACCTCTGGAGCCCCAGAGGGTGTGTGTTACAATGTTTTTTTTAGCTTTGCTGCCCATGGATAGCTTAAGCGTTACAAAGCTCAGAGAAGAGTCAGTGTGACAGCCTTTTTGGGTTCCCGCACCCAGTGCGTCCCAAATTCTTGTCTGGTGACCAGGAAGAATCAGGTCACATGAACAGATTGAAGGGTGGTGTATGCAGAGGATTTTATTGGGTGATGGAAGTGACTTTTACTGAGATGGGGAACTGGAAAGAGGATGGAGTGGGAAGATAATCTTCCCGTGGAGTTTGGCTGTCCCTGGCTGACCTCCTCTCTGATCATCCCGGGCCAAACTCCTCTTGATGTTCAGATGCTTCTCTTCTCTCCTTCTCTGCTGTGCTGAGAAGGGTACAGGGTGAAGGGCATGGCAGGGCAAAAGGCAACATTCGGGTGGGAAAACAGACATGTGAAGTTCTCATTTAGGGTTGTGGGCCCAGGCTTGAGGGTGGAACACTGCCAGGGACTCTGCCCTTTTTTACCCAGTATTTCTCTGCCTCTTGTCCATGTTAAAAGGAGTAAAGGCTTCTAGACCTAAGGGTACCACTTCACTTTTGGAGGAGAAAGCAGGTGCTTTTAAAGGTAGGGGTGGGGGATGGCTGGCATGAATGGCCTGCAAGGGAAGAAATGAGCAGGTGGGGTCCACCCACTTTCTTCAGTGCCCTGTAAAAGTGTCGGTGAAGGGGAGTAAAAAGGTTATAATTGCATTTCTAAAGGGCTAAGTCGGAAGTGGGCAGCAGGGGAAAACAGAAAAGTAAAGAGAAAATAATAATAATAGTAACATTCTCTTTTTCTTAGGGGTACTCTGTTACAGTTGTAATTTCACTTAAAAAGACATGCATAAAAGTAGACGCACACATTTCAAACCCTTGTTGTTTGAGTCAATGGTATACATATGATTACATGTATATGATATACTTTAAAGGGAAAACAACATTGATAGATAACAGATTAACAGTTTCCAGGCTTTATGTGTGGAGGTAGAGTGTGACTATAAAGGAAGAGAATAAGGGAGTTTTTTGGGTGATGGTATTTTTCTGTATTTTAATTGTAGGGTTAGTTACATGAATCTACATATGTGTTAAAATTCATAAAGTTGTACACCAAAATAAAGTCAATTTTAATTATATAGTAATTCTTAAAATAAAATTAAAATGTCTCTTCTCTTTCACCATTGAGGGATTAAAAAATACTAATTAAATCATATTCCCTTATCTTCATTATAAGCCTGAAGATTTCATATTTCCTACATGTACTTGGTATTTGCCTTTTTATAAAATGAATGTATTACATCTATATGAGATCACTAATAAAATGAAGAGATATGATTAATTTTGCAAAATATGCATTATAATTTAGAAATGGATTCTTCTTTTTTTTTTGAGATGGATTTTCACTTTTGTTGCCCAGGCTGGAGTGCAGTGGCGCGATCTCAGCTCACTGCAACCTCCGCTTCTTGGGTTCAAGTGATTATCCTGCCTCAGCCTCCTGAGTAGCTGGGATTACAGGTGCATGCCACCACACCTGGCTAATTTTTGTTTTTTTTAGTAGAGATGGGGTTTCACCATGTTGGCCAGGCTGGTCTCAAACTCCTGACCTCAGATGATCTGCCCGCCTTGGCCTCCCAAAGTCCTGGGATTACAGGTGTGAGCCATCGTGCCAGGCGTAAAAATTGATTCTTTTAGAAAAATTGTATTTTGTGAATTGTTTTCTCAGGCATTGACAAGGTTCTTAGAATGGTACATTCTTAGTCTTTGTGTAGAATAGCATCTTACAGTTCATTTCATTCTCCAGTTGTATTACCCAGAGAAACACAAATACCCAGAGAAACACAGTGTTCTTATAGTTTTAAGGATTTATGCTTTGGGGTGTTCAATAAATAGTTCTTCAATGAATGATTATGAATGAAGATGTCTAGGATATTGTACACTGATGTGTGAAGTTTAAGCCATCAAAATTTTCCTAATTTTTGTTTATGGTGGAACAATTACTCTCACTATTTAATGAAAAAATAGATCCATTAAATTCTTTCTATCTGCCAAAGCATTATTAATCTTTAAAAGTTTACAATCTAGTGCAATGCATGTTTGTGTGTGCATGTTTGTTGAATCATAATTCCACCAATATGGTACATGCATTCTGAAACCCAGGGGTGTAGCAGTCGCTGTAGAAACACAGAATAAAAATACCCTTGACCTTCTCAGATAATATTAGTGAAGCCTTCCTATAGGCAATTGCATTTGAACTGAAACATAATGGATGAATATAAAGATGATATTCGGGTGACAGTCAATAAGGAAAAAACATTTCAGGCTATGTATGCAATAGCAAATGCAAAGGCAAAACAGTTTGAATGAGGAAGAAAGAAGTAAATACACTGGAGAATCGCATATTTGTTTTGGGGTAAGAGATGACCTAAGAAGGCATTGTGGGTGGTAAAATTTAAAACATTGGCAGAGTCAGATCATGAAAGTCATGTTGTGTCATCCTAAGAGGTTTGGATTTTATTGTGTAGGAGGCACCATGTCATTAAAGGATTTTAAAAGGGAAATGATATGATCAAATTAGGGATTTATAAGGCATGTATTTCCAGCAATGTGAAGATGATTTGGAGGTTGAAAAAAAGACTATTTAACTGCCTGGCAAGAAATTGGAAGGCCCTCATCTCAGGTATTAGAAGCGGGCCAGTGTGGAGGAGAAAGATTACAGAAATAACCAGGTGGCCAAATCCACAGGGCTTGCAAAATCTGGAGTATGTGAATGGACTGGAAATAACAGTTCAGTCAACTAGCAGTATTCAGCCCATGTAAATTGCTTATTCCATTCGGATGGCATCTAAAAATTGGAATTGTCGATTCTATGGTGAAAAGAATAATTATTCACCCAAGCCCTAAGGCTCTCTAAGTCTTTAGCTAATACATTTGTACAATTTTCTAAATTATCTGAAAGAGGCCATACAATACGCCAAACTTAGCATACTGCATAGCCAACTTTTCACCTAGCCAAGATAGTTTTCTCCTGCAACACTTTTTAAATGGCAATCCAAATGTGAATTATGGACAATTTCTTTCACCAAACTCAGGCAACCTCATTTACAGTAGCAACATCTGTGGAAAATATTTAATTGCTTCTTTTCAATCTAATTGAAACTACCCAGTATAACTTTAAAAAGAAAGAAAGAGTCAAAGCAAAACGTGGAATTTTTAAGTACAGCTTTTGTAGTAACATTTTGAGCAATTTCTAGCCAGTGAAAAATGCTGATTGGTTGCCTAGAGGGTTATGCTAAGGAAAACAAGACAGAAATCTAAGCTGTAGAATTCATGAAAACCTTTATCATGGCAAACAATAGTGAAACCCAACATTGCCTGGAAGGGGAAATTTGAGTCTGCAATCTGTTAGACTTTATGCACTGATAAGTGATAAGATTCTGTGCTGCATTTGAAAAGAATACAGTAAACACAATTCTAGACAGACCTGCCTCAGGCTTAAGATGACACTTAAGTGCTCTGTAAGCAAAAAAGAAAAAGCTCTTCTGGACATTATAAACTGCTTTTATTTTCCAGCATTAAAGCTAAATGTCAAGTAATATCTATTAACAGGAAATAAGTCCTCTTTACTGTGTTTCACCCAGTCTGTATTTGATGTGAACAGAGAAAGTAATTATTGCTTGAAGTAGAAATATATGTGAATATTTTAAAATCCTATCACAGAAGCCCTTTAGTTTTTTCATGTTACCACTACCCCCAAAAACAAACAAACTAAACTAAATGCCATTAGAATAGAATAAGTAAATATTTGTTGGTAAATCTGAGTTGAAATTCATTTTCCACAATGAAAAAACAATAACTAATAATTATGTAATCATTAACATTGATAATCATATTTCTTTAACACAAATGTTTCCTGTAGGAATTCTCAAACTGAAAGGGAGGAAACAACCGTATCTTTTATTATGCTGGGCCACAAATTTGATGACTTAAAACAAAAATTATTTGGATTTCTGAATGTAAAGTATTCTACCAATGCCTTGAAACTGTTACCAGAGATCTGAGTTATCCCAAGTTACCAACAGTGTATCCGTATGTGTCCCTCCCAACTTCAGTCCTTGCCTCCTCAGAAGAAAGAACTTGACTGAGGGCATAAAGCAGAAAAAGAGAGGCAAGTTCTAGAGCAGGAGTGGAAGTTTATTTAAAAAGGCTTTAGAACAGGAGGGAAAGGAAAATTCGCTTGAAAGAGACCCAAGCAGACGCCTGAAGGTCCAAGAGAGAAAAAAAGGACAAAAGATAACAGAAAAAAAAAAAGAGCCTTTAACCTTGATCCTAGGACTTAATAAGCTTGCCTCTTTCCCATAATTCTTTGCTTAGAGTGAGCTTCCCGCGTGCGCAGAGCCCTCCTTACCCTTGGAAAGTGAGCAAACACAGTGTGTTCACGGAGTTATACATATGCCCATCTGAGGCTTTCTTCCTTTTTCCAGTGGAGTGTACCTGGAATATCATACTTCACCATTTTCGTCTCTTAACAAGCATGCCCAGAAACTGTTTCTCCCTGAGATCTGCCTTCAGTTAACACTTTTAATGTTAACAGGTGTGGACCATCAGGAGATTTCTCCCTGGTAGGTGAATTATCATTTTTAAGAGAGGCAAAGAAATAATTCTGGAATCATCACCTGACATTTCTAGTGGGTTGGGGGAGAGCCCTCTCCTGCCCCACTCATGCCTAACTGCCTGTTACAAAACTAGGGCACTCTGTGAAATTGTACATGGCACTTATTTAAAAATTACACCTATAATCCTAGCACTTGGGAGGCCGAGGCAGGAGAACCACTAGTGCCCGGGAGTTTGAGACTAGCCTGGGTAACATGGTGAGACCTCATTCTACAAAAAATTAAAAAATTAACTGCATGTGGTGGTGTGCATCTGTGGTCCCGGCTGCTGGGGAGGCTGAGGTGGGAGGATTGCTTGAGCCCCAGAGGTTGAGGCTGCAGTGAGGTGGGATCATGCCACTGCACTCCAGCCTGGGTTACAGAGCAATACGCTATCTCTAAAGAAATTAAATAAATAAAAAATACAAATTACAAAGAAGAAAATAGAGTGATTTATGGACATTTACTAAAGTATTATTTACTATTAGAGCATATGAATTTCCATATTGTGGACTATAATATGAAAGTCATAGGGCATTTGTATTAAAATTATTGAGTGATTTTGGGTTGGAGAATAAAATTAATTTCTACAGTTTGATACTGGGGCACATTGTCTTCCCTTCTAATAATCCTACATATGTGGTATTATCCATATAATTTACAATTAAATGTACATAATGGAAGTAATATGAGGAGTTTATCAGTTGCATGGTTTGAGTTTTAAAAACACAGAATTATAGTTTTTCTCTTATCGTCTTGAATTATGTAAGCTTTAACACATTTTCTCTTTCGTACTAGCTTTAAAGGCACATTTTCTGATTATTAACAAATTTGTATTTTGTTATTTGACATTTTCAGATGTAAGATTTAGAAAACTGTTAACAAAATCTTTACTTTTAATATACTAAAAAGTATTAAAGTTGTCTTTCCTTATCCACGTTTTCACTCTGCAGGGTTTTACTTTCCACAGTATCAGTTACCCATAGTCAACCATAGTCCAAGCACAGTAAATGGAAAATTTCAGAAATAATTCATAAGTTTTAAATTGCCCACCATTCTGTGTACGTGATGAAAATCTCATGCTGTCCTCCTGCTCTGTCCTGCCAGGGATGTGACTCTTCTCTTTGTCCAGTGTATCCATACTGTCTATGCTCTTCACCTAGTATTCACTTAGTAGCCTTCTCAGTTATTAGTTTGACTGTCATTGTTTTGCAGTACTCGTGTTCAGGTAACCCTTATTGTACTCCATAGTGGCCGCAAAGTGCAAGAACAATGACAGACACCATGCAAAATGATGGAAATGCAAAAATGAAAAAAGTCTTCATTGTAAAAAGCCATAGTGAATCTATTTAAGAAAAAAAAAACACACATATAAACAATTATTGGAATATGGAAAATGCCCATAAAGAGAAGAAAGTATCAAGGATTGAGCAAACATTTGTCACGTATAGGAAGGACTATTCAGGATGTAAGCACCTGAAAGAATAATTAACAAATAAGAATAGAGTTAAAAGAAAAATATAAGTGAAATGGGCCAGTGATAGAGCAAGAAGGTCTTTCCCATCAAAAGCCAAAATGTATGAAATTATTTGACCTTTTGAGGAAATTTCTTCAATGTGGTATTGCAATATTTGATAAGATGAGGTTGAGAAGAAACATAGGGCCAAATCTGCCATGTTAAGAATTTGAATTATTTTTTTTTCCTTGAAGGTGATGGAGAGTCAGTTATGAGTTTAGCCATAGTCAAATTTTCACATAGAAAAAAAAAAATAAAGACTGAAAGTGGTTTGGACAATGAAAGACAAAAGCTAAGGACATAAACTGCAGAAAAAGCCAGGGGCCTATATTTATGTAAGGGACAGCAAAGATACTTTTAAAGACTGCGAAGTGAATTCAATTAGGAGAGAAAAGGTGTTTCATTTCAATTTGCCAATATCAATATTTGAAATTTTGATTCTTTCTTCCACTCATAACATGTCTTCACAATTAGAAGAATAAAAATGACACTAATGTTTAAAACAGCCTATGATTTTCTTCAGTTTAAGCAGTAAAAATATAAGTACCTGCATTTGGTCTAATTTTCTTAATTAGCTAGCTAATTATACCTTAATTTAAAAAGTTTCTAATTATAAAATAAACTTAGTTTTCTAGGAAAAATTTGAATATCAGTTAAAGGAAGTCATATAAAAAATAAAAATTTTCTATATCTAATCATAGATAACTGATATGGTTTGACTCTGTGTCCACACCCAGTTCTTACCTTGAATTATAATGATCCCCACATGTGGGAGAGACCAGGTGGGAGGTAATTGAATCATGGGGCAAGTTTTTCCTGTGCTGTTCTCATGAAAGTAAATAAGCCTCATGAGATCTGATGGTTTCATAAAGAGGAGTTCCCCTGCACTCACTCTCTTGCCTGCTGGCACGTAAGACATCTCTTTGCTCCTGGTTTGTCTTCAGCCATGATTGTGAGGCCTCCCCAGCCCTGTGGAACTGTGAGTCGATTAAAGCTCTTTCCTTTATAAATTACCCAGGCTTGGGTATGTCTTTATTAGCATCATGAGAATGGACTAATAAAATAACTAATCACTATTTTCAATTTGGTACATTTCCACATATATCTGGTTTACAAATGCATAGGACATTGTGTTCCTGGGTGTTAAAGCATTTAACCAACCAATTTGTGCGCTAAAACTTGTTTTGATATTTTGAAAATTTTCATAGTAATATGGGGAGCATACTTGTGTAAAAATCACTGGAAACATCTATGATAATTTCTTTGTGATAAATTCTACAATAGGGAAAGGCATTTTCAGACTCTTGAAGCTGCCCTAAGGAAAGCCTGTACCCATTGCATTGCTCATTTTTGTCATTAATGCTGGGTATTATGTTTTAAATATTTTAAAATATAATAGGAAATAACCATTATGTTTTTATTGTTTAAATTTATATTCCTTTAATTACTAAAACAGTGAAAATGTTTTTCCATAGAATTTGACGAGACAAAAATTATCTTTTTGAAACTTCAATATGCAAAATATGATTATCCTTTCCACTTACACAAAAGATCCAAACAAAACACTGCCAATAAAAGTACAAAACTATAAGGCAAAATATTTTTCTTCTTCTTGTATTAAAATTCAAACAAATAAAAATTAGCTTTAGAAATCTTTTTTTTAACTAAAGAATTAAAATTATGAGATAAATTAACCTGGTTTAGTCACCACTTTTTAGGCCAAAAAGAGATTCGTTGGGAATAGAAGGAAATTAATGAAACAGTTTCAGACTTTCTTGCTATTTTATTAATAAACAAGAATATGGGGCAATTTCTGTCACACATACTTTTAAGAAATAACCAAAAATTGCTATCTACTATATATAAGTCTAAAATTAAGATTGTGAATCCCCAGCTTTAAAAAAAAATACAGAAGGAATTAGGCTGTACACAATTAAGGACCCATGACACCAGGTGTCAAGACAAACTTTCATGATGCAGACCACACACAGCCACCTTGAGTTATTCAAAAATATGATTTCAATTTTACAAATTGTGCTTAGGTGTTGGCCTGATTATTTGTACTTGGTCAATGAGGTTCTGAGAAATTGATAACATGTAAGTTCCAAAAACAGAGGAAGTAAAGAGAGGAAAAGTTAAGTGGTGAGGGAACTTGTTGACAAAATGACAGTGTCATTATACCTACTATTTGAAGATTTCCAAAGGCCTAGAAATGTTAGATAATTTTAAAATGTTCAATGTGGCATTTATTTTCAAAAAATAAGAATGTATCAGAAAATTGCAGTACACTTAGAGTCATTTTTATATCTATAAACCTTCTGAAGTTGTGCACTTAATTATTTTGTATTTATCAGCAGAACAAAAGAGCAGCATTTCATTCCCTTTGTGGTTCCTGCCATCAAATGTCGAACTGATAGAATTAAAAAAACTTTTGATAATTTCTGCCTCTGAATAACGCTAAATTTAAATAGACTATCTTTCATTTAATAACCATTCAGATAGTATTTGTTTGAAGTCAGTTGAATTTAAAGGCTTATTATTTTGTACTGAAAGTCTAAGCATGCATTTTCTGCTGTGCAACAAGGGAAATTCAGGACTGATTTGGTAACATTCTTCCAACATTTATATTCACTCCTAGGTTATCCCATTAATATTGCAGAGATTATATTATTGTTCTATTAAATTTTTATATAAAATATAACTTAAAAAATCAAATCAAATAAGTTACCATCTGTATATTAACTTTAATAGAAATATCATTGAAGAAAAAAATAAATTACATTTGTAATTCACTAGCAAACTTTATAAAATACTTATTTTAATGCAACTTTAATGTAATTTTTAGCCTCAAAAAAAAAAAGGCAAGTAGAAGCTTGAGAGAATTTCAAAGCTCTCTTGGTTATCAGCTTATCCTTGTAAGCTTCTGCTTATCTTATCAAGTAAGGCATCACTTTTGCTTCCTTCTGCTAATAAGGTCTGGAGCAGAGCTTTCCTCTAGCAATTTAGTAATTCCTTTTGCAGACAGAAGTGTTCAGTCTGTTGGCTCTCCCCTCACTTATCTCTCTATTTAGTTGTAGTTTTTTTTTCCCAGGGCAGCAAGAGATCCAAATTCATTTCTTCCCTGGATTTTTAAGATTCTAAAGGTCCAGAAAAGTATATTTTTCCCCAAAACATTGATCTAAGTAAATTTTGGTTTTCTCAATGTCTGTGCTGGAATATAGATTCTGGGGTAAGTCATAAAACATGCTTGAATCATTCCTGAATTCACTTTTATACAAAACAATGGGTAAATTACTTAGGTCTCAGTACCTCAGTTCCCCTTTTTGTAACCTTGTGATGCAAATGAGTAATTCACAGTGTAGTTGCAAAGATAAATGAGTTAATATAAACACCATAGTTGCATGTTTATTACCACTACTATTAATATTACTCTTAATAGTGATAATCTCTTCAGAATATTTGGCATAATAATTATTGTTGTTATATTAAAGAGTAACTATCTCAATTTGCAAATGGCAGCTTTGGAAGACAAATTTCCAATTCAATATTACTTCAGTAAATATGAGGGGCAGTCAGGTATAAACAGATTACAGCTTCATCAGGATAAAGTGAAATTAGAACAGTTGAAGATGATGGAAGTGAAAGAAGGAGGAGGCATTAACTGATTATATTTGGAAGCAATGGAGAAAAAATCAGCGTACAAAAAGGAAACCAAAGTGCAGTGGATTGGCAGTGTAGGCATCATGGTTTGAAAGGTGAAGTTAAGTCTGGGGTATAAAACGAAGAACATAATGTGTACGAACTATGAGGTAATCTTCTTAATGAACAGACAACTTGTCAAACCCTTCCTGGAATTCTGCAGCATGGCAAAGACTCCTAATCTTAAGAGGAATGTGAAAACTTGAAGAGGGTTCAGAGGACAGCCACAAAGATAATGAATTGGTTGTAAAGTAAGACCTACAAGAAAAGGTGAAAAGATCTGGAATTATTCAATTTGGAGGCAAGAACTTAGAGGTTATTTAAATCTTCCAGTTAAAAATATACGATCTCATCTCATGCTTCTTCGTGAATTAAAAGAAGGAAATAAATTTAAATCTCAGAATAGAGAATTTATGGAATTTAAACAATAATTTAACAAGCAGGTTTGTTACACATCATTAAAGTCTCCTGAGTGGTCTACAAAACGTGTGTGCTCCTTGAAGTTGTATAATTTATTTATGTATTTATTTTAGTTAGCTGCAAAGGTGCAGTCGTTGATGAAGAAGAGAAATGGCTCTGATGACCTAGAAGGGGTCTTTCTAGCCTTAAATTTCACTGAAATCCAGAGTTAAGTATTAATAGTCTACTAAATCATTGCCACATTTCTAGCCTTACCTCTAACTCATTTGTCTTAGGACTGTAGGATTGAAATGGAAGTTGAGGTGATTTGGACCAAGGTGAGTCTGGAAGAAGGGGCCAGGGTTGGGGAGTGGAAAGAAGGAGGGGAGGTGGAACAGTTGAGAGAATGGCATTCCAGACAAAAAGATAGCAGTTTAAAGGCAGGGAAGTGTCAAAGAGAGTGTTATTATACATTTTGGTAATGGGGCATAATTTGGGTATGATCAAGAAATATTATACATGGAACGGATGGTAGGAGATGGCATGCTGAAGAGCTTAGCTGACAGAAGACAATGCAAAGGTTTTTGTTTTAGAATAAAGCTCATCTTCAACTCTTAGGAATTGTGACTTGAAGAGTACTTAGGAGGGAGAGGCTCTGATGAGATTTCTGTTTCAGGAAAAATCACGGTGGCAAAAGACGTCAATGATGTTTTATGGACAGGAGGCATTGGAGGCAGGAAGAGCTGGTCTATATTCAGCCAGTCCATTTGAGAGGTAATAGAAGTCCAAACTGAGCTCTAGTGAGCATAGGGAAGGAGAGCAAAAGGGAAGGACATTTAGAAGGTTAAGTTTGAGATAATTATTAGTTTGATGTCTCCAGCATCTAGGAGAAAAATGATAATGAAAAAGAGAATAGTGAAAAAGAGCTTTCATTGAGTCATTTTCTTATCAATGTATTCAACAAATGGATGATTATTATGGATCAGGCATTATATTAAGTACTAAAGATACCAGGATTTTTTCAGTATGTAGACATAGGGCCTGGTTTTCTTGGGACAGTTCTGGTTGACACTGGCTATCCTCATCCACTGATGGATAAATGGCTAAACAAAATGTGATATATACGTAAAATGGCATAGTATTCAGCCTTAAAAAGGAAGGGAATTCTGACACATACTACAACATGGATGAATCTTGAGTCTTTTAGTATCTACAGATTTGACTCCTTTAGATACTTCATTTAAGTGACATCGTACAATATTTGTCTTTCTCTGATTTACTTATTTTACTTAGCATAATGTCCTCAAGATTCATCCATATTATAGTATGTGTCAGAATTTCCTGTTTTTAAGGCTGAAAAAAGTCATAACTTGAAATTCCTTTTTAATTTTTTGAGATAAAAAATAATGAATAAAAGATTATATGTACATGTTGGCATTTGTCAATTCCCCAAATTTTTCCTGCAGTGTTTGTGGTTAATAATACCCAATCTTGTAACTTTGATGTTCTAATGAGCTATAATGTTCAGTGTGGTCTAAAAGTAATTTTATATTGGTATCATTTTCCGTCATCAGGTCTCCTGGCTGCAGAGGAATTTCCTTCATTTTATGGATGAGGATACTTCAAGAAAACCAAGCCATATGTAGTTTATACTTTGGAAAAGCCACCTGAACCTATTAATGGTAAGTGTGGGTAAAACACATTAAATTTCTACCATGTTTGGTCATATCAGTCTCTTAAACAGCAACATCAAGAAGAGGAGTTAGGTCCCCAGACACATGGGCCATCTGGAACTCAGTTCATGTGGATATGGTTTATGAATTCCTATTGGAGTTGACCCAGTGTCTATGAAAGCTAATAGGAAAGCCTTTGGGCTGGGCACAGTGACTCAAGCCTGTAATCCCAGCACTTTGGGAGGCTGAGGCTGGTGGATCACCTGAGGTCGGGAGTTCAAGACCAGCCTGACCAACATGGAGAAACCTCGTCTCTACTGAAAATACAAAATTAGCCAGGGTGGTGGCGCATGCCTATAATGCCAGCTACTCGGGAGGCTGAGGCAGGAGAATCACTTGAACCCGGAGGTGGAGGTTGCGGTGAGCTGAGATTGCACCATTGTACTCCAGCCTAGGCAAAAAGAGTGAAACTCCATCTTAAAAAGCCTTTGGCCATGATTGTAACTAAAGTTTCTCAGATAATTTTGACACCTTCAGTTTTGATGAGTCAGTCATTCATTCTGTTTTATCTGAGGACTGAGAATGGTAAAGGCAGTGATGCTTCTGGACTATAGCATTCCTTAATTACCCTTCCAGTGAAATGGCCACCCCTATTATTAGGCCTATAGGAGAGTCTTCCCCAAGTGTGAAATGTGAGGTCTAATATTGCTTTGCTTTAGTCAGAACAGTTGTTTTTTTATTAGGGATTCTAAGCAAAGGACAGAAGGAGCAAGGAAAGGCTTCTGGTCAACCAGAAAATGGGCAGACAATATTAAGAATGTATTCCTAACCATATGAGGAGAAGGGCTGGAATAAGCATTATTTGTAGATTTTCAAGTGAGCCTATTTTTTTTTTTAACTTATGTGTTTTTCTCATTTTAAAATTTTCTTGGGATTGTGGGCTTGAAAGATAAAAGATAAACATTCTGTGCAATCTCACTGAATTTTCTTCCAGCAAAACCCATTTAGGATGTTTATGAGGTTTTTCTATACACAATGGATTAAACCATATACCAATTTTCATAGACTTTATTTCAACCTATTTGGGAAGACTATCTTATTGCCACTAGGTGGAACAAAGAATGTGATTTTTACCAAAGTTGTATTTTTCCCCCCATAACGAAGTGCCTAAAACTAGCATTGAGTCAAGACTTGATGACCACAGTCAGGATTAGTTTTGGTTTTGATTTTTGAACTAGTTAGCCAGTCTGGATGTTTTTTACAGGAATTCATTTGGCATATGAATCTGCTAAAGCATTGTTCCTTACTTGATTTTGCTAAAGCATTCTTTTAGTATGTGTGTCAAACTTAGTTATAATGTATTCGTTTGTAAGAAGCAAAACACTTAGGTGGGTTTTGAAACAGTTGTCATGTTTACCTGTTGTACCAATTCCAGTGAGAATCTGTGTTGCTTCCAAAGGACCAAAACCATTAGGGCCCAAAAAGAGAACTGCTATTGGCATTGGCATTTTCTCTCCTATCTATAGCTTCTGACAGGGTTTAGTAACCCCAGCATCAATTAGAAATAAAACATTCTGTTTCCACCACTGTACGGTAATTTCTCCTTATTTTGTAAAAGAAAATTTGGGTCAAGGAAGAGGTATCATTTGTCAGACAAAGGTTTTTTGTGTGTGTGTGTGTCTTTTTAGATTTTATTTTTCAAACTAAGGCAGAGGAATTGCCCTTTCAATGTCTTTTGCACTATTCATATTGACAGGTATGTGTTTTTTTGTTGTTTTGTTTTGCTTTTCAAGAGTAGTCTTAGAGATGTCCTTGTTCTTTGGTTTATCTAATGCTTAATCGGAAGGGTTATTCTTCAAGACGCTAAAGTAGTTTTTGTATATTAGAGAAGGGGAAGTCTACCATCCTACTTTTGTATTTCTTACTAAATCCTCCACCTCAGATTTAAGATAATGAACAACAAAGGTGAATAGGACAGTGGTAACATCTTCCTAATTGGAACAAGAATATTTTCTGAAAGTGTTAGATAGTCCCTAATACCGGGTGCAATCTTTTCCCCCTTGCTTATAGGCTGGATTATTGGCCAATCAATTTTTACAGGAAATACCTCTGTGACAACTTCTAAGAGGTCTTGTTCTATTTCTGTACTCTTTTCATATGCATCCTTGACCAAATTTCAAATCATACCTAAATTTTGATACCATTTTGGTAACCAATTCACTCTCATTTTTCCAAGCAAGTTTGAGCATCCTCTGGCTCCAAGAGGATACTTCAGGACTAAATGTCTCAACGGCTATACTAAATTTTCAGTGAAATTTTGTCTTTACTTTTGAAAGTTAGGAAAGTCTTTAACTAAATAGAGCAACTTAATCTTGATTAAGACTTAAAACCATAAAGCCAGCAAGGCTGGTCATTGCCTGCAACTATGTTATAAGACATTATGAGTGGGTGTTGACCTGGACTGCGTGTGGGAAAGACTGGTGGAGAGAAAGGAAGAGGGTTTGGAGAAGGGTCAGAACGAGGAGAAAAAGCAAAAGGTGGTGTGTAGGCGATGGGGGCCAAAGCAATAGAAGAGGCCAGAAGAAAGGGGAAATGTCAATGACCTCTTGTATGCTCTGTTCTTGTCAAAGTGGCCTGGGCTGAGCAGCAAAAGGGTCCAGGCTCATTCAGAAACAGCAATCATGTTTGTACAAGCTAGCAAGATAAATTTCTGAATATACCTTCTATAATTTTCTGTACTTTAAACATGGAAGTAAATGCATTTTATTCATCCAACATAAAACATTGCTGGGAACAGTGGCTCACACCTGTAATCCTAGCACTTTGGGAGGTCAAGGTGGGAGGATCCTTTGAGGCCAGAAGTTTGTGACCAGTCTGGGCAACAAAACAAGATCTGGTCTCTACAAAAAATAGTTAGCTTGGTGTGGTGGCACACACCTGTAGTTCCAGCTACTTGGGAGGTTATGGAGGATTCACTGAGTCTAGGAGTTTGTGGCTGCAGTAATCTACAATCTCACCACTGCTTTGAAGCTTGGGTGACAGACACCCTGTCTCTTTAAAAAAAAAACAAAAAAAAAACAAAAAGTATTGTGAGCTAATTAAATTTTGCTGTCATTGGTTCACAAGTAATCTCTTTAGAGCTGCCTAAATGAAAGTAGACAGAATTTCATCATAGTATTGTTTACAGTACAGTGCCAGAAAAGTACGGTAACTACTGGTGGTGCCTAATAATTGTGAGCTGTTGTCTTGTATTCATTTTCAAATATACTCCAGAAAGGTAGTCTTTTGGGATATGAGAGAGAAACACAGCTTAAAAAAAATTTTTAAAGACTTTTTCTTCAGAAAAATATTTTAGAGTGATATTATTACATTTTATAATTTATATATGAACAATGAAAATATTAAAATTTTAATTTTGTTTTATCAATGATGCTAACCACACTACATATGAAAAAGCAAATTTCAATAAAATTAACAATGCAATTTTAAATTTTGACAACCTCATAAACAACTTATAATTATAACATTTAAAAACAGAAAATTTGATACTAATGATATTTTCAAAAAATGTCCCATTGACCATCTGAAAAAAATCTGGCCTATAACACAAAAAGATAATGCAACATAATGCTCTATAAATCCATCTGTGATATTATAAAATAGATACTAGGCTTCAACACTTACCTCCTGCTTCCCTCCCACATGAAACTCTTAAAATCCTTAGAATCTCAAAAGTTATGATTGACTGATGGCTGGCAGAGGCTAGGTAGCTTCAGGATGGGATTGGTCACCAGAAAGACAAAGGCAGGTGGGACTTTCAGCTCCACCCCTCAAGCTCCCAGGAGGGGAGAGAGGTTGAAGGTTAAGTTGATCACCAATGGCCAATAGTTTAGTCAATTATGCCTATGTAATGAGGCCTCCGTAAAAGCCCAAAAGGACAGGGTTCAGAGAGCTTCTTGAGAGCTCAACACATGGAGGCTGACAGGACAGGATAGTGAACTAGAACTCAATCACACTTCACATGGACAGAAGCTCCTGAGCTTCGCGTGAGGTATGGCTGGTTTTCTATATCCTTTAAAATATCCCTTGGAATAAATTGGTAAACATGTTCCTCTGTGTTCTGTGAACCACTCTAGCAAATTAATCAAATCCCAATGAGAAGGTTAAAGGAATATGAACTTGAAATTGGTTGATGAAATGTTCCAGAGGCTCAGACATGTGACTGGTGGGAAAGAGGGGGCCTTCTTGTGGGACTGAGCCTTCAATGTGTAGTTTGTGAGCCTATCTCCTGGTAGACAGCATCAGAATTGTATTGAATTGAAGGACATTGGTGTCTGCTGCAGAATTGAATGATTACTCCCTGTGCAGGCAGAAACCCCTAAACATTTCACAGTAGTAGTCTTTTTTTTTTTTATTTTTTTATTTTTTGAGACAAGCTCTCGCTTTGCACCATTGCACTCCAGCCTGGGTGACAATCTCGGCTCACTGCAGCCTCTGCCTCCCAGGTTCAAGCGATTCTCCTGCCTCAGCCTCCTGAGTAGCTGGGATCATGGGCACATACCACCACGCCCAGCTAATTTTTGTATTTTTAGTAGAGATGGGTTTTCACCATGTTGGCCAAGCTGGTCTTGAACTCCTGACCTCAGGTGATTCACCTGCCTCAGCCTCCCAAACTGTTGGGATTACAGGTGTAAGCCACCATGCCCGGCCTGGTAATAGTAGTCTTCTGGTTTGATTGTTGTAGCAATGTGAGAACAGAGGAAAACCACTATTTGATTTTTCCCACTATAACGCAGATGTCTTAAAAATATGAAAGAAAACTATTGAAATGTATTTATTTATTTATTCACATAAATTTTTACTTTCTTTTTCTCTCTTTTTATTTTTTTGTTTAGAGACAGGCTCTCATGAGTGCAGTGGCACAATTATAGCTCACTACAGCCTCCATCTCCTGGGCTCCTGTGGTAGTCACCCTCAGCCTCCAAAGTAGCTGGGACTACAGGCGTACACTACCAAGCCCAGCTAATTTTTTATATTTTGCAGAGATGAGGTCTCACTATGTTGCCCAGGCTGGTCTTGAACTCCTGAGCTCAAGTGATCCGCCCACCTTGGCCTCCCAAAGTGCTGGGATTACAGGTGTGAGCCACCACACCCAGCTAAATTTTTTTCTTGAAGTAAGAATTTATACTTTTCCTAGTGTAAAAGATAATGAAAGGAATAATATTCAGTGAGGTCAATGCCTTAATATAACACAAAATAAGTTTTTACAAGTTGGATAGAAATCTCTAAAACCAGATATACCGTAGTTAACAAATACATAACAAAAATAAAAATAACTGGAAATAACATATATATTAATATTCATTGTCACTAGAAAACATTAAGTGCGAAATAAAACATAAGGTAATTATTTTCTGCGTATGAAATAGCCAAGCACTCAAGGAAACAGGCTCTCTTTTTACTTTTGGCCAGGGATGTTACTTTTTTCTAAGAGGAAATTTAGCAATATGCATTAAGAACTTTAACATATACCTTCTGTCCCTATAATTGGATAAATCTACTTTTAAGAATTTATCCAAAGAAAATAATAAGATACAGAAAAACCGTTTTCTTAGAAATATTTATGCCGCAATATAAAAAATAAAATGTTTTTGAAATACACTGAAATATGTAGAAATATTCTCATGAATATAACTTAAAGAACTTTAAGTTAAAATCAGAAGACAAAATTCTGTTTCATAGTTCCTCAAATTTTCAAAAATACTTCTAGTAGTTTTAGAACAGCCTCTAAAACAAGATACCAAGAAGCTGAAAATAATGTTTTTTTGTTTTGGTTTGGCACTATTGGCTATTTAAATTTTTTATTCATATGTTTATGAACTTTCTAAATTATTCAAACATGTCACATATTATTTCTCTAATTATAAATGAAGTTCCATGTTTCTACATATTTTAATTAGGTGCCACGTATTATATGCAACAGTGCAAAATTCCCTTGTCTTCAAATTCTTCGTGGCATTTATCAGCCTGACTTATCCTTTAGTATTTAAAAGATATAGTTACATATGTTACACATATATAATTATATATGTATATACATGTATATAAGCGCATATACATGTGCATGTGTATATACACAAATATAGACACACATATATGCACATATATTTAAATTGGAGGCAAATGCCAAAATGATATTGTGACATCAGCATCTTAATAATTCAAATGGTTATTATATCATTCATATTTCAGAATGTCACTCAGTGAGATCTATAATTTCAAAATCTCTGACATGTCAAATATTTTTAAATTACAGCCAGAAAAAAATGTGAACAAAACAAAATAAAGCAAAACAAACCAACAAGCAGCATATATAAAGTCAACATATATAATGGAAGTGTTATTTCATGAATATTGTTTGTTGTTCCAAATTTTTCTATGAAATAATGTAAAGCAAGGCTCCATTAGATTCCAAAAACCAGAACAGTCTGTGGTATCATCAAATGTTAGATGGGAAAACATAAAACCTCTATACCAAATAGCTAGTAATTGATTGTAAATTTTACCTCTAAAAAGAGGGAACACCTTAAATAAGATCTATAGCAGTAAATAATTCTGCCAATATCCTTCAGAGTAGGGAGACTTTCCTCCAGCAATTTTTGCTGTTAATCACAGTGGCAAGTATTTTCATAATCTGATGTTAACTTTGCAGCGTTTGAATTAACTTGGCTCTAACACATTCCTTAGTTTCCTACTACCAGTAGGATGAACTAGTTGGCCAGGTCATGCTGTGTCAAAGTACTTAAGTGTTTATATATACACTGCAAACAACACCTATCTTAAACATGCTTTGTATTTTTTTCGTACACAGTAGAACACATAAAATTATTTTATATAAGAATGTGAAAGGAAGAAACATAAATTAAAATTTTCTAATGGAAAAATTAAATAGTTTTGTTGAAGCATCATTTGCTATTACAACATTAAAACCTATTTATTTTTCTCATCCACTAGTTTTCCTCTTTCCACTACATACATAGGTAGAAATTTCAATTAGTTTGTGTTTTTTTCCAAATGCTTTAAGAGTAACAAATTATTGTCAGTCTTTTCCTCAATATGAACATTGAAAGTTAAAATAAAATTAATATACTTTGGTTTTATATATATGTATAAACAGAATCTAGATTGACTTCATTTGTAAGGTAATTAATATTTAGGAATTATCTAAAAGTGGAATGCATAATTATGAATAAGCACTAATATTTCTGACCCCAACCTGTCTGATGAATAAAAAACAAGATTCATTTATGCGGTCTGTTATATTTATTTTTGTGAATGTGAACTTTAAAGCAATTTTTCAATAACTTTTATTTCAACTTCAGATATGTTTATATGAAAAATATGTCATTTTTCAATTCTATTAAACATGATACATAACAAAACAAAGCAAGCTAGTGTCTTTTAGCTCTTTCAGTGAAAATGAGTTTAGTAGTTTTAATACTTTGCAAATAAATATAAAATAAAGTTCATTCCAACCAGCTGTATGATTCTGCTACTGACATTAAAAAATTCAGCTGGGAATAAACTATATTTTTCTAAGAAATTAAAAATGTTATAATTTTGATGAATTATGAACTGAAAAATAGAAGATGGTAAACATGTAAAAATGAATCAATTGCTTTTTCAATGTAGGTAAATTATTAAAAAATAAAAATTGACCCATTAAAATATAAGATGAAGCTAGGTGTTATGGTCATTAACTTTCGTTAATGCTTTATAAAACAAACATCTTTTATTGTGCAATGTTAAAAACTTGTTAAAACTTTAATTGTACAATTATGTTTTCAATTGCCATTCACTCATTTTCTTGCAAGTTAATAAGTTTATGCTGAATGCTACAGCAAACAAATTCCTTAGTGTTACAAGAGAATTGGGATTTGCTAAAATGCTGTGGATTTCCAGCGTGAAACAGGATAGGCTGAAGCGTAAAATAAATGCTGTTCTTCTAAGAGTTTAAACTCTGTGCAACTAAGTAGTTACAAAAGTATTAGACTTTTTTTTCAACATAACACTGTCAATTAAATTTTTTTAAAAAATTTAATTTTTTAAAAAAATTTTATGCCTTTGTATAGTTGAGACAGACTGAGAGAGCAAGACGAAGAGATAAACATACCCAAGAATATACATGTACTACACTTGGTAGTAGGCATATGCTTGAGGGCCATCACTGGGCCCAGGATAAAGGTTAAAGGGCTACCATATGGAGCCTGAAGTACTGTAGAACTTTTCATCCTAAGTGGTACTGTGGGGCTCATAGTAACCTTCATTGTTGAAAAGGAGTCACCAGCTGTATCAAGATTTCTAACAATATTACAAGCAAGTTTTCTAGTTGTTAGTGCTTAGGGCAAAAGATTGTAAGAAGTGAACAGCTGTGTCCTTAGAGGAAAGAGATCAACTATGGTGAATTCTGTGACGAGTCTGTCACTGACGAAAGGATTGATAGGGGTCATACAAATGAAGATCTTAAAACGTAGCTTCAAGGTCAAAAGGGAAAAATGAAAGTAAATTTTGAACACTACTAGGATTGTTCCGTTAAAGGAAACTGATGTAAAAAATAATTCTGGCAATGTGTGTTTGAAGAAAGGCAGCAGCACACAGTTTGATCACTATTTGATTATGATGGCATGCAGTAAGTTGTCGAATAGAGCCAAAAACCAATTCTTTGTTTCTAATGTGTGCAACCAACCACCACTTAAGTAATAAATTTGTCATTTTGACTCTAAAATTATAAGCTAATATTCTTTGTACTGATGTAACTGTGTGCTATATTCATAGCTTTACATAAAGGAAAGAACAATAGTATAAGAATATACATCTATAAAAGCAAATGATATAAATACTGTGCTATTTTCAGCGATGTTTACTACTGCATACTCGATAGGGTGGTCAAAAATTTGGAATAGGATAATAAACATACACCTGCAGGACAGATAACCCCATATTGATCGCATTTTTTTTTCATTTTGTATTGACAAATTTATGACCTAAAAGAAGAGCATGAAAAAGGTAAATGTAGGCAAGATAAAGGTTTAGGAGTTCCTTTGAAGCAAGTCAGAAATAATACATGAAAGATGATGGTGGAGAGGAAAGAGAGAGAGGGAGCATCTGTGCCCACACTGACTGAAGGAACTGAGAGATACTGAGAAGAGAAAATATGAAAGATGCAGCCATTGAATGTTTATTGCTGGTGTTACATTTTTTGTCACTTTTATCCTATAAAACATTCATTAGCAACACGCATACAAGTATGCTATGACAGATCTTCTTACATCATCTTTTTCTTTTTTTTTTTGTCAAGAAAAACACTGTATATACCTGCATTAAGCAGGGGTTATTTTCTATGACAAAATGTTCCATCAGTACTGATGAGGTGCTCTGAGTATTGATGTTGTTGGCATTCAGTAAATGCTTAATAGTAGTAATAATACCACAGATAGCATGCAGTTTAAGGAATAAAATTGGGCTTTATATATTTTTCTCTTCCTCAAAGAAGAAAATGTCTTTCCGGCCCTTTTTTATCTGATGTTCTGTGAACATTTTTCCATTAGTATGGGGGAAGCGCTACTGTGGTGAATGCTTCTGCTGCACTCAGGAAGATAAAAAATAGGCCAGATTAGAGTCACTTGAGTTGTATTCATGGAGAGAAATGCTATAGGTTCTCAAAACATTTTACTCATAATGTGTAATGTAGCTAGTTTTTTATGACATTTTCTACAATCCTTGATACTAGATGGAGTATTTGATACATTCAATTATGTGGCTAATTTCAGATTGCTAAGAGATAGATGGAGCCAGACAAATGATATGAAGTAAGATTATTACCTAAATGAATATATATTAAAGATATGACAATATATATTCATTGGCAATTTTTTACTTTTTATAAAATTAGCTCTAATTGTTGTTAAATAGGCATCTAAGAAATTGAATATATGATACACAAAAAATTAATTAGTGATAAAATTAAAGCAATAACATGGAATAATAGGAATACAAGAATAGGTTTATGCTTTTGCAAATTACGCTTGGAACTTATATACATAAAAACAAGTTGGTTGTATAGTATGCATAATAATATAGTATTATAATTATGATAGAATATTTAAAAGTTTCCTAAATTATGTGTATAATTATAAAATCAGTTTATTTGATGTTTTGTGAAGTTGTGTCAAGTTCTTTCACAGTCTTCTAAGAGAATTTATCTTAAATTACCATTGCTATCATCGTTAAACTTTAGTGAGTTATAGAGGACATTTATACACCTGATTTTTTTTTTTAATAATCTGACACATTCTTAGACATATTTGCATCTGTTTGATTTCCTTCTTAGGGTTCTTTGTCTCTTATGATTACTATCTTGAATTTCTCATATTCAAAGCCCTAAGAACTCTTATGGGTATTCAAAACACATGATAAAGGGCAGTGATAAAAGAAAAGGCTCAACCCCTGTTTATGGCACTCAGTGATCTACTGCAGGGGTTAGAAAACTGCCACTGCCAAGGACAAACGTAGGCTTTTGTTTTTGTAAATCAAGTTTAATGGAAACTTAGCCATACTCATTCATTTACATATTGCCAATGGCTGCTTCCTCACCACAAGGGCAGAACTGTGTCAATGGGACAGAGACCTTCTGTCTGCAAAGCCAAAAATATTTACTATTTGGTCATTTATAAGAGTTTTATGACCCCTGATTTATTGTCATAAAGTAGCTTGATCATTGTAAATCTTACTCCACATAACTTCTTCTCAGTATTTTTAAAAAATTTTCTTTCTCCCTAGAAAATACCTAGATCTAACTACATTCTTATTATTTAATGACTAATTAGATGGGTTTTAGTTTTCATTTGAGGAGCATTTTTTTAAAGGCCCTAAATAATATTTACATTTGAATGACTTTCAGAGATAACCAACACATTTTAAGACCTATTAATTTTAAATAATATTTTAAAATGTTAATAGAAAACGTGTATAGCACTTACTAAGTGCCAATCATAGTCCAAAATATAGTGCTTATATTAATGTATTTAATCTTCACCACAAGCCTTTGCAGAGAAGTGTCATCATCATCATACACTTTTGGGCAATGAGGAAATTTAGGCACAGAGTTTAAATATTTTAACCAAAGTAACACATTAAATGGGAGGCAGAAATGGAACTGGAACCCAGGCCAGCTGGATAATCAGTAGGCTATCTGGCGTCAGCGTACATCTGTTGGCCAATAACTCTGCTTTACCATTCAATGAACACTGTTACTCCCTTGAAAGGACCACTCTCTCTCTCTTTTTTTTTCTCCTTTTTTTTAGAGGCAGGGTTTCGCTCTGTCACCCTGGCTGAAGTGGAGTGGCCTGATCATAGTTCACTGTAACCTCTAACTCCTGCACTTCAGAGGCCCTCCCACCTTAGCTCAAGTATCTATCATTACGGGTGTGTGCCGCCATGCCTGGCCAATTTTTCAAATTTTTTTGTAGAGACAGTATCTAGCCCTCTCGTTCTGGCTGGCCTTGAACTCCTGATGTCAAGCGATCCTCTCAACCTTGGCCTCTCAGAAGGCTGGGATTACAGGCCTGAGCCACTGCCTGTTTCTCTTGTTTTCCCATATTATCATAAAGCTTTAATGTAAGCAAGGTAAGACATTAACAATTCAACAAGAGATTTTCATCTAATATAGGGAGATATCCAATAGCTCTTACTTTCTAGTGCTTAGCAATTTGATGAAAATATTAAAAGAGTACTTGAATGTGGCAAAGTAGGAGGAAAAGATTGGTGATACTTTGGCCCTTGTGTAACATGGAATTGAAATTGAAAATGATATTAAATATTTTCCAGATAGTGAAGAATTATTTTTTTGAGAAAGAAATGAGGCATTTCAAATTTTTTCATCACAAATCTTACTAGCAAATGTTACAAATAAAATAATTTTACTTTACATGCAAGTTTCAGATGGAGGCACACATAGAAAAATGAGCAAACTATAGTAATAGATAATGGCATCAAATTTACTTTGATGATGGCCAAGAAAATCAAATGAGAAAGAACAAATCTACTAAGCTACAGAAAATAAGCGATCACTGAAAAAAACCCTAAAACTTAAAAGAAAATATATTATTCAGACATTATTATTATTAATTGGCATAATACTTAGATCAGCTTGGAAAGGTGACCCTCTTTCTAATTTTAGAGTAAGTTACATTATTTAATAATAAGTAAAATAGTTGGGGAATCATTATGTAAGATGTGAATTTCAGTAAGACATCTTGAGAATTCTCTAGTTTATCAATTTTTCTTCCTGTTGGCAAGAATGCACCTGAACTATTCCAAACATGTAAAATTATCTCACCTTTAAGGATACCTAATTAATTTTAATTTATGAATCTTTCTTCGTAATTCATTGTCTGAGAATCCCTTTTTATTTAGTCATTAACTCACAAAAATAAAATATCACAACAACAGTTTTTCTAGGAAATTATCTAAAGAACTAAATGGAAAGCAATAATAAATGTTTATTTTGTGAAACTAAGCTCTGAAAGGAGCTGAACTGCTCCTGTCTGATATGGCTAGTACTCAATGAATTTTATCTTGTATCACTGTACAGTCATCTTGAAAATGAGAAATGATAATTCAAAACATTATTGCACTTTACATTTAATGAAAAATATTGGCTAGTTAGATCAACCCTTAAAAAAAAACAAGTTTTGCAAGATTGAAATATTGTTACAATAGTTGTTTTTATAATACACATTCAAAAATACTTAAGCATTCACATCTGATGGAGGATAAATCTGTTTAAAGGGGTTTAAAGTACAACCACTCACCACTAAGCTGGCCTTTGTCAGCATGCACTTGACATCTGAATAAGTCTATTCTCTGTGTGGTGAGGGGTCAACACAATAAAATGGCTGTTATTGAATCATCAAGTGGTTTGGGAGAATACTACCAAAATGCTGTCTAGGTGTTCTAGCACTGATCTGTGCAGAGGTCACTTTCACCTGAGCTACCTATGAAATCTCATGTTCAACAAGACACAAGGAATAGTTAACAAGCCCAGAGACAGTAAATATTGAAGCAACTCTCCCTTGGCCAGTGTTTTGTATTTAACCCAAGTCTTCTCCAGGAGCATTGTTAAATCTGTTTTAGAACTAGAGAAAGAATGTGAACTTGACACCTTTGGATGGATGGGAATTTCCTGTCTTAAATCCCATCCTGATTCAATCACAGAAACTTTATTATGTTCATTATTTGTATTATCATTGCTGTTCTTGTTTAAAATTGGATCATTTGTAAGATTTCCAAATCTCAAAATCTTGAAGAGATCAACCACCAAAAAACAGACTAAAAAGCCACCGTAATGAAGAAATAAGTCCATTACTGAGACTATCTCAGCATTTCACATGGTTATATGCTAAGTAAGTTTTTTATATTATAAGGTTGTTTGACACAACAAGGTAACTTTGAAAACAAAATATATCTTCAAAGGTTCATTTTAAAAATTAGGCAGCATGTACTACATACCATATATAATTTCAGAAATACAAATCATTGTTATTTCCTCCTGAAATAATATAATTATTTAAATTTATGATTTTCATAAAATACTTCACTTAAATATTACTCTAGGTATGAAAACGTGTATTACAGATAAAAATTACTAAAGACCATCTCTAAAAAATATCCTGTAGAATAGACTTACTAACCAAAGAGTATATATAGTAAATATTGGCCTGTTTTACCAAAAATGAGGTAGATTAATTGGGTATACTCATGAAGAATGACTTGCAATTAATCCCTAATAATATTCTTAAATGCCAAGTATATGTAAATCAAATGCATGATTATTTGAAAGCCAGCACAGTTTCCATAGAGTGGAACATACTTTTTCTAGCATGCCTTGATATACTTTTAAGCAAGAAGAGCTCTTGTAGGGATGTCAGATATTTAAACCAAGTTCTGACCTCTTCCTAAATCTAATGTATTACTTTGGCTTTCTACTCAACATGGCTCTGTATTTACTGTTTTTAAAAAAGATTTTTAATTATTATTGGCACATAATAGGTACATATAATCATTGGGTACACATGATGTTCTGGTACAAGCATACAATGTTTAATAATCACATTAGGGAAATTGGTCTCTCTATGTCTTCATTCTTGAGTTCAGTGTTACAGTTATGATTAAAGAAAATATCTCTTCACTAGTTTGGGCCTGTTAAAGTGAACTAAATGTGGCCTAAGAAGGACTCCATACTTCTCTATTTGAGTCCTTGTGGAGGAACTACAGCCTAACTTAATAGGTAGGCAAGATTGAAAACCTAACTTATATCAGGCACCTAGCTGTGCCTGATCATTAGGCCATAAAAACTGCATGCTTTAAAAAGAAACTTAGAAACTGGCAAATGAAAAGTCTTACAACTACTGGATCTTCTTCTGTCTGTCTGTGTAGTTATATATGTGTTGTGTGTGTAATGCTTACATAAAAGAGATCTAATTAATTGGCTTAAAGAAAAGTAAGTGTTTAGATAGAATATTTTGAAAGAAATATAAAAACTGTAATGCCTTTTAGTTCACATGACTTTGGTAATCTCTGGGAAATAAAAAGTTTTAAAGATTATTGGCAAAAATAAAGACATTTGGTCTAAATTCAGCAGGCTGGATATTAAGTTTACTAAATGCTTTAAGGCCATAAACTGCTTCTTTGACTTCTCAAAATTGTTCAGTTTACCTATTTTGGAGCATTAGATTCTAGATAAAGCCTGGGGACATGTGGAAAGCCCAGCCCCGAGCTATGCTGGAAAAAGTCAGACCTTATCTGATGTCCTAGGCTCCATACTGACTACATAATTAAAATCTCTTAGTTACCAAGGTTTTTCACCAAAATTAAAAATTTCTAAGAGTTACCATTATAACATGTAATTTAGACTACTGAAAAAACAGCTTTACCTGCAAAGTATTTAAGGAAAGTAAAATGTGTTTTTAGTTTCCTCAAATACTTTAGAAAGGCATGGAAATGTGAATTTTCTTGCCTAAGTTTAGAGGGTTAAATGATTGTTTTAAGTGACATAGGAAAAATCTAAACATTTGAACAAGTTGTAAAAGTTTTATAAAATTAATTGTAAAAGAAATCCTGTGAACACTGGCTAAAGTTAAAGTGATATTACTCAGTTTTACTGTAAATTGAACATTAAAATAAAAGCACAAGAAGACTTTATTAAAGTGCTGATTTGCTCTTTCACAAAAATTATAAAGGGTTATACAAAGGCTTATAAGAATTTCACCTTATGGTCAAACTGATTAAGATTGAATCAATTTGTCTTACAAGGTTTTATTAAAAATTACAGTTGACATTAATAGTAGACTAAAGCAAAGGTGAAATTTGATGTTCTCTCTTGAACAAGATTTTCATGTAAT
The DNA here is from genome assembly GCF_000001405.40 of Homo sapiens. Classification (NCBI taxonomy): domain Eukaryota; kingdom Metazoa; phylum Chordata; class Mammalia; order Primates; family Hominidae; genus Homo; species Homo sapiens. Next base: position 51,926,689 of record NC_000005.10, read on the forward strand.
ATTACAAGATAATGAAAGATTTTTGTTTGCCTTTTTTAATAGACTACCAAAAAGAGAAGGGAAAGACAAAAGACAGATTGTTTGGAAAGCTAAGTCTTCCCTTTATGAATGAGTAAAGGTTTTTGCCTTTTTAAAATTTTTGAGTCATCATTTGACTTATGGTGACCTGGAATTCTGTTTCATAATATCAAGTGTTTTAAACCTGTAACATATTTGATAGGCTTCCCCAAATCAAATTTAAGCTTCAGAATTGTCTTTCCTGACCTCTAACTTTGGGGTGCTATGGAGGGCCCCTGAAGCATCCAAAAAAGAGGTAAACAGGACTATTTGACATGTTAAGTTACATGGGAAGCATTGTCAAAATAAAAAATAATGTTTAACCTCCTTCAGGTTATATTTTAGTGTAGGTCATCAATATGTTTTGATTAATGGGAAAAAAGATTTGTTAGGCTAATCTTAAGCTTAGTGAATCTGGTATTCTTTGAGTGTCTTTCTGTATTGTTCTGTCATAAACAGGGGTACCTTAGGATAGAACATGGTCTTAGAACCCTATAAGCCCACTGTTCAAGATGGCCCAGCAAACTGGTCTGTTATGTCCTTGGGAGCTTGACCTTGTAACCACGTGGCAGCACTTTCTTTTGGTCTCCATCATCACAATTGCAGCCCAGGTTCAGAGTTCAATTCCCCACTTAGGGAATGAGTACTTTCTTGTTTGATATCTGAATAAACTCCATGGTCTAAGTCAAATTACCTTTAATAACCCATCAGTTATCAGTGCTATGTACCTAAATTGGAGAAACAACTGATATTTAAGAAGACATAAGTCCAGTGTTAAGCATGGATTCATGGAGAACCAGGGTGGCTGCCTTTTCCTTCCTGAGTCCTTAAAGCTTTTGTTATTAAAGGTTCTGCATTCCATGACTCATCATGGAAAGGATAAAATTATCCAAATTAAATATATATTGGTGTAGTGACTTCTAAATTGCTAAAATAGTTTATAACCAATGTTTAGTTTGTCAAACCCATATTCCTGGGAAGACAATAAAAACTTCAGGCACATCTGGCTACCTGATGGACCATTTAAACATTTATAGAGAGATTTCATTCAACTGTCATTTTCAATACATATTTTTTCTGGTCATATAAAAGCTTTCCCATGCAAAAGAGCTGATGTTATATCACTAAATTATTGTGCTACAGTGTATTTTCATCAGGTAAAGAAAGCTATTCATGGTTCACTGACTGGGTATAATCAACCCCTTCACAATTTAGAATCTGAAGATTGGATCTCTGAGAACATCAGAAAAAGACTGTCCTTGCTATGCACACTACAGCAAAAACTTTGGGACTTTGAAACTGGATTTATAATCCCACAACTGAGAACAGAGTCTCTCCAAACTCTTGCAATTGTATACCCACTGGAACACTTAAGGTAAAGCTAACCAGGGAAGATGGCATCCTTTATGTGAACAGCTTTTCACAAGATCACAGATCAGGACTTCTACTATCATGAGACCCTTATTTTTGAATATTTTTTCCTTGCTTATGCCTTTATGAACAATAGAAGTGAAAAGGGGGTCTGTTGTGTGCACTTATGGAGTATACTTTCATTTGTGACCGATTTTGCAGCTGCCCTTATACATAGATAACTTTATACTTTGATAGGTGAAGGCCCAGTGTATGTGAGAAACTTTAATGGTACATATGTTTTCTCATAATCAGTCAGAAACAGAACATTTGTTCACTCCTCTGAACCCACATCATCAGTTAAAGAGAACATTGCCAAGAGGGCCTTCGATCTTCTAGAAGGGCATCGTTTGTTAGGTCCTTTTTCCATGGTTTGGAATAAAAGAGGCAATGAATAGAAATGTATACCTCACAATAGACTCTATGGCAGATTCTGCTGTAAAGACTATACTTACACAACAGACTTTAAATTCTCTTGGGAAAATTATGCTAAATAATAGAATTGGCTAAACAGAGAAGTATCTGTGTATCTGCTGACACTTATGGCCTATGGAGAAGACATCAGGTATTGCAGAGATTCAGTGGCAGGAAATTAATGAAAAGACCACTTAGTTAAGCAAGTAGACTCTTTAGCTCATTCTTTTATCTATTTAGTTTTAGATGGTTTGGTTTATGGGGACCCTGGGTAAGGAACATACTCCAAACTTTTGGTATTATCATCCCAATAGTCGTAATAGTCTCCCTGATGTTCTGTATTCTCTCAAAGGTTTTAAATGTTTGCATGCAGCCATCTCTAGGATGTCAAATGGTATCTCTTCAGATACCATGCAGAGCTAAAAGAAACGTGCAACAATGAGGACACCATAACCTATGAATGACATGCTGAGACTGGAAACCTAAAATGATGGTAACTGAGAGTGGTGCTAAGGCCCTAAGTTTTGGTCACACTGTCACCTAAATGAAAACCTGGCTGAAAGGGGTGAAATTTTTTAAACAAAATTATGGGAGGCCCTTGTTTTGGACTGAGCTTATGCACTAGGCCCCAACAGACCAAACTAAACCAAAATGGAGTCACTCATGCTAAATGTGACATAATCAAACGAAGACATTAAGGAAACACATAGATCCTAGAAGAGACCAGGTTTTGTTTTGCTCCTGTAAACAAGATGTTACAGTATGAGGGATACCCTCTACTCAAGTCCTTGTTCCTGCCTTTGAAAAACTCACTGTTCTACTGTTTCTCAGTAGGTTTCAAGACCAAATAAGTACATTTGCAATGGTGATAGTGACATCAATGACTAAAGTTTTGGTCAATCTCTCAAAATTGAGAAAATGACCAAAAGGGGGGAATTGTTAAAGTGAACTAAATATAGCCTGAGAAGGGCTCCACAATTCTGTATTTGAGTCCTTGTGGACAAACTACAACCTAACTTAATAAGTAGACAAGATTAGAAACCAAACTTAGGAGTATGTGCCTGTAACAACAGCTGAGTCTTGGCCAGTCCCAGCAGCCATACTTCAACCATTCATACACTGCTGAGTGTTCAAACTGTGTTCAAATAAGGCAAACATCAACCTGTAACCAATCTAACTGTTTTTGTACCTCACTTCCAATTTCTGTATGTCACTTTGCTTTTTTTGTCTATGAATTTGTTCTGACTATGAGTCACCCCTGGAGTCTCTCTGAATCTGCTGTGATTCTGGGGACTGCCTGCTTCGCGAATTGTCCATTGTTCAATTAAATTCCTTTAAATTTAATTCATCTGAAGTTTTTCTTTTAACAGTCCTACAAAATCTTCACTGGCTAAGCTATAAGAGGAGGTCCTCAGGTGATGTTTAATATATAAAATTTTAATTTTTAATAGGTAGTCTATACTTGGATATCAAGAGTCTGTTTTGAGAATAGTATTTTGGACACAGTGTATCTTGAATTCACCAGGGTGCTTGATACCCTTGGTAGGAAAGCTGGATTAAACGTAACTTGCTGGAAGTGTCCAATTAGAGTAAAGTGAATGTAGTGGAAAAGTTCTAGCAGCAAGTTATAGATTTGGTAATTGTACCCTTACCCAACTTTGGTAGAAATTGGATTGGCATTTGTTACAACACATCATATTAGTTGTTCATATTCCTGCTTCCTCTCCAACACCCACTCATTAATTCCCAAGGCATCATGGACTTGAATTGCGCCAGGCACCGTGCTGATGCTGAGTGTCACAGTGCAAAATTGGCCAGGTATGGTCCCTCTGTCATGGAATTTATAGTTTTATAAAGTCTTTCAATGCAGAAAATAGGTCTTATTTAATTGTATTCAAATAAACACAATAGACACTTAACAAATATTTATGAATCTTGATAGAAATTTTGTAGGGTATATATGTCACATTTTCCAAATTTTGGATGCTGCTGGAGATACACTCGATATATTGAATAAGGGATTATGGATCTAAAAGATTTTCAAATCTCTATTTTTCAATCTAGAATTGCAGTGAATAAGACTGAATTTGTAGAGATGTGATTTAAGAAACACTCAAGGTAGAAATGGCCCTGAGTAGGGCCTGGCCTACAGCCAAGGGGAACTCTAGGCTGCCTGGCATGGTTGGTCAGTGCCAGGGCTGGGCTAAGAAACCAAGAAACACCAGTATTTAAGAGATGATGGCATCTGAAACCCACAATGTTAAAAAGCAGAACTTTTGAAATAATATTCAGGATCATTTAATTGATGGACCTAGGAAAAGGATTTCTAATTTCATTAATAAGAACAAGAAGGAAGTTAAGAAACCTCAACAGTTAGCTGCTTATATAAATAGAACAGTTGGACGAACTGTCAAAAGTCCAGATAAAACTAGGTAAGGTAATCTGGCCAGGTGCAGTGGCTCACGCCTGTAATCCCAGCACTTTGGGAGGCCAAGGCAGGTGGATCATGAGGTCAGGAGATCGAGACCATCCTGGCTAACACAGTGAAACCCCATCTCTACTAAAAATACAAAAAATTAGCCAGGTGTGGTGGCTGGCATCTGTAGTCAGCCAGCTGAGGCAGGAGAATGGCGTGAACCCAGGAGGCAGAGCCTGCAGCGAGCCGAGATCGCACCACTGTACTCCAGTCTGGACTACAGAGTGAGACTCTATCTCAAAACAAAAAACAAACAAACAAAAACTATGTAAGGTAATCTTTCATAGAAAGTTAGTTCATTATCCCTTTCCAAACCTCTGTTATAGGAAAAACAAAACAAACAAAAAAACACAGTCCCCTAGAAGTGGGGCTGTGACGTGGCAAATAAAGAAAATGAACTGGTTTGTGCAGGCCACCTGCCTGAAAAATTATGCCAGAGTAGGCAAATATATTTGCTTAACCCCAGTGATTCCAATTTTTCACAGATATAAAGCCCATCATCACAATACAGTCAGTATTTTTCGCAAGTTTCTCAGGATCATGAAACAAATGGCCCAAGTTTTGCTCAGCAGGAATTTGAAACTGAATGTATCTTTAACTTTCTGGAGAAAGAAGTATACGTGAATTTGCAGCTTGTTTGGTGAGAATAGAAGATCTTGGCATTGAGGTAGATTGCCTTCCTGTGCTCACCAGTAGTTTACAGGGAGAAAAACAATATATCTTACTTGAACGCTGGGTAGGCTCGTTGCCTCTAGTAAACTCACTATGTAAAAGCAAATTTGAAAAATACCTAACAGTTGGTTTAAACTGGCTTCAAGCAGTCATTAAAAGGTGGTGGTCAGAACTATTGTCCAAAACAGAAATTATAAATAATGGAAACATTCAGATTTTAAAACAACAGTTAAATGGATTGTTAGAACAGGAAAACCACCTTACTTTGGTTCCAGGATATACTGGTAATATAGCTAAGGAAGTAGATGCTTATTTATTACCAGTGAGAGATTTAATCTACTAAAGAGCATTTGTTTATTCAAAACATTCCTGGATTATACAATTTACAAGAAAAAAAAAAGATTTCTTCCGAGAGCTCTGAACTGTGGAAGAAATTAAAACCATTTTTTCTTTTAAAAAGCCACATAATAAAACCACTAATGAAACCATAACAATCTACTTCACATAGAAGTGAAAAAATACCCAAAAGAAGCAGCTTCAACTTTAATGAGATGAAAGTACACTATGGAAAATGTTGGCCTTGCTGCATTTGGGGTTTATATAGTTATTTGCTAACATTATTTAAGAACTACTGGATCTTAACACAAGCCTGCATAAAAATATACTTTCTATTGTGTGAAAAACTAAGAGAGGGTGTATGGCTAGGAACCCTAAAGAGCAATCATCTCTTTTTGAAGTAACTTTTTGAAGACTGTGTTTTATTGAAAAAACAAATATGTGTGACTATCTTTTTGTATTTAAAAGAATGAAAGTTTAAAACAATGGCAAAAATCAATCTTAAGTATTTTTGTCCATACTGAGATACTGTGTATGTGAAATGCCTATGATACCAGTATCTGTTTTAAAAAATTAAAACCAACTATGCTTCTGCCACGACGAAATCATTAAATTAAATCAGGGGTTTATATTCATGTGGAGTGTTGTTGAAACGTATTCCATACCATTTTTAAAACTTGAAAATATCTGACCTTTTTGCCAGAATCATCATGTCTATGTGCTCTCCCTCCCATAAGCGGTTTGAGTGTGTGGCCGCTGAACAGACGAGCCACACCACTGTTGTACATCCTGTGCTGGGGATCAGGGAACTCTCCCATTTCATTAATACCTTCGTACATCAGGTATGGGTTCTTAAAGCAACATGATTCCTGGAGGGGTTAGTGCATAATTCAGTTTAATTTAACTATACATGTTCCAATAAGTAAAGTTCTTTAAAATTATGAGACTGTTTCCTATTGCTGGAAGAATTATGAGACAAGGTGTATCTCTGAATTCTTCAAAATGTGAGGGTTTTTCATAACGACAGTCTTAGAAAAGTTATTTCTTTCACACACTGCACTTTAAGTTTGGAGTTTGATGAGAATCTCAAAGTATGGAAGGGGTGGTATTCTGTACATTTGAAATTAAGATGTCATTAGTCAATCCATCTATGTATAGGTTGCTTGCAATAATCTTGACATTTGAATTTCTGATAGTATAGATTTTTTTAAATCTTTATTTTAATATGATGGTTTAAGTATCAATATATTTTATGTATTACCTATGATTATAAATTAGCATTTAGAAAAAATCTAGCAGCCAAGAATTTCTTAAACTAATGTTAAGTAAAGTGACATTGTTTATATCTTTTTTTTTTTTTTTTTGAGGTGGAGTCTCGCTCTGTTGCCCAGGCTGGAGTCCAGTGGCACATTCTCAGCTCACTGCAACCACCACCTCCCAGGTTCAAGCAATTCTCCTGCCTCAGCCTCCTGAGTAGCTGGGTTTACAGGCCTGTGCCCCCACACTCGGCTAATTTTTGTATTTTCAGTAGAGTCGAGGTTTCAACATGTTGGTCAGGCTGGTCTCGAATTCCTGACCTCGTGATTTGCCCGGCTGGGCCTCCCAAAGTGCTGGGATTATAGGAATGGGCCACTGCGCCTGGCCTTGTTTATGTCTTTTAAAACTTTGAGACAATCCTTTAAAACCTTGTTAACACCAATATTAAAGAAAAATACTAACAATTAATATCCTAAATGAATTTGAAGACATAAGCTGGTCCCTAATCACTACCTAAATGTAAGGCCAATATATGAGCCTTAAAAATCCCTTTACATAAAAACTAACCTTAAACCACTCACAACCAAAGCGTACGCCTCAAGAATACTAAATTTCAATAGTTTCCGTCAATACACTTTCACTAAACTAGTTTGTGTTTTTTGCTTTCTGCTGCTATTTTTTTGTTTTGTTTAGACTTTTTTTTCTCTCTTCCTCCTGAGAGAAGGATAAAATGATGGGAGAGCTGGAAATTCTCTGGGTTACAGGATAAATCCCTCTTGGCTGCATGTGACTGCCTCATTGAGCAGCTGGGAATACTGTAAAGCAATGCTCAGCACTCGCTCTTATAGTCTTTTATGTAATATAATATATATTTTTAAAATTGATTGTAATTTTTTTTAGCACTTTGGGGGCTGCTGGTGGTCTCTTTTTCAGGCTAAATAGACCAACTGCTGCTGCTAAAAGAGTTTATTCGACCACCCACACTCGGAAGCACAACCTCCTTCTCCCTGTGTTTCCCTGAAGTAGCAGTCAGCAAGGCCTGTGCAGTAATGACTGTGAGCAGCCTTCAGGATCAGAAAAATGTCACAGCTTGATCCCTAGAGCCTCCAGTGCCCCCATTCAATCAGTGCTCAACTGCATGACGCACCCTGGAACTTAAAATGAAAGTCCTGGATTCATGGCCAAAAATACAAACTCCCTACCGGCTCTTCCTGTGGGAGTTATTGAAGTTCTTGGTTAGCTCACCAATGGTTACCTACACTCTCCTTCTGTCCCAGATAGCAAGGAAAAAAAGGCACAACTGTAACATTTTCTGCACAAAGGCCTCAGCTGGGACGCAGAAGGACTTAAAAACAGCAGGCATATGCGTTTTAAAACAACATTTTGACAGATAAAGTCAAGTGATAAAATATAGTGAACTTATAATTACCCCTGCTATTGGAGGCAAGCAAAGAAGGTGATAGGCCAAAACAGGCATATGCCAACTCATGAAATTTCATTTTATTTTCCTCTGAAACTACAGAATTTGAGTGTTGTGTGTGTGTGTTTCCAATTATGGTAAGGGGTGATAATTTTCAGGCCCAGATAAATACAGAAGAATGGGAAAAGCAACAATAAATTAAAATTGTGCTATAAATATTTCCATACCGCTCTGCGGCAAGAGGCACATACACTTGCTCAAGGAGTATTTACATACAAAATATTGGGTGGCCTATGAGCATCTACTTGAGAGATGCCTGATACAAAATGGACCAGGAGCTTTTGGGCACAGGAAGATAGTGTAATAACTACTTGAAGAAATTTACATCAATAATAATAAAATTTTGATGACTATACAACCTTATTATCACTGGCATCCCAGGAACTTCTTATATTCTGAGTTTGTTTTCCCAACAGTCTCATTTTCTAAACTTTCAAACTTTGTTGTTACTTTGATGGAAGTAAGAGTTCAGAAAGAATTAAACCATTTCTATTACTTGCTACCATATTTTGAAATGATTTTCTCCATAGCACAAAACAGCAAATTTAATACATGTGACGTGTAAGCAGAGATACATCTTTTAGCATACATACCAAATCTTGGCTCACAATTATTTTAGTTGATAATTTAAATTTATCTTAGACCTCAAAGACCAATACCTGTTCATTATTCCATAAATTATAAGATTCAATTATGCAAGCACACTGAAGGTCTTATTTATTTATTTATTTATTTATTTTTAATTTTTTTTTTTTTTTTTTTGAGACAGAGTCTCGCTCTGTCGCCCAGGCTGGAGTGCAGTGGTGCGATCTCGGCTCACTGCAAGGGCTGCCTCCCGGGTTCACGCCACGCTCCTGCCTCAGCCTCCTGAGTAGCTGGGACTACAGGCGCCTGTCACCATGCCTGGCTAATTTTTTTGTATTTTTAGTAGAAACGGGGTTTCCCCGTGTTAGCCAGGATGGTCTCCATCTCCTGACCTCGTGATCTGCCTGCCTCAGCCTCCCAAAGTGCTGGAATTACAGGCGTGAGCCACCACGCCTGGCCAGGTCTTATTAATTTAAAATCAGATTCACACCTGTTTTTGCATATGAACGTTTGTGCAGTAATTTGAGTCCATAATAACTGACTTTATGTTACCTTTATAAATTTATAAATGACTATTTCTTTGTGAAATATGGCTTATTTCTTGATTAGGGAGACTAACAAAAGTTCAGCGAATCTGAAGATCCTACTGATAGGTGTGTCGATCATTTCTGAGGAAACTGGCATGCTGAGAAGTAAAAAATGTCCCCAAGCTAAAGAATCTTTATTCAAATAGCTGAACAGAGATGGACATGTTAATGAATCACTTTTCTCAAAATTTTATTCAAAAAATTATACATTTTTGGCCAGGCGCGTTGGCTCACACCTGTAATCCCAGCACTTTGGGAGGCCAAGATGGGCAGATCACGAGGTCAGGAGATCGAGACCATCCTGGCTAACACTGTGAAACCCCGTCTCCACTAAAAATACAAAAAATTAGCCAGGCGTGGTGGCGGGTGCCGGTAGTCCCAGCTACTCGGGAGGCTATGGCAGGAGAATGGCATGAACCCGGGAGGCAGAGCTTGCAGTGAGCCGAGATTGCGCCACTGCACTCCAGTCTGGGCAACAGGTCGAGACGCCGTCTCAAAAAAGAAAAAAATCATACATTTTTAAAAGCAAATAATATGATGAATCATATTGATTTACATAAAAATATAGCATTTTGGCCGGGCACGGTGGCTCACGCCTGTAATCCCAGCACTTTGGGAGGCCGAGGCGGGCAGATGACAAGCTCAGGAGATTGAGACAATCCTGGCTAACATGGTGAAACCCCGTCTTTACTAAAAATACAAAAAATTAGCTGGGCGTGGTGGCATGCACCTGTAGTCCCAGCAATTCAGGAGGCTGAGGCAGGAGAATCGCTCGAACCCGGGAGGTGGAGGTTGCAGTGAGCCGAGATGGTGCCACCGCACTCCAGCCTGGGTGACAGAGTGAGACTCCATCTTAAAAAAAATGCTATATATATAGCATTTTATTAGGTAGAAAATAAAATTTGTTTCTTTTGACTCTATTAACCTTATTCAGGTGGGAGTGAAAAATTGTCTCTCATTAGAAAAATGAGTCAGTTATAAAACTGACAAAATGGTTTAAGGAGAAATTAGAGAAGCAGAAGGTGGTAATTGATTTTTAATGAGGCTTTGTAGTATAAGATTTGACGTAGCTTTTATTTTAATTATTTCTTCCTCTTATTCATGCCATAAAAGATTGTGTATTCAAAAACAATAAGGGGCAGCAGCATGAGAATTGTTTTGTGAAGAATAATTGTGTGGTCTTCTAACAAAATTTTGCAAAACATTGCTAACTCTTCTCCCAGAGTTTTGAGAAGAGAGTGATATATTTGTGATGTAGAACTATGAAAGATGATAAAGGTAATAAAATGCCACCTGCATTGTATGAATGTTTTCTGTGAGAATCTAAGTTTGCACCTATCATCATCATAATCATCATCATAAATCTATTTATCAAATACTTACCATGAGACAGATTTTTTTAACCAGAATCTTATCTTATTTAGTTTTCTTTATAGAGCAAATATATCAATTTAGATCTTACGTGAATTGTTAGATCCTTGGATCTTACATACAGTATATTAACAATGTCCAGAAGACCAACTTGTGGTGAAAAAAAAAGGTCAGAATATAGTATTCATTCCTATATACAATATGAAGCAACATTTATTTTCTGTGTATTTTTCATATAAATATAAATAATTAGTTCCATGTTATGCATACTTTGGGTACAGAAGTAGCTTCTTTGTTACTTAATACCAAGTTATAGCAGCCACATTATAAGAATATCATCTCTGCATCAAGCATATGAAAGTACATACCCTGGAAAGTGAAATCCTCTGGGATGAAATCCTCTGGGACCCACTGGTAATAACCATTCTAGGATATCAGCTGAAAAGTTTAGAAAAAAGATAAACCCCAACTGAATTATGATGCAGAAAGTGCAGAGCAGAAACGTTCTTGCAGTGGTTTTTGTTTTGGGCTTCCGTGGTAGGCAGAATGATAGCTCTCTAAAGATGCTCATGTTCTTATCCCTAAAACCTATGTTACCTTACAATGCTAAAGAGGCTTTCAGATGCGGTTAAGTTAAAGATTTTGAGATGGGGGAGAGTAGCCTGAATTACCTAGGTGGGTCCTATGTAATCACAAGGGTCCTTGTAAGAGAGAGGTCAGAGTTAGAGAATGAGGTATGAGGATGGAAGCAGCGGTCAGAGTGCAGGAAGGAATGGAAATGCAGGCAACGTCTAGAAGCTGGAAAAGTCAAACAGGCAAAAGCCTCTTAAAGCTTCCAGAAAAAATATTGCTCTACCATCCTGCTTTCAGACTTCTGATATGCAGAACTGTAAGATAATATACTCAAGTTGTTTTAGGCTACTAAGTTTGTGGCAATTTGTTATAGTAGGAATGGGAAACTAATACAGGCTTCACACTCAGAAAGATTCTCATTTAGACTATAATCTCCAAATTAATTATACATACATAGTTAGAAATACAATGACATGACTGAAAAATGAAGGCGCTGTTCATTCAAATTTGTATCCCATTACTAGACCCCCCAGCACTATGACTTTTTAAATAAATCCTTTGTCTTGTGAATAAATAAATGTGTTGTAAATGTTTAAAGCATAATTTTGCTAAATGTATACCACAATTTTATAACTTCATTTTGGCATGCCATTACTTTAAAAAAAATAGACTTAAAATACTTTTATGTTCAAGGGCGCAAGTGCAGGTTTGTTACATAGATAAACTTGTGTCATTGTATAGATTATTTCATCACACAGATATTAAGCCTGGTACCCATTAGTTGTTTTTCTTGATCCTCTCCCTACTTTCACCCTCCATCCTCTAAAAGGCCCCAGTGTGTGTAGTTTCTTCTATGTGTCCATGTGTTCTCATCATTTAGCTCCCACTTGTAAGTGAGAACATGTGGAAATTGGTTTTCTGTTCCTGTGTTAGTTTGCTAAGAATAATGGCCTCCAGACCATGAGCCAGATATTGTTAAATATCCGTTACAAACATGAACTTAATGCCTTGAAATAGGTGCTATTATTATCACCATTCCCATCATATATACGGTTAAACTAAGGTCCACAGAGTTTAGAAGCTTGCTCCACATCACTTAGACAGGAAGTAGGAGAGCCAGGAATCCAAATCAGGCAGACTGCTCCAGAGTGCATGTACTTAACTACCATGATGTTTCTTCTGCTTCATGAATTTCAATAAGAAACAGGAAAATTGCTCATTGCCAACCCTTTAAAACTGAAGCAGTGGGTTTGCCACCTACTGTCCCCTTTCAACACTTGGTACAGTTTTGATATTTTGAGAGAGTTCAGCCAGTGTGGTACAAGACTAATATCTTATCACTTTGTTTGTGCTTGTGAAGGAAGAGTATAGAATTCAGACTAAATAAAAGAGAATCAAATATTCATTTCTCGCTTTCACCAAATAAGAAATGATTATTAGATTCTCTTATATTTGCAGTCTCTTTTATTTACTCACAAAAATTTATGAGTAAATTTGTAGGGTTGATGGTTCATAATAATGAATTTCCCAAAATGTCCCTTTTTCTTAGGAGGCAGCATGGTATAATAAATAAGCTGTTTGGAGCATGATTGATATGAGGTAGAATCCCTATCTGGCCACGTCCTCCCTGTGTGTATTTGGGCATGTTTTCTAAACTTTTGTAGGTACAGTTTCCTCTTTTATAAACTGAAGACACACATCATTAAACTGAAGATAAGCATCATTCTCACATGGTGATAGAAAAGATAAAATGGAGTGAAAAGACATTGCCCTCAAGAAGTCTTATATGTTTTTCCTTTTAACTTGTGTTTCTTAGAACAGTGTTATTCAAGCCTGGTTGCTCATCAAAACCTGTATGGAGCTTCTAAATACCAAATGCCTGGACCCTAACCGTGAAACTTCAGAGTATCAGTTAAGAATTTAAAACACTTGCTTTACATAAAGTGCCCAATTTTCTCTGGAGCTGATGAGATGTCACAGGACAATGGATTTCCATTCAAGTCCTCTCAATCATTTCTCACTTTGGAGAAAAAGCAGCAGCTAATGCTGTATGACCAGAATAATGTATTCCTCAAATGACCACTGGCCGGGCACAGCACTCATGCCTGTAATCCCAGCACTTTGGGAGGCCGAGGCAGGCGGATCACGAGGTCAGGAGATCGAGACCATCCTGGCTAACACGGTGAAAACCTCTCTCTACTAAAAATACAAAAAATTAGCTGGGCATGGTGGCAGGTGCCTGCAGTCCCAGCTACTCGGAAGGCTGAGGCAGGAGAATGGCATGAACCTGGTAGGCAGGCTCACAGATTCATGAGATAAAAAATAATTGGTGTTTTAAATCACAAAGTTTTCAGGTGTTTGTTGCATAACAAAGCCTATATGGGAAAAAATCCTTGAATTTTCTAATCATTATCATTGCTTTAGTGAAGGGAACTGTGCCTCAGGTTGTTCTGATGATAATCCAAACCTCATTTCCAGATAATTGTAATTTACTTATCTGTTTAGAACATGTCATAAAGAATTTGTTGTTGGTCAGAAAGTGATCTGGCCTTTGCCTCACATTCTGGGAAGTAATCAACATCATACACTTCTGTCATCAAAGGAGGGTTTGTTTAGACCAAGGGTTGGCCATACCAGATATTAGGATGGGTTGAGGCTTGCAACACGTAAGTTTTAGGACATGAAATGACGAGGCCAGAAACACTAACCATGTGATTAAGAAGTTGGGGGGTGTCTTTGGGTCATATGATAATCTGTTGACTTCAATATTGAATTCAATCATGTGGATAATCACTCAATCATACATATGTAATTAATCCCCCCCCCCCAAATCTCCAAATACTGTATCTCTGGTGAGCTTCTCTTGTTGGCAGCACTACATGTATATTGTCATATATTAGTTCTGGAAAGACAATGTGTCTTGAGTACAACAGAATCTTCATATTTAGAACCCTTCCAGGCTTTGCCCTGAACAACTCTTTCTTTGGTTGATTTTAATTTGTATTTTTTCCTGATACTAAAGTAAAATCATGGCTAAAATAACTTTTAATGGGTTTTGTGAAGGCTTCTAGCAAATCATCAAAACTTAGGGTGGTTTTAGAAATTTCCCAAACCTACAGTTTGTGTCAGACATCTTGAATAGACCTGGCAATGCCCTCAAACTTTGAAGTTTGTCTAACTCTAGGTAGCTGGTACCAGGAGTGGAGTGGATGTTTCCAAGAATGACCCTGACTCACTGAAACATGTGGTTTGAAAAAAGAATGAATAAGTGGTAAGAGGATAAATGATTTTTCGATGGTCATGGGGTTACCAATAGTATGGAGCTGCAGATGTGTTGTGATCAATTAATGAAAGCAAAAGTTACCAATAGAGTTAAGGAATAATGGATCAAACTCTTGAAGAGTTTGAATGCATAATGGCATGCAAAGTAGTAAGAAATAAACTAAATCTACAATTTCTTGGTTATTGATATCTGTAATAGCTAAAATTAAAGAAAGGGAAAAAATTGAAGTGGATACTGATACTGGGCCAAGCTTGGATTCTGGCTGGTTCAAATTACAGCTTCTTGCCTCAACTCTCCTACCAATAAATAAAATAAAAATAAAACCAAAAATATATTAAGGTAAATGCTTACTTTGCACCTGGCTTATATCTTTACCAGTCTGAATCATAACTTACAGGCCCCTACCAAGGGGTAAAGTTGAAATAAAATCATATGAGTGAGTAAAATGATTAGAGGGTGGGAAAGAGACATTTCTGGCACTCTGTGGCATGGGAACTCTATGTATTATGATTCCAAAAGAAAATGAAAATGAATATTGTCTCAGGGACTAGGAAATACCATCAAACATATCTACATAAACATAATGTTAAACTCAAAGAACATGAAAGAGAAAGATCAGAAAATATTTGAAGAAATAATTGCTTAAATCTTTCTAAGTTTGATACAAGACATTAATCTACACATCTAAAAAATCTCACTAGATTCCAAGAGATCCACACCTAGATATGTCATAATAAAATGGTTAAAAGCCAAGCAAAAAGACTAATTTGAAAGTTGCAAGACAGAAGGGACTCATAACTTATAAAAAATCCTCAGTAAGATCAACAATTGATTTATCATCAGAAACATTATAGCCAGAAGGCAGTAGGATGACATATTCAAAGTGCTAGAAAATTAAAAAGCTATCAGCAAAGAATTCTATATTGACAAAACTATCCTCCAAAAAAAATTTAAATAATTTTTAACATAATTAGCTTTAAAAACACATAAAATATGCTGTTATCAAATAGACATATTAAAGAAAATCCTATCCTTCAGGTGAAATGGAAGAACATTAGACAATAACTTGAACCTATTTGAAGAATTGAAGAACATCAGTTAACTACATCAGTTACACAAAAGATAGTATAAATATATTTATTTTTTGTAACATTCCCTTCTGATTTAAAAGACAACTTTAGAAAGCAATAATTAAAAGTTTATGTTTATTGGCACAAAATATATAAAGATATAATGTATGACAACTAGACTAAAGGAGGGCTGACACTATAAAACAGTATATAATGTTTTTATACTTTATTGAAGTTAAACTGGTATTAGTCTGAACTAGATTGTTCTAAGTTAAAATACAAATTATATTTACCAGGGCAAGCACAAAGAAACAACTAAGACATATAATGAAAACTATAATAAAGCTTTAGAAAGTAGAAAAATTATTTAACACACACACAAAAAGGCAGCAATAGAATCAAGGAACAAAAAAAAATAAGACATACAGAAAACAGAAATAACAGGTAAATCCAATTTTATGAGCAATTACATTAAATGAAAATGGATTCATTATTACAATTGAAAGCTAGAAATTGGCCGAAGTTTTTTTTTTAAAAAAACTAACTATATACTGTCTAAAAGAGACAATTTAGATTCAAAGACGTAAGTAAACCTAAAGTAAAAGGATGAGAAAAAATATATTCTGCAAATAGTAAACAAAAATAACTAAAAAGAGAGCTAGAGTGGCTATAGAAAATAGGCTTTAAAGTGAAAATTGTTATTAGTAAATAAGGATATTTTGTAATAATGAATGGGCTAAACCATCAAACACTTACAAAAATTATAAACATATATGCATCTGACAACAGATCCCCAAAATACATGAAAGAAAAAATTTTCAGAATCAAGGGAGACTTAGAATATTTAACAATAACAATGGGAGACTTCAGTACTCCACTTCCAATATTGGATAGAAAAAGGCAGATGATTAACACTACACAGAAAACTTAAACAGTACTACCAGCCAACTACACCTCCCAGACATTTATAGAACAATCCACCCAAAAACAGCAGGATATGCATTCTTCCCAAGTACACATGAAACATTTACACAGATAGGCCAAGTTTAGTTAAAAAAATAAGCTTGGCAATTTAAAAGAGTAAGTATCATATAAAATATGTTTTCTGATTACAATGGGATTAAATTAGTAATCAATAGTAGATGAAAATTGGGAAATTCACAAATATGTAAAAATTAAAACTCTTAAATAGCCAACAATTCAAAGAAAAAAATCATAGATGAATTAAAAATACATTGAGATAAGTGAAACAAAAACCTATCATATCATATCTTATGGAATATAATCTAAAAAATTGCCTTGAGGGAAATTTATATCTATAATGATATATAATTAAAAAAGAAAAAACCTCATATCAATGAACTAGCATTTTACCTTAAAAAATCAGAAAACAATTGAGCAAACTAAAGCCTTGATATGGTTTGGCTGTGTCCCCACCCAACATCTCATCTTGAATTGTAATCCCCATAATCCCAATAATTCCCATGTGTCAAGGGTGGGACCAGGTGGAGGTAATTAGATCATGGGAGTAGTTTCTCCCATGCTGTTCTTGTGATAGTGGGTGAGTCTCACAAGATCTGATGATCTTATAAGCATCTGGCATTTCCCCTGCTTACACTCACTCTGTCCTGCATCCCTCTGAAGAAGATGCCTGCTTCTCCTTTGCCTTCTGCCATGATTATAAGTTTCCTGAGGCCTCTCTAGCCATGTGGAATTGTGAGTCAGTTCAACCTCTTTTCTTTATAAATTACCCTGTCTCAGGTATTTCTTCATAGCAGTGTGAGAACACACTAATACAACAAGTTGTTACCAAGTGGTGTGCTATTATAAAGAAACCTGAAAATGTGGAAGCAACTTTGGAACTGGTAACAGGTAGAGGTTCAATCAGCTTGGAGGGCTCCGAAGAAGACAGGAAAATGTAGGAAAGTTTGGAACTTCCTAGAGACTTGTTGAATGGCTTTGACCAAAATGCAGATAGTGATATGGACAATAAAGTCTAGGCTGAGGTGGTCTCATATGGAGATGTGGAACTTGTTGGGAACTGGAGTAAAGGTCACTCTTGCTATGCTTTTGCAAGGAGACTGGTGCCATTGTGCCCCTGACTTAGAGATCTGTGGAACTTTGAACTTGAGAGAGAAGATTTAGGGTATCTGGTGGAAGAAATTTCTAAGCAGCAAAGCGTTTGAGAGTAATCGGCACACAAAAGTTTGGAAAATTTGCACCTGATGATGCGGTAGAAAAAGAAAAACCCACTTTTTGGGGAGAAATTCAAGCCCACTGCAGAAATTTGTATAATGAGGAGTCGAATGTTAGTCACCAAGACAATGGAGAAAATATCTCCAGGGCATGTCAGAGATCTTCAAGGCAGCCTCTCCCATCACAGGCCTGGAGGCCTAGGAGGAAAAAATGGTTTCATGGGCTAGGTCCAGGGCACCCCTGCTCTCTGCAGCCTTGGGACATGGTGTCCTGTATCCCAGCTGCTTCATCTCCAGCCATGGTTAAAAGGAGCCAAGGTACAACTCAGGCCATTTCTTCAGAGTATGTACGTCCCAAGCCTTGGTGGGTTCCACATGGTCTTGATCCTGTGTGTGCACAGAAGCCAAGAATTTAGGTTTGGGAACCTCAGGCTAGATCAGAGGATGTATGGAAATGCCTGGATGTCCAGGCAGAAGGCTGCTACAGAGGCAAAGCCCTCATGGCGAACCTCTGTTAGGGCAGTTCAGAAGTGAAATGTGGAATTTTAGCCCCCACACAGAGTCCACACTGTGACACTGCTTAGTGGAACTGTAAGAAGAAGGCCACTGTCCTCCAGATCTCAGAATGGTAGATCCACTGACAGCTTGCACCATGCACCAGGGAAAACCACAGACACTCAATCCCAACCTGTGAAAGCAGGTGGGAGGTTGGCTGTACCCTGCAAAGCCACAGGGGTGGAGCTGCCCATGCTGTGGGAACTCACATCTTGCATCAGCATGACCTGGATGACATGGAGTCAAAGGAGATCATTTTGGAACTTCAAGGTTTAATGACTGCCCTGTTGGATTTTAGACTTGCACGGGGCCTGTATTCCCATTTTTTTTTGTTTTGGCCAATTTCTCCCATTTGGAATGGGTGTATTTATGCAATGCCTGGACCCCCATTGTATCTAGGAAGTAACTAACCTGCTTTTGATTTTACAGGCTCATAGGTGGAAGGGACTTGACTAGTCTCAGATGAGAATTTGGCCTTGGCCTTTTTGGTAAATGCTGCAATGAGTTGACTCTGGGGGACTGATGGAAGTGCATAATTGTGTTTTAAAATGTGAGGATATGAGATTTGGGAGGGGCCAGGCATAGAATGATATGGCTTAGTTGTGTCCCCACCAAAAATCTCATCTTGAATTGTAATCCCAATATTCCCAGTAATCCCCACATGTCAAGGGCAGGACCAGGTAGAGGTAACTGGATGATGGGAGTGGCTTCCTCCCTGCTGGTCTCATGATAGTGAGTGAGTCTCACAAAATATGATGGTTTTGTAAGCATCTGGCATTTCCCTTGTTTGCATTCCCTCCATCCTACCAATCTCTGAAGAAGATGCCTGCTTCTCCTTTGCCTTCTGCCATGACTGTAAATTTCCTGAGGCCTCCCCAGCTATGTGGAAATGTGAGTCAATTAAACCTACTTTTTTTTTAAATTACCCATTCTTGGCTATTTCTTCAGAGCAGTGTGAGAATGGACTAATATAAACTTGCATAAGCACAAGTAAGTACTTAATCATGATTACAGCAGAAACAAGTAAATAAGAGAAGAGAAAAACAATAAAGAAAAGCAACAAAACCCAAAGTTGGTTACTTGAAATGATCAACAAAATTGATAAAACTTTTGCTAGAATAATCAAGAAAAAAATCAGAAGGTTCAAATTATTAAAAGCCAAACTGAAAGAAGAGATAGTACTACTAACCTTACACAAATAAAAAGGATTATAAAGAAATACTATGAAAAACTACTTACTAGAAAATTAGTCAAATAAATCAGATGAAATAGAAAAAAATTATACAAAGATGTACACTACCAAAATTGACTTAAGAAGAAACAGAAGATCTGAATAGGCCGATAGCAAATAAAGAGATGGGATTTTGGTATAAAAACTTCACATAAAGAAAAATCCCAAAACAATATGACTTCTCTGGTGAATTCTACCAAATATTTAAAGAAGTGCTAAAACCAACCCTTCATAAACTCTTCCAAAAAATAGAAGGGTATGAATACTTCCTCACTCAATATATAAAGGCTTTATTATCCTGCAACCAAATCTTGACAAAGATATCACAATAAAAGAAAACTATAGACCAGTTACTCTTATGAATATACATGCAAATTTCTTCAACAATATACTGGTAAACTCAATCCAGCAATATAGGAAAAGTACCATACAACATAACCAAGTACAATTAATTACAGCAATATAAGATTGGTTCAACATACTAAAAATCAATCAGTGTAATACCTCACGTACCATGTTAAAGAATAAAGGTCAAAACCTTCACTATTTTCTCAAAAGATGCAGAATAATCACTTGACAAATCCAACACCCTTTCATGATAAAATATTCAACAAACCATGAATACATGGGAACTTCCTCAATCTGATAAACATGTCTACAAAAAAATTCAGAGCTAACATCATATTTAATGGTGGAAGACTCAAAGTATTTTACTTAAGATCAGGAAATAGACAAGAATATCCACTGTTATTACTTCTATTCCACATTGTGCTAGAGGTTTTATAAAGGACATTTGATGAAAAAAGGCATATGAATTGGAATGTGAAAAATATAAAACTCTCTCTACTTGTAGACAATATTATTTGTGTACAGAAAATCCTAAGAAATCAACAGCAGACTGTAGGTGCTAGTAAACAAGCTCATAAAATTTTCAGGATTCAAGGTCCATATGCAAAAATTGATTGTATATTTATAGATCAGAAATGAACAATCTAAAAATGAAATAAAGACAATAATTTGTTTTAAAATAGTTTTAAAAATAAAAGTGCTTAGGAATAATTTAACAAATGAAGTGAATAAGTTATACACTGAAAATGAC
This sequence comes from Homo sapiens, assembly GCF_000001405.40. Lineage (NCBI taxonomy): Eukaryota > Metazoa > Chordata > Mammalia > Primates > Hominidae > Homo > Homo sapiens. Next base: position 51,947,340 of record NC_000005.10, read on the forward strand.
AAAGCATAGTTGAAGGAAGTTAAAGAAGACCTGAGTAAATGGAATTGCATCCCTAGCACAAGGATTAATAGATTTTATTACTTAAGGAGTAAAACTCCTCAAGTTAATCTATATACATAATGTATTCCCTATCAAAATCCCAGCTGTATTTCTTTAGAAATTTACAAGCAGATCCTAAAATTTATATGGAAATGGAAGGGACCCAGAATAGCCAAAATAACTTTGAGAAAGAAAAGTAAAGTTAGAATTCACAATTCTCCATTTCTAAACATAATACAAAAGCATTAAGATAGACATGTAGATTAGTGGAATTGAATTGGGATTCCTGAAAAAAAAAACCCTTATGTTTACTGTCAATAAATTTTTAATATGGTGCAAAAACAATTTACTATGGAAAGCATACTTTTTTCAACAAATGATGCTGAGACAACTGGATGTTCACAAGCAAGAGAATTAATCTGGCCCCGCTACTTCATACCATACACAAAGTTAATTCAAAATGAATGAAATCTAAATGTAAGAGCTAAAACTACAAAACTCTAAGAAGAAAACAAATGTGTTAATCATCATGACCTTGGATTTAGACAATGATTTTAAAAATATGACAGCTAAAATAAAAGTAACCAAGGCAAAAAAGAAAAGATGAATTGAACTTTATCAAAATTAAATATTTCTGTTTCAAACGATACCTTGAAAAGATATTGTTTGATATCTTTTCAAAAGATATCTTGAAGATTCAGAAGCTATCTTTTTGAAAAAGATAGCTTGAAAAAGTGAAAAGATAATCCTAAGAATGGAAGACAATATTTAAAATCATGTATTTGATAACAGACTATTATCAATAATGCATAAAATGCTCTTACAACTCAACAATAAAATGGCTCAGTTTAAAAATGGACAAAGATTTATGTAGATTTTTTGCACAGATGATATATAAATATCCAATAAGCATATAAGAAGATGGATCAGGAAAATGCAAATCAAAACCCTGATGAGATACAACTTCATACCCACTAAGATTGCTATAATCAAAAAGATGAACTATAAAAGTATTGGTGAGGATGTGAGGAAATTGAAATTCTCATAGATTGCTAATGAGAATGTAAAATGGTACAGATACTTTGGAAAATACTTTGACAATTTCTTTTTTTTATTTTTTTATTATTATACTTTAAGTTTTAGGGTACATGTGCACAATGTGCAGGTTAGTTGCATGCTGGTGTGCTGCACCCACTAACTCGTCATCTAGCATTAGGTATATCTCCCAATGCTATCCCTCCCCACTCCCCCCACCCCACAACAGTCCCCAGAGTGTGATGTTCCCCTTCCTGTGTCCATGTGTTCTCATTGTTCAATTCCCACCTATGAATGAGAATATGCGGTGTTTGGTTTTTTGTTCTTGTGATAGTTTACTGAGAATGATGATTTCCAATTTCATCCATGTCCCTACAAAGGACATGAACTCATCATTTTTTATGGCTGCATAATTTCTAAAAAAGTTAAATATACCCAGCAATTCCACTCCTAGAGATATACGCAGGAGACCTGACAACAATATTCACACAACAATGTGTATAAGGCCATTTGTTCATAGCAGCATTACTAATAATAACCAAAAAGTAAAAACAACCCAACTGCCCATCAACTGATGAATAAAAATTAAAATGTGGTGTAGGTATACAGTGGAATATTATCCAGCCATAAAAGGGAATGAATTACTGATACATGCATAGTAAGTGTAAGAAACCAGGCACCAAGGCCACATTGTGTGACTGCATTTATATGAAATGTGCAGAATAGGCAAATTCATATAAACAGAAAGTAGATCAGTGGTTATCTGGGTATGAGGTGAAAGGGTAATGGGGAGTAATAGCTAATAGATATGGCATTTCTTTTTGGAGTAATACAAATGTTTTGGAATAATCTTGATAGTTGCACCACATTGTGAATATACTAAAAATCACTGAATGGTGTACTTTTAAAGTGTGAATTTTATAGTGCATAAATTATATCCTAAGTTTAAAAAAACTTAAAACAGTCCATGAGCTATATTTGCTTCATGGTCTGTATTTGCCAATTCCATTTATGAAATAATAATAGTAATGATAATGATGATAGTAGTACCTGAGGGAAAAATATTTTGTTGTTAAAATATTTCTATAAATTATTTTTCCACCATGCATGCCATGTAAAAGTTGATGTCTATATGCACCAAACAACGTTATTCATATTTCCTACTCTCCTATGTCAAACTCTTTCATTTTCTTGATTTTACTTAAAGTAGTTTACATGGAGCATCTAAATGAAGGGGATTCAGGGAGGTCTGAACTCATGTTACATTGTTAATTCAAAATGGATGAGATACAAATGTAAGATTTAAAACTATAAAACATCAACTTTTCAATATTTCACCAATTCAATACTTCAACTTGAAGTGAAGCTTCAAGTTTACTAAAGCTCTGATTTAGCAAATCCTACATAGGGTTTTTCACAGCTAGGGGGTGAGAAATTATGAGTAAGCTTTGAATATTTTCTTATATAAACTAAAAATTATGTATGAAATAAAAATTCTTTATTTAAAAATGAACATAAACCTTTGCCCTACTGCCACTGTTTTGCAGCAAATGTAGTTCGTTTTTCTGGTTTCTGATCCATCCAGCTTTTATTTCCTTTATGTTCTGGCAAGATGATCTTTAAAATCCTGAATACATACTTATAAAGCAATAACATAATGATAATTTAAAAATATGTATTTGGGGTAAATCTCTAAGAGAAACATATTCCATTACTGAAGATCCCAAATGGCAAATGAGACCAAAAGTTATGTAAACAGACATTACCCATCAGTAAGAATAATGAAGTTAGATACATGTTATAGTAAAAAGATGCCAGTGTTTTAAAATTCATGCTAAACAATTTTTTTTTCTGCGTTGATGAACTACAGTGTAGCTTCTTTGGCATGCGATTCAGTTACTATCAAAACCTATACATTTTAGTTTTTACACTTAACCTTCAATTGTCCTAGGAAAAATGTCTTCCATACCAGCAAACTAGAATAATATGATACTTGCATAAGTTCAGTTGGGCAATAATAATAATATTTTAGCTCACTTTGTGGTCATTTATAGACCTTTGCAAAGAAAAGACTTAAAATTTTGAATAGTTTTTTTGTTTCTCCTTGTTGGACATAAGTTTTATGTGTCTTTCCAAAGACATTTTTTTCTTTGCTGTGTTTCTTTGTTAGTTTTTCATAGTTATGTCCTTTCTTATAATATTTAAGTTTAACACTGTGATAGTGGATTGTACTTTGCTTTTATTTAACGGATCTCAAAGAGCCCATATCTGATATGCTACCTTTGTTTTCATCACAATACTTAAGTCAGGGCAAATAGAAACTCAAAAGGCTAAGTAGAAAATAAAGAACACTTGGTTTTCCAATGAGTGAAAAATAACTAGCATATTGGTGGAAAAAGAGATTTCCTAGCTTGCAAGAACTTTTTTTCTACTTTGCCACACTACACTAGGTATACAATGATGTCTGTTCTTATTAGGATTTGCAGAGTAAATATATCTTTCAGTGACTGTACAATAAAACTTTTTGTAGCAATGACCTGGTATTACTCTTAGGCTGTAACAGGACCTCTGGGATCTAATTTTAGTTGTATCTTGAATGGTGTTATTCTGTTTCTTTTTCCACATGTCACAGCATGATTGAGCTTAGACATTCACAAATTGTACTACATCATATTAGTATTTTCCTGATGAATGATTTTATAATTTCTTTCAATATTGTGGGCTGTCAGACATGGAGTAAGTCAAAACTTTAATTCAAATTTGTAGATACAAACAGTAGGTATCCTAAGTATTGCTGTCAAGATCATCTGCTTTTTGTTTCCATTTTTGTCTCCCTTTTTTAACTTTTATGCCTTCTCTCCACTGTTTATATGTTTTCCCAATTCTTTATGAAAATTTTCCTTACCTTTACCCAGAAGTAAGTGATTCTGGGCATGAACAAGAATTCTAATCTTAGAGGAGCATATCACATCCCTGAGGATTCCATACAATTTCTACCTTGTGCGCTCCACTATGTGATTTAGCATCCAGGTCCTGATAAATGTAAAAGGGATTATGCAACACTGTAATTAAACATCAGGGAACCTTGACACAGGGGCCTTTTGTTCAAAGAATGACAATTTTGGAAATATGAACTTGGATTCTGGTCTGTATTAAATGGCTACAATTGTCTTGGCCATAATCTTCCATATCTTGATATCTCTAGAATGCAAGCTTCTTGAAGGCAAGACTATTTTGTTTATTCATTTCAAAGATTGTTTATCTCATTGTTCTCAATTGTTAACAGAGAACTGGTATTCAAAGGGTGTTCATTAAATAAAATTTGGGGTGGGGGGTGGAGCCAAGATAGCCACATAGGAAGAGCTCCAGTCCACAGCTCCCAGTGTGAGCAATGCAGAAGGTGGGTGATTTCTGCATTTCCAACTGAGGTACCGGGTTCACCTCACTGGGGAGTGCGGGACAGTGGGTGCAGGACAGTGGGTGCAGTACACCGTGTGTGAGCCAAAGCAGGGTGAGGTATCGCCTTACCCGGGAAGTGCAAGGGGTCAGGGAATTCTCTTTCCTAGTCAAAGAAAAGGGATGACAGATGGCACCTGGATAATCGGGTCACTCCCACCCTAATACTGCACTTTCCCATTGGGCTTAACAAATGGCACACCAGGAGATTATATCCTGCACCTGGCTTGGAGGGTCCTACGCCCACGGAGCCTCACTCATTGCTAGCACAGCAGTCTGAGATCAAACTGCAAGGCAGCAGCGAGGCTGGGGGAGGGGCACTCGCTATTGCTTAGGCTTGAGTAGGTAAACAAAGCGGCCAGGAAGATTTAACTGGGTGGGGCCCACCGCAGCTCAAGGAGGCCTGCCTCTCTCTGTAGGCTCCACCTCTGGGGGCAGGGCACAAACAAACAGAAGACAGCAATAACCTCTGCAGACCTAAATGTCCCTGTCTGACAGCTTTGATGAGAGTAGTGGTTCTCCCAGCATGCAGCTTGAGATCTGAGAATGGGCAGACTGACTCCTCAAGTGGGTCCCTGACCACCGAGTAGCCTAACTAGGAGGCACCCCCCAGTAGGGGCGGACTGACACCTCACACGGCCAGGTAATCCTCTGAGACAAAACTTCCAGAGGAAGGATCAGGCAGCAGCATTTGCAGTTCACCAATATCTGCTATTCTGCAGCCACCGCTGCTGATATCCAGGCAAACAGGGTCGGGAGTGGACCTACAGTAAACTCCAACAGACCTGCAGATGAGGGTCCTGACTGTTAGAAGGAAACTAAAAAATGGAAAGAGCATCCACACCAAAAAGCCATCTGTACGTCACCATCATCAAAGACCAAAGGTAGATAAAACCACAAAGATGGGGAAAAAACAGAGCAGAAAAACTGGAAACTCTAAAAATCAGAGTGCCTCTCCTCCTCCAAAGGAACACACCTCCTCACCAACAACGGAACAAAGCTGGACAGAGAATGACTTTGACGAACTGAGAGAAGAAGACTTCAGAAGATCAAACTACTCCGAGCTAAAGGAGGAAGTTCGAACCCATGGCAAAGAAGTTAAAAAACTTGAAAAAAAATTAGACAAATGGATAACTAGAATAATCAATGCAGAGAAGTCCTTAAAGGACCTGATGGAGCTGAAAACCACAGCATGAGAACTACATGATGAATGCACAAGCCTCAGTAACTGAGGCAATCAACTGGAAGAAAGGGTATCAGCGATGGAACACAAAATGAATGAAATGAAGTGTGAAGAGAAGTTTAGGGAAAACAGAATAAAAAGAAATGAACAAAGCCTCCAAGAAATATGGGACTATGTGAAAAGACCAAATCTACATCTAATTGGTGTACCTCAAAGTGACGGGGAGAATGGAACCAAGTTGGAAAACACTCTGCAGGATATTATCCAGGAGAACTTCCACAGTCTAGCAGGGCAGGCCAACATTCAAATTCAGGAAATACAGAGAACACCACAAAGATACTCCTCGAGAAGAGCAACTCCAAGACACATAATTGGCAGATTCACCGAAGTTGAAATGAAGGAAAAAATGTTAAGAGCAGCCAGACAGAAAGGTCGAGTTACCCGCAAAGGGAAACCCATCAGACTAACAGCGGATCTCTCAGCAGAAACTCTACAAGCCAGAAGAGAGTGGGGGCCAATATTCAACATTCTTAAAGAAAAGAATTTTCAAGCCAGAATTTCATATCCATCCAAACTAAGCTTCAAAAGTGAAGGAGAAATGAAATACTTTATAGACAAGCAAACGCCGAGAGATTTTGTCACCACCAGGCCTGCCCTACAAGAGCTCCTGAAGGAAGCACTAAACATGGAAAGGAACAACCAGTATCAGCCACTGCAAAAACATGCCAAATTGTAAAGACCATCGAGGCTAGGAAGAAGCTGCACCAACTAACGAGCAAAATAACCAGCTAACATCATAATGACAGGATCAAATTCACACATAACAATACTAACCTTAAATGTAAATGGGCTAAATGCTCTAATTAAAAGACACAGACTGGCAAACTGGATAAAGAGTCAAGACCCATCAGTGTGCTGTATTCAGGAAAACCATCTCACGTGCAGAGACACACATAGGCTAAAAATGAAGGGATGGAGGAAGATCAACCAAGCAAATGGAAAACAAAAAAAGGCAGGGGTTTCAATCCTAGTCTCTGATAAAACAGATTTTAAACCAACAAAGATCAAAAGAGATAAAGAAGGCCATTACATAACAGTAAAAGGATCAATTCAACAAGAAGAGCTAACTATCCTAAATATATATGCACCCAATACAGGAGCACCCAGATTCATAAAGCAAGTACTTAGTGACCTAAAAAGTGACTTATACTCCCACACAATAATAATGGGAGACTTTAACACCCCACTCTCAACATTAGACAGATCAACGAGACAGAAAGTTAACAAGGATATCTAGGAATTGAACTCAGCTTTGCACCAAGCAGACCTAAAAGACATCTACAGAACTCTCCACCCCAAATCAACAGGATATACATTCTTTTCAGCACCACACCACACCTGTTCCAAAATTGACCACATAGTTGGAAGTAAAGCACTCCTCAGCAAATGTAAAAGAATAGAAATTATAACAAACTGTCTCTCAGACCACAGTGCAATCAAACAAGAACTCAGGATTAAGAAACTCACTCAAAACCACTCAACTACATGGAAACTGAACAACCTGCTCCTGAATGACTACTGGGTAAATAATGAAATGAAGGCAGAAATAAAGATGTTCTTTGAAACCAACAAGAACAAAGACACAACATACCAGAATCTCTGGGACACATTTAAAGTAGTGTGTAGAGGGAAATTGATAACACTAAATGCCCACAAGAGAAAGCAGGAAAGATCTAAAATGGACACTCTAACATCACAATTAAAAGAACTAGAGAAGCAAGAGTGAACACATTCAAAAGCTAGCAGAAGGCAAGAAATAACTAAGATCAGAGCAGAACTGAAGGCAATAGAGACACAAAAAAATGCTTCAAAAAATCAATGAATCCAAGAGCTGGTTTTTTTTTTTGAAGGGTTGAAAAAACCCTTGAAAAAATCAATGAATCAAGGAGCCAGGTCTATCAACAAAATTGATAGACCACTGGCAAGACTAATAATAAAGAAGAAAAGAGAGAAGAATCAAATAGACACAATAAGAAATGACAAAGGGGATATTACCACCAATCCCACAGAAATACAAACTACCATCAGAGAATACTATAAACACCTCTACGCAAATAAACTAGAAAATCTAGAAGAAATGGATAAATTCCTCGACACATACACTCACCCAAGACTAAACCAGGAAGAATTTGAATATCTCAATAGACCAATAACAAGCTCTGAAATTGAGGCAATAATTAATAGCTTACCAACCAAAAAAAGTCCAGGACCAGATGGATTCACAGCCGAATTCTACCAGAGGTACAAGGAGGAGCTGGTACCACGCCTTCTGAAACTACTCCAATCAATAGAAAAAGAGGGAATCCTCCCTTACTCATTTTATGAGGCCAGCATCATCCTGATACCAAAGCCTGGCAGAGACACAACAAAAAAAGAGAATTATAGACCAATATCCTTGATGAACATCGATGCAAAAATTCTCAATAAAATACTGGCAAACCGAATCCAGCAGCACATCAAAAAGCTTATCCACCATGATCAAGTGGGCTTCATCCCTGGGATGCAAGGCTGGTTCAACATATGCAAATCAATAAACATAATCCAGCATATAAACAGAACCAAAGACAAAAACCACATGATTATCTCAATAGATGCAGAAAAGGCCTTTGACAAAATTCACAACCCTTCATGCTAAAAACTCTCAATAAATTACGTATTCATGGGACGTATCTCAAAATAATAAGAGCTATCTATGACAAACCCACAGCCAATACCATACTGAATGGACAAACCTGGAAGCATTCCCTTTGAAAACTGGCACAAGACAGGGATGCCCTCTCTCATCACTCCTATTCAACATAGTGTTGGAAGTTCTGGCCAGGGTAATCAGGCAGGAGAAGGAAATAAAGGGCATTCAATTGGATAAAGAGGAAGTCAAATTGTCCCTGTTTGCAGATGACATGATTGTATATCTAGAAAAACCCACCGTCTCAGACCAAAATCTCCTTAAGCTGACAGGCAACTGCAGCAAAGTCTCAGGATACAAAATCAATGTACAAAAATCACAAGCATTCTATACCCCAATAACAGACAGAGCCAAATCATGAGTGAACTCCCATTCACAATTGCTTCAAAGAGAATAAAATACCTAGGAATCCAACTTACAAGAGATGTGAAGCACCTGTTCAAGGAGAACTACAAACCACTGCTCAATGAAATTAAAGAGGATATAAACAAATGTAAGAACATTGCATGCTCATGGGTAGGAAGAATCAATATTGTGAAAATGGCCATACCGCCCAAGGTAATTTATAGATTCAATGCCATCCCCATCAAGCTACCAATGACTTTCTTCACAGAACTGGAAAAAACTACTTTAAAGTTCATATGGAACCAAAAAAGAGCCCGCATCGCCAAGTCAATCCTAAGCCAAAAGAACAAAGCTGGAGGCATCATGCTACCTGACTTCAAACTATACTACAAGGCTACAGTAACCAAAACAGCATGGTACTGGTACCAAAACAGAGATATAGACCAATGGAACAGAACAGAGCCCTCAGAAATAACGCTGCATATCTACAACTATCTGATCTTTGACAAACCTGACAAAAACAAGAAATGGGGAAAGGATTCCCTATTTAATAAATGGTGCTGGGAAAACTGGCTAGCCATAGGTAGAAAGCTGCAACTGGATCCCTTCCTTACACCTTATACAAAAATTAATTCAACATGGATTAAAGACTTACATGTTAGACCTAAAACCATAAAAACCCTGGAAGAAAACCTAGGCAATACCATTCAGGACATAGGCATGGGCAATGACTTCATGTCTAAAACACCAAAAGCAATGGCAACAAAAGCCAAAATTGACAAATGGGATCTAATTAAACTAAACAGCTTCTGCACAGCAAAAGAAACCACCATCAGAGTGAACAGGCAACCTACAGAATGGGAGAAAAGTTTTGCAACCTACTCATCTGACAAAGGGCTAATATCCAGAATCCACAATGAACTCAAACAAATTTACAAGAAAAATACAAACAAACCCATCAAAAAGTGGGTGAAGGATATGAACAGACACTTCTCAAAAGAGACATTTATGCAGCCAAAAAACACATGAAAAAATGCTCATCATCACTGGCCATCAGAAAAATGCAAATCAAAACCACAATGAGATACCATCTCACACCAGTTAGAATGGTGATCATTAAAAAGTCAGGAAACAAGAGGTGCTGGAGAGGATGTGGAGAAATAGGAAAAATTTTACACTGTTGGTGGGACTGTCAACTAGTTCAACCATTGTGGAAGTCAGTGTGGCAATTCCTCAGGGATCTAGAACTAGAAATACCATTTGACCCAGCCATCCCATTACTGGGTATATACCCAAAGGATTATAGATCATGCTGCTATAAAGACACATGCACACGTATGTTTATTGCAGCACTATTCACAATAGCAAAGACTTGGAACCAACCCAAATGTCCACCAATGATAGACTGGATTAAGAAAATGTGGCACATATACACCATGGAAAGTATTCCAAACACCGCATGTTCTCACTCATAGATGGGAATTGAACAATGAGAACACATGGACACAGGAAGGGGAACATCACACACTGGGGTCTGTTGTGGGGTGGGGGAAGGGGGGAGGGATAGCATTAGGAGATATACCTAATGCTAAATGATGAGTTAATGGGTGCAGCACACCAACATGGCACATGTATACATATGTAACAAACCTGCACGTTGTGCACAGGTACCCTAAAACTTAAAGCATAATAAATAAAATAAAATAAAATAAAATAAAATAAAATAAAATAAAATTTGGCTGAATGATACCTCTCAGAGAATAACTGGGCTGAATAATGACTAAAATCCATCAATTCTAAATTTTTGAAGGTTTTATAACTGTATTTTACAAATAAAAGGAGGATATATTATAAAAGATTTATCTTTCAATATTATACAACTAAAACAGAAATTAATTATGAAATGTATCATTATTACATGACTTACATATCCTTTGGGTCAATTAATATCCTCCCTATGACAAACCCTATTATGCTGTTAGCATAAACCATTTCTAGTTACAGTTTCCTCCCTCAGCTGTGTTTTGAAAAGGTTTTAAGCTTTTGCCGACAGGACTCTAGGCAAAATGTCATTTTCGCTAAAATTTAATAAGATTTCAATATTTTACTCTGTTTTTCCATTTCTCTCGGAAGCTGTCAAAGTAAACCACATTGGCCTTGTTTTAGTGAAGAAACACAAAGTCTGTGGCTTAGTTATAGGAAAATGAAGCCATTTAATGAAAATGGAAATTGATTTATTTACCCCCTAAGCGGAAGTTTAATTTCTGATGTGCCTGCTGAAAGTGAAAATTTTTCCCACACTGCTCTACGTCATTCATGTAGAAACTTTAAGATTCTTTAAAAGTATCTACAAAATTAGGTGAAGGGTAAAATTATGAATTTCCCACTTGGAAGAAAGTGGCTTAAATTCTATCCAATTATTTGCCATGACAACCAGCTAAACACAAAAGGGCCAGAATGGATGTAGAGTACTGCCTCTATAATCATCACTGTATGTCCTTCAAATCATGGATATGCAGCACCACTATCCTGGGCTACTTCAGGGCCATAAGCCTACATGGTAATTACATGCTTTGGAACACTCCACTTAAGTGCATCAATAATATAGTGAGTGAACATGTTCTTTAATTCTGCACCTGTAAATGGAGGGAAAAATAAAGAAAATATCTCTATCAAAAAAAGGAAGAAAAATAAATTAGACAGCCAAATTATTTTAAGCCGCTTTGTGAGGTCTCTGTCTAAAACTCAGATGGTTAGTAATCGAAGCTTCTCCATAAATATAATCAAATGACAAAATATCTCTGCTTAAATGACTGCAAAGTTTAGGACATAAAAAAACAAAAGATGCAAAACAAGCCAAAAATATCTAATTAAACTTGATATTTTATCTTTAATACACTCATTTCAACTGTGCATTACAATATTTCAGGGCTACTTTTCTTTCCATTGCCATGTCTCTATATAACTTCTATTAATGGAATTTCAAAGATAACACCTACTGATCCAGGACTTCAACACAAAGGAAGAGTTAACACATCATGGCATTACAAAACTGTAGTGCTCTGCATGGTATTTCAGAATAAGGCATGTGTTTGTGTGTGTGTGTGTGTGTGTGTGTTTCATTTTATAGACTTGAAATCCATATTTTTCTCTGAAGTGCAAAGTTAATACAGTTAATTCAACAGAGAAGAAGTAACTCAATGGAACCTCAGGGAGAATAAGTGATTGGTATAAAACTGTAAGACCTTCCTCCCACCTATATATTTCAATAAAACAAAATGGCTAATTTTTTAAAATCATAAATTTATCCTAAAAGTAAAATATTTCTGAATGGCTAATTTTCTACAGTCTTATGGAATTTCAGAGGAATTCTTATGAAAAATAGGCACACATAATTTATAATAAAGTTACATTTTACCATTGGAAACAAACCACGTTTTTTTAGTGGATCCATCCTAAGTTTTTCACTTGACAAAACAAGAAAAAAAAAAAGATGCGGTCTGTATAGATATGCATATTTCTTATGCCAATTAACTAAGACTTTTTAACGAATTAATGTGAAATATGCCTTTGTATATTGACTCCAAGATACAAGTGTTATTTACATTAGAAAATCTTGCCATAATTTCAGAAAATCCCATAAAACTCAGGAAAATCACATATGTAATGTTCCACAAACCACAAAGGAAACAGAAGGGATGTCCTAAATAATCAGAGCAGAATGTTGTGGTTTTCAAAAAAATAGTTATTTCAGATTGAAGTTGTATTTGTTTTTTCTTGTCATTTGACATTTGTAATTAATGGATGTACATGTGATTTACTAACTTAATATTTAATACATGAGTATGATCTTGTGTTCTGTTAATTTCCACACATTTTACTTTTACAGATAATCATATGCCTCAAATGTTGCTTTTATGACCAAGAGCATTGAGTTTTCCCATTATTTAATCAATATACAATTTTTCTAATAGTAAATATATTTTTTGAAAAAATGCAATTGTATTTACCATATGGAAATTGTTAAAATAATGAAATCCATTATATTTTCAAAGCTGCACATAGAAACTTTACCAAGAAGTTGCAAGCAGCAGTTATTAGAATTACGTATTTAATATTAACTATTTCTTTATGCCATCTCTTGGACTTCTGAAGAATTTTACTGGTCAGGCAGTAGATTTTGAAATTTGCATGCAACTCTTATTGTATAGATATCCTGCTATTATAAAAGTATTCTACTATATACAAAAGCTAATGTTTTAAAGTTTAAGACTGATCTCCAAATACAAATTATGTTAATTTGCAAAGAACTATCAGCATACAAAATCTGAGATGAAACACTGGTTATTTTTTGAAGGAAATACAGATAATCGTTTGAAAGTTGAATCTTATTAGTCTTTATAGTTTTTCTCTTTCTGACAGAGATGCATAAGCATGCCAATTGTTTACAACTATGTAAAATGTATTAGTATATTGCTGGGGCTTGGCTTATAAATGTAGTGTGGAGAGAATATTACAATTGAATTTCAAGCGCCTAAGAAGGATTTATGATAGAGGTTTTTGGCAGAACTTTTCTAAATTACAGTAATGACTCACTTGGAGTATCTTATTAATGGTACAGACAACAAGAAACAGAAGTGGAAATGTTTAAGTCTGAGTGTCCAAATGACCCCACATCTGCTTTTTGCTTTGTGTTTTATTTTGTTTCGTTTGACTTTGTCTTCTTGATTAGATGGTAATTGATAATATCAAAGCAAGACAACTTTAAAAACTTAGATCACTTAATTGGCCTGCATCTGTGATCTCAGTGAAAATCTTAGCAAGAATGTCACCTTTGAACAGACAACTGAGTACAGGATATTAATCAGACATACAAACTATCTCTTGGTGTCATCTAGTGGTTGTGTTTCATCACTGCATAAAAGAAATGCCTTATTGGTTTTCTGAGTAAAGATTGTTTTATTACATTTGTTTCTGAGTGACTTGAGTAAAAGAAGCTGCCATTTTTAACAGACAAGAGAAGGTTAGTAGCAATCAAGCCTTTCTGGGCTCTTCACCCTGGCCCTTTACAGCGCTTCTTATAAGGTCAAGACACATCGATGGAAAGCTCAGTTATCGTACACTGGTGTGAAGGTGCTGTCTGCTGCCCTATTTAGGCTGCATGACTGAGTGACTGGGTGTTCTTAAGGGACATCCACAGCCAATACACAAGGTATTTTCTCTCAGCTGGCTGAGCAGCACTAAGGGGATTCTGACAGACTGAGCTGACATGCTAACAATCTGATTGCAGACGGCAATGGTAGGAGCCTCCAAGGGAGAGAGAAGAGTCCCCTGACCCTCCTGTCATCTACTCTTTCAATCTCTAGCCTAGGATAGGAACACTGCACAACTATCACAGGAAAAGGTGACATAGTGAAAATAACTTATCCACAAATGTGCTGAAATGTCATCTCTAATGTTATAGTTCCTTTAAGACGAACTATAATTTCTAATATAACTTTTCAGTTTTGAAAGGAAAGGGCACCAAGGCTGGGTTGACAGAAATAAATTATCCAGATAATTAAGGCTAACTACTCCACTTTCTCCTACTCGCCGGCCCACGTGCAGACAATAATGGGCTCAATTATTTATAATTCCGATTTTTTTTCCCTTTCAAAAAGGGATTTTCTATAAAACCGGTATTTGAAACTCTCAAAATTATTATCATTAGGAAACAGATTATTAACAAAATACAATCAGGAAATGTATGAATTTTCAGTGATCATAGTTTGTGTTATGTCCAATGTAACAAAGACAAGTCATAATTAAAAACATGGTAAAAATGAACTTGATGTTTTATTCTAATTTTTTCATAATTACTTGATATTTTTAGTCAAAATCTGTGGGTTTAAAATATGATCTTCATAGATTTATCAATCTTAAGCAAGATATTCCTCTACATACTTACAGAAACTCATTTTATATTACAAAGTGAACAGTTCTTTTGTTATTGAATTTGCATGATGATGATGATTATTTTTTTAGACAGTCTCACTGTGTTGTCCGGGCTGGAGTGCAGTGGTGTGATTTCAGTTCACTGCAAACTCAACTACCCAGGTTCTGGTGATTGTCCCACCTCAGCCTCCCTAGTAGCTGGGACTACAGGTGTGCACCACCATGCCTGGCTAATTTTTATATCTTTTGTAGAGATGGGATTTCATCATGTTGTCCAGGTTGGTTTCAAACTCCTAGGCTCAAGCCAGCCACCCACTTTGGCCTCCCAAAGTGCCAAAATTGCAGACATGAGCCACTATGCCTGGCCTGAATTTGCATTAGTTTTAATGTTTACTTTCTTTTATCTATAGGTCTTTAATTTCCAGATGTCTTATACACAAGCATAAATTGAGAAAAAGAATTGAATGAAACAAGAATAGGTGTACATTTCCTAAAATTTCTCTTTGCTTTTGTTACAAAAGAATTTGCTATTGCTATTGTTCTTGAAATGAGAACACATGTAGTACACAAGTACATATATAGATGTCTATAAGATATATGTGTATATGCATATACACATATATAAATACATATACATATATAGATATATATGCACAACTATATATGTGTATATATATTATTCAACAGAAATACTATCAATTTACACACATATTAATTCAAAATATATATGATCAATTAGTCCTCTGTAAATCCCCTCAAAACATATTACCTTTCTTCTAAAATCAATCACCATATTAGATCATTTAATTTCATATTTTGTGTGAGAAAGAACCAAGTTTGGTGTAACGTGGCTCTAATTCTGATTGTTAGCTGTACATTATTTCATCTTATACAGCAATTAATTGAGAATAATGAATACTTACATGGTGGCATATGTATTTGTAGCATTCATAAACCTCTTGTCAGATTTGATTCAACTTACAGGAAGTATCTGAAATCTGAATCGCAAAGCCTGATATAATTTTCAGTTCATTAATACATTTTTAAAGACTATTTCCTGATACTACAGCTAAAATCAGAGAAACGATTGTTGAGGAATGAAACAGTTGATGTAAATATTTCACATAAAGAAAATGGAGCTCTGTCTTAATGATCTCCCCCTAATTTCATTTTAACCTCAGTGAACAAAATATGTACCATCTAATAAGGAATTAGGCAAATACCTACCAGCACTAGCAAATAGGAAATTTAGGCCTTCTCAGTGTTAACAGAACTACATACAGACAAGAGCAAGCAACCTTAAGTCGCAGTTGAAATAGTTGGTTAAGCAATCCATATGGAAATTGAGAATGAGAATCAACAGAGTATCCATTTACCATAATTCATTACTCTTAAGAGATATTCTTTAATATTTAAATTAGCTGTCTTAAGTGGCCTTATTGAATAGATTATTTTGTTAATTTATGTAGTGATACTTTTGATACTCAAGTCTACTGGAATTCCATTTCATTTTCCTACAGTATTAGGAAAATAATGGACAAAGTGATGGATTAAAAACACCTTCTCTTTAGTTTTTTTTCCTATTCATGTTACATATTGCAGTAATCTGTGAGTTTAATTATATATTTGTCCAAATGCTGAAAAATAGTATTCTTCACTCAGTAGGGCAACCTGATGACCCATACTCCTTAGTAAGTGAATGCAGCAACCATACTGTATTGTAACATTGCATAATTGGCACCTTCACCTCCTATACCTCTATGTATTTTCACTTAATCTAAGAGTGCCTATACATTGGAATAATTGCCTCAATTTTACAGGTTACAAAAACAAACTTACTTGACTCTCAAGCCATATATTAAGTTGTGAAACTGTGATTTAATATGAAGTCTGAGCTTCGCATATAATATAATTTGTAAAGCATAGGAATTCCTCTTTCAAAATAATAGAATAACCACAGATTTGTTAGAATCTATTCTCTAAAGATAGCTTTCATTTAAAAGAGATAGATCTGCCAGTTACATGCTAATTTTCTGTTTCTTCAGACTGTCAAAATCATTCCTTTACACAACTGCACATGCCATGTAGCTAAATAATGGCCAAGGAGATAACATCACAAGTGTTTTGTGATTCCCAGAATTCTCAGAGGAAAATGGATATGCCTACTTTTTACCCTCATTTTTCCTACTGTCTACTAGTAGATGTGATGGCTCAATTTTGAGGCACCATTTTGTACCATGAGGTGACATACTAAGAATGGCGAAGCAGCAAGATAAGGATCCTGATGACTCAGACAACAGATTAGTCCTGGATTACGCATCTCTAGGCTACTTTCACATGAAAGAGAAATAAACTCTATGTTATTGTATTTGTCTTCTATTCCTGCATAACAATTTACCACACATTTACAGCCTTAAACAACAACACCTCTTTATTACGTCACAGGTTCCATAGGTCAAGATTCCAGAAATGGGTTAGCTATGCTCTCAGCTCAGAGTCACACCAGGCTGAAAACAAGGTGTTGGTTGGGCTGCAAGCTCATATGATGCTCTGAGTCTTCTTTCAAGCCCTCTGGTTGTTGGCAGAATTCAGTTAATCATGGTTATAGGACTGAAGTCCACATTTTCTTGCTAGTCATCAGCCAGAGCTGATGCTTTAAGTCTTGCAGACTCTTTACTGCATAGTCCTCTCTGCAGGGCCTCTCACAACATGGTACTTTACTTCCTCAAATCTAGCAGGAGATTCTCTGAGGTGGTGCCTCAACGCTCTTCCTTTAGGAAGGGCCCAGTCCCTTTTAAGGGTTCACCTGATTAGATCAGGCCCACTTGGAATAACCTTTTGATTAACTCAAAGTCAATAGTCTTGTTTTTTTAATGACGTCTGCAAAATCCTTTCACCTTTGCCCTATAGAATAACTTAATCATGAGATTAAAATCCATTATACTCACAGTCAAGTGGAGAGGATTATACAGAGAATATACATCTGGGAGAGGGAATCATAGGGGCCATCTTAGAATTCTGCCTGTTACACTTGTTTCAGCTTTCATTATTTCATTTTTGTTATCATTTTTGACATATTGTCAAAACTCACTATCAATAACGTATCACATGGTATACCCACCTTTGAGTTTTATGAAGAAATGTTTGTTTAGATACATTTGCATACATTCTTGAATTGGTTATCAAGTCTCTACACATATATACACATTTTTTGTTGTAGATGCAACAAAATACAGTTCTAAATTCAGTGCACAAATACAATTGAATCAACTAAGATGCCTGTGCCCTTGTGTTTATGTTTTTCTGCATTTTAATGACCTTATTCCACATTGTACTTTATTTTGCAACTACAAATTGTTTTTTAAATTAGAATAACAATGCAAAAAACAATAAATATAAGGATTAAATTATGTTGTATGGCTAAAATGAATGGTAAGGTTTGTACAGGGAGGAGGTGAAGTATTTTTATTTTCTTTCACTCATTTGTGGTTCTCTGTCCTCATATATTTTATATAATCTGTAATTTAAAAACAGTTTTCCTGGGAAAATAATATTTGCCTTTAGCTGTCTTAGGATATACACAATGAATACAGGTATTATATTAAGTTTTCTCTACGATCACTACTTCTTATTAATCATTTTCCTAGAAATCTTCCACCCAAGAAGTTTTCATGGCAAATGGAGTTTATAAAACTTCCTTGTGATTGAAGAGCTAAATGAAGTATTGTCATTCCCTTTTGTACTTTTCCCAAAAAAGGTGGGAAAAATATTGACTTATGGGTATGTTTTGTTAATCTAAGAATATATATGACTTACTATATATTAAAAATGTTACCACCATCCGGCAATCATTCTGAGGATTTAGACATCATCTAGATAAATAATCTATTTTGCAGCAGGACTCACAAACTTAAATAGCTACAGGGATAGGCATAAATTATGAACAAGTTAAATAAGTCAGGTGTAAGAAAATACGGTGTGATGGGGAATGTGATAAACTACATAGTGAACTTTCCACTTAAAGGCACAGTCTCACACACCCCAACTCAGTCATTCAAGGCCAAGTCTCCAAGATCTTCCAAAGTATATTAGGAAAGCTGGTAATCCAGAATTCCTTGTGAAATAACCCAATTTGAAATGCTAATTTTACCTTCAAAAATGTATAAATGGTGTAAACCCCAAAACATCACTACTAAGTAAAGGTAGCCCATGGGTTGGCAGCGTGCAATTTCTACACTAGAAAAGTTAATTGGCTATAATAGCAAATATTTTATTGTTAGCTGTGAATACATGTTAATAGCCTCACATATAACAAGCACTCTTAAAATATATGCTAATGTAATTGATATTTCACAAACAGCTGAAGTAATTTCTTCTTTTTCAAGTTCTTTCCTTTTTTATTAAGTGATGCAATATAAAATTACCTAAAGTATCTTGTCATGAAATTTTTGTACATCTAATTGTTTTTCACTATAATAACAAAAGCCTGATACTTTATTTTGTATATTAAACCTGACTAACTTTTGAAAAATAAAGGCCAATTTGTTTCAAGCAGGTATAAGATATTTCATAAATTGCATACTATATTGTGTGTTAAATGGGTTACAAAAGCCCTGAGTTGGCGCTTGCTTTCTCCATGTACAAACATCTAGTTAGTCAGGACTTTTATATCCCCAATCCTATTGAGTCTCAGAAATCTGAAGTTTTTTTTATATTAAAAGATAAAATGTTGTATCCAGAGGAGAAATGTATACTTGCTGTATTTTAGGTAACTTTTTCTTCTGCATTTATAGCCTCTGGCATGAATAATTAATCATTTAATTACAAACTTTACTTTGACGTAATTGACCATTAGATTTTATGAATTTATTATATAAGATTTTGCCTACTCACAAAAAATTCAGAAAGTTGATGAACCTTGCTATGTTGTTATTTTGATGAAGCAAATTTGCGTCACACTTTAATCTGGTAGCAGACGTGTGCTGACCCTATGAGAGAAATCCATGCAATCATCCAGCTCCTCCATTCCAACCAGGCTGGTGATTATGTACTCTTCATCTTTTCCTTGATTCCCAAAGTGCCCATGCAGAAGCACTGGCACACTGCAGTAAACTCACAGGGGTGCTCCAGGATATTTTAAATTTTTGAAAGGAAAACAATGATAACCCACCAGTAGGAGCTACATGAACAGCAAGAACAAAATAGTTCACCATTTCTGTATTATTAGATGGTGCTGCATTCCCTTTGATGTCATTATATCCTTGAAAAGCTGAGTTTTCAGTGGTTCTTATAATAAAAAGAAAGTACCACATATAAATCAATGTAGAATAGGAGATGAGGGTAGTGGTATCCAGTCTGATTCCAGCATCTGAGAACTTGTGCAGTGCCCAGTGGCTGCATAAATCTAATTACTTATTGTGGTTATTCAAGAACAAACTAGCAGCATTCTTCCTTAAATTTATGTATTTTTTATGCAATTACTAGTAGTTAGAACAAAAATATTTATTAAGATGTGTGGATTTCACTTACTAAACGGAATGTTAGGTATTTATTTTGTCTATGGGCATCACGAAAAAAATGATTTAGAAGCTACGAGGTCTGTCAAAAGAAAATTTGGAATCCTCTAGTGATGGTCACATCCACTAATCTGTAAGCTTTAAATGGTTAAGGGCCAAGTCAACTTTGTTTACCGTTCCGTTCCCAGCACCTACTGCAGTGCTAGGTATATCGTTACCACACAAATATACTTGCTGAATTCTTTTATTCAATAAATCAAATGACGTAAATGGTGGTGATATGTAAGCCAACCACTACTGCAGGTATGGAAAGTAAGAGAAACTGAGTGTTCCAAGAAAGATATGTTTCTTGGTAAAAATTGAAGGTCTGGATAAATTTTGAGTGGATAATCAATTTTGACAGAGGCCTGCATCTATTATTTGAATGACTCCACATTGTGATTTTTTTCAGAAATAAGAGAATGAAATTTTTGAAATATTTTTGTGAGCATCTGCCAGTGCTAAAATTTCTTATCAAATGAGAAATAAAACTATTTGAAAGTCAGAAAGGCAGAAAAGTTCTTGCTTATACAGTTTCATAAAAATTTTACTCTTAAAAATGTGATTTATGCAAAATTCAGGTTTCTGTTCTTAACCTTCTCATGAAGTTACACATGGCAAATATACCGGCATAGGTAACAAACTAATTTTTTCAGTGAGTAAATATTTTATTTATCTATTGCGGCATGATAAAGTATCCCAAAACTTAGTGGCTTAAAATATCAATTTATCCTCTCTCTCTCAGCTGGTCAGTTTTTGGAGCCTTTCAGGAGATTGAGATAAAATGTTGGCGCACTTGGGTGGCTAGATGGACCTTGCTAGATGACTAATGTGTCTTCTTCACTCCCAAGTCTGGCAGTTGGGCTGGTTTGGCTGGAAGAGTTCAGAGTTGGCTGGGGATCTGTCTTTCCACATGGCCTCTTTACATCAACAACTTATATTTCCTTATGATCTGGTGGTCTCACGGTGTTACAACATCTTACATGGTAACTGGCCATGGCACCAAGGCCCAAATTGCAAGGTTTCTTCTATTGTAGCCTTGATCATCACACAAAATTAATTTCTGTTAAATTGAATTGGCTGTAAACTTGTCACAGTACCAGACCAAGTACATTGAGAAGGCAGGGTTTGCCACAGAGAAAGATTTTAATCATTGTGCCAAAGTAGGAGGTGGGAGGAAACCCTCAAATCCATTTCCCCAAGGAGTTCTGGTCTGGGGTTTCTAAGGGAACCATGGAGGGTGAGGGGCTGAAAAACTGAGGCTGTTGATTGGTTCAGGATAAGGGAGATGAAATCATTAGAATGCAGATACTGCATTCTTTGGCAAATCAGCATTCTTTGGCAAATCAGCTCCTCATGGGGTCCTTTAGACCTGCTGGCATCGGTGGGGTCTTTCAGAACAGCTGAGTCAGTAGTCATCAGCATGCAGGAACTGAAGGAAAATCCCAAAGGGAAAATTATATTCCCTTATGTTCAAGTTGTTATTCATAGAACAGTAAAGGGAAGCTATAATTTAGGGTCTGTGAAACTCTAGGACAATAGGCAGCAAACAACTATGAGGAAGCAGGTTACAGGCCAAGCTGACCCAGTGATGAACGCTGAATGTGCTGCAAGCTTGGTTTATTTTCATTGCTTCCCGTCTTCTTCTCTGATTAATTTTATAAAGTTTATAGAGATGGTTTCAACTGCATCAGCCAGATCCAAGGAGAGGGGCCTACTCAAGGCACAAACACCGGAAGGCATGGAGTATTGGGAGGATCTTTGAAGATTAGCTATCACAAAATCTTGTTTTATAGTTCTAAGGAGCTCATATAATAGAGGGGTAATAGTAACACATGTACCATGAATCTGAAACTTCAAAAAAAATATTGGTAAATATCTGTATTATCAGTGTGCAGGAAGGAGATGAAAAATACATTTATATCTTTATTAAACAGAGTTGATATTGTCAAGTTAGGTTGTCAAAAACAAAGCAGCCTGTTCTAATATTAGATAATGTGTCAATCTTTATGATTAAATGAGCCTGGCCTCCAAAATTGTGTAAAACCAAAGAAAAAGATAACCCATTTTATATTGACTATATATTGGGACAATTATTTTCTTAAATTTCTTTACCACTTGCTTCTATCTGCTAAATTTGAAGAAACTGACCACTAGAATGGTTGGAATTATTATTGAAATCTGGTAACTACTTTGGCTTGACCAGTGGGGAATAAAATCAGGAAGCTCTATCTAAGAGGTGATAATCTACAAACTAAAGATAGATATATAAATATCTTCTAAATGTAATCAAACAGCTTAATTATCATAAAAAAGAAAGGAAATGAGTTGTCTAAGCACATATCAATTAATCTGGAATCTAGAATTAAAAGGAGGAAACAGCGTCCCTGGAGAAAATTAAAGCTGTAATTTTCTCTTCACTCTTGATATCCTTTTAGCTTCTTTAATTAATGTTGCTTCCCTTATATTTTCTAGATAGCAACTCTTCACTGGGTTTAGCATAATGAATCTACCCTCTTCCTGGGTGAAAATATTTCCTGGATCTCTTTTATTGAGTCCTTTTCATATAATTAATATAGTAATTTATTAATTAAAACTAGTGGATTCCAGAAACATTCACACATGGTGCCCCTTGGAGCCAGTGCCAGAGACAATAGACTTGATCAACCACATGGTGACATTTCTAAATTTTTCATTAAATCCAGACTTGTATAAATGTGTTTTTAAATAAGGTATTAATCATTTTCCTTACCACTTCCAGGTAGTTAAAAATATAGTATTTATAATGTAGTAAACATTTAACAAATATAGGTTGTATTAGTCCGTTTTCATGCTGCTGATAAAGACATACCTGAGACTGGGAAGAAAAAGAGGTTTAATTGGACTTACAGTTCTACATGGCTGGGGAGGCCTTAGAATCATGGTGGGAGGCAAAAGGCACTTCTTTTTTTATTTTTCTTTGAGATGGAGTCTTGCTCTGTCGCCAGGCTGGAGTGCAGTGGCACGATCTCTGCTGCAACCTCCCTCTCCTGGGTTCAAGAGATTCTCCTGCCTCAGCCTCCCAAGTAGCTGGGATTACAGGTGACCCCCACCACACCCAGCCAATTTTTGTATTTTTAGTAGAGAATGTTGGCCAGGATGGTCTCCATCTCCTTACCTAGTGATCTGCCCATCTTGGCCTCCCAAAGTGCTGGGATTACAGGTGTGAGCCACCACACCCCACCGGCACTTCTTACATGTTGGCAGCAAGAGGAAATGAGGAAGATGCAAAAGCGGAAACCCCGATAAGGCCATTAGATCTCGTGATACTTGTTCACTACCATAAGAACAGTATGGGGGAAACCGCCCCCATGATTCAAATTATCTCCCACAGCGTCCCTCTCACAACGTATGGGAATTATGGGAGTACAATTCAAGATGAGGTTTGGATGGGGACACAGCCAAACCATATCATAGGTTAAATGAATGATTGTTTAATTATTCTATGTTTTTAGTATAGATAGGTATTCTGTATGTGTGGGGGCAATATATTTAAAGTCTTCCCTTTTCTTCCCCAATCATATTCTGAAAGGTTTGTCTCTTCAGGCATTAGCCTTTCTTCACTAGGCTGTTGCAATAGGACCTTACCTTGTATTACTGATTCTACTAATACATTGTCCAATCCATCATTAGCATGGCATGCAAGGCTCTCTATGCTTTATATCCTTGTCTTTCTCTCTACTTCCTCCTAACCATTTATTAGTTATCTATTGTGGCATAACAAATTGCCACAAATGTAGCAGCTGAAAAATAAGAGAAATTCTAAATTTCAGTTACTGTGAGTTAGGAGTCTGGCCTGGAGTAGTTACATCCTCTCCTCAGGATCTCATAAAGCTGCAAGCAAGGTATTGGCCAGAGATAGGTTCTCATTTCAAAACTGCACAGGGAAGGGATCCACTTTCAAGGTCACTCAAGTTGTTGGCATAATTTATTTGCAGGACTGAAGGATTCTAGCTTCTCTCTAGTGTTGGCTGGAGAAATTCTGCAACTTTTAGATGCTTCCCATGATGCTTTGCAAATGTGGGCTTTTGTAAAATGGCTTCTTACTTAAGTCAGCAGAAAAAGTCTCCTAGCATGTCTGCTAGCAAAATGTAATCTTATGTAATAGAATGGATTCAAAATAGCAACAATCCATCACCTTGGCCATATTTCTTTTTTTCCTCCAGTAGTTTTAAATACATTTATAATGTTGTACAACTATCACCATCAACCATCTCCAAAACTCTTTTCATCTGGTAAAACTGAAACTCTATAACCATTAAACAATAACTCTCCATTACTTGCTTCATCCAGCCCCTGGAAATAACCACTCTATTTTCTGTCTCTAAGATTTTGGCTACTCTAAATAATTCATATTTGTGGAATCATAGTATTTTCTTTTTGTGACTGACTTACTTTGCTTAGCATAATGTCATCAAGTTCCATCTATGTTGTAGCATATGCCAGAATTTTCTTCCTTTTTAAGGCTTAATAATATTCTGTTATATGTATATGGAACATTTTGCTTATCCATTCAACTGCTGATGCAATGGATGTTCGTGTTACTCCCATGTTTTTGCTATTATGAATAATGCTGCTATGAACATAGGTGTACAAATATCTTTTTGAGAATCCGCTTTTAATTTTGGGGGGTATATGGTATATCCAGAAGTGGACTTGCTGGATCATATGGTAATATTATTTCTTTTCATTTATTGAAGAACTGACATTATTTTTCCACAATGTTTGTACCATTTTATATTCCCACTCACAGTAAACAAGAGTTCTTATTTCTTCATATGCTTATTAACACTTATTTTCTGTATCTTTTAATCATAGTGGGGTGCTATCTCGTTGTAGTTTTGATTTGCATTTCCCTAGTGGTTGGTGACATGGTGTATCTTTTCATGTGCTTATTGGTCATTTATATATCATCTTTGGAGAAATGTCTTTTCAACTCCTTTGCCCATTTTTGAATCGGATTGTTTTGTTTTTGTTGTTGAATTTTAGCTATTTTCTATATATTCTGAAATTTAGTTCTTTATCAGATACATGATTTGCAAATATTTCCTCCCATTCTGTGTGTGGCCTTCTTACTCTGGTGATAGTACTTTTTGATGCAAATTTTAAAAAAAATTAGGGTGGGTCATCTTTTCATCAAAAAGTGTGTCTCTGCAAGGTTTATGTTGTCCTCAATGTTTGTGTTGATCAAAAAGCATGTCTCTACAAGGTTTATGTTGAGGGGTGCCTCTCTCTGCAGGTCTGAAATGCCTTCATACTAAATTGTGCATTGAATCCCTATTCTAGAGCACAGGTTATCAAAGCTTGTGGGGTTCAGAAACGCACATTTGTATTAGTAACTCTAGTGGTTCAGAATCAAGTAATCCATGGGTGTTGGGAGGTTAATTCATTGAATATTGAGAGATGATATTCCATCTGGAGTGGACAGGGCAAAAAAGAAGGGTATTTTAGGAGGCGGCCACAGAATGAGTGAAGATATGGAGGAACACAGTTTAGGTTTGGCCATATTTTGTTAGAAGTGTTTTTGGGACAACATCATCATATTTCCATACCATTTTTGCATTAATTGAGACTTAATTTGTGAGATGCGACTACCAATGCTTCACATGCATCATCTCACTTAATCCTTAAAACACTCCTATGAGCTGGGTATTATTGTTACTCCCTTAAAGAGATGAAGAACATGAGACTCAACTAGGATAATGAATTACCCAGCAGGCTGTTAAACTAAGTAATACGCTGTAGAACTATTAAGTGTAGGAATCAGGCTTGATTTCCCATGTGGAATTGCCAGCTAGTCGGTTGAATGTCTGGGATCAGAGTTCAGGGGAGAATACCTTTGTCATATTCTATTGGTTAAAAGCAAATCACAGGTCCTGCCAACACTCAAGGAGAGAGGATTACATGGTGGTATGAAGACCAGCAGGTAGAGATCATGGGAGGGGAGAACTTAACGTCAGTCCACCACACTGTTGTTATGTTCCATCCATACTGGAGTACCAAAAGTTCTCTGGTGCTTCATATGTTGTTTCTGTGCATGTTCTTCTTTACTTGGTTTATTATAATATTTCCATACATGTGTGCTAGGCAAAATCCAATTTATCCTGCAAAATAAGTTCTGTTGCTTTTTTGAATAGATTTGAATCTTCACCTGAAAAAAAGATATATCTCAGTCCATTGCTTCTCTTTTGTACATTTTCCTTGCCTTTTTTTTCTGTCACTTATCAAAATGTAGTACACAACATTCACTTAGCTGTCTGCCTCTCCTGCCTTTGTGAGATTCTCAAAGATGGTGACCACATTTTAGTTATATTTACACTTTCAGTATATAGCACAGAGCTTAACATCTAATAAGTGGGTTGAATGAAAAATTGAATGATTTCTTAGAGGAAAAACTCTCTGAATAGCCCATGTATGTATTTAAGGAGAGGTTTTATTCCTTTGCTTTTCTTTCTTTTTTTTTTTTTTTAAAAAAAAAGAACAATTCTTACCTTTACACCAAGTTAGTTTAATCTCCATTGTCAAAACAATGGGTCTTGTTTCCAAAGGGCATTCTCTCCCTGTACTGTTGTTCTTAGAACCACAGAATCACATTTCTTACATGACTCAAACAGACTTCGTTGGTCACCTTAAGCAGTAACAAGTTTTTCTCCAACTCTTAAAAATAGAAGAGAATGATAGCAAAAAACCTCCCTTAACACAACCTACTCACAAAAGAATGTGAGGTATCAGAATCTGCTCCCTGAAACAGCAGTTTCCTACAATTTCAGTATTAGCTTATTTTGCAAATATTCTCAGGGAATAGGGGGCACATTTTCTTTTCATACCAATGTAGGCATTTTACAGCAACTATTTTGAGATGTGAATATTTCAGTGAGATAATAGGTACAAGAATCACATTTATTCTACTCACGATTTCTTTTCAGATTTTGTAGAGACATTTCCAGAGCATTCGTTATGTTAAATTCTGGTTTTCTACTCATTGAATACTGTGGTAGTAGAACCACACAAAAAAAGAATCAGGTGAAAAAGCGTGAGATACATGTTTAAAGAAGTAAATGCCTATTATGAGAAAATTTTAATGCTGGTAATAATAACCATAAAAATCTATTTTTCCTTCTCTTGCTGCCATGTTAATGTTTCTGAATCTTCGATATTGTACTTCTGCATTCAGTAAGAATATTATTTGAATGAATATTGCAAAAGCGCTATAGCAATTGAGTGAGTCTGGTGAGATAGAACTCTTGCATAACAAGTCAAGCAAAGCAGATGTATTACTTTATTACTTACAGATAGGCAGCAAGGATAAATTGAAGCCAGGCATCTGTGGCAAGCTGGTCTCCCAAGGCTCTGGAGATTGCCCAGGGCGGACAGAGTCTCGTGTGCATGTGCCCATGTTGTACCGCAGCTGAGAGACCTTGAAAGCGATCTGCCCTGGGTTTATCTCTTGAGCTCCACCTGGCTCACTAAGCTCAGGCATTGCAGAATATCTACATTCTAGGAGGAATAAGGACATAGCCTAGATTGTTTCCGACATTTCTTCATTATTTTAGGATGTTGCAGTCTCGGTATATTCTGCCTAAAAAATTCAAGCAAGAAGGGGAAGAGCTGGGCTGTCCAAGGCTATCTGGAGACTTGTTCTCCTGCAAATACAAATATCTCACCCAAAATATTAACTATTAAAATAACAAATCGTGTGTTTTCTGCTATTGAATGACAAAAACGTTTAAAAATATCATTTTTATCCATGTTGTAGAAGCCAGCAACTTTAGACAGCTAAGGCTACAACTATTTTATTTTATTATTTTATATATTATTAAATATTATTTACCTGTGTGATCATTCTTTTTTTTTTCTGTGTTTTATTTTATTTTCAGTGACAGAGTCTTGCTTTGTTGTCCAGGCTGCTCTCCACCAACTGGCCTCAAGCAATCTTCTCACCTCAGCTTCCCAAAGTGCTGGGATTACAGGCATGAGTGACTATGCTGGCACAAACTTACGGCAATTTGAGACTAAGGCTTAGAGTCCATTTAATAAAGGTAAATAGATAAGCTTTTTATCACCCACAAATATATAGAAAATAGCTAATTACCAAGTTTAGCCTTTTATTGCTGTATTTTTAATTTAGCCTTCCATTTATAAATATTTATCAGCATCATGAAACTATTCAATTAATAGAAAATATCCCGTTTTAATGTGGTTTTCTAAAATCCTCATATTATTTCTAAATCATGATTGTATTATGGTCTCCAGAGCATACACTCCTGTTGTTAAAAAAAAGAGAGATAAAATTTATTTTAAACAACAAAAACATCTTTAATGTGTTTTAGCTGCTTTTCCGTGAGACCAACTTCCTACTGATCAATCAAGAGAAACTGCAATAAGATTTTATGCTACCAGAAAGTATAAAGTATTTAATAGTTTTTTTATATTGAGATGAATGTAATTATATTATAATATCATTATTGTGCCATTATGGGAAACACAGGGTTTTTCCTCTGGAATTTATAAGATCTAGAAGAAACACATGGAATATTAATTCATTGAACACAGCAAAGATTTATGGTTGAGATCTATATTTGGTAAGAAAAAGGAGTGAATTCTGTTTCTATTTTCTATTCAGTTTTAATTTACTTTGACATATTTTATTTCTGTGATAAAATGCGAAGTTTTTCTTTTTGACAGTAGCTAACATTGGATGATGGGTCACTTTCTATATTAGATATTTTTGTATGAATTTGTGTGACTTTATCATTCCTTTTTATTTAGAATAAGGATTTTAAGGAGCAATAATAAAATATAAAACAAGATTATTTAAAAAGATCAATTATAAATGATATGATAAAATTCATGTCATTCAAAGTATACTTTAAATGCTGGAACTGCAAAATTCGTATGATAAGAGGAAAGAGGAGAAAGAAGTTAATTTTTATTAATAAAATATATTTTATATTACCTACGTTTTCATTTAACAGCAAATTAGAAATATATTTCCAAGGTAACAAATGTACTTCTAAAGCATTAGTTTTAATGGATCTGTGATGAAGAAATACAATTTATTTAATCTTGTTCTTAGGACACACAGGAGACACATACCTTAATCTTCCATAAGGATAAAATCTCTGCAGTTCTACTGAAAACTCATAATCCTTATATAAGCTTCCTAAAACTCATCTTTCTGATATTGAAAATAGCGATATAATTCTTGTTATAATTTATTGAGTATTGGATACAAATGCTTTCATTCAATGTATTTAATAAGTATTGCCTTCCCATTTTACCAATGAAAAAATTAAAACAATATATTCCTTAATTAGCAAGTCAAGGTAAGAATTCTAAGGAAAGTATGTTGAACACTGTATCCTATATAATGAACCATTCTGTTATTAGTATCACTAGATTTTGGACAGATTGTACCAATAAAATTCAAATAGTCAAAAGAGAGTGTCTAAGAAGTTATACTTATGGAAAAAGTCTCCATATACTGCCCCTAACATGGTGATGCATTAGGTAATACTAATCTTTCTGATACATTGACATGACCACAGGTATTTCCCCAGGACACTGACTCACACCATTACATTTGTAGGAGTCTGATTTTAATTTACTAATTCCCAAGTTAGTCTACAATTGTACAGAAAAGTCAAAAGACGATTTTCTCAATGAGTAGCTTATGTGGGTCCCTTGACATATTATACAGTTAGGAATTAGTTGGCTAGAATGAAAGCTGTTTTGAACAATGCTTTTTTTTTTTTTGAAAAAAAAAAAGATGTCAACTTGTCCTGATATTGTCCTGGCACCCCTTAATAATTTATATTCTTTATTTAGTGATCTAGACTCACGTAGTTCATCAGAACATAGGAGAAAGGAAAAGTCATTTCAACTCCAGAAGGTGACCTGGATCCTATCTAGCACCTCAGGTAATATCATTCAGCTGATACTAATATTTGGTGATCCCTTTACTGTTTTCAAAAAGGAAGAGAAGAACACTACCAACAACTTTCTAACTGTAAAACTGAGAGTGCTCCATTCAATATTTGAAACCACTCCTCATAGTAGTAGTCTTTGAGAAAATTAAACTACAAGCCATTTTCTAGTGCATGCAATTGGCCTGGCTCAGAAATCTATAGATTTCTCTGTTTCTAGAAACTAACTAAGCACAGTCTACCTTGGAGCAGTTGAGTACAGTTTATAGGCTACAGGAGAAGTGCCTAATAATAAATTTTACAGGTTGAAAATTTCTTCCTTTTTTTTTTCTTTTCTAATGATTTGGAAGAATCTTTCAATGTACCCTTCAATGACTAAGATTTTTTCCTTGGACTATTACCCAATGAGCTCCTAAGTTATCGTGATATGGGCTTACTTTTTCTCATGTATTTAATATTGCATGTTCATATGAGACTTAGATATCAGAATTATTTAACATATGCATGGGCTGTCAAGGAAAAAAAAGATAGTCACTCTCATTTCTGCCAACTTCAGGGATATTTAAACACGTAATCCTCCTATATGATTTCTGCTCTTTTTAGGGATATTTAAACACATAATCTTCCTATATGATTTTTGCTCTTTTTGTTTTTCTCCTATGTAAAAAATTGGCAAGTCGATCATTTATCATTTTGGAAACCTAAATGCTGAGAATGGCAGTGGATCCAATGGTATCTTCTCTGTAAAGTTGAGGAATGCGAGAATTGCTTTTTTACCTGCCATTCTTCTCATCACAATTAATATTAAATAGTAAAATCTTATTCTTCTCATCACGGTTATTATTAAATAGTAAAATCTTCTAACTTATGTAAAGAGTGGGATACTAGAAGATGGTAAAATGTACGATCTTGAAGTGACGCACCAAATTGTACTTCTCTCTCACCTATATTTGGAACTAAAAAATAATACTGGTGTATCTGTAGATCAGATCATCCAAAAATGTCTTGAGTGTTCATAAAATGTGGAATGAACTATATACTGAGAATAAACACCAAAAGGAATTTACTACTTTTTTTTTCCTGGTAAATCTGTTCTTTAGAATAGATGCTTACTCAAGAAAAAACGAAGGAGTAAAAGACTAAATCACTCGAGGCAGATGTTTGATGAATTAGAAACACTCAGTTGAGAAATCTAGACCAAGGGTTGTCATCAACCAGCCAGGTAACAAATTGAGGGGCAGAGAGGGATCCATCTTCATGGAAATAAATGGCAGGAATGGGGGATAAACATTTCTGCTACTAACAGTAGGGGAGAAAACTCTGGAGGGAACTTTATCCATATGTCTTGCCACATTGATCATTTTTTAGTGCCTCTTTGGGGTGCTTATATCATCTAGATCTGCCATTTGATACCTGTGAGACTAGAAATTGATTAATTTCTACATATGTAAAATGGTCACTGTAATAGAAACCACCCTATGCATTTGTTATAAGAACTAAATTAGATAATTCATGTCCAGTCCTCATCATAGTGCCTGACACATGATAAACACTCAATATATAATAGGACAAAACAATGTCTGTATCGTATGCCATATGATCCCATATGTAATAAAAACTGGATGATATTTGATTACTTCTGTGCCAAATTTAGCTCTTGCCCTGTGCCTTAACTTACCTATATATATGGCTGGCCTGGGAGGATAAAGGATTGAGAAGAATTAGGTGAATGACATTGTTGACTCTTGGTATTTATGGCTCTGTAGTTTCTAGCAAAAAAAAAAAAAAAAAATCTACTCTTGGCCAAAAGGAAAATTGCTGTAAGAATATGGGGTCACTCAGAATATCAAAGGGATACTGAGGCACCAGGTAGCTCCTGAAGACTCAGAAATAGGGATTCATCTATAGCTGAAATGAAGAAACAAATGACAGCCATTTTTCCCCTCTCTGGTCTCTGTATTTCTCAGCCCTTGAGAGAGAATCCATTTGATTGTGTTTGAGTCATTCAATGGTCCTAGGTAAATTAAAAGCAATACATAGCCACCATGGTGACCCTTTACTAGTCAAAGACCAATTAAAATTTCAGGTCAGATGGTCTAATGGAGAGCTTCTTTCCTGAACCTCTACCAACATATTGCTTTTTGATTAAATAACACTTTCAATAATAAGATTCCATTTATTTTTTCCAGGATAAAAAGCTTCAATTGAACAGCACATTGTACCCTTCATAGTTTATATTTATGGAATGAAGAATTCCCTTCTATCCTGACAGCCTAGACTTAGCCAACCTTGTAATAACTTCAATAGAAGGAATTAACATCCCCTTCAGGGGCGATATTACAATTATGTCTATTTCTACATACGGTTACCTAGCCCATTGTAACCGTATGTTTGATTGATTGATGGATGGATTTATTTATTTAGTTAGTTAGTTAGTGAATTATTGGAATATTGTGTGCATTGGAGTACAAGGGAGATATCAGGGGATTTGGGGGCTGGATAAAATTGATAACCATTTATTATTATGAGTCCTAACTGTGGCTTTGCTATTTCTTAGAATATATTTGGCCTCAAGAGATTCCTCATTTTACTTTATTGGTCTTTGATTTTAAAAAAATTTGGGGGTACCCTGAACAGTAGCATATTTAACACTTTCCTAAAGTGTTTTTAATTAATTTACTGGCTAATAACTAGAGTTATATTGGAGATACAAGATGTGTTTTTCTAATATTAAGTAGGTAAATAACACATTTGAGTTTTCTTGCTTTGGCCTTTAATTCAAAATCCCTTTGGAATAAATATAGCAATATTATTTTCCAAACTGGTACTTTAGTGAGTAAAGTAGCATTTTCATTGTCATGCTGATAAAAGGAAATAATGAAATAATCTGTACATTAAACTCCTGTGACACTAGTTTACCTATGTAACATATCTGTATGTGTACCCCTGAACCTAAAATAAAAGTTAAAAAAAATTACATAATTTTAGTTAGATTTCTACAGATCTTTTGTGTCTTAAAGTCATTCCAATCTTATGTGTATACTGAAAAATTTAATATTTATTTTCAGACAAAACATTTAGGGTACTTTAAAATCTCTTTATCACACTCAATTAAAAACTATGTCCAAAGTGTCAGAATCCTTATCAAATGCTGAATAGTGTACAGGGAGCGGAATTTCCACGTATCTAAAAGCTTGTCAAGCAGTAAATTACTCTAAGCATCTATTAATATATGAAACAAAATACTTTTGTTGTAATTCTATTTTCTTACTATTTCAGTTTTAAAGTTGGTTTACCTTTCCACTCACTTGTGGATATTCTTGTTTAAATCTCTGATGAAATAAAAACATTTATTGAAATAAATGTTTACCTTTAACATTTTTTGTCTTTATATTAACTCAAGTTGAGACATAATTGCCATATTCTAAATGTCCACTAAAAAGCTTAAAAATGCAATAGATTAAAATGCAAATATTTTCTTTGGTACTTGTGATGCAAAAATATGAGTCTTTGAATTGCCCCACTGTTCAGGGCAAAGCAATGTCTGTACCACATCCAATATGATCTCACATGTACTAGAAACTGGAGAGTTTAAAAGCCCTTCTATTCTTTCCCTTTCAGTAACTGCCTTTACCCTTCGAGGCCACACTTTCATGTGCCAGACCCCGTGGAGCTGTGTTAACATTAACACGATCCCCCTGACAGAAAATCAGATCAATTGTAAGCCAGTTCTTTCCTGAAGTAAACAGCTTTAGGGGCTGACTGGAAGCCCATTTGACAAAATAAATATATATTTTGTGTATATATATATATATAGTAATATATATTTGTATATATTACCCTACCTCATTTATCTCTCATATCTGTTATTTTTTAAATAACATAAAGGAACTCAAGTCTTAATTTAATTGTGAATGTAAAAAAAAAAAAGAGCTTTCACTTCACAGAATTAAAGTCTACCTAAGGTTGGATTTAAAGAAGACAGAAAGGCATTGACGTTTGCTGTATGAGTCCTCTCCTTTCTTTTCATCAGTTCTGTGATGTCGATAGTCTGCCATTCGTGTTTCATTCACGAATCATGTTTACAAGCATTGAACAAATATGCATTTTTATAAATGTTATCTGTGAAACCACACTACGTGTTTTATCTCCTTTTCCGCCACAGCAACCCCATGAAAAAGGCATGAGTCCAGTTTCATGGGGGGAAGCTAAGGCATGGAGACATTTAGAAATTTCTTCCAGGATAAGCAACTACTTAATGGAGTAACCAGAATTTTAACTTTGGCCTGTTTAACTACAAAATCAGTATCTTTCAGTTTCCTGCCTCAGCAGTTGGCTATTTCAGTAGGAATGCATATGTGTGTTCTGACAATAATCGGCAATAATGTGTGTACTAGTTAGGAGTAGTCTGAGCAGTGTCTAAATTTAAAATAAAATCTAATTTTTCTCATCAGATGAAAAAAGCTATATTGTTACACAGTCAAGTAATAGGTCATAATAACACTCTATATTTTGTAGAACTTTACAGTGTGCAAGGCGCTTTCTCATCAGTTATTTGTTTCTCAAAACAAAGCTGGGTATAATTATTATATGAATTCCCAAAGCAAATTATGACCAGTAAGACAGGGTAGCTTAAAGAGAAGGAACAGGCTGGGTGTTACAACTCATACCTGTAATACTAGTACTCTGAGAGGCCGGGTGGGTGGATTGCTTGAGCCCAGGAGTTCAAGACTAGCCTGGGCAATATGGCAAAACTCCATCTCTACAAAAAATACACAAATTTGCCAGGCGTGTTGGCATATACGTGTAGTGCCAGCTACTCAAGAGGCTGAGAAATGGGAGGATTGCTTGAGGACAGGAGGTCGAGGCTGCAGTGAGCCATGATCAGACCATTGCACTCCAGCCTGAGCAACAGAGCAAGATTCTATCTCAAAAAGAGATGGAACAGGGCTAGGGGTTTAAAAAATTATTATATGGTCCAAAGCAAGTGAAAAATATTATTATAGTTAACAAAGGAATTTAAAGAGCACAAGTTTTGTGTTCTAACACCTGTTCCCCTTGCCATCTGGACAAGAATATAGTGCAAGAATACCTTAGTCCTCACCTCAAACAGCCCCAATTCCTTCATTTTTAAATTGAAGGATAGTGACTTCAGAGGTTCCTAATAGCATTCAACCTCTATTTTAGCAGAGATATCTCTCGGGCTAGATAACTTTACCTAAAAATTTAGATTTTATGCTCTCTAGAAGTCTAAATCTATTCCTCAAGTTTCTGCAAAAGCTGGCCTTTTACCCCCAGTCTTGTATTCTCATGGGCATCAGCTGGCCACAAGCTCCTCTTTGTCTGTGCTGTATCAAATAAAATAAAATGGTAAATTTTATTGCCAGGAACAAAATTAAGAGTAAAAGATGAACACACATAAGCATAGCAGGTTCTACTGAAGATGCGGGAGTGGAAAGGAAGAATCCCATAGTGCATTACACAAAAAGTCACCTTTCGGAATAGTCATGTTGAACCTCACATCACCCTACAGCACTGATTTTTTCCTTCATCCATCTACACCTAGCCTTCCTTCTGTGTATTAGTCAGTACAGGCTGCCATAAAAGATACTACAGACTAGTGGCTTAAACAACAGAAATTTATTTTCTCATAATTATTCAAATTAGAAGCCAAAAATGAAGTGCCAGCATGGTTTTTTTCTGGTGAATCTTTTCTTCCTGACTAGCAGACAGGTGCCTTTTCACTGTGTCATCAAAAGGCCTTTCCAGACAGGTGCCTTTTCACTGTGTCATCAAAAGGCCTTTCCTCTGTACATATGCAGAGACAGAACTCTGTTGTCTCTTCTTTTTTCCAATTGGTTTGATCTCCTGTTGGGTTAAGGTTCCACCTTTATGAGCTCATTTAACCTTATTTACCTCCTTAAAGGCCCTATTTCCAAATATAGTCACATAAAAGGTTAGGACTTCAACATATAAATTAGGGAGGGGGGGCACAATTCAGTCTGTAACTCTTCGTTATTCTAATTCCTCTCTCCATTTCCTTCTTTTTCCTTTCTTGCTGTAACTCTCACTCTCACACTGCACTTTGACACCCCAATATTTTCTTCCCAACATTCTCCAGCTTATAATTCTGAACTTGCATTCCAAGTTCTCAACTGGTGGGTAAGAAATGGAAAGGAGGGAAACAGAAGGAAAGATAGATAGCCTTCCATTGTTAGTTACCACTTTCTTTGTAGAGTATAAATCAATATACAGTAAGTAGTATTTGTTTCTGTTGCATCAACTCTTTAAAGTATAAAACAGCATTATAATTAAATTTCCCAATTGAAGCACACAAGTATTATTGCCAGAACACTCTCATTTTCTAAGGTTTGATGGCACCATGAGAGAAGAGTATAAGCATTGTGAATTCTCAGAGCAGTACTATAAATATGCAAAGCATAGCAGTCTAGACATCACTGGTACGGTGGCCAAATATTATGAATGCACATTTAAGTGAACCAGACTGAATTTTTTCATTGGATTTCATTTTAATTTTGCAATTATCCCAGTGCCTAGCAGAGGAATAGGCACATAGTAGGTACTAAAACAACAATTGTGGAATGAATTCATTTTCTCACTTAAAGCGTGATTCTAATCCCTGAAGGTATGCATTCATTATATTGTGGTAAATTGTATGTTTTAAAAAATTAAGGTTTATATATAGTTATACATTACATATGATCTGAAAAATGCATTGTTAGGCAATTTCATCTTTGTGGGAACATGATACAGTGTACTTACATAAACCTAGCTGGTTGAGCCTATGTTGCTCCTAGGTACATACCTGTACAACATATTCCTGTACAGAGCACTATAGGCAATTGTAATACAATGGTATTTGTGTATCTAAACACAGAAAAGGTACCATGAAAATATGGTAAAAAGATTTAAAATGCTACACCTTAATACGGTACTTATCATGAATGGAGCTTGCAAAACAAAGTTACTCTGGGCAAGTCAGTGAGTGAGGAGCAAATGAATGTGAAGACCTCGGACATTACTGTACACTCCTGTAGATCCATTAAACACTGTATACTTAGGCTACACTAAATTTATCTTTTAAATGTTTATTAATAAATTAACCTTAGCTTACTGTAATTTTTTTACTTTATAAACTTTTAAATTTTTTTAACTTTTTGACTCTTGTTATAACAGCTTAAAACAAACA